>NC_000004.12:177046381-177671381 GCF_000001405.40 Homo sapiens
GGCAAATCAGGATTCCATTTTCTGACACAGGAAATAGATTAAAAAGAAGAAGGTTTGAGGAAGAAAGATTTTCAATCTGGCTTTAGACTGAGCATCAGTGTGGTCTAGCAGAAATGTACATTTTGGAAGAAGACAGAGTTGAGTTCAAACCCCAGGTGTGCTGTGTATTAGATCTGTGGCCTTGGTTCTCTCCTTTATGTCCCTGAGCCATGATTCCATCTGTAAAATATGGATCACAATTTCTTCCTTGCAGAATTGTTCTGTCTTACAATATGTACAAGATGCTTATTGGTGTCTCGTGAAATGGTGACTGCTACCATTCCAAACCTGGCAGGGGTACCTGTGTGAAATCCAGGTGAGATTCTCCACTGGCTGCTGCAGAGCTGAGATTCATTGGACCTCGATGCATACATGCTCCTTTATTGAAGATGTCCAAAAATGTTGGTCACATTTCAGTTAATCTGATGATGAGAGGGATGCAGTGAACCACAGAAAAGGATGAATATCTTCAATAAGGATGAGAAGAAAGGAAATATCTTTCTATCAATTGCTTTTTGCCAGGAAAATTTACACAAATATGTCATTTCAATCCTTTCAAACCCAGGGAAGTATATGATTTTATCTCAAATTTAACTAATAAGGAAACTGAAATTCAGGAATATTAAGTGGCTTTCCCAAGGCCACACAGCCAGTAAGTCCCTATTAGGAATTGGGCCTTGATAGGCAGCAAAGCCAAGGTGATGTCACTACACGAGAGTTTGTGTGTTTCTTCCATGCTGTAGTCTTCCTTTCCCCAGGTAGATAGAGAAAGGGTCAAATCGCACAATGCTTTGGTTGTGCGCAGGACCATAATGGCCCCGGGTGTACAGGCTGGCGACTTACTGATACAAGCCTGGGGACGGAGCTCACGGAAAGCTCAGCACTGAGTCACAGACATGACTTAGAAGTGCCAAACTTCATTTTAGAAGACCTGGGAGGGTCATATTTTTTTCTTGGAAAATAAATAAAGTAAGATTTAACAACACACTGTGTTTCCTTTATAAAATAACAAATGCCCTGCAAGAAATATGTATTATCTCTATCACTCGGGGGAATTCAACGTAGAATTTGTCCCTGAGCTTTAGCAAGGGCTGTGAGAGGGATGCACACTGCCCTCTGCTGGGGGGTGTGTATAAGCACACGGTGTACAGTGCAGTCTTCATCAAAGGAGCTGTATTTTGTATGTTACTTAGAAAAGTAACAAAGGGTGACAATGTGTATGAGCGACACAGTGTTTACAGATGCATCCCTGATGCATAGTGCATCCCCCTCACAGCTCATCTTAAAGCTCCAGGACAAATATATATACTGTGTGTGTGTGTGTGTATATATATATATATATATTTCCATATTTTCTCCTTATAATATCACAGATTGGCAAATGACAGCAATCTTTAGCTTTTGTTTAAAGATACAGAAAATCAAGATGGTCAATGAGACCTCCAAGGACATACAAATATTCACTCATCAGAGCAAGATGTAACTCACTTTAGCATTCTCTATAAAAGAGCAATTCATGATTATTAGAATGCACATGAATCACTTGGGAATTTGTTTAAAAAAAAAATGGGCCTCATTCCCAATGACTCTGACCTAGTTACTTGAGTGAAGCCCACGAATTTGCATTTTTAACAAATGGCCACATATTCTGAGGCAGGTCATTCACAGACCTTGTTCTGAATAAACACTGATCTACAATCCTCTTTATCTCCCAAAGTTTTTTATTAAAAGTTGACTTGCAGAAAACTTCAGATTTTAATTTTTCTTTCCATCTGTGTAACCCTAAACAATATTATTTACCCTCTTGTGTCCATCTCTTCATCTGTAAACACTATGTGTTGCTCATACAAATTCTTACCCTTTGTTACTTCTCTAAGTTTGTGAACAGAAATATGTAGCACTTATATATGGGTGCTCAGTTGATAATTCATTTCTCAAAGGCATTACTATTTTAAATTATAATAAAAAATAGGCAAACTGCCGGTCAGGTCCTATTTTCCACAGGACACATACAGGAAAATAAGTCTTAGAGACTTAGTAACAGCTGGTAAGGGCAAAACCTTGCTTAAACTTGGACTTTCTAACTCAAATCCAATTCTCACTTTGCTGCAGACTCTGTCATCGGAAGCTTTTCTCAAAATTCTTACCCATATGTTTTTAACTAAGAAATAAAGGCATACTGAGTTCTCTTAGTGCCCTAGGAAATGTTGGTCAAACTCAAGGGAAAACTCTGGAATATTTTCTCTGTTCTTCCTAGTAAACTACCTGACGTCTACTGGGTGCCCTATAGACATTGTCAGATTTATTGTGAGGCCATCTTGGGACTCACACTTTGACCAAAGTAAAACTGTTGCTCTAATTCTAATCAATCTCTCCCCAATATATAACTTGAGTGGGGATTCTCATGAGAGGATACATGTAAGAGTTTTCCTGGCTAGAAACATATTTGTTTTTAGTTTGATATAGAATCCCAGAGATTACATTTGACCAAAACATTTCCATGACCTTTTCCCTGCATCATAAATCACAAAAATGTAAAGATTATCCCTATATGATTTAATGCTATGATAAATTAAGTTTTAAAGTATTTTTATGGATAGAGAAGTATTTGCTAACAATTCTGTTCTATACTTTTTCTGTTGAGAAAACACACTTCCTAGCCCTTTTAACTTCTACATCTCTGAAAACCTCAGGAAGAAAGTGTGTTAGGGGATATGAATATAAGAGAACTGTGGCTGAATTTTAAGAATTTCATGATCTCAAGCTCCTTCTTGCACAATTGAAATAGAAAATAAAGGATGGCTTTAACAGGGAAGGTATATTTAGCTGTGATTTAAAAAACAAACGAATTAGATAAATTAGCAGTAGTTTGCCTGTTTGAAAAAGCAAGAATCTTTCCCAGGTTATTACTTTGGTTGTTACTTTTTCTCTTCAATAAGAGAGTAGACCAAATAAAAGTTTAATCTAAAAGTTACCAGTTCAGTCTAAACAAGGAGAGCAAGAAACTACATTCAAGCACAAACTTAACATTAGATAATTACATTTCTTAAATCAAACTTTTGGCCAAAATGGAACTGTAGGCAAGCTTCTATTCCAAAAACCATCCAAAACAATTCAAAATGCTCTAAGAATGTAACAAGACACAGCAACAAGACAAATGATAGAAAGCATTTAAAAAAAAAAAAAAGTCCTCAAATTATAGTGTAAAATTCAGAATAAAAGAGTTGCCTCACTTAGAAAGCTTTTTTTAAAAACTCATATAAACACACACACACACAGATACACAATCCATATCATCTACAGGACTGATGAATGGATAAATCTATTTAAAGATAAGCTACACACATATCTGACATAAATTGTACCATACTTTTCATTTCACTCAATAAATTTCTAATGAAAGAAGAAACAGTCTGTGCTAAAATACAATCTATATTTTAATAATAACTGATCCAGGAGCACCTTTATATACTCTAATCTCAAGTGAAATAATCTCTAACATAATAGAAACTTGATTTCTACTTAAGTAATGTTGAGTTTCTTTTAAAAAATATTTTTTTCTCTCTTAGGAGATTCTTTTGTCAACATTACACATATTTAGAGAGTGTTCTGTTCACCAATTAAAAAAAAAAAACTTCCAAAATAAATCCCTTCTTAGCCTTTTTCTTCAATGGCAGGGATCCAATATCTGCGGTAATTTTGCTCCTTATTATTATTTTTTGCCCAAACCCATCCATTTCCATCCTTCCTTAATCTCTTCTGTGCCCAAGGTGACACATGGCACCCTGTAGACCCTGTGACCTCTCTAAACCCCATGAAATCCGGCCTCATTCCTGCTGGTTCCAGCTGGTACACACAATTGGAGGCATCAGTACAGGACTCTGGAGCTCCGGAATGGAGAAATGTCAGCATATTTTCCCTGCTCCCTTCCTTCTTTGTTCCATTCCCTCCCTGTCTCTGGCCCCATTACTTGCTTCCAGTTTTCATTAGGCCCTGAGAAAATTAATTCCTCCATTTCTCCCTTTTGCCTTGGAGTCATAGAGGCTTCCACTGTTTCTTGCTTCTAAGATAGACCTTTCTCTGCAAGATAAGGAAGCAAGCAATTTGGGAAGTCCATCTGGTGCCAAGTACATCTATTCCAACTCTGCATTTAGAAACTGGGAAAATATTCACATGGTGTTTCCAGGGACTCACAATGCCTCAGTGAGATGGCTCTGGGTGCCAACCGCACTTCCCCCCAGACCTCCACAGTCACCTGTCCCTTTATCCCCTCACCACCAATGGGCCATGGTGATATGTTGAGCCAGCAGAAATTAATGTAAACGCAAAGCCAGCATTGAGAAACTTTTGGAGGATCTGGGTATTTGCCATTCCCCAATTCAAAGTTATCCTGGTAAATACCTATTGTACCTCTAGTGAAGACATAGAAAAAAATTTAGAGCATATACTTGAGGTGCGTTATGGGACCCTGCCTCAGAGGAAGTGTCTCTTCCTCAATCAATGAACTCCAGATCCATGAACAGCCTGCATTCTAGGAACTGGGTGAAAGGCTGTGTATTACTACTATTGTGATCTTGGTATATTTCTGTCCACCATACTGGGATTTTCCCCCAACTATTTAGATCAAGCAATATCTTCTAGGCTGTCAACTGAGTATTATCAGATTCACCAAATCATAAGGCTGAACACAAGTGTAATATTCCGTTACTAAGTGGGGCTGATGTGTCTGAGACAGGTCCCAAGCAAGTTCAGAATATGCATGTAAACTGCATGTGTCTAGACCCACCCTTGCTGTTTTGTGGTCTTTCTTCAACTCAAATCTGTGGCTTAGTAGGAAATTCTTTATAACCAGTATGACTAGATATCTGAAGAGAAAAAAAATGAAGATATAGTGGGTTTTTTCAAGATTTTTATGCTAAAATTTGGATAGAATATAGTATAGTTTCATTTCAAAGTGACCTTGATAGATGGCTGTAAAATAAAATGTTCCTGATAGCAACAATTGTGAGCATATAGCTGGTTGTCCACATTGGTTTGTAGAAAAACATAATTTGAGGTATAGATTTTCACTGCAAAATGAATACAGGGTAATAATTTGACCAGTTGAAAAGAATAAGATTGGTAAGGTTGAGAAGAATAAAGTGGTCTTTGGAAGGAGTATTGGGCTGCATCTCTTGGGATGAGCACAGTGTATAGATAGTTGTGTGTTCAAGAAATGCCCAGTAGGGGGCATCCACTGCCGAGCATGCTCTCAATAAGCAGGTGAACAAGAGACTTTGTGCCAACAGCAGAAAGTGGCTCAGAGCCTCGAGCGTGGCACAATTCCTTCAGGTGTTCAGGAGCAATTGGTTGCTATCCAGCCATCTGGTGGAAGTTGATGACTTTGGCTTCCTTAGATTAGGGAGGACCAATAGTTTGCCCTTCTGGGAATAAAAACATGGCACCGAAACAGATTTGCTTTCGTTGTCTGCATAGCTTCTGCTAGCATCATGATCCGTTTAAGAGAATGCCTTATTCTCCATTTACTATTCCTCATAAGATTATTCTGATTCAGAATTTCACAAAAATATTTGCTTCCCATACCCACAACCTTGCACTTGAAAGACTTAGGGGCGCTAGTCCTAAGAGAGAAAACTTTCAAAAAAGGGAATGAAGCCTTAGTCCCATTAATGTAGAAGCTGAGACTTCTTCCTGGTCATTTTCAACTCTTCTTGCTACTGCACAAACAGGCGGAGATCGATTCCTATTAATAACAGGAGGTTGGTTGCTGCTATACAATGTGGACAGAGAGTTCTATATCTGGAATCCAGGGTACTCTTCAGTATACCTCTTAATAGTCCCATGATCATTTAAAAAGTCAATGAAAGCTGTGACAAAACAGAACAGTCTTCTGAGAGAAAGACTAGTGGGGTTGGAAGAAAAACTACTTCAAGCAACAAAAGCTGATTAAAACTTAGCCTTGAGGCAAGGATCAAATCAAGGCTAAAGCTGTTTATTCCCATTATTAAAACCCTTTGAATGGATTAAAGTAGCACACAGTAAATCCTTTGAATTGGATAAAATAGCTCAGGGAAAAGAGATTAAAGGTGTGGATCTCCCACCTCAGCCCGATTGGCCTAGGGCCTGTAATTAAGTTGAGGGAGAGCAAGCATGGGGCAAGAAGCAAACAAATACTGTAAATCTGAGAAATATGTCCAAAAGGAATTCTGGATGTGGTTACCGGAACATGTAACGGACTAAGTCAAACATTTTAAAAGCTGCTAAGGTTTTAAGAGAGATTACTATTGAAGGAGTCATGAGCATGAGCCAAAAAATAAAAATAAAAACCTTATTCAAGAACCAAAATAACCCTCAGTCCTTAAGTTTCTGGCAGGCCAGGAACAGGCTGAGAAAGCCGCTGAACCTCCAATGACAACATAGCATCACAGTCTCATGTCCAATTCATATATGGCCAAGAAGAATAATAAAAAAGAGGGAGGAATAAACAACTGGAAAGAGTAGCCAAGGGCCATGGGAAAAAGTTAGGAGGGGGGCCTTCTAGGAACATGAATTACTGTCTAAACAATCAACATTCTCCACTTTCCCAGAATAAGGGCCCCTCATGACATTTGTCTAGCAGGATTTTAGAATATCTACAGACCAGCGACTTCTCAGTGTTTCCCATTCTTCTGATAGTGATAGTTGTCTGTCCCTGTTCTGCCATTGCACGCTGGGGTTGAAGGTGGACGATAACTTGTCTGTACACAGATCTGCAGACCAAGAGGGAGCGTGTCTGGATGAATAGTATTTGGCATCACTTGGATATCATGGGCATCAAAGCTAGTATATGTTTTGTTGTTGGAGGGAGAGGGAGTGACCGAAAGTGCAGAGTAGTATAGTCATTAGTGCCGTTAATCAAATATTCCTTTTTTCTCCATTTGGGGCACGTGGGTCAGATTATACTTCCTGGCTAATTTGAAGTTGCTTTGACCAGTGAAATATAAGCAGAATTCCATCTTTTCTGGATTGAAGTCGTTACACGATTTGCCACACCCTCTTTTTTTCTCTGCCATGATTAACAAGCAATATTCCATAGAATAGAAGTTCTATTGTCCTGAGTGAGGACAGTGCTGAGGGGAGCCTCAGCCAGATTGCACACGTGGTATGAGAGAGAAATAAATCGTTGTTTTAAGCCACTACGACTTAAAGTTATTCATTATCGTCACATAACCTAGCCCATTCTTTGACTTATTTACTCAAATTCAATCATTATCAGACTTGGGAGAATCTGTGACTTCCATTCGCCACATTATTTCTCACCCTTTTTAACCTCTCAATTTTTCCTCCCCTCCATTGACAATGCTGGAAAATGCAACCTTTTCTTATCTAAAATAGCATGTTCTCCTTTAATTATTTTGTTATTTATTACTCTTAATCTATAATTTCTACTCAGCCATTTTACCCTGGCCACATTGATGTTAGTCCTTTAGAATGTTTCTAAATAAGCCATTTTTTACTAATGTAATAAAACTCAAACCTTTGAAAGAAGGTATGAATAAAATCTAGTTTGAACAATTCTGTGGATGAATACACATAGTTTAATGATACATGCGTGTTTTTAAAATCAGATTGGCTATTTAAGAGTCATCAGCCTCAGGAAAACTCGCAGGGTGGGTGTCTTACATGTAAGTTTCTTCAGTCACACATAAAATGCATGGAAAAGAAAGGCCATCACGAACGTATCACATCGTATTATAAAGAACAGAGAGTTCTAAGCTCTTCTTTTATTCGTAATTATCATTCTACTCTAACTCAACCCTGGAGCACCTTTGAAAATAAATCTCTTCCTTTCCATTTTTTTTCTTTCTTTTTACAGGCAATTCATATTATGCAACTATAAAAATGAGCAGAGAGCCTTCAAACATGTGAGCAAACTACAAAAAGCAAGCAACCTTGGAATTGAATTTCCTATTTCTTCAGGTACCAGGAGGTAGAAGACACTGTATCAGGGAGATGTTCTCTGCTGTTTCTACAGGATGAGCCACAGGCCCAGATTTTGGGCAGTCTTTGAACTGATGCTTCTGGAGTCACTTCTACGTTCCAATACACGGTTTTATTTTATTTATTTATTTATTTTTGAGACGGAGTCTTGCTCTGTCACCAGGCCGGAGTGCAGTGACGCGATCTCGGCTCACTGCAACCTCTGCCTCCTGTGTTCAAGCAATTCCCCTGCCTCAGCCTCCAAGGTGGCTTGGATTGCAGGCACAGGCCACCACGCCCAGCTAAATTTTTGTATTTTAGCAGAGGTAGGGTTTCACCATGTTGGCTGGGATGGTCTCGATCTCCTGACCTCGTGATTCACGTGCCTCGGTCTCCCAAAGTGTTGGGATTACAGGCGTGAGCCACCGCGCCCGGCCCCAGTACATAGTTTTAAAGGATAACAGGGGCCACCTGTCATAAGTCCACCAAACCAACCAGAGAACTGTGAAGACTCAACTGCCACTAAAGCTGCCAGCTGTCCCATCATTTCCAAAAAGACCAGTTTTGTAGTTCCAATTTCTGAGTGTATTAGAATATCCTGAAAACTTTTTAAAGAAATAAATTACCGGGTTTCTCATTTAACCTGATAAATAAGAATTTTTTTATGGACAAGTTTTTTACAAGATTCTTAGCAGGTAACTGGGCTTGTCTTACTATTTGGAAACCAGTGTTTTATTTAGTAGACACTAAAGTTTAGTAGTTCCTAATTGGGCGGTGGGTTTGTCCAGAGAGCCTTACACTAACTCAGCTTCCTCCTTTCCCTGCACATCTCAGAGACATCATTAAGGGAAATTTTCAAGGTTTCCCTTATGTATATGAATATTCCAAAATGCCTGTAAATTTAGTTAATAATTTAGAAGTTCTATTATGACCATGATGCTAACTGAAGACCCAGATTCTATTTTATAAAGTGTTGCTAAACTGGTTTATAGCAATAGTAATTCTCTCCTCATTTCAGGGAAACATGCTGCATATGAAAACCTCTTCAGTTTCACCCCATAACCTCAGACAACTTCCCCAGGCATAACTCCTTCCTTCTGCGGTAAGTAGCAGCCCTCTGTCATCATCGTCACTATATTCTGTCCCTTAAACTGGCATTTGTTTTATGTTTCAATAATATTAATAGTCACATATTTATACTCTGATGTTAACTTTTAATTTTAACTTGCCATTATCTGATGGAGGTGAACTCCATTATTTTTAGTTTAAAATGTTTCTCAGTTTTCTAGAGACACACCATAAGAGGTATGTTGTGATCATCAAATGGTGAAGATTTATCCCAAGTACTTTAGCAGGATAGAATTCAAATCAAGCTTTGGATAATATACTAATGTGTTAGTGACTGTAATTAATTTTCCAATGACGCAAGATATATTTAAAATCTAATCATTGTTCTGATAATAGCATAATGTTGGCATTATTTTCAATCATCTTAAGTGTCCTGGGGTGGGGGTCAGGGAGGGTGAGGGAGGCCATACAGTCATCATTTGTCAACCAGAATCTTTCCTTTTTTATTGTTTTATAGGGGTAGAGTTGGGTCAGAATTGAGCTGAGACAAACTTGAGAAGTAAAGTAGGAACAATTTTGCCCTACTCTTCCTTTTCTGCCAATGCACATTTCTGCTCAGCCTGCTGCTTAAATGCTGCCTCCATTTGTGGTCTGATAATGGATTAAAGTGTTAGCCCTCTCAGGGTTATTTGTATTTTAATAATGCAAAGTACCACATGATTTTAAGAACTGCAAGGCTAACATTCTAAAACTGTCTCACAGGAATGTGATTCTGCTTCCTTCCAATGCCTCTGATGCACAACCTCCTCTCCTCTCTCCTTAAGAAAAGACCTTGAAGCAGGTTATGGACTCCCCAGCCTTCCTGGAGTCTAAGGAACATTTCCCTTTGTGGATGCTTACAGTGCAAGCCCGATTGGGTTCAAGAGTCAGGTGACTGTAGTTCATCAGCTGCTGAATATAGTTACATGCTGATGTCTATCAGAAGAAAACATAGTCAAGAGACATTTATGCCACCCTTAAATATATATATTAAGTTATTAAAGGATATAAAAATAATTATTCCACTAGCATCACTTTGCAGTGTCAAGATATATAGAGAGACACAATTCATAATTTTACACTTAATTAATGCAGAGTAATAAGCTAGTTTCTCCATAATTGAATAACAGCCTGTGCTGAGTCTTCTGACAGGCTTTGGGCAATAAGCTTGAATGGCCTTGCTCTGATTAGTTTAAGACATGCTTGTGAGTGTCTTTTTTTTTTTTTTTTTTGGCACAGATATGGGTGGTTTAACAGAGTATATAAATGTCAGGGAAGTCCTTTGGTTATGAACAGTGAGTCACAAAATGATTATGGACATCATAGGTTATTTATTGTAGTTCTAGGACATTTTGGAACTATGATCATTAACATAATATAGTTGTGAATCTTTTTGGTTTTCTACATCTGAGGAATTAAATGGAAAAAGGCCATCGAAGAACTTTTCACTTTCATGCTTGACTACCTTAAAGAATCCTACATAAAATAAATCCAAATTTTATTGCTTACATTTTAGAGACAGTATTTTATGAAGATGCTTAACCACCAGGATTATAAGGACAGGCAGAGATATACAATCAAACACCAAGCTTTGCTTTATCTTGAATGGTCTAGATTAAAAGGTAATAATGTTCACTACTAATTTTCAAGCATATTTAATGCCAAGCACTATAAGTACATTATCTCATTTCATCCATTTAAAACAAGCCACAAAAAAGGTACACATCTCCCCATTTTACAGTTGAAAACATTGAGGCTCATAAAGGCTTATTTGCATACTTTCAAGCGCCTACATTTCTAAATTCAAAGCTCATGCATTTCCCTCAGTGTCATGCTGCTACTCTAATTATAAAAGCAGTGTGGAAGGGACAACATGAATAATTTAATTTGACTCGTGTGTTGGCTGTTTTCCAGCTAGTTACCATCTCTTTACTATGAACTTGATTAAACAAGCCAAGCTTGGCTTAAAATAATGCTCCTCAAGCAATTTGCATCTATCTTTAAGGTTGGCAGGGAAACTGACCTCTGCCAATCTGTTTTTGCTTATAACCATAAAACATACAAGACCTTGGATAAAACCTAAAGGGAAGAAAAATGTTTTTATTATAACAATTAAGACTTACGCATGAGCTATTCATTAATGCCCTGAAAGTTGACTTTTTGGCATAGGAAATACAATCAAAATTCCAGAGACATCCCAAAACTTTTCTATCACACATTTAAAACAAAGGAACAAATGAGTTAGTAGCTAAGTGAAGCAATCTCTACAGTATTAATACAGATTTTGATATATTTTAAAACTAACCTTTAACTTATTGAGCTTATGCATAGGTTATGTATCTTACTTCCTCATGGAGATATTAGCAGATTATTTTCTGAATGATTTTTTTTTTTTGCTTTGAGTTTCTTGGAATTAGAGGTGTTAAACATCCAGTATCTTAACAATCTACTTATTTTTTAATAGAAAATTATTTTAGCAGTGTTTAGTAGTTCTCCTTGTAGATATTTCACTTTTTTGGTTAGATGTATTCCAAAGTTTTTTTCTTTTTTTTGGTATGGCTATTGTAAAAGATTGCACTCCTGATTTGGCTCTCGGCTAGAACATTATTGGTATATAAAATGCTACTGATTTTTGTACATTGATTTTGAATCCTGAAACTTTATTGAAATCATTTATCAGCTCCAGAAGCCCTTTGGTGGAGTCCATAGGGTTTTTTAGATATAGAATCATATCAACAGTTTTAAGAGAAATAATTTGACTTCTTCTTTTCCTGTTTGGAAGACTTTTATTGCTTTTTCTTTCCTGATTGCTTTGGCTAGGACTTCCAATACCATGTTGAATAGGAGCAGTGATTGTCAGCATCCTTGTCTTGTTCCAGGTCTTAAGGGGAATGCTCCCAGCTTTTGCTCGTTCAGTATAATATTGACGGTGGGTTTGTCATAGCTGAAAGAAACATAGATGATACAAACAAATGGAACAACATTCGATGCTCATGGATTGGAAGAATTAATATTGTTTAAATGGCCACACTTCCCAAAGCAGTTTACAGATTAGTGTTTTCCCATCCAACTACTAATGCTGATTTTCACAGAATTAGAAAAAACTATTCTAAAATTCATATGAAACCAAAAAAAGCCCAAATAGCTAAAACAATCCTAAGCAAAAGGAACAAAGCCAGGGGCATCACACTACCTGACTTCAAACTATACTACAAGCCTACAGTAACCAGAGCAGCATGGTACTGGTATAAAAACAGACACGTGGCCAGGCGCAGTGGCTCATCATGCCTGTAATCCCAGCACTTTGGGAGGCCAAGGCAGGTGGATCACAAGGTCAGGAGATCGAGACCATCCTGGCTAACACGGTGAAACCCATCTCTACTAAAAACACAAAAAATTAGCCGGGCGTGGTGGCAGGTACCTGTAGTCCTAGCTAATCGGGAGGCTGAACAGAAGAATGGTGTGAACCCGGGAGGCGGAGCTTGCAGTGAGCCAAGATTGCACCATTGCACTCTAGCCTGGGCGACAGAGCGAGACTCTGTCTCAAAAAAAAAACCAAAAATGACATGTACACCAATGACAGGATAGAGGACCCAGAAATAAAGTCCCACATCTATAAGTATCTGATATTTGACAAAGTTGATAATAACAAATAGGACAAAGACTCCCTATTCAACAAATGCTGCAAGGACAACTGGCTAGTCACATGCAGAAGAATGAAACTGGGCTTATCTCACAATATACAAAAATTAATTCAAGATGGATTGAAGACTTAAATGTAATACCTCAAACTATAAGAATCCTAGAAGAAAACCTAGAAAACCATGACAGTCCCCAGTGTGTGATGTTCCCCACCCTATGTCCAAGTGTTCTTATTGAGGTTGAACATTTTTTTAAACACTTTCATAAATTTGTGTTTTCAGAAGAAATTCAGAATGGGAGCAAACCTTGCATCCCTAAATTTTGTAATTAGGCTAAACTAAATGAGGTGAAATTTAACAGAAAGTTTTACTATCCGGAAGAACCACTGGCATTTCCTCTCATAAATGTTTCTTGATCTAACTTTTATATTCACAGGAAGAAAGTTTTCATGTTGATTTACCTATCAGTTTGGACAGCTTCTAATTTTACATTTCAAATAAATGTTACCTCTTGCCTTGATCTTACTTCTCATATTCACATTGTCAGTCTTCACCCTTGTCACCTATGTAACAACAATATAATCCATCATTCACCCTTTTCAGATGGGCGTTTCAATGACATCACATTCTCAAAGTGACCCCTTCTCTCAAACGAATTTTGTTTCGTGGTTTGTTTTTTTACAAACTACTGTCAAACATTCTCATTGCTTGAAAATATGGAGATAGCTATATGATGTTTGGAGCATGTAAAAGCACAGCAACTAACTTCTTCCTCTGATTCACCAAATGTACAGAAAACACTATATAAACATTTTAGGTTTAAAGACGTGGGGATCATAAAGTGAAAAGATATTGTTTTGAAGGTTTTACTTTATTTGAAGATTAAAGTGGTACAATTTAAAATATTATGTCTCTGTGAAGATAATAAATGATCATATATTAAATTTTATATTATACATATAAGTATCATAAAAATAACTTTTAAAACTGTAATTTTTAGAATCTACCAAGAACCAATGAATTCACATCAACATTAAGACATCTATTATAAAAAACATAATTTCAGATTTATTGCACATATATTATATATGCAAACATATTATAAATCGCACATATATATTGCTCGTAATAAATATATGCATGTATTAAAGGAGATTTATATACTTATATTAAAGAAAATTTTTATGTTTCCTTCCTGTACCAAAAATATAATTATTATATGCAACAATTCTTTTGAGATCTTCATAGTAGAGAGAGAAGAATGCTGTTTTGTATTAAATTTTGGTGCAATTTATGTAAAGAGAGTTGCAATGCACTTTTTTTTCAAATAAGATGTTATTGTTCTCAGCAGGTAAAATTATTTAGTCCCAGGTTGTCTGTTTGACACTAACTTCAAAAAATATGAAAGTGTGAGTTTTTATGTAAATTTACACAACTGAATGACTATATATATTTTACCATACTCTACAAAATAGTTGATATAAAAATAATATAACTTATTTATGGACAAAGAATCAATGAAATGTTATATGCAGATTGGACCCTGTAGATCAAAGTGCCCCAACTTATACCCTGCACAATAGTCCTCTCATCATATTCAATGATTCCAAACATAACCAACCCTCCTCACTATCATTCTCCCTTCACGGTATTTATTTCCATTTGAGTATATGTGATGATAACAAAATAAGTAGAATATATCTCTGAGCATTCAAGACACCATGATTTGGTGAAAATAAATTAAAAATCACTGTACTAAATTAAAATAAATTTCAAGATGGGCTAGATGATGTTTGGGAACAGAACGAATACCGCAAAATTCACTCCTTTAAGTGTTTTCACAAGTGGAAAAATGTGGACCAAAATAATGATGCTATCTGAATTCTTTATGTTTTGATCTAGTTGGTATGTTCATTGTCAATAAAAGAAACCTAAAACCACACCAAATGGCAAAATGTTAATACATAACTTCAAATTTGAGTGTTTAACATGTCTTAAATGCTGCTGTAAAGCTGAAATCTTGGGAATTTTAAACAGACTTTTCTTTCGGTAACATATAGCTACTGGTTGCTTCGAAGCAAGACAAAATCCATAGTTCATTAGGCCAGATATAGGGCACTGTCAATGGGAACTGAGAAGAAGACACTGAGACAAGAAGCATATTCTGGAAAAAAAGATAGAATATCTTAGACTATAGCACTTAATGCAGTTTTACAAGAATTATCATAGGGTTCAGCTTTCTGTCAAATAGAAACTGAGCTCTCAGTTCAGGTCTTCTTGAAGAAATTATTCTCACTAAAATATATTTAAAATTCTTCTGACTTTGTCACAACACACAGAATGCTGATGAGAGAGATAACGTACCATGTTTTCTTCACACAGAGCACTTGCAATATGAATCTCTACAGTGATTCCCAAGTTAAGGATTAAGGCACTCAACATTTTGCAAAGTATAATCAAGGAATCATTTTACATTAAAATAACAATGATTTAAATTGAACCTTAATATTCACATTTGCACAAACTAAGTGTTTTCTGTATCCAGAGTGACCACAACTAGGTAAACAATCCCCTTACATTACCAAGTCAAAAGTATAGAGTTCATGTGGCTGCAATGTCAAGACTGATTTCTCAAACCCAGCACTGTCACTTCCTAGCTGTGGGTAAGCCACTTCACTTTCCTGAGCCCCAGTTTCTTTCAAAATGGCATTTTAAAGAGCAACCTACCTCATTGTGTCATTTTGAGTATTAACTGATATTTTGTAAATCATTTAACACAGAGCCTAGGCAATAGGTAGTCTTCAAACATATTAAGTATTTCTATTTTTTAGTAGGGCTTAATTATTTCAGAATATAACAACATTTACAATACTGGGGCATTAATGAACTTATTAAACCTAATATCGTTGTTAAACAAGGTTATAACTATAATCACACCTTCTGGCACATACACTCTAACATTTTGTTCACCCTTTCTCAGTTGGTAGAACACTATTTGTCCCAAGTACATCCACTTAATTGATATTTATTAAAACAATAAATATAATATATTCAGTATTTTCTACTTATTTTTGACTAGAAAACAACACAAAAAAAACAAATAAACAATCACACATTCTACGTAAACTTCCTTGGAGCCAATGCTAGGTAGGGAGGTGATATACTTTGTTCCACATTTTCATTCACTGTCCCCAGAACTCTCACTCTCTCTTGATCTTGTCACCCTGGGGCTAGAAGAAAAAGAAGACTTACATCCAGAGAGAAGGGAAGGAAGACAGTAAGAGAGGTCACCCTATAGTCACACCCACAGAAAGTGAAGATATTCGCAAACAATGCATCTGACAAAGGACAAATATCCAAAATCTACAATGGACTCAAACAAATCAGCAAGAAAAAAATACAAATAATTCCATCAGAAAGTGGGCAAAGGACATGAATAAACAATTTGCAAAAGAAGATAAACAACTGGCCAAGAAACATATGAAAAATACTCAACATCACTAATTATCAGGGAAATAAAAATTAAAACCAAAATGAGATACCACTTCACTCCTGCAAGAATGGCCATAATTAAAAAGTCAAAAAATAATAGATGTTGGCATGGATGTAGTGCAAAGGGAATACTTTTACACGGTGGGTAGGAATGTAAACTAGTACAACCAGTATGAAAAACAGTATGTAGATTCCTTAAAGAACTAAAAGTAGAACTACCATTTGATCCAGCAATCCCAATACTGGGTATCTACCCAAAAGAAAATAAGTCATTATATTAAAAAGACATAATTCACAACTGTAAAAAATACGGCACCAGCCTAAATGTCCATCAACCAATGAATGGATAAAGAAAATGTGATACATACATATATATATATATAAATCACAGAATACTACTCAGCCATCAAAAGGAATTACATAATGGCATTCACAGCAACCTGGATCATTGCTCTAAATGAAGTAACTCAGGAATGGAAAACCGAATATCATATGTTCTCACTTATAAGTGGGAGCTAAGCTATGAGGATGCTGTACTAGTCCATTCTCATGTGGCTATGAAGAATATCCAAGACTGGATAGTTTATAAAGAAAAGAGTTTTAATTGACTCACAGTTCCACATGGCTGGGGAGGCCTCAGGAAACTTACAATCATGGTGGAAGGGGAAGCAAATGAATCCTACTTCACAAGGTAGCAGGAGAGAGAACTGCCAAGCAAAGGGGAAAAAGTCCCTTATAAAGCCATCAGATCTCATGACACTCACTCACTATCAGGAGAACAGCATGGGGGTAACCACCTCCATGAATCAATTACCTCCCACCAGGTCCCTCCCACAAAATGTGGGAATTATGGAAACTACAATTCAAGATGAGATTTGGGTGGTGACACAGCCAAACCATATCAGATGCAAAGGCATAAGAATGATATAAGGGACTTTAGGGGCTCATGGGGAAGGGTGTGAGGAGGGTGAGGGATAAAGGACTATATACTGGGTCCAGTGTTATGGAAACTACAATTCAAGATGAGATTTGGTTGGTGACACAGCCAAATGATATCAGATGCAAAGGCATAAGAATGATATAAGGGGCTTTAGGGGCTCAGGGGGAAGGGTGTGAGGAGGGTGAGGGATAAATGACTATATACTGGGTCCAGTGTACACTGCTCAGATGATGGGTACACCAAAATCTCAGAAACTACCACTAAAGCATTTCTCCACGTAATCAAAAACCACCTGTTCCTCAAAAACTATTAAAATAAACAATAAAAAACCAAAATGCCTTATCTTGCATGTTGCAAATCTCTTAAACCTAAGTTTCTCTGGTCTGAGGTTCTTGTGATTGTTCAGAGTCCTCAGATGACAGTGATTTGCAAAGAACGGCCTCTCCACTACACAGGTTTACAAAAGGGACATTAATGTGTTTTTATGTCCCACAAAGAAATTTCCCTGCTTAGAGTTATATTCCCTTTCAGCGCTATTCCCCCCGCTGTCCTAATGTCAAAGGAAACCTGTTCATCAGAAGAGCAAAAGAAAATAATTAGAGAATGGTAAACCATAGTTCCTTTCATACTCAGTAGAAAGTGAAGAGACCAGTCTCAAAGGTACCAAGAATGTGAAGAATTTAAACTTCTGGAAGATGAACAGGATAAGGAACAGGGCAAAACTGGAATTCTGAATGAAGAAAGAAGGAAATAATTAGAGGAACACACTGGAGAGATTTCAGACTTGAGGGCAAAACAAAAAAAAACATCAGGGACCTACAAAGAATGACTGAATCCAGTGTCATGGATGGGAAAAAGTAAACTGGAATAATATTACGAGAAAGTAAATCAGTGAGTCAAAAAATGGCTAAAGATAAAAGAAAAATAACGGAAAAAGTAGATTAAAAATAGAAAAGAAATTAAAATCAGGAAAAAAATTATCATATTCTTATATTTTACTTGACTTTCTTTGTAAAGGGGGGAAACTGAAATGAAACTATTCTTTATGAAAACCAAATAAGACATCAACATGCAATGATTAATATATGTAATCATAGCATGCTATGCTGACCCTGTCTCATCTATGGAGAAAATAGAATAAACAGAAAAAAACACAAACCAACAACAGACTTCAAATACTCTGGCCTTTGAGAGACAACTTCTATAAAATGCTAATTTCTTTTTTTCTTGGATGAGCTTGTGAGAAGAGGGAATTAAATCTCAGGTATCCATTTGCAGCTTATCTGTGGTAAAGGAGCGTACAACATCCAGAGGGCAGTGCTGTCGCGGGAAAGGAGCTGAAACTTGTTGACTGAGACACTGTGCCTCCTAAAGTCTAACCAACAAGTGACCAGGCACTCAGCCAGTCCAACAGATGGGCATTAGCCCTGAAAGCAATGTGACCATGTATGTTCATCAAGGTTGTTTTCTATAGAACAAAATTTTCACCCACAATTGTTCCAACAGCTGTTCACACTGAGCTTATGCACTTCCAGTTGGGAAGAAATGTCATTGCCCATTCGTCTTTGAGTGGGATAAGCTTTCCACATGAAAAAAGAAATCACCATATAAAGGGGCCACTTAGCTGCAACAAAGGTAACTCTTAGGGCAGACGGAGCCATCCAAACCTCAAGAGGAGACCATTCTCTTGAGGTCACTTTCCAGATTGCTGACAGAAAGGCATCTCAGATCTCTGGTACTCTACCCTTCAACTCCCAAAGCACTTTGAGTTCTTTCCAGTAGTTTTTCATGTGTGTGTAACACAACTTTCACATGTAATTCTGATATTTTGTTTTACTTCAAATGTTGATACCCATAATAAGGAAATATTTTAGAGATCCCAAAGAAAAGTTTAGGACCAAATATTTAAATCATCTAAGATATCATTATTCCTCATGGGGACTGTAGTCCTCAGACCACACATTTTTCTCTATTTACCTCAAACCAAGGGTAATGTAGGCATTGAGGTGAAAACCACTTATATATACAGGTATTCCAAAGCAAAACCAAACCAGAATAAGCTGGAATGATGAAAAAAAGAGAGATCAGAGGTGGATATGGCACTAAGTGATTTCAACATCTAAACTATTCAAAATATTTGATTCTTTCATTTAGCTTTCTTGTTTTTGAATATTGATTTACAGTTCCCCCCACTAAGGCCCTATGACTAACGTTGGAATCCTCCTTCCGCCCTTACGTGCAGTGAGTCTCCTGTCCTACCCCTGAATATATCTTGTTTCTGTCCCTTATCTTCATGGGTGCTGCCGTTAATATGTTTCAAGCCATCATAATCTAACCTGAATTATTGCAATAGCGTTTCTTCTGGTCCTCCTCACAATGGTGGCCTGGTAGATTTTAGTGATTTTTTCTATATGCTACTGTGTCCTGAGTTGGTTCCTGCCGGTGGGTTCGTGGTCTCACTGACTTCAAGAATGAAGCTGCGGACCTTTGAGGTGAATGTTAGAACTCTTAGAGATGGCAAGGACCCGGCCGGGCGCTATGGCTCACACCTGTAATCCCAGCACTTTGGGAGGCCAAGGCGAGCGGTTCACAAGGTCAGGAGATCGGACCATCCTGGCTAATGCGGTGAAACCCCGTCTCTACTAAACTTAGAAAAAAATTAGCCCGGCGTGGTGGCCGGCACCTGTAGTCCCAGCTTCTAGGGAGACTGAGGCAGGAGAATGGCGTGAACCCGGGAGGCGGAGCTTCCAGTGAGCCGAGATCTCACCACTGCACTCCAGCCTGGACAACAGAGCAAGACTCCGTCTTGGGGAAAAAAAAAAAAGATGGCACAGACCCAAAGAGTGAGCAGTAGCAAGGTTTATTGTGAAGAGTGAAAGAACAAAGCTTCCACAGTGTGGAAGGGACCTGAGCAGGTTGCCACTACTGGCTGAGGTGGCCAACTTTTATTCCCTTATTTGCTCCCCTTCCATGTTCTGTTTTTGTCCTGTCAGAGTGCCCTTTTCTCAATCCTCCCTGCAACTGGCTACTTTTAGGATCCTGCTGATTGGTACATTTTTCGGAGCACTAATTGGTGCATTTTACAATTCTCTTGCTAGCTACAGAGCGCTGATTGGTGCATTTTTACAGAGTGCTGATTGGTGCATTTTACAATCCTCTTATAAGACAGAAAAGTTCTTGAAGTCTCCACTTGACCCAGGAAGTCCAGCTGGCTTCACCTCTCACCACTATCTCCATAAACTTCTATTAGAATAGCCATAACATGAAATGTTTATTACTTTCTTGTTATTTCACCTATTCAGATTTTAAGCTCCTTTAAAGACAGAAATAGACTTTTGTGTTTATCAACAAAGACTCCAGTGTGCTGCCCATTACACAGCAACTCTCAGTAAATATTTACTGAATTCTCCATATGTTTCAAACTTTGACCCACCTGTTGGTTTATGCACATGCCTAGCCAAGCCGTTTCCCAAGTGTCAGGCTAAATAATTGCTTTTCATCAGCCCTTCTCTTGTAACAATTCTATTTTAAAAAATACACCTATAATAATTACCATATATCAAATTCAAGTGAGTGATAACTTTGATAACTATATCATTATCTAATTTAATCTAAACAACAGACTATAAAGTAATCTACAGGTAATTGATGAGAAATTCTTCCCCCAAAGTCACGTAACTAGTAATTGATTAAACAAAGAGGGGTTTGACCAAAGCATGTCCCTATGACTGCAGCAGCCCTGTTCTCATCCATGCTGAAATTTACTATTTGATATCCAGAATCCCCAAAGAGTGAGTTTCTTGGACAAGAGCTGCATTTTATTTTCTGTATCACTTGTACCTGGTGTATCATCCATCATTTAGTACACATTCAGGTGAAACTTGCTTGTTGAAGAATAGATAAAAGAATGAACAAAAGTACCAACAGATTAATGGAATTTCTGTTACGAAAGAGGAAGAATAAAAGAATCTATAAGTTTTCTGGCTAATCCTTCCATCTGAATGAAGCTATAAAATTTAAGCAGTATTCAAACAGAGAAAGAATGCCTTCTTCTGAATACCAGTCTCCCTCTAAACCAAAACTTTTAACTTTCAGCAATCTGGAGGACATCATTCATGTAGTAATCTTAAACACTTCATTTCTCCATTAAATAGTCCATTTCTGAAACATGGACCTAAATTATAAAATCCATTTGCAAATCTTCTCTAGGATACTAGTGGACTGTTGGAAAATAACCACCAATGAGGACTTAAAATATGAATGGTATTAAATAAGGGAACATTCATGTTGAGTCAATTCTCTTGGACTTTGTTCGTTTTACAGACTATTATTTCACATTTCAACCCAAATAGAAAAGAATATTTACATTTCAATAAACATTCTTGCTTAAATTCAAAATCTTTGAAATATGTGGAATGTATTCCCCACATTAGCACAGTATTCTGTGTCTTTGTGTAAAAAAGCATGCAAATTAATAAATTCAACAGTTTAGAAATAAAACTTTGGCAAAATCTTTGTGCAATATATTTGAAAATGAGTAATTCTGTAGGGTTTTCTATTTTATGATCTTTAGTGATAATATGTAGAGTGTCTGCATTACCTTCTACAGTTATTATTTCTTTTATAATTAGTAATGCTACTTCTGAGACAATTCTTAACATCCTACTCTCTGGAGGCCAGTAAGTATAGGCTTGACAGTTCTATCTAATTCAGAAGAATCCATCTTAATTATTTATTTATAAATGTCAATGCTATTAAACAGCAGGAAGAAGGGGAAGTAATATTATAGTCTTACCAATGCTAAAGAAATATTTAACACTAAATTATGAATTTAGGAGTAACTCATCAATATCTGTATTTTGGTTTTGCCATTAGGCATTTAAATATAAACATTTTCCTACTTTCAGTCAATCCAAATTATAGCAGAATATTTCTGATTAATAAGAATATTCGACCTTCTTTCCTAAAAGTATTTACATTGCCACTTTAGAATTAATAGTACTCTACACAATTTGGTTTGCTGGATCAGCCAGGACAGGTTAGGGTTTCCTGCACTAACAAGCAACCCCAAAATCTTAGTAGATTAAAGTAACAGTTTAATTTTTATTTCTTATGGTGTATTTCTAAAATGTGTCATTAGAGGAACTCAGCTTATTGTGGCCTGTTAATGACACAAGATGACAGATGTCCTATCTTGATATGTCTTTCTGATCATAGTGGCAAGCAAAGAATAAAGTAGGAGGCAGTTCAATACTATAGTCTTGATATAATACATTTCACTTCTACACAGGAACCATTACTTAGAACTAATTGTAATTCTACCCACCTTCGAACATGGCTGAGAAAATTCTTCCATATATTAGGATGGAGAGGAGAACAAGATATAGACGAACATTAGAAGTTTCTATTACATTTGCAAGTGTCAACTTGAAGTCACTCTGTATTTTTTTTTTACACATACAAATTGGAATTTCCGATTTGCAGGAACAGTTTTCTTTCATTGGTTTGCGTTTCAGATTTGGCCCCAGTGTAGATTTATTTTCAGGTTCTTAAGCCAAATACCTGTTCTTTTTTAAAAAATGATTACTATGTATTTTTTTATGTGTCTGACTCCATCTTGTCATAAAATACATTTCCTGTTGTTCTGCATCATAGGTAAAATGTGCAATACTCCCATGGCTTGCTTTCTCAAATTTCTAGCTTCATATTAGGTTCTGCACAAACAGATATCAGGAATTCCTAACAGCTATATAAAATTGACTGCTATAGGAGTCTTGAAATATCTACATTTACAACAATTAGAACACAGGATTAAAATTCCTACTTGATGTACCCCAATTGTTCTAATATTTATAATTACAAGAGATTCTTTGAAAAATTTGACACAATATTATTGTCACTTCTCTAAAATTATATAAATAGATTTTGGATCTTAATGTGTGTTTTCATATTTAGGATTCTAAGCCTTTAATAAGCTAGGAACATTTTAATCATTTGATTTTTGTGGCATTTCGATCTTTTTGTTTTGTTTTTTGTTTTTTGTTTTGTTTTTGAGATAGAGTCTTACCTGTCGCCCCGGCTGGAGTGCAGTGGTGCAATCTTGGCTCACTGCAACCTCTGCTTCCCAGGTTCAAGCAATTCTCCTGCCTCAGCCTCCAGAGTAGCTGGGACTACAGGCATGTGCCATCACACTGGGCTAATTTTTTGTATTTTTAGTAGAGTCAGGGTTTCACTATGTTAGCCATGATGGTCTTGATCTCCTGACCTTGTGATCCGCATGCCTCAGGCCTCCCAAAATGCTGGGATTAGAGGCGTAAGCCACCTTGCCTGGCTCATTTTTGATATTTTTATGTTTTGAATGATTAGGTACACCAAGTATCGTTTTTGAAAAAGCCTATGAACTTACATAGTCAACCTAATTAACTGATCGTCCTAAGACTAAATTTCTCTACTTTATTTCCAATCATATTATCTTGAAGTACCTATTTACATGTGACAATTTTTAAAATCTATATATTATTAAAGAATGAAGAGAATCTAGATATCACCTTTAGTTATAATTCATATGAGTAATATGACACAAAATCTCTGAAATATGCAAATGCATTTGTCAAACTAACACAGAACTCCATTTTTTTCTTTTTGTTTTAAAAAGTGGTCTGGTGGCTGGGTGCAGTGGCTCACACCTGTAATCTCAACAATTTCGGAGGCCGAGGCAGGCAGATCACCTGAGGTCAGGAGTTCGAGACCAGCCTGACCAACATGGAGAACACAAAAATTAGCAGGGCGTGGTGGCACACACCTCTAATCCCAGATAGTCAGGAGGCTGAGGCAGGAGAATTGCTTGAACCTGGGAGGTGGAGGTTGCAGTGAGCCGAGATCGCACCATTGCACTCCAGCCTGGGCAACAAGAGCAAAACTCTGTCTCAAAAATAAAAAATAAAAAAAGTGGTCTGGTACATTCTTTTGTTGTTGTTGTTATTGGTATATAAAAAACTCAGTAAACATTGTCATAAAAATTCATATAAATAAATTTTCTAAAAATATATTTTGTTTTAGTTCCAAGGATTTTGGAATAAGGGAGAAAAAAATTCTGCATTCTAGAAAGCCTGACTGGTAGCAATGCACCAAAACTCATATGAAATGAAGGATTTCCCTGAGAAGATGACACAGCACATTCTGAGTCAACCTTTGAGACTTTTAAATCTTATTTTTGTCATAGCACACAGTGGCTATGCAATGAATTGTATCTGAGTTGTTCATTTAAACAACTAAAATAGATAGATTGACCTGCAAATGGCTTTCTAGTCAACTGTGAAGGCAGGCTTTCATTAATATATATAGGCAGTAATTTAGCCTCTGCCTCATTAAATCACTAAGCAATGGTTTTACGTATCTTATAGAAAAACAGTCCAAGGCTTAGCTAGCCAAAGATGGAAGGTTGATTGTCCTAGCTTGTATCAACTCGTCTAGTCCAGGACCTTGTATAATATGATGGTCATTTTAATGTCTGCTAGAAAAATTAATGAATCACTGGTAAAAACAAAAATCATTGTTTGCTCTTATTTTAATTGTGAACATTCAGATTTTGTGCTTGACCAATATGTACAACTAAGGAATTTTTCATTATAATTCTTAAAGTCCAGCTTCATAACACAGAAACAACTTTTTTTTTTGAGACATAGTCTTGTTCCGTTGCCAGGCTGGAGTGCCGTGGCATGTTCTCGGCTCACTGCAACCTCCAACTCCCTGGTTCAAGAGATTCTCCTGCCTCAGCCTCCTGAGTAGCTGGGATTAAAAGCACACACCACCAAACCCAGCTAATTTTTGTATTTTTAGTAGAGGCAGGGTTGCACCATGTTGGCCAGGATGGTCGACCTCGTGATCCGCCTGGCTTGGCCTCCCAAAGTGCTGGGATTACAGGCGTGAGTCACCGCACCTGGCCCAGAAACAACTTTTTATTAGATAACAGCATTGTCAGGATTATAAAGGAAATTTTAAATAAAGTGTGAAGGATTATAAAGAAAAATATTAAAACATTAAATCCTTCACAAGTAGAAAAATGTAAGCCAACTAAAAATTTTGTGTTATTTTATAAAAATGAGCACAGTTAGGAATCAACATAAAAATCTCTGACATCAAATGCAAGCATCTTGGTAAGTATGCCTATTGGTTTACTTGGTGCTTATTTATAAACAGAAAATTGAAATGTTCTTAGTCATTTCTTTATCACAACTAAAATCTTTCTTCTATTCTTTCCCTTCGTGCATCTACTTCTATTTTTATCGCTAATTTATTTGAACTGAGTATGTCGAGAAGTAATTCAAATATATACTTAAAGTATAATGAAAGTATTATAATGCTATATTAGCATGGTTATTTAACTAAAAAAATTGTATTTAAACTTTCTTTGCATTCTACTTCATTCATTTATGTGTGTTGGTGTGTGTCTGTGTGTGTGTAGGCATTTACTTTCACTTATTTACATATATTACTGTTTCTAACTGAGCAAAAGTAGGCAATGTTGATAAAATTCTGAAGATCTTCCAAGGATTTCTAATAAAATTATTTTCACTTAAAACAAATCATCTTTATTAGTTCCTGAACCTCCTCTGCATACCCATGAGCCTGATATAGCAAAGAGTTGAAAACCTAATCCTTGTTTACCATGACCATGAAGAAATGAACGTTCTTCTTTTTTTTTTTTTTTTTTTATACTTTAAGTTTTAGGGTACATGTGCACATTGTGCAGGTTAGTTACATATGTATACATGTGCCATGCTGGTGCGCTGCACCCACTAACGCGTCATCTAGCATTAGGTATATCTCCCAATGCTATCCCTCCCCCCTCCCCCCACCCCACCACAGTCCCCAGAGTGTGATATTCCCCTTCCTGTGTCCATGTGATCTCATTGTTCAATTCCCACCTATGAGTGAGAATATGCGGTGTTTGGCTTTTTGTTCTTGCGATAGTTTACTGAGAATGATGGTTTCCAATTTCATCCATGTCCCTACAAAGGACATGAACTCATCATTTTTTATGGCTGCATAGTATTTGAACATTCTTAACACTGCATATTTCATTCAAGGTGCCTGTAGCTTTTGCCCAAAAGACCAGTGGTCCTAATCATTTAAAGATAAGTGACTTATTTACTTTAAAATAATTTTTTAAAATAGTAAACAATTAAAAGTCAGAAGGATTATCAGTGCTAATTAGAAAAAGATTCATGTTCCATTGCTTGCTCAATGTTACAATATCATGGGGAGGAACATATTCCATTCAAACAATTTTTACTTAGCAATATTTTCATAAGATGTTTTGCATATTTATGCTATATATGTCTAGTCAATTTTCTTTCTCATATTGAATAAACCCATCTAATGTATCCATTGTTTTCTTGTTACAAAGATTATTACTATGAGGAATTTGTGCATAAAGCTTTCCCATATTTTATATTTTTAAAATGGCTTCTGAGAAATCAAACATTCCAAAGGATATAGATAGTAATTATAATCTATTGAGATTTTACTATGTGCCAGTATGTGAGACAAATATTTTTGACATTTTTAAATGTATATAAAACATTGTAAATTAAGTTCTAGTATCATATCCATTATAAAGGGAGAATTTAAAAATTAGAGAGATTTATTTGTTCAGAATCAAATTCCTAGCAAGAGGGAGTCAATAGTTAAAGTCATGTCTGATATTTTAGCACTAATTCTTAACCAATTCAATAGATACAGTGCTAATAGACAGTGACTAGAAGGAAGATGAGTAGCTTTCTTCCAGTTATGTTTCCATAAATGTCTTTTAATATATATTATACATCAATGGAAGCATAAATTTTGGTTATAATACTTTTCCAAAATCCAGTTTTCTGAAATGTTAGGATATCTATCAATCTCTCCACTACTCACAGTAGTAGAACTTTACACCTAGCAACATTAAATAAAATGAAGTTCCCATCAAATAACCTTGAAGTTGTGAACAATACATGCACAATGAATTTATAGCGTTAAAAGTCAGGATGTGGGTACTCCCAGGGTTGGGTGATAATGACAGTGCACCCAGGCAGCTTGTGGAGCAATGGTAAAGTTTTATTTCTCGATGTTGGTATATAGTTGGTGAAGTTTGTCATGCTATACCATTATGATTCATGCATGTTTCTATATCTTTGTTATACTTCAGTTAAAATTTCCTTAAAAATTAGTAGATGCACAGCTGTGTATGTTTTAGCTTCTGGAAACAGCAGTTAATGCTGGAATGATTGATCTACATTTTTAATTCTGGAAATTCTAACCCCTTTCTTAATCTGTTGGACCAGAACTAGTCACTGCCTTAGTCGGACTCCCCAACATCTTTCTGTAAGTGTACTTAATTTTTTTCCTGTGATGATCCATTAATTCTGATCACGGTACTGGCATGTGTTAGAGGTAGCAAATTGAGAGAAGGAGTGCCAGAGGCTTTTGACTAAATTATGCTTCACATGTTTAGTTTTCATGAGTTAAATTTGGTTTTTACTCAACTGATGGTTAAATTTTAGTGGGGATTTAAATTTTAAAAGAAACACCTCCATGTAGTAAGTAACCATCAGTTAATAGGATAGGATGTCAACACTAATATAGTCACCCAGCTTATAACTATATAGGTATACAGAAAACAAATACACATGGTTGTCATTACAAGAGTTATTCAACAGATAAAGCAAATAATCATCCATTTCAATGTATATTTAAACACTATAAATACTGAAAGAAAAGGCTTATACCTAAATTAATTCATGAAGTAATACATCTGGACTACCAACCCAGATATTTTCTCTTAAGAACAGAAAATTAAACTGCAGCAAGCTAGTATTATTGCAATGTGGAGTGGCCAGATTGGTTACAAAATCGAAAGGAAAGGCATTGATGACTACGCTTCAGTCTGCACATTTATTATTTTGAAATTTACATTTGTTCATTCGATTGCACTCAGGTATAAAATCTATTTGTACCTATAATTACAATTATATAGCTATTTGATGAACAGACTAAGTTTGGCTTTAGCTATAAAGTCAGGCTTCTTAACATGTTTTCAGAGCATTCATGGGGCCACAGTATCCTGGTGTTGAACACATAAAGAAAATGTAAAAGAAGAAAGTGTAAAAGAAAAAAATAATAAGATAAATTTTGTCTAATTTTTACACCCTCTTTGTCTCATCTCTACAGCCCTGTTGATGTATGATTTTTCTCTCAACCCCTTCATTGCACTTGTAACAGGGGTGTCTCATTTATTCAGCCTGACATGCTCAAACTTTTGCAAAGGGAGCACGTGAGTGAGTGTGGGATCTGGCTGACTGCTTTGGGTGCTGGCAGGAGCAGGCTCCGTGTGGGCCCTGTGGCAGTGCCCAGGTGAGGGTGTCTGTGCCCCTGAAGTCCCAGAAGGCATGTTACAATGCTCTCTTAGCTCCGCCATCTGTGGACAGCGGTGTGTTATCAGCTTAGTAGGCTCTTTGCATTGTTGCGTGGGGCAGCTGCCCTCTGCCAGCAAGGGCAAAGGGCCAGTGTGACAGCCTTTTTTGGGTACCTGCACTCGGTAGGTCCCGAGCTCTTGTCCAGAGTCCAAGAAAAATGAGGTTGCACGGACACTTGAAGGATGGTGGAAACGGAGAATTTTATTTAGTGGTGGAAATGGCTCTCAGCAGAGAGAGGAGCTAAGAGCAGGGGCGGGGTGGGGGCGGGTGGACAGGCAGGTAATCTTCCCTGAAGTCCAGCTATCCCCAGCCATCTCTTCCCTGTAGTCAAGTTGCCTCTCTGAAGTTAAGGAATCTCCCTCCAAAATCCAGCTGTCCCTCTGAAGTCAAGTCACCTCTCTCTAGTCAAGCCACTTCTCTCTCTCTCTCTCCTTAGTGAGTCTAGGGTCTTTTTAGGCACAGGATGCGGGGCAGGGTGAGCCATAGGTAGTTTTGGAAAAGGTAACATTCAATTGGTAAGAAGACATTATTCAGAAAGAATCAACTGGAAGACAGCAGGCAAACCGGGATAGAAGTTCTCACTTTGGACCATGGGTTTCAGGCTTTTTTGGCTCAAAGATGGGCTTTCGTCAGGGACCTGCCCCTGTCTGCCTATTATTTTTCTGCCTCCTGCCTCTACCACTGTCACTGGGCCTGAAATTTGGCATGTGTGCAATGACGCCTGATGTGTCTGATATGCTTCATGTAAGTAGTTCAGTTATGACCAATGTATATATACATTGGGGCATGGATGCAATAAGTGTAATAGGAGTGATTTCATAGCTATAAATTAGGATAAACTGAGAGGGATATTATCATTTATGAATAGATTAATATTTCCAAAGAACTTCACTCTGCTGGAGTAAAAACACAGCTTTATATTATTATTAAAAATTCAGCCTCCTGAACAAAACCCAGAAGTCATGAGTTTGTTTGTATTATGGAATAGAATGAGATGTACTCTTTATTCTGATAATAATGTAAATATATATCTGCATATCCAAAAATGCATTTTTCAATCTTGAATCGTGGTCATAAATCATATTATTTTAATATTTCTATTTTGATATAATGTCTGGAGAAGGAAAAATAATACGAAATGAGAATTCACAACATTATGTTCAAACCTTTGGCAAAAAAAAGAAAAAAGAATGAGGCACATCACTATCTTCAGTGAATACATTATTTGACCTTACTGGTTTGAGATTCTCTATACATTTCCCAAAAATAAAAGGTTATGATTAAATATGATCTATTCTCTATATCTTAAAAGATTATGAACCAATAACAATTATTAATATAAAAAGTGCCAATATAGTTAATTTTTGTGTCATGTATAATGACCATATATTTGTACAAAAAATAAAAAAAGACATTAAAACAAAATATTGTGTGCATTTTAGTACACCATATATTATTTCATATGCTTTGCTTTTGTTACCCAGGCTAGAGTGCAAGGACACAATCTCAGCTCACTGCAACCTCCACCTCCCAGGTCCAAGCGATTCTCCTGCCTCAGCCTCCCAAGCAGCTGAGATTACAGGTGCACACCACCATGTCCAGCTAATTTTTGTATTTTTAGTAGAGACGGGTTTCACCATGTTGGCCAAGCTGGTCTTGAACTCCTGACCTCAAGTGATCTGCCCGCCTCGGCCTCCCAAAGTGCTGTGATTACAAGTGTGAGCCACTGTGCCCTGCTATTTCATATGCTTTCATATTAAATTTACATTAAGACTCAAACTTTATAGTTAAAGAAGCAGAAGACAGAGGAATACAAATGATCTAAACCTTCCAAAAGAATTTATGAACCTATAATAGATGCTATGTATAAAGCAACTTGGAGTTATTATTTATCTAAATTATGCAGATTTTGTTTTGGTAGGTTGTTAATGGGAACAAGTGTCAATTAGGCAAATACCTATCTTATTGCTTGGATAGTTAAGATCTGAATTGAATGTTATAATATGCTGTACATTAGGTTAACCAATAGTAGTGAAGCAGTACACCATTTTGGCTAAATTCTCTGGTTCAACAATTTCAATCGCCCATGTAGAAATGTGCTCTTGATCTGACTGATCTGAGGGATCAAGATGATAAATATTTGTTGATGACACCACTGCTACCTCCAAACCTCCAATAAACTTTGTGTAAGAACTGCCAATGATACCTAATTGCATCTTACTGACCTAAAAACCATCTATCTTAGCAAACATGTAATTTCCACTTTGTAAGCACTGTCAGCACTCACTGAAGCATTACCTACACACAATGACATTTGATGTCATGAATTCCTAGAACTAGGTATCCAAGGAGAAGCTCTAACAAGAAATTCAAAACTCTTTGCCAATTATAAATAGTAATGTAACATATTATATAATTAGTTACAGAATCAGAACGTGAGTTTCTCTCTGAATAGAGACTGGCTCTTGTCTTTGTAGCTATATCATTGTGCCTGGAGCTTGTCAAGTATGCAATAAATAGTGGGTAAATTGAATTATTTCCCAGAATATTTGCAAGGAATCTAAATATATTACCATATAGCAATATATCAGTAGTCTTGACAAGCCACATTTGCATCCATTCAAATAACTGCTGCTTTTGGAATGTGTGCATTTTATTTGCGCCTCAGTTTTCTAATTTATTTTAAAAATCACTTGACCAGATAATTTTAAATATCCTTTCGATTATACCTTCTAAAATCATGCCACAAAGATATTTCCTTCATGATTCCTGTTTTTTTTTATGCTGTCATTGGTGCATTAAAATGACAATCTTATCTTAGATTCTTATTTATGGAGCAGGAAGATAAATGTATGGCAAGTTACCAAATAAATGACATTCCCAAGTTTGGAAGTCAGCCAAACTTGCTTTTAATCCAAATTCTACTCAGAATGTATGGGGCATTAGGGCTATATTTATATGATAAAAAAGAAGGGTCCTCTTTCTTGATTTGTTCCATGCCCTGTAGATCTGAAAAAGCCTGAAACATCATTTCTAATAAGTAATATTTCCTTCATAGTAAGTTTCCCAGAGTAATGGAATATACATATATATATGTATATTCCATCTATATATAGGTACAGATATATGATATATGTATATGTAAATAGAGATGTGAGTGTTTATTGTATGTGTGTATTTGTGTATGTGATACCCAACGGTGCTCATATAAGGAAAGGAATATTGCAAAAAAACAGACATTAGTGAATAGATCATCTTTTGGTACAGAAGTCAAATATTTGAAGTCTGTTCCAGTATTCTTGTGGACAAGCTTTATGACCTTCAACAAGTCATCCTTATTTATTAGATACATTCTGATACACATAAGATGATAATATACTCTTTTTCCAAGGTTGCAAATTTCATTTCCCAAATGTTCTCATCAGTTTGTCTCAGACACTTTTTCTGAATCAGTCATATTACACCTCTCGACACTCCATAGACTGCTTGGTTAGGAGTGTAACCAGGCAAAGTCTGCAAGTGTGAAAAAACAATCAAGGGTGAGATGGGCTATGTTATCATGGTGGGATTAAAACATAATGGATTACAATTATTGAACTCCCCAGGTTTTTATTTTTAATTTTTATATTACTCCTTTCTAATATGAGTTGTGTACATTTGAATGTTACTATAATTATTTTTTGTTAAATTAAATACTTTCAGTGTTTAATTAAACCAAAAGTATTTAATTTAACCCCACAATATTATGATCCCATATTCTACACTACAGAATTTGTTGACCCACTTACTGCATTATGGCAGAGTTTTAATTTAGTTGCCTAAGTAATGTTTAAGTTAAACTTTCTTTTTTTTTTTTTTTTTTTTTGAGGTGGAGTTTCACTCTTATCACCCAGGCTGGAGTGCAATGGCTCAGTCTTGGCTCACTGCAACCTCCGCCTCCTGGGTTCAAGCAATTCTGCCTTAGCCTCCCATGTAGCTGGGATTACAGGCGTGTGCCTCCACACCCGGCTAATTTTTGTATTTTTAGTAGGACGATGTTTCACCGTGTTGGCCAGGCTGCTCCTGAGCTCCTGACCTCAGGTGATCCACCTGCCTCGGCCTCCCAAAGAGTTATCATTTTTAAATGAATAACCTAGAAAAATTATGGGTATAACTTTGTCTATGACAATTGAAAGTTCTACATTTAGCATCTAATTTAGGATTAACTTTTGACATGAGTGAAGCACTAAGTCTAGAGAACCATGTCGCGATGAAAAGACGGAAAAGCAAACATGGTAAGCAGCTCCTCTCCGGGGAGCCAGAGTGTAACACAACGAGAGAAGTGAGTGAAGCAAAAAATCATAAATGCCTCTGAAATAAAAAGGCTAGAAATAGATACATTTTATTTTGCATCACCAAATATTGTTTCCTTTACATAAGTTTCATTGTTTGTGCCATCAACACAGGGGCTGTCTGTCACTTCTACGATGTGGTTATAAATGTGAATGACTCACCTCGGCCCAGTGACTGCAGAGGACTCCCTCCCATGGTGAGGCAAGGATATCAAATAATGCTTCCACCCATTGTGTGGGCACTGGGGGCAGTGCACAGTTCCTAAAGGTGAACTGTGCAAGTAGTTAACAGAAAGCTCTTTGATTTGTAAAATGAAGATAATAATATCTACTCATGTGATTTTATGAGATTTAAATGAATTAATATGTGTAAATCACTTAGAACAATGTCTGGCACATAGCAAGCATCAGGTGATAATATTACTATTTTGTGACTGGGCAGGTCTTCTTCATGCTGACTGAGAAGTGTTCACTTTGATTCTAAAAGCAGTGGGCTATCACTAAAGATTCAAAAAGAAAAGAGTGATAGAATCAACTCGAAATTTTAGACATATCCCTCTGGCTATAATATATTGAAGAGGGCCAAATCTGGAGGCAGAAGGGTTAGGTGCCATTCGTACAATGCAGACATAAGATGAAAAAGACTTAAACTAGAATAATGGCAGCAGAACTCAAGATAGAGGAATAAATTGAGGACACAGTTATGAGAGATGAACAACAGAAATTGAAGTAAGATTTAGAGAGAGGGGGGATGCAATAAAATTATGTCTTGGATAACCTATGCAGGGAAGACAGAATTGAGAATCAATCTGCATGGGGAAAAAAATGTGTTTGCTTTTAAATTGAGTTTTGGATGCCTTCAGAGTTTTATATTACAGGAGACCAATAGGCAGGTGTTTTTTGGCAGATTTTAAGCTTGTGAAAGAAATCTGGCCTACAGCTATAGATGTGGAATTGTTTGGCATATAGACAGCGGTAGCAACCTTGACAGGGGATGAGATTGTCTCCAAGGGAGAATGCTTACCGTAAGAGCAGAAAATCACCCAGGGAAGACACCTAAGTAAAACCATCACGTAAGCAACAAGAAGATATTGAGAACAACCCAAAAGGAAACTGAGAAGGAGAAGATAGAGAAATTGGAGAAAACAAGAAAAGTACATTGTCTCAGAAACCCAGCAGAGAGAAGTTTGATTCGCAGGAGGCGGTTTCAGTATGGCCAGTTACTAGGTGAATGCAACCATGAATTTAGACAAAATGAAGACTGAGAATTGCCCTTTAGACTTAAGAAGCCTTGTGGGGAGCAGGGGTGTTAAGAGGAAGAATTAATACTACAATGTGTTCTAAGGGGAGTACGAAGTGAGAAGGCAAAAACAGCAAGTAGAGAAGTTTCTCAAAAAGCTTGTATCTGAGTAGGACGATGAGATGTGGCAGTGGTTAGAGTGGAATGCAGGGGCGTAGCCATTGAACTTTGCTCTCACAAACATCTCTCTCTTTCTTGGACACTTCTTCCATATTCATGTGTAAATGAGACAATTGATACAAAAAACCATCTATCTACCCATTATAAGTATTCAATAAAGATTAGTTCCATCATTCACACAGTTTGATCTTGGCAACTCTGGCTGCCCCGAGAACTTTTTAGGGATCTCTGAAGTCAAAACTATATTCATAAAAATGCAAAAACATTATTTGTCTCTTTCACTCCTAATCTTACATGAGAGCAAAGTGAGTTTTTCACAGTCCATTTGAAGCGTGAGATGCAATAGGCTGAATGTAGAAGCAGACATAAAAATCTACCTGTCATCTTAGCCAGGGAGGCTTGCAAAGTGTAAAACAGTGTAAGTCTTCTCATTAAATATATTTATTCTGTAAAATCTAATTTTTATAAATAAAAAATGAGTTTACTATTGTCATTTCAAACAAATTTATGACTCACTTTTAATATTCTCCATTAAAAAAAAAAAAAAAACCGTGTTTCTCTGTGTTGCCCAGGCTAAGGGCAATGATTATTCACAGGTGCAATAATAGCATACTATGTCTTGGACCCATGGGCTCCAGCCTCAGCCTCCTAAGTAGCTGGGTCCACAGGCATGTGCCCTCACTGGCAATATTCTTCATTTTAATTTCTCATATAGTAAATATAAAACAGAACAAAAAGTCTTTGAAATTCTCAATATTTTTTTTTTTTCGAGATGGAGTCTCGCTCTGTCACCCAGGCTGGAGTGCAGTGGCACAATCTCTGCTCACTGCAAGCTCCACCTTCCAGGTTCAAGCCATTCTCCTGCCTCAGCCTCCAGAGTAGCTGGGACTACAGGCATCCGCCACCACGCCTGGCTAATTTTTTGTATTTTTAGTAGAGACAGGGCTTCACCGTGTTAGCCAGGATGGTCTCGATCTCCTGATCTCGTGATTTGCCCACCTCAGCCTCCCAAAGTGATGGGATTACAGGGTGAGACACGGCACCCAGCCTGCTTAATTCTCAATAATTTTTAAGAGTATAAAGAAGTATGGAAACCAAAAGTTTGAGATCTTCCTGATTCGTTGGCACTAAAATTATTAGTTCCTATCATTAAGTGTTTCCTAAAACTGAGTATCCAGGTTTCTGTAAAGTAATAAGCAAAATAAAATTTGAACATAGACTTTAATCCTGAAAGAACTTTTTTCTATTTTTCTATAATATATGTATGCCTTACTACTGAATCTTCCATGTTTACTTATATTTCATGTCTACCAGATGAAATAAAAAATAGATGATGCTTTATAATTGGTGACAGCAAAGTCTCTTCAAAATACTCTGGTATAGAGTGTTTGTTGGTATAGAGTGCAAATAGATTATTAAAGTATGTATTTATTGATTGATTGTAAATTTGTGAATAGAATATTGTTGGATGAAAGAATGGCACTTGATAAACCATAGAGAAGGACTGAAGTTCAGCAATTTCTTGTAATGCATCTGGACATTATTTCTTAAAACACTATAAAGTCTAATTTTACAGAATTGACTTGACAAGGAATATAACATTGTGATTAGGATGAAAATTGTTTCTGTCTCTATGTAAGTGAGCATTGATATGTTTTCATTTTAAACTTGGAAAAAATTGATTTTTTTCTTTCCCTATTTAAAATAAAATGCATTCCCCTTTCCTTTTCACATGCGCCTCAATTCTATATAGTGGTTCTTTGAAAACTAATTTTTTGGGGGATACCCTTTTCCCTATAACAAGATCTAGCCTTTTTGTCAATAAAATAATAATTCCCAATTAATTAGCATTTTTATGTTGATGGTCTCTAGATACCTCGTAGAAAATTAGGATGCATTATGAAAACAATCATAAAACCTGTTTAATAATTGTTACAAATACAGTTTTTTACTATAGATGTTAGTAGTAAAATAATGAAAAATAGTAGCAAAATTTGGTGTAGTCTACTAATTCTTTTTACTTAAAAGTTGTTACTCTAAAAATCATTCTTTCTTGTTTTACACACACAAGTAAAGCAATATTTTCTAATTAAGAGTACATTTTTTTTTACTTGACATCTCCACTTGGATAGCTAATTGGAGTTTTAAACTTCACATGGCCTAAGAAAAACAAATTAGTTTGTTCTCTGGCTATTCTCATCCACATGATTGCTTACGCTAAAACCTACAAAATATCTTGATTCCTGTTTTTTTTTTTCCCAAAATTTAATTCATCAGAAACTACTGTCCACTCTACCTTCAAAATACACTGTCATCCCAATCCCAGACACCATCACTTTTTTGTATTTCAATAGCTTCCTAGTTGTAATCTTTGCTGTCACTATTTACTCATTTTGCAAAACATAAATTATCACCCCTCCTTTCTGATTTAAAATAGTTCAGCTGCATCCCAGTTGCATGTAAAAGCCAAACTCCAAACAACAGTCTGTTGGGCCTCCCAAAAGCCCTTGCCTCCTGCTCTAAGTTAATTTCCCACTAACTGTGTCTTCATCTTATTGACTACACTCCAGCCATTATGGCCTTCTTTTGTATCTTTATTCTTGAATTCTGGAATTCTTTTTGTTACTTTTGTCTGAAATTTCTGTTCTCAGCTCTCTACTTGGCACTGTCTTTCTCCTGTCTCCACTTTAATGTTACTTCCTCAAAGAGGCTTTCCCCGGTTCTCAATATGAAGTCATCTCAGTCACAGATATTCTCTAATTTTTCATTTGTTTTCTTCATAATTTTAAACATTACTTGAAATTATCTTGTCCATTTTTGTTTCACTTACAATTTCCCCTCTATAATAGAGTACAATATCTGAGAGTATAGGCCTTGTCTGTTTTATTTACCATTGAAGCCGTGGCCTAAAATAGTGCCAGACATACAGTACACAATAAATATTTGCTGAGTTAACAACAGATAAAAAGAATAAATGTTTTTATTTATATAATGTGTCAAAGAATCAAGAAAAACATGATATAAAGTTGTTTTATGTGCATGAATGTTATGTTGAATTTTGCAATTTAGTAAACCACCCAGCATTTCAACATTTTTAGAAATTAGTGAATTGACATGATAAACCAAATAAGCAACATATTCAGTTAAATAACAAATATGTTAATAAATTGATTTGGCTATCTTTTTCTTCTTTAAGATGCAAATGAAACTTACAGAAAAAAATAACCAATATGAATTTCTGATACTGGAGATCATTCTAATCAAACACATTTCAAAGATAAGAAAGAATTATCCTCTGAGATTATTTTGATGCACCTAGATAAAATTACAGATGTAATTGCCTATCTAATAATTTATGATAACTACTTATATACAAGTTTTGGCTATTCTTTATATTAAACTCATATTTTTTTCAGTGAATTTTATTGACAACAGAAAAGGATGATAGGCTGGATGTGGTGGTTCACACCTGTAATTCCAGCACTCTGGGAGGCCAAGGCGGGAGGATCACTTGAGGTCAGGAGTTCAAGACCAGCCTGGCCAACATGGCAAAACCCTGTCTCTACTAAAAATACAAAAAAATTAGCCAGGCATGGTGGTGCACACCTGTAGTCCTGGCTACTTGGGAGGCTGAGCCAGGAGAATTGCTTGAACCCGGGAGGTGGAGGTTGCAGTGAGCTGAGATCATGCCACTGCACTCCAGCCTGGGTGACAGAGCAAGACTCTGTCTCAAAAATACGTACATAAATGAATCAATAAAATATAAAGGATGATAAAATGATTATGAACTGTCACTACAGAGTTTAAGCTTACACTGTGTATACCATGTATACACATACTATATAATATATAATATATATAGTATATATATATACTATATAATATATAATACTATATAATATATATATTATATATATTATATAGTATATATATACTATATACTATATAATATATAATATGGTTCCATGAAGACCAAGAAACTAGGAGTAAGGTAACTTAGGTTCTCATTCTAGTCTCACTACTGTGATTTACTAGCAAATTTAACATATATGGATAATAAACGTAGATATAGAAATAACTGCATATAACCTGTATAGTGCTTTCTCCTAGGGAATAGAACTACTAGGGGTGGGTTAAAAATAGCAATGTGAATAAAAGACTTTCATTATTTATTGATATGATGTATACTATTTATTTTTATTTCAACAATTATGTATTTTGTTGGAAAGAAATGAGAAAAAGTTAAGTCCAGATTATTTTAATGTGGCTTCTTATTTAAATTATGTTATAAACCAGAAGGTAGACTGTGATAAATTGAAGCTGAATAAAATCAATCCTAAAGAAACCACTAAAATAACCACTCAATTTGCCAACCAAGGAGATAAAGTAGATTTATGACAAATATTTTTTCAATCCAAAAGAATGCAGACAAAAATGAAAAGGGGAGGAAACAGATGGGAAAATAGAAAACAAATAGCAAAATGGCAGACACAAACCTAACAATATCAATAATCAAATTAAATGTAAATGGGTTAAACAACCCAATTAGAAGTCAGAGATTGTCAGAGTGAACAAAAAAGTAAGACTCAGCTATATGTTGCCTGCAATAAAAGCACTTTTAATGTAAAGACACAAATAGATTAACAGGAAAATAGTGAAAAAAAAGTATAGCATTCTAACAAAAGTCAAAAGAAAGCTGAGATGGCTGCAATTAGTTTTTTGTTATGAGTAATACAGATATTAACACTCATCTAGACTTTTTTGTTGACATACGTTTTACTTATATTAAATAAATACCTAGGAGTGGAAAATTTCTATATTATAGATCTTACCTCTAGAAATTAATAGGGAATAAAGCAAATTAAATTCAGAAGAAGAGGAAAGAAAATAATAAAGATTAATGTGGTCATTAGTGAACTAGAACACAGAAAAGCAATAGAGAAAAAAATCAATAAAACCAAAAGCTGTTTTTTAGCAATTTAAAAAAAGTTCATGGATTTCTAGTGAGACTGGTCTTGAAACAAAAAGAGAAGACACAAGTTACCAATAAAAGAAAAGGCATCACTTCAAATACTAAAGATATTAAATAGATAGGAATAAAATATTATCAACAACTCTATACCAAAATTCAACTATTTATACAAAATGAAAACTTTTCTTGAAAGACACAAATTATGAAAGCTCACTCAAGAGTATACTAACCTGAGCAGAACCCCCACAGAATCCATAATTTTGATAGATTTTACCCAATATTTAATTAAAAAGTAATACGATTGAATAAAACTCTTCCACAAAAATAAAACAGAGACACTACTTTGCAATTTCCTTTATGAAGCCAGAATTACTCTGATACCAACACCAAAGATGAATACATATAAAAACATACGTAGATATAAAGACATATATATATATAAAGACATATATATATACACACTAATATTTCACGAATGGGTAACTATGCAGTTTGAAGATCAGAATCAAAAAGTGCTCATCTAAAGTAACTTAGAAGATATTGGGCTCTGGAAATTGACTAGATACCCAAAAAGTATATTTTATAATGATAAATACACTACTGAAAAGGATGCTGACTTTTTCATGAAATGTGAGTAGTAAAAAGTAATATTTATAAATTAACATTTATAAAATGTGTGATTTTAAGTATGTATATTCAATTGTCACAAATTATAGGAGGACATTTGATGATTTAGTTTGTCTCTCTAAATACTAATTTCATCAAGTCAGCTGATTTCAAGTTTCATAAAGATAATGGGAATATTCCCTTATTCTCTCGATAACCTTATACTTAACAATACATCATATTTCTCTTAGTTATGCAGATGAACAAATTCTCTCTGGGCATAACTGTGTGTTAACAATGTCCTATAATCTTTACCAAATCTGTGCCTCAGCATCAGAGTTCAAGTACATATTTGAGATGCATTTTATCCTAGCTAGAAAATCTAATATGTCTTAAATGGATCGATATAAAGAAACATAAAATGCTAAACTCAAGTGTTTAGTGTTTCTGCAGACATTATTAATGACTGGATCACATTAGCATAATCAGTTATTCTCAGTTTTCAGCCCTAAATTTTTCTTTAAACCATGATCATATTCATACCTTACAAGAGTGCCAGACACATGGTAGTTTGCCAATCCACTATTCAGTTGAGTTAAATCATCTTTTTAAATCACCAAACACTTTACTCAGACTTTCATTTCCATCACTATAAAATATCTGAACTCAGACCAAATCAACAACATTTAGAGTAGATAATCTATTAGTGCCTATTGCAAGGTCCAATTTAAAGCTGTACATATAATTAATATATATCAATTAATCTTCACAACAAATCTAAAAGGTAGATACTATCATCCCATATTATGGATGAGGAAATTGAGGCACAGTATTTAAGCAGCTTGCCTGGAGTCACGCAGCCTGTAAACAGTGCAGTCTGACGCTAGAGCTCACACAGCCATAGTCACGAGGCATATAGCCTGCTGGCTAGAGCGGCTCAGCACCTACCTGTTCCCTGACAGCCAGGCAGCAAAAGTGCCTCACATTCTATCTTGGTATACTTGTAAAGTGCCCATGTCCTGGGCCTTCAGGGTAGCTTACAAACAGAAAAATGTCAACTCTGAGAAAGTGAGAGAACACTTTTAAGTGTATGTACTTGCTGAAATACTCCTAGATGTCGAGGCCCAAAAGACATATCTCCTATCTGTTTCTCATATTCTATTGTATTTGAGTCAGCAAAAATGTATAGTATACAAGGGCAAAGAGTATTGTAACAAAATTTTCACACTTGCATTTTAAGTGTAAAAAGTCTACATTGCCTGAGACAAGAATTCTAAACTAGTCCCAATGAGATTTCATAGTGATAAAACTGACACAATGTCCAAATCTGCATTTCCAGAATAGCTCCTCCTCACCACAACGCATGCACATATTACTGCCAAATCAGTACACAAGTTTAACATTAGTCTTACATTAATAGAGATCTGACTGATTCTGTCGTTTGTTCTGCAAATTGCAAATCAGCCTTAACTAACAAAATATTCATTATTAATACTAGTAAAGAAATACCCTGGCTCTGTACAATCATTTATTAGATACTGTGTGCTCATATCTTTACACCTGAAGGTCAGTAAAAATTTTACATAAGGGAGCAGGAGAAAAAAATTGAATAAAGTCCCTCTATATAGAATGTTAGCACATTGTAGTTGCTTTCCTCTTTTAATAGCTAAAGGGAGAAAAAGAAATTTTAGGTAAAGTCTTATTGAGCTAAGAAGAAGGAATTCAATAGAATATCAAAAGAGGAGGTATTTTATGTGCCAATTTTATTTCTAAAATTAAAATTACACAACCCTCCTCACCCACACACATATTCATATACACACAGACATATTCCTTGTATGCAAAGATTATAAAACAGATGGCAAAATTAGAACTTAAAATATCGAATAAGTTAACAGTAAATTATAGTATAAAAGTTTCCCCAAGCTAGTTAATATTTACATGTTAAATGATTAAGATAAATTCTTTGAGTAAGGGGATCATGGAACTGGGATGATAATAGAAGACAACATTATTAAACATTTAATGTCAAGCCTGAAAAATATTGAACGTAATTATTTACCTCAAGATCAAATGCCAAGCAAATGAAGCTTCTATGGAAAGAAAATATTCAGCCTTCCTTACCTGAGAAAATGGTCTTGTTTTAGAAAACAAGATTACAATTTTCTTTTTTTACATTAATGTACACTTCTTTATTTCAATAATTGCATAATACAAAATCAGGAATGTTATGGCCCTACATCTTTGGAATATGTATTTTTCTCATGGAATAGAATAGCATTATTTGTATTTCATGTTCTTTAATAAACTAGTACAATAGTCTTCATATTAAAATTGAAGAGATTTGTTATTTTATTTTCATGTATTTTATATTTTTGTAGTCATGATCAAAAGATAATTTTTATTATTTTCTAAAATTCTAAATAACTGTTTTGGGAGGTATATGTATTTTGCATCTAGCATCTTTACTGACTGTCTTATTAACTCTTAGAGCTTTCTTGTTTTATTTTAATATCTCTAAATGATGGTAGCATCTCCTTTCTGTTTATATCTTTTTTAAAAAATCATTCTGTATTTACCAGTTTTTCCAAAATATTTCTTTTTTACTTTAAGAGAGTCACTTTAATGTTTGCTATTAAATGTGATATTCAACTATTCGGCTTTTGGGCTAAAATATTCTTTTCATGTTAAGAAATTATCTTTCATCTAAATTCATCCAGGTTTACGAAGAGTTTTTAATAGATGAAAACATGGTGAATTTTTCTCGTGTCCTCTTGAAACTACTTGAAGTGATTTTGATTTTTCTCCTTTGATCCACTCCATGCAGTATTTGATTAATAGGTACCCTGAGATTATACTTTTGAGAGTTCTTAAATAAGACAAAATGTATTTTTCTTAATTTCTGAAATGGATTGAATAACATTTTATTGGGGAATTTTGTATCCATTTTCATGTTATACTGGTCAGAAATTTTCTTTTTTATGTTGCTGTGAATTTTTGTAATCAGTCTGAAGATAATTCTGTAAATAAATGAACTGAGTTCCTAGTTAGTCTCCAGATTCATATATCTGGTCTTTCTTCTTCATCAGTGCATGGAACTACTCCAGTCCAGTGTGTCCGCGATCTGATTAGTAAATAAACCCCTTTCATCTTTCCTGTATTTGAGCTTTGTATATTGTTTGACAGTATGGAAAACCTTTTACTTTTTGATTCTTGATTTCCTCTAGACTCTCTTTTCTTCTTTGGGAATTTTTGTGAATTTACATTAAAAGTCTGTTTTGTCTGCCAACCCCTTAAATATGAATTTCTCCCAAAGCACAGTCCAGCACAAATTCTAATACTACTTGTTCTCCCTGGGCAATCTCATCCAATCCCATAACCTCAATTTTTGGTGGTATCTCTATATTTCTATATCTGTGTCTCTAAAATGTCTTCCCCCTGGGTTCCCATTCTGCATATACAACTTCACCACGAACATCTTTACTGACAAATTCCAGGGCATTTAAACCTCAGAAGATTCTTCCTACTATTCCTCTTTTGATGTCTCTCATCTCCCATCCACTCTATTTTCCAAGGCTGAAACCTGAGTTCACTTCCTTCATCTTGTTTAACCCAAGCAAATCCAGTTGGTGACCAAACCATTTGACTTCCATCTTACGAACATTTCTAACTTCTGTCTTTTCCGCTCCATGTCTACTACCACTAAGAATCCAAATTCTTTTTCTTCAAATTTACTAGACTTTCCTATCGTTTTCTATCAAGTCTTCTTTTCTCCAATGCTCTCATGCCCAATGTATACTTCTTATTTTCACAATAATAATTTGTCTAAAATTCTACTTTGATCATATCATCCACTAATATATAATACTTAATCCCTTAAAGAGTTCCCAGTAACTCACAAGTAAAAGTTCAATTCGAAGTGGTTTGCAAAAATACATATTGTAAGAGAAAACAAATGGAAGTAATCATGTCATGAGTAAAATAATAATTCAAAAATTTTATAATTTAGAGGAAAATTAATTCATACAGATGCAGAGACAGTATTCAAATTTGGCTGTAAGCTTCCAAGCAGCCAAAAGAATATTATACATAATATTGAGACCTTTTTAAATAAAATTAATTTTTTCTTAGAAGAAGTAGTTTTCGGCCAGGCGTGGGGGCTCACGCCTGTAATCCCAGCAATTTGGGAGGCCGAGGCTGGCTGATCACAAGGTCAAGAGATCGAGACCATCCTGGCCAACACGGTGAAACCCCGTCTGTACTAAAAATACAAAAAAAAATTAGCTGGGCATGGTGGTGGGCACCTGTAGTCCCTAGCTCAGGAGGCTGAGGCAGGAGAATGGTGTGAACCCACCAGGCAGAGCTTGCAGTGAGCCAAGATCACATCACTGCACTCCAGCCTGGGCGACAGAGCGAGACTCCGTCTCAGAAAAAAAAAAAAAAAGTAGTAGTTTTCTTGAGGTTCTTTACTTTTTTTTTTTTTTTTGTCTTTTTTGGTGACAGGGTCTTGCTCTGTCTCCCAGACTGGAGTGCAGTGGCATGATCTTGGCTCACTGCAGTCCTGACGTCCCAGGCTCAAGTGATCCTCCCAACCAGGGCACAGCTCAGTTTTTGTATTTTTCATAGAGACGGGGTTCTGCTGTGTTGTTCAGGTTTACATTTTTTTATTTTTAATTTTTGTGGGTACATAGTAGGTGTATATGTTTATGGGGTACATGAGATATTTAGCTACAGGCATACAATGCATAATAATGACAACAGGTAAATGGGGTATCCATCACCTCAAGCATCTAACCTTTCTTTGTGTTACAAACAATCCAATTGTACTCTTTTAGTTACTTTTTAATGTACAATAAATTATTATTGACTGTAGTCATCCCATTGTGCTATCAAATGTACTGTATCCAAAGAGAAATTTCTCTCATGAGTCCACACAAAGCCAAAGTTATGTTATATAACGGTCAATGTTTTCAAAATAGCTCCACAATAAAATGCAATGTTTGGTATGACATAATGTCAATGTGAAATTCTCTAAGAATAAATGATCTCAGAAGGAGCCAAGGCAATGTAGTTTAAGTACTTGGCATTTTGGTTCTCTGATGAGCCAGTTTAATGCAGGGATAAAATGTAATGTCTTTAGAATATTCTGTAGGACATTGTATATATCCTGCAAGCAATGCTCAATGAAAGTTATCAAACTTTTATTAAGATTTAGACAGCTGCAAATATGGGGTTATACTTTCCAGCAGCTGCCTGCAGTACAAAGTTTTTATGGTTTTAATTAAGGATGGATTTATTGTCCTTGATGTTGAACTTGAAAGTGTGGTAAGATTTAAAAGGACACATGTTCTTTTTTTTAATTAGGAAGACAAATTGACTTGTATCTGAACAGATTACTTTTTAATTCCCTACAGAATGTATCAAAGTGAGTACCTGCAGACAAGGTCAATATTTTCCTCAGAAAATAGTTTGGGGTTATTCCAACATTATAATTAGTAAATTGGAAAAAAGCCATAATATACAAAATATGAAAAATAGAAACAAGAAAGGCATAAATGTAATACCTTACAGAAGTAATTAATGATGACAGGCATGTAGGTTCTAAAAATTTTCATGTATTCTCCATCACTTTCTTATTTTTCTACTGAAGTATTTTCTTCTTTGTTTCAAAATCTCTAAAATTCAACACTTCTAATCCATGTGTTTTTCTCTCTCCCATTACCTTCCAAGATCAGTACATTGAATTTACAACAGGTCATCAACTTTCTTGCAGGCATGGCAGATGTGAGTAAGCTCACAGACATTAAACTCCCTATTTCATGGTTCACAAAAAGTTATTTCTATCTTCTTAAAAAACAGCTAATGGCAAGACAAACATGCTGCTACCAGGCCATGCTGTGATGTAGTCAATAAATTTATTTACATAAACTTTGCTAATTGCCTTTATAGCAATGGCCAAACCATTAAGAGGTTGCCTCATCTGCTGGGAGACTATTGAGGAACCTTAGGTTTATACCTTTCTAGGAAGAAAAAGGAAACACCATTCCTTTAGAAAATTTGCCTTAGTTTCCAGCGTGATGGTGTAGATGATTTCTGACTTAGTGCATATTGATTATTAGGATGACCAAAATCCCAAAGTAGCTTTGCTACTCTAAGCTAAAAATAATGCTCCCAAATGCAATGTAAAGATTACGTCTATACTCATGAAGTGAAAGCTATATATTAAATTTGAAAGAACACCCAATGTTGTTACTATATTTAATGTTTGGAAAATAAGTTCTTAGATTATGTTTTAGACTGAAAAACAAGGTTTCCAGCACACAGATTGAAAATATCACTCACTTATTTATTGTCCTAGATCATCCTGCTATTTCTATGTCAAAGGCTTGATATGAGACTTAGTATCTAAATAGTACTATTTTACCAACCATATCAACTAGCTTGTTTTAAAAGTTGTTTATTTTCTAAGTCATTGATGAGAGCTATAGTCTTGTGTTAAAATTTTTAAAGAGTATACCTCACAAGACACACTCTGTGCTACTAGCCCTTTAAACAAAGTTCATGCCATATGACAGAAATAAATAATGGGTTTGCAAATTACACCATCCAATTGGTCTCCTGCATATTTGGCTTTGTGTCCTTGGAGTGATTTTCAACATCATTAAGTGAAAAGCCCATCATTTCCCAAGTAACAAGGGATGAAGCACATACAGAGATTGACTTGGCGTGTGTTACATAAACTTTCTGTTTTAGATTTGAAGAATTTACATAACACCGAAACAAAACAACACCCTGCAAACATATTTGTACAGTCAGTTAAATTTCTCTACAGTCCCATTCTATAGTCAGCCCTGCCAAGGTTACTCTGGCTGTTAAATTTTATGACATAATTTTTAATACAGTAATATTTTTCACTTAATTTTTTAAATTTATTGATGGTACTTAGAATTTTTGTCCTGCATAATAGATGCCTATCTGAAACTTGGGAAGACAGAAAATTATTTAACATATTAGAAACTATTTGTACAATTGTTCTGATAATCAGTAAGTTTTGAAATAGCTACAACTCTCCTAGTCCAAAATTAATTTCAATAAAATTATATGAAGGCATTATTTCCATATGTGAATCTTACTTTTTTATATATACCATATTATATAGGCTGCTATATATAGAAATATATGTATATATATGCATATATATGTACATACATACATACATAAACATATATGTGTGTATATATACATATTCATAACTTTTTCCTTGGAGTTACTCGAATATTTGACACTCAATCCAACAAAAAATATATTTAAATAAAATTTTGAATTATATATTTTGTTACTGGAATATTGAAGGATGCCTCGACCTGTATTGACCTATTTGAAGTCTCTCCCTGTATTGACGTATCTGAAGTAATATAAAATTAGGTATTTTTTATTTCAGACTAGTATTTTAAAGTCAAATGCACCATTCCTAATATGGTGACACTTTAAGCTTTAGTAATTGAAATAACAAAAAAATCATCAGGAAGATTGTGTACCCTGTGGGAAGGAAAAATGGAACACATTGTCAAATGCTTGAGGGTATTTCCTCCTTCTGCTTTATGCAGATCAATTTCTCCCTTGCAAAATTATTTTTAAAACAAATAGTTGAAATATACCAAATATACTAAGGGCCTTTCCTTTCCAGAGCTGACAGGCCAGAGAAGTCAAGACAAAACCTAATCAGCCACAAAAACCTCAAAGTGGGCCAGAGGGAGAATGTGGTCACACTTCTTCCCTTGCTTATTTGGACACCAGTGAACACACAAGGCACTTAGATTGATACTACTTTTTGCAGACTCATAGCAAAGACAATAGGGCTGCCTGTGACAATAATCCAGAACAGATGATCATTTCTTGGCATACAGTTAGCACAGGAGGGCCCTGCCTGAGGTACCAGCCTTGTTTTATGTCATGTAAATTCTGACTTACGCATAGCACAAATTACTAACATAAAGCAAATCAGTGCTTTTCATATTTTTTCCTTTGAATCACATCAAAAATTAAAACTATTATCCACAACTGCTCCCACGCGTTTTCACAGATCAGCTCCTCCAGAGCTATGGCATTTGCCCCTTTGCACTCGGAACAGCTAATCTTATCATTTAGTCCTTCAGTATGAGAAAGATATGCAACTGGCCTGAACACTGTTGGTGGATATGGTGAGATACAGCCACAGAGGCAGAGTACCAGATGTGGCCCTTTTTTTTTTTTTTTTTTCCAGTAAGATCTTATGGGGTATAACTTCCCTTCACCTCTTTCTGCCTGGCTTGTGCTTGTGGGTGGCCTTTGTTTCTATGGTTGAAAGCTAAGGGATGGTGGGATCCAACTGTATCACATCTGATTCAAGTTGGCATTTGTGGCAGTAACAACATTCTAGATGGTTCAGCTTCCCACAAGCTATTCTTAGTGAATTTCCAAAGGTTAGTGAAAAAACAAACAACTCTCCTTCTCTTTTTTCTCCTCTGATGCCAGGGAAACTCACAACAAGTCAAAAGAGCTTACTTTAGAGTCTGGATCAGTTTCCAAACAACCTGGAGGGTTCATCAGGGATTCTATGCTGTACTTTTTAAACCATTTATTTGGAAAGTTTGCTAAAATCTACTATCACTGGAAATCTGAGTCTCAGCCCCTCAGCCCACTAAACTGTACTCACATATAGAGTAGAAGGTTGGGTACATATCTATATAATGAAATGTGTTGGTATCAAAAGAATATAATATAATGAAAGTATTCTAATTTCCTATAAACATCCTAGAAAATTTTTTCTAAAACATACTTTCCTTCGTTATGTTCAAAAGCACTCTTTGATTTTGTAAACATTTGTTACCCAGGTTATAAAGAGCAGAAAATGTTTGTCAAGACAGTTTATTAGCTAACTTGAAATAGTTGAAAATAAGTTTATGACTAATTTCATTTAAAAAGCTGAAAAGCTAAATCTTCATTAGTTCACAGTTGTTTTTTAATTGATCTTCATGGCCCAATATAGTTAAAATAAAAGACTACTAGAAAGCCTATGGGGTTTGAATTTATGTAATTCTAGTCAAAATTAGCAAGCTTCTTTTGGTTTTATTTTATTTTCTGATTTACATTATGCAGGAATGCTAGTGGTCTGGGACAATTTTAAGGGCCATTACAAATTTTTATGAAATATTTAATGAAATGGGACCAGTTCAGTATTGTTAATGTTTACAAACAAAAATTAGATCTTATTAGAAGATAATCAAAAATTATAACTGATTTAGAAAATTAGTGAAAGCTTATATTCACTGCTAGCTGCCTATTCAAAAGCTATAACTCACATATTAGTTTTAAAGTTTGAACCAAGCATAATGTTCAGATAAATGTTTGTTTCCATGTCAATGACTTCTCTAACAAAAGATGCCTGCCTGAGAAAATAAGGCCAATATTAAACAATTAAATTAAACAATAAGGCCATTATTTGCATTTGTTTGCCTGACTATGAAGGTGGGTCATGGACATCTGGTTCATCAAATAGTGTTCTTCTAGTACTGCAGACACTGCCAGTATGGATTATGTGAACTTCCACTACTTTATCTGTATATTTAGGCTCTTCTTTGTCTACAATTTGGAGAACTTTAAGCCTTGAATTTCAATCTCACCCCATTTCAACCAATTCATTTGCTTAACCAATATTTATTCAGCATATATTCCAGACACTATTCTAGGTACTGGGTATAAAGCAATGAACAAGAACACACAAATGGGATTCCCTAAGGAATTCCTTTTCTTAAGGAGCTTACAATTAATTGAGAAGAGATGGACTTACAACAGTTAATACATAGAGGACCTCAGGTAATCAGAAGTGTACACCTGGTGGTGTGACAGAGAGTGACTGATGTTAAGGCAGACAAAATTAGATAATGTGGTCAGGAAAAGTCTCTGAACAGAAGCCAATTTGAGATCAATCCCCAAAAATTACCGACATGGGGAGAGAGCTTTCCTAGCAGTGAGAATGCAAGGACAATGGTTGGGAGGTAAGAATGAGCTTCGCCTGACTAGAGATGGAGCAGTAAATGGGGGCTAGAGCAAGACATGAGCTTGGAGACAGGCAAGGACCAGCTGTGTAAGGCCTTACAAATTATAGTGAAGAGTTCTGATTTGAGTGTCCAGTAAGGCAGTGATGTGTTTCAATGTACCTTATTAGCAGTCACTTTGTAATCCACCTTGCAGACTACTCTAAATTTTCTAAAAAATATTTCCTACATCGTCCACCTATTTAAAGTCTCAACTGTCTTTTTGGTATCATCAAGAAAATGACAGTATTTACAGACAATATTCTTGGCTTTCTACAGTGCAGAGGCAATGAACTTCTCAAATCATACCAAGCAAAACTTCCCTCCATATACTCTGTGCTACATCCAAACTCTTCTGGTCAGGGTCCCCCAAACTTACCATTTTCTTTCCTGCCTTCATATGTCTGTACATCATCTTTCCCCTGAACCCATCCATCCATTATTTCTACTTCCTCAAGCTCTTCCCATTCAGTTCCTACAAACTGAATGCGTATATACCTGGCCAAGGTAATTTCTAAATAAGTTGTTTTCTCCTTTACCACTCATTTGGCACTTCATGAAGTGTGTCTTTTACATTTTAATACATAGGACCAAATAAACCAGCTGAAAGTTTGCTGAGATCAGCCAGTGATTTTCAATTTCTTTTCCTTCTCCCATCGCTAGCACATAATCTTTTTGTTTGTTTGTTTTTGAGACCGTGTCTCGCTCTGTCCCCCAGGCTGGAATGCAGTGGAGCGATCCTGGCTCACTGCAACCTCTGCCTCCTGGGTTCAAGCGATTCTCCTGCCTCAGCCTCCTGAGTAGCTGGGATTACAGGCACGTGCCACCACGCCTGGCTAATTTTTGTATTTTTAGTAGAGATGGGGTTTCACCTGGTTGGTCAGGCTGGTTTTGAACTCCTGACCTCATGACCCACCCATCTCAGCCTCCCAAAGTGCTGAGATTACAGGTGTGAGCCACCCTGCCTGGCCGCACATAATTTTTAATACATCCTGTAATCCCAGCTATTCAAGAAGCTAAGCTGGTAGGATCTTTTGAGGCCAGGAATTCAAGACCAGCCTAGGCAACGGTGAGATAACCATCTCCACACACACACACAAGATTAGTCAGGCAGAACGGCATATGCCTATAGTCCTAACTACTCGTGAGGCTGAGGCAGGAGGATCTCTTACGCCCAGGAGTTGAAGGCTGCAGTGAGCTATGATACACTCCAAGCTGGGCGATGGAGTGAGATTTGGTCTAATAATAATAAAAAAAAAATCTAAATACAATGAATGCTCACGAATGCTTGATAAAATATTGATGTAACTCACCTGGGTTCAATATGTACTTCTTGTGTGTGTGTGCTAAACTTTGAAGCACCTTTCTAAGATGACTTGTTGATTTGGGATATGGTCCAAATCAAAATAGAATTTAAAAAAAAAAAAAAAAATCTGTATTGGAACTTAGCCAATGGCCTTGATCTCCCTGACATCATTCTCTAGATTTCTATCTAACAATCCTGGATACTCAGTGTTTTTTTTACGGAAGAACAATACCCATCAAGGCCTCTGTGAATGTGTCTGAGATAGTTGCACCTCGAGTCAAAGAATTTTGCAAATGAGTGGGATGAGTCCACTTCTTTCAGGCTGTCTCTTTGGAACACAAAGCAACCACTTGCCTTGCTGGAGTTTAAAAATAAATTAACATGGTCAGCCATGGCCTTTCCCAGCACTTTTCATTAAGCTTAAGTCAATGAAATAGATTCAATTAGCTTGTTTTACTTTGAAAATAAACTTAAAAAAAAGTCTTCAACATTGATGGCTCTATTTCTCATGGAGTACCAAAAAAAAAAAAAAAATGTCAATTTTGCTGAGCTATAGAACCAAGAAGTAAACACTTCAAATAGACCCAGATACCACAGAAATGTAAACTATCTGGCACTAAATATTGAACTGACAGTAGCTGAGTTTTTTCATTTTCAATTTTAAAGCACTTATTAGTGTATAATCTGTTGCCCGTTATTGCAGCATTCACCTGGAAAAACTATGGTGATATTTGGACACTGAATAAATATACATGTTGTTTACTTAAGTAAAATTTTTATCAACAGTATTTAGACTATGTAAAAAGAAACCATCCTAGAAAACAAAAATACCTTCGAACCAATTATGTGCTTCCATAGAAGGTCAACATCATTCTATTTAGTGTACGTGCTTCTATTAACTAATCTCAAAAAAAAAGCTTGAAATATAAACTTTCAGAAAAGGATCCTGAGCCACAGTATTTTTAAAAAAATACACGCACACATACACTCATGTAAAAAAATCTTGTTCCATACCCTGATTTGTTTTTTAATATTTTTAGTAATTGCTTTAAAAAAAAAAAAGATTAAACATAAACTAAAGCAGGTGAGAAAGGAATGGGTTTATGTTCCTATCTGGGACTGGGACCTGTTTTATGTTACTAGAAATTGTTTCTACATGAAGGTAAATGAAAGAAAAATCTATTCTTTCATCACTAAGTAATCACTAATATTTTTTTCAAGCTCATCATTAGAAACAAGATGATGAAGTGGTCAAATTTAACTCAGCTGAAAAATAACAGCTTCTGAATCTTTCCTTAGTGCTCACCTTACTTAGATCTTCTAAAGAAACTTAGGCCAAATGGGAGACTTTTTTTTTTTTTTTTTTTTTTTTTTTTTGCTGGAAATCAAGCTTCCCCATCCCGATGTGAAATTTACATTTATGAGAATGCAAAGCCAAAAGCATTTTATAAAAAGTTTAATACCATAAAGAAATTTTTTAAAATGTGCATTTACTGTCTCTTTTGGCTGCACTGTATGGCATTTTAGGAGATACAGATTTTAACATGGAAATTGGTTTGGATGCTCTTGCCTCCGTGATTAAAACAGATGGCTAATATACGTATGGCTCTCTCAGACTTAACCCCCATACCTCCTTCTCATCACTGTATGTACCAATCTAATTTTTAGCAAGAATGTGGAAGGATTCCATAGGAAGTTTTAAACTCAGAAAATGAATCTATAATTATTCTCAGCTGGTGAACACAGGTATGAATCATGAAGTAAACTTCTAACTGCAGAGAAATACCCTTTGTACTCAAAATTCCTTAAGTGGAGCGAAAACATTTCCTACTTATATACATACACACATACGTACATACAGATATATACATATGTATACGACGAGTTAAAGGCTTGCAGTATTGAGATATTAAAACTCCCTAAAAAGAGCAGCTACATTTCGTATTATCCCGCAGTTTCAGGTTTTAGAAAATTAATAAAAACATAAGTAGTTATACATACTTAATAAAAACGTAAGTAGTAATACATATATACACACATACATATATATGTGTATATGTATATGTATGTGTATATATAGTATATGTATGTGTATATATATATATATAACTACTTATGTTCTTATTAATTTTCTAAAAACTGAAACTTTGTGGGATAATATGAAATGTAGCTGCTCTTTTTAGGGAGTTTTAATATCTCATACTACAAGCCTTTAACCTGTCATCTATAATCATTTGTATGTGTTTGGATTAACATAATTCTTTATAACTTCCATATCCCAGATGTAACCAAAAATAAAAATATAACATTAGAGGTCAAAGTAAAATTTTTATTCTAATGTTATTCACACACTTTAAAAATTAACTCCATATTGTAAATGTCTCAGTAAAATCAAATACTTTCTCATTTTTTATTTCCTAGAAGAGAAAACGAAAAACCTCAAAATATTATTTGGATTTTCTGCATAGAGGGCTAAATTATTGGGAAGGATATTAAGATTTAAGTAAATTGGGATGTGGCATCAGCAAAATGGCAGAGTAGGAGATCCTAGCCTTTGCCACCCAACAAAAAAACAATTAGATCACTATGCACAAATGAAAATAGCTCTGGGATAGCTTAGACGTACAGTTCATATAAGAAGCTGCAGCAATTCAGTTGGGGAGGGGGGGAACAAAAACAGAATAAGGTCATGGAAAGGATAGGAAGAATACTTTCATTATTCCATCCCCTACTCTGGCACAGCTTGGTACCAAGTGTCCTGCAAGTCCCCCTGCAGGGGAAAAGGAGAACAGGGTGAGCAAACAGCGTCCCCAGACTTTGGAAGCCCTATCAAAAAAACCTGCTTTGATTTTACCACATGCAGATTACTGCAGAGATCAGCATAGCAGTGATGTCTGTAGATGCCTAGTAACAAAGAGTAAAAGCCGTAAGTGTCAGCCACATGACAGATGCCATAGTGGCCTCCAGTTACCTGCTCTGCAAAGGACTCCAACAGCTTTCACTGCTGAGGATCTCAACATTACATCCTTGTAGCTGCCATATACTACCTGTCACAGCTTTCACCTCTAAGACTCCAAAAATTTTGTCTTTGCTGAACCCAGCCACAACCCACCATATCATCCTTTCGCTTTCAGCCTATGTGTATCATTGTATCTAAAATGAGTCCCATGGTGGGAGGGGGGAGGGATAGCATTAGGAGATATACCTAATGTTAAATGACGAGTTAATGGGTGCAGCACACCAACATGGCACATGTATACATATGTAACAAACCTGCACATTGTGCACATGTACCCTAAAACTTAAAGTATAATAAAAAAGAAAAGAAAATGAAAATAAATAAATAAATAAAATGAGTCCCATAGCTAACATGTCACTGGATCTTTATTTTTTATCGATTTAGTAACTTTATAGAGAAGTAAAAGTATAGAGTTTTTGTATGCAATGGAAATGTAAGTGTTTGTGAGCTTAATAGGCTATTGTAACTATAATATATTTTGTGTCAGCCTCATGGTAACCACAAACCAGAAATCTTCAGTAGATGTACAAAAGATAAAGCAAGAGGAATCAAAGTATATCACTACAGAATATCATCAAATCACAAAGGAAGACAGCAAAAGAGGAAGAAATGAAATAATGAATATAGAAAACAGCCAGAAATCAATGAACAAAATGGCAACAGTAAATCCTTACCTACCAACAACTACTTTAAATGTAAAGGAATTAAATTCTACAATTAAAAGATATACAGTGTCTGAATGGATTAAATGAAAACAAAACCCAATTAAATGCTACCTACAAGTGACTCCTTCATCTTTAAAAACACACATAGGGTTAAAGGAATGGCAAAAAAATTTACCATACATATGAAAACCAAAATAACACAGAGATAGCTATACTTACGTCAGATAAAAACAGGCTTTAAATTGTAAACTGTCACAAGAGACAGCAAAAGCCATTGTATCATGAGAAAGGAATCAATTCATTGAGAGGATACAATTGTAAACATATATGAACCCAATATTGGAGCAAATATTAACATATATAAAGGGAAAAATTAACAGAAATGTAAAAAAGTAAGGCATTTCCATACTCCACTTTTTACAATGGATATTCAGACAGAAAATCATTTAGAAAACATTGGACTTGACCAAATAAAGCAAAGACACATATACAGAACTTTCCACCCAACAGCAGCAGGATGTGCATTCTTCTCAAGTACACAAGCAACATTCTCTTGGATAGATCATATGTTAGGCCACAAAATAAGTCTAAACAAATTTAACAAAAGTGAAATCATATTGAACATCTTTCTAAACACAATGATGTGAACCAGAAATCAGTAACAGGAGAAAACTGAAAAATTCACAAATCCGTGGAAATTAAACAACATGCATCTGAACGACCAATAGATCTAAGAAGAAATTCAAGAGGAAATTTAAGAATATCTTGAGACAAATGAAAACGGGAACACAGCATCCCAAACTTAAGGGATTCAACAAAAGTAGTTTAAAGAGGGAATTTTATAGTGATAAACATCTACATGAAGAAAAAAGTGAAAAGGTCAGAGCAGAAATAAAGAGACTAAAAAAAATAGAAAAGATCAATGAAACTAAGAGTTTCTTTTTGCAAAGGTAAATAAACTTGATAAAACTTTAACTAGATTAAGAAGAAATTGAAGCCTTTTAATAAATAGAATTAGAAAGAATAGACATTATAACTGATAGCCCAGAAATACAAAGGATCATAAGAGACTAGAACAAACTATTATATGTCAACAAATTAGATAACCTACAAGAAAAAGATAAATTTCTACAATTATACAACCTGATAAAACTGAATCAAGAAGAAACAGAAAGCCTGAACAAACCAATAACAAGTAGGAAGATTAAATCTGTTCTCAAAAATCTCCTATCAAAGTAAAGTCCAGGACCTGATGTCTTCACTAAAGAATTTTATAAAACATTTAAAGAATTATTCTCAGCAAACTAACACAAGAACAGAAAACCAAACACCGCATGTTCTCACTCATAAGTGGGAGTTGAACAATGAGTACACACGGACATAGGGAGGGGAACATCACACACCGGGGCCTGTCGGGGGGTGCGGAGTGGAGGGAGGGATAACATTAGGAGAAATACCTAATGTAGATGACGGGTTGATGGGTGCAGCAAACCACCATGGCACATGTATACCTATGTAACAAACCTGCACGTTCTGTACATGTACTGCAGAACTTAAAGTATAATAATAATAAAAAAGAATTACAACCAACCTTTCTCTAACTCTTCCAAAAAATTGTAGCAAAGGAAACACCACCAAATTTATTTTACAATGCCAACATTAACATGATACCAAAGTCAGGCAAGGACACTATAAGAAAAGTAAGCTACAGGCCACTATTACTGATGAACATGCAAAAATCCTGAGTAAAATACTAGCAAACCAAATTCAACAGGACAGTAAAAAGATCACACAGCATGATCACATGGCAATTATTTCTGGAATTCAAGAATGGCTCAACATACATAAATCAATAAATGTGATATGCCACATTAAAGAATGAAGGATAAATATATAATTATCTCAATAAATGCAGAAAAGGTATTTGACAAAATTTAACATGTGTTCATGATAAAAACTCTCAACAACTCTCAACATATCTCCCTGTTGCTGACTTCCATATATCATTCCACAAGTCTAGTTGCTTCTACATCCAAATAGTGTTTCATGCTTTAACTTCTTTCCATCTTTCATTTCTCACATTGATATCTGCCTCAGCCCTTGAATTGCTCTCTCTGCCTCCAGTCTTGAGTCTCCATGAAGCCATTCAGCATACTCTCAAATTTTACCATCCCACTGTAAAATTGTTCAGTAGCTACCCATCATCCCCATGTTAAAGTCCAAATCCCTTAATATCACTTTTAAAATCCTCTACAGTCTAACAAACTGAGTATTTATTTAGGCTTATATGCAACCTCTTTCCTTCCTATTTAAAAAATATAGCAAAAGCTAACATATTTTTGTTCTTTGAATGGACTTTCCATTCTGTCATTCCTTTCACCACCCTCTCCTTAGCATATGAATTGCTTATGGATTGGGTAAGCATTTTGCTTACTTGACACAGAATAACATATCCTCTAGCTATCTGTGCTGTTTATTTTCCTCTTTATATTATCAACTCTACTCATCCTTCAATCTCCATCTATCACATACACAGAAAATCTTTCCTTAAGTCTTTGAGATTGAGATCCTCTGCTATCTGTATTTAAAATGTATGCATTCCTGTAGAATCATATTTTGTCAAATTTTATTTTCTGAATTTTTACCTGTCTTCCTTTAATAATTGACTCTTCTCTGAGACCAGGTTCTGTAGTTGCCTTATTTACATTTATCCAATGTTTAACAAATTACATATATATACTAGATAATATATACCTTGAAAGAAGGAATATGTGATTGAATGAATGAATAAATTTCTTAGAACTTGAAAGAGAGAATATTGTTTATGGTAAATCAAAAGTCTGAAAATAGCCACGCACAGTGGCTCATGCCTGTAATCCCAGCATTTTGGGAGGCCGAAGCAGGTGAATTTGAGCTCAGGGGTTGAAGACCAGCCTGGGCAACATGGTGACATCCTGTCTTTATCAAAAATACAAAAAAAAAAAAAATATAGCCAGGCATGGTGGTGTGCACCTGTGGACCCTGCTACTCGGGAAGCTGAGGTGGGAGGACCGTTTAAGCCCAGGAGTGGAGGTTGCAGTAAGCCGAGATTGTGCTACTACATCCCAGGCTGGGTGACATAGTAAGACCCTGTCTCATTTAAAAATAAAAATAAAATTTTAAAAGTTTGAAAATAATATCTTTTCTAAAATTCTTATAGGTAAAAACAAATTATAAAAATTAGGCCAGAATCAAAATATGATTAAATTTTTAAAAGAATCCCCTTGCATCCTTAAAGAAGATAAAAGATAAGCAGTAACTCTTGAAAAAATATTTTTTAAAAAAATTGTTTTCTTAGCATATTATTGTTTTCATTTACTTATTTAACAAATATTTATTGAGTGCGTACTATTACCCAGGCACTATGCCATCTCTTTGATAAACAACATAATTAGAATGTTTTGCATGTGTTCCATTAGATGATTTAATTTTAAAGTTAGAAACCGTGTGATTTTAAAAATCAGCTCAGCACATAGCTAACATGAAATATAAACAAGATCTTACATGATGAAAAGAATAGCTAAAAACTACTGCCTTGTATATTTAGAAAAGAAAATTACATGGTAGAAAGACCCAAAGGAATAGCTACCTTGATTTAACACTGCTGGAACTTTCAGCATTTGGCTGATGACCAGTAGAGCACATTAGTATTGTAAGGCCAGGCATTGAAAAGAACACTAAGATTCGCTTGCTACCTTCCTTACATAAGCCAGAATCCATGTACCGTATATGAATCCACAAAAATAATAAAGGGAGGTGACCCAAGAGCAATGCTTACATAATTATCTCCAGTTGTCATCAAAGTTTTAATTTAAAGATTGGAAAAAATGGAAAATGCTGGTCTCTATAATCTGAGAAAGAACTAGAAGGGACAATGACACATTTTTCTTTTATGGACTTATGTTTTATGGACTTATGACATTACATGAAGGATTTATTGTTAGAATCTATATATATGCAGATCACATACAGTTTTATATATAATTATATAAAATGTAAGAGGACAGCAATTAGTCTCATATTAATATTCAAAGTGCTAACAGTTAACACCATATCATTTTACTAAAAGCAAGAAATTCCTATTATTTTCCATTCAAAAGAAATAAAATATTTCCCTACGATAGTTACTCATTTGGAAGACATGTGAAAACTGGCAGTCACTTGGCTTTTGAAGGAATGAAACTTTGAAAGGGTTCAGACGAATTGTTCTAAATGTAGATTTTAATTGGTTCCTTCATTCCCCGTGACCTATAAAATACTCAGAGAAGCTTCAAGCAAAATGTGTTTTCTCCCCACCCTGATCCTTGCCATTGGCAAAGGCTGCTTATTTTCTTATGTTTCAAATTATCCGAGTTAACGTGACTGGCTTTGTTTAGCAATGACTTCACATAACTGGGCCTTTTATCAGGCATTTTTATATACCGGCACTATTCATGTTATTATCAAAGACTGAAAAACAACATTTTTTGTAAAAGCTGAGCAAAACACCAAAGAGTATGATGGCAACAATAATATATTTATCATGAGATGCTGGTAAGAAGAGTTAAACAAACCGAAAAATAAATGATCTAGCAACCAGAGGCTGGAGTGAGGGTGGACAGGGAAAGGGGAAATGTTGGTCAAAGGGTGCCAAGTTTCAGTGAGATGGGAGGAACAGGCTCTGGTGATCTATTGCACAGAATGGTGACTCTAGCTAATAATAATGTATTGTATATTTCAAAACAGATAAAAGAAAGGATTTTAAGTTTCTCACCACAAACGAATGATAACTGTTTGAGGTGATGGATATGTTAATTAGCCTGATTTGATCATTTCACAATACATGTATACATGACATTGTACCCCATAAATATATTCAATTATTATTTGTCAATCAAAAATAAAATAAAACTTAAAAATAAAATTCTCATCCTAAAAAGAATTTAAAGGCTAAACATGAGCTTTCAAAGAACATTTTTGGAAAGTACGTGTGAATAAATATTTTCAGGGCTAGTTTCTTTTCATTAGTACATGTTAAGCATTTCTCTTCTACAATGTGTTTAATATCTACACATTATTATATCACAATTATGAGCCATAATTTTTATATCCATCTGCCACTGATATTTTATTTTCAGTATTCTACCTTTAATCATGAACCTTACTTTTTGTATGCACTTCTGATTATTTCCATGGAACACATTCACTGAGTTATAATTGTTGGGTCACAGGGAACTGCTCTGTCATTTGAAATCTGGGAAGCAGGAACCATATTGTAATGCGCCTCATTTATAAACAGGACCACCATGCCATCTGCAGATGGCACTATGTGAGCACCTGACTAAGGTGGGCCAGGTGCTCTTCATGGTTTTTAACTTTGAGGCTAAAAAGCTGGTTTTATGGGCCTTCCTAATCATATTCATCTTTTAGTACTTGACCCCTTCCTCTGGCTTCTTAAGAAGTTAATGAATTTAAAAATCAATACTAAAAATGTTTAAGGTCATAAATATCTTCTACTTGCTTTACAAAGGAAGAAAAAACACCCTGGCCTCACGAAGCCTTTAGTCCTGCTTAAATTCATTCACACTTTGTAGGATTATTTCATATTCTTGAGGTGGGATATTGAATTATTAATTTAGCAATTTGTGTTTTCAGGTCATGAATTATGTTAATTTCCATTTCAGTGAATGTTAGAGTATTTGACCAGATTGTGATGTTGCCTACTTTGTATAAAATATTCTTTTCCATGAATACATTGAGAAATTAATTAGAACATAGATTGTTTGGCTCAACAAATCAGAATTAAGTGAAGGGTAAAAAAATGGGTTTTTATTTCTAGATTACAGAATAAATACCTATATTTACCTTACTTTCCTCCTGAAAACATACTAAGTTGGCTATTAAAAATATACAAATGCGTAAGAAAAAATAGGTAGTGATACCACGGTAGTCCACTCATTTTCTTCTCTAAAATCAGCACACTCATCCGAAACTGTCACAGATACCTGCTGCTCATTGGCTCATAGCCATGTCTATCACAAGGAAGCAGATTCTCAAATAAGATTGTGGCTATAAATCAATGAACAGCAGTCTGGCAATAAGAATTCTGTGACCAGTGGTGAATGGGGAATAGATGGCCCATGACATGCAATAATAACACAATTGTTAAAACTTTCATCATCAGTTAGTCAGGATGGGTAATGGTGGAAAGGAAGTACATGAGTTTATGCAATATTTTTCTTGAAAAGTATGAGGGAATATATTATTGAATTGGGTGGCTGTGACTAAGTGCCATAAATTCAATGAAGAGAGCCAATGACAGGCCCAGAATGATTAATCAGCAATTAAGGGCAAAATCTGAAAGCCAAAGGAGTTCCTTGGCAGCATTTAGTAAAACTCTAATCTCCTATAAATGGAGAGAAGACAGAAAGGAGGAATGAGCTCACGACTAAATCATAAGAGTAGAGGAGATTCAGACAATGTTAAAGGCTGCAATTTTTACAACAAGGTCAGATATTTGAAAGGACTCACAAGATTCCATGGAGCACATTCATGTAAGACTTTTAATACAGGCAAATGATACAGTGCGTTAGGAGAAAGAGAATGTAAAAAAGCATCAATATCTGAAAGTCTTCCAGGCATAGCTACCTAGGGCCCTTATTCACAGAAGGGTGTGCTTTGTCTTTGGACTGAACCTCCAAGGTTTATTGCAAGTAAATTTGGTTTGGAAAGACCTTCGTAAGAGTTTCCAGCAGAGTTCTGTATTCCCCTAAATTCACCTAGCTAAATTTGGCTGCAGAACCAGTGATGCTACATATAAGGTATCAATAAACAACCCAGCCTGGGTACCACTTGCGGTATTCTAAATTTTAAACTAAATGTTATAAATTATGAGTTAGCCCACTACCCTTATATGGCAATGAGTCAGATACTTCCATGTGCCTCTGGAGATAAGCACAGAACGGTCATAGTTCATCTGTAAAATTATTCTATGCTACAAAATACGTAGCTCCAGTGAGTTTCCTAGGCCAAATTCAGATTTCTAACAAGAAAGAAATGAGACACTGACACTTGGAGGTGAAAATCTGGGTAGATTCATTTGAAACCCTGGAACTCCAGATGCCCCTAGTTCAACTGGTCTGGCAGTGGCCTACTTCTTCTTAGAAAATAGTAGCCACCTCCAGCCTAAAGATCATGGAGAGGTCTTCATGAAGCAGATGCCTTATGAGACAAAGTCCCTTTTCCTGGAGTCAACCCTCTTCTTCCTTCCTGACAACCAGATCAATAATAAGAGTCAAATACCAGCACAGCCCAACTGGGGAATAAGACTGGCAGAGGTAGGATAGTATCACTCTCGGGAACAATATCCCAAGGAAGATATATTTAAAGGAGGAATGCAGAACATAAAGTTGAGAAAATGAGAGTCTGTCATTATGGGAGCCCTCTGCTAGCATACATGATTTAGCCCTCTGACAGTCCAGGAGATGGTGCTAACACACTATTTAGATGGCTCATGGAAGCTTGAAATAAGTTACAGCCTATACAGTTAGTCAAATAAAAATGCCAAAATTGATAGGAAAGGTATAATTGAAAGGGATCAGAAGGCTCAAGTAGGCACTCTGATAAACCATACAAGGCTGGAAAACCCACCAGCCATCTGTTTCTTACAAGACATGAAAGACACTCCATTTACCAAAGAAGAGTGTCCTAATGAAAGGGGTACTAACATTGTTCAGAAGACAGTGATGGCTGTCTTCTGCAGGCTAAAGCTGACAAAAAGAGGTGCTACAACAGAACTGAATTGCAAAAAAACAATGGAGATTGCAGGACAATGGAATGATAAAGGTCCAACACTTAACCATCAGTGGCAAGACTAACGCAATCTTCACAACAGCAGAAAAACCTGAATGGCAGGCCCATCAGAGGGCCATGGAGATGGTTAATAGGACAGAGTGTTCCTACAGGCAAGAGGGAGGAAAACCAATGAGTGTTTTAAATTTAAAGAATCAGAAGAAATCCCAAATGGATAAACAAGAGGGTGTGGACACTCACCACAATAAACGTCATGATCCCACCCCAATTTCCTAAACTAGCTCTCAGACCTGAAACCCAACCACTGAAGAAACAGTTTCGTTCCTATAAAGAAGGACCCTGAAATGCCAAAGCAAGTGTATTCAGTAGTAAACTACCTAGTCCATCCCCAAAGGAATACACAGCCATTTTCTTTGGTAACAGTGAACTGGAAAAGGGGAAATAACTAGGTTTTTTTTTTTTTTTTTTTTTTTTGAGGATGCTTGGACACAGGATCTGAGTTGGCACAGATATTCAGGGTTCCAAAGTGATAATATGCAGAATGTGGGGACTAGAAAACAAATGGAGTCTTCACCTAGATCCAGGTACCAGTGAAGCTACTAGGTCCATTATTCCACCTGATGAACACTTCTCTAGCATTCTAATGTATAATTAGCATAAACACACATGGCAGTTGATGGGACCTTCATCTAAAGTTCTTGACCTATAAGACAGAGGTAGTTTCAGTTTTCAAATTCAGTTTTCAATTGAAGACTGAAACTACCTCTGTCTTGAGCCAAGAGATTAAAAAACAAACAAACAAAGCAAAACAAAGTAGAGTACATGCCAGAGGGAACGGCAGAGATTACTGTCACCCTCAGTAACTAAAAAAATGCAGGGGTGGCCACTATAATATCCCACCTAATTTATCAGTCTGACCCTGAAAAATATAAATATTTTTTAAAAAGGGATCATTCTTTCTTTTAAAAATATCTACAAAAACCTATAACTTCTAGCTATGGACACTGATGGCCATCCTCCCCATTCTGGTATTTAGGGGCTTTCTGCCTGAGGGCAGTTTCCCATCCACTGGCCACAAAATGAAATCTAACACTTTACAGCACCCATACATAGAGGTTCTATTTAGGCTTCCCACTCCCTGCAGGTGTCTATTGAGGAAATAGGTCCAGCTATGAAATAACACAGATAAACCAAGTCAGGTCCTCTTAATTGTCAAAAAAGTTCTTCATTCTTAAATATTACAGAAAAAAAACATTCTCACCAGTCATAGAAGAAATCCAACTGCAAGAAGAAGACCAATATAAATAAATAATGCTAACTAGCCCTAAAGAAAAAAATAAAGATTCATGAAACATATAAAATATATAAAATAATCTTACCAGTATCTTCAGAAAGTTTGGAGAAAATATTGAATTCCCAGGATGCTGTGAAAACAGTCATTAGAGAATGTGTTAGACAGAGAATGCTGTAGATAATTATGACCTTCTTTTTTGTTTTTTTGTTTTTGAGATGGAGTCTCACTCTGTCACCAAGGCCACAGTGCAGTGGTGCAATCTTGGCTCACTGCAACGTCTGCCTTTTGGGTTCAAGCAAATCTCCTGCCTCCCGAGTAGCTGGGATTCCAGGCACGTGCCACCATGCCCAGCTAATTTTTGCATTTTTAGTAGAGACAGGGTTTTGCCATGTTGGCCAGGCTGGTCTCCAACTCCTGACCTCAGGTGATCCACTGCCTCGGCCTCCCAAAGTGCTAGGATTACAGATGTGAGCCACCACGCCTGGCTGATAATTGACTTTCAGTGTCTATCTTCCATATCTTTAGTAACAAAAACTTGATTTTTAGATTAACACGCTTCTTCACAGCTAAACTATTATGCTTCTCAGCATTCCACGAAACTAATGGGAAATTATGTTACTAAATTCTGACCAGTGAGATTGTATTAGTCTGTTTTCACACTGCTTATAAAGGTATACCTGAGACTGAGCAATTTATAAAGGAAAGAGGTTTAATGAAGAACTCACAGTTCCACATGGCTGGGGAAGCCTCACAATCATGGCGGAAAGTAAGGAGGAGCAAGTCATATCTTACGTAGATGGCAGCAGGCAAAGAGAGAGCTTGTGCAGAGAAACTCCCATTTTTAAAACCATCAGATCTTGTGGGACTCATTCACCATCACAAGAACAGCACAGGAAAGACCCACCCCCATGATTCAATCATCTCCCACCGAGTCCCTCTCATAACACGTGGGAATTATGGGAGCTACAAGATGAAATTTGAGTGAGGACACAGAGCCAAGCCAAATCACTCTACATCTGGCCCCTCCCAAATATCATATCATCACATTTCAAAACCAATCATGCCTTCCCAACAGTCCCCCAATGTCTTAACTCATTTCAGTATTAACTGAAAAATGCATAGTCCAAAGTCTCATCTTAGACAAGGCAAGTCCCTTGTGCCTATGAGCCTGTAAAATCAAAAGCAAGTTAGTTACTTCCTAGATACAATGGAATTACAGGCACTGGATACATACAGCCATTCTGAATGGGAGACATTGGCCAAAACAAAGGGGCTACAGGCCCCATGTAAGTTTGATATCCAGCAGGGCAATAAAATCTTAAAGTTCCAGAATCATCTCCTTTGACACCAAGTCTCACATCCAGGTCACACTGATGCAAGAGGTAGGTTCCCATGTTCTTGGGCAGCTCCACCCCTGTGGATTTGCAGGGTACAGCCTTCCTCCTGGCTGCTTTCACAGATGGGCATTGAGTGCCCTGGGCATCCAGCTGTATCCATACATCCCCTGAAATCTAGGCAGAGGTTTCCAAACCCCAATTCTTGATTTCTGTGCACTAGCGGGCTCAACACCATGTGGAAGCTGCCAAGGTTTGGGGCTTGCACCTTTTGAAGCCATAGCCCAAGCTCCACATTGGCCCCTTTCAGCCACGGCTGGAACAACTGGGACTCAGGGTGCCAAGTCCCTTGGCTGCACACAGCATGGGGACCCTGGGCTCGACCCACAAAACCACATTTTCCTCTTAGGCCTCTGGGCCTGTGATGGAAGAGGCTGTCATGAAGACCTCTGACATTCCCTGGAGATATTTTTACCATTGTCTTAGGAATTAACATTCGGCTACTTGTTACTTACGCAAATTTCTGCAGCTGGCTTGAATTTCTCCTCAGAAAATGGGATTTTTCTTTTCTCTCTCATTGTCAGGAGGCAAATTTTTGGAATTTTTATGCTCTGCTTCCCTTATAAAACTGAATGCCTTTAACAGCACCCAAGTCACCTCTTGAATGCTTTGCTGCAGAATTTCTTCTGCCAGATACCCTAAATCATCTCTCTCAAGTTCAAAGTTCCACAAATCTCTAGGGCAGGGGCAAAATGCCATCAATCTCTTTGCTAAAACATAACAAGAGTCACCTGTGCTCCAGTTCCCAACAAGTTCCTCATCTCACTCTGAGACCACCTCTGCCTGGAACTTATTGTCCATATCACTATCAGGCTTTTGGTCAAAACCATTCTACAAGTCTCTAGGAAGTTCCAAACTTACCCACATTTTCCTGTCTTCTTCTGAGCCCTCCAAACTGTTCCAACCCTTGACTGTTACCCAGTTCCAAAGTCAATTCCACATTTTCAGGTATCTTTTCAGCAGTGCCCCATTATGACAAGAACAGCACAGGAAAGACCTGCCCCCATGATTCAATCATCTCCCACCAGGTCCCTACCACAGCACGTGGGAATTATGGGAGCTACAAGATGAGATTTGAGTGGGGACACAGAGCCAAACCATATCAGAGATGTAACTAAAACTTTCATATAGAACTTTCCAAAAGTCTCTTAAATAAAAAGTAAAATAAGTCTTATTTCCTCTCCTATTCATTTTGGTGTGAATACAGTCATCATGTCTGAAACTCATGTAGGCATCCTGAACCATGAGGCCTGCATTAAAAATGGCAAGTTGTAAGACAGAGTTTGACTCCCTAATGACCGCAGACCAGCAAGCGTCCTCAGATTTAGGTATGTGTAAAAAAAAGAAACTTGTCCTGTATACAATATATCTGGTAATAATTTTACTTTCAATGGCAAAATATGCAATTATTTTTGCACCAACCTAATAGTAAACATAAGCCAATATAATTCTTTTTATTTTTTTAAGAGACAGAGTCTGTCATCCAGGCTGGAGTGCAGTGGTGCAATCATAGCTTTCTACAGCCTTAAACTTCTGGCCTCAAGTGATCTTCTTTCCTCGGCCTCTCATGTAGCTGAGACTACAGGTGCTCCACCACACCTGGCTGTATTTTTTTTTTTTTTTTTTTTTTTATAGAGATGAGATCTTGCTATGTTGCCCAGGCTGGTATCAAATTCTGGTCTCAAGCAATCCTCCTGCCTCAGGGTCTCATAATTTATAAAAGAAATTAATAACCCTTTTGGAAATTAAAAACATAAATAGAAAAACAAAAAAAATTGGATGAGGAGGGTTAGAACATAAAGGAGGAAATTGTCTGTGATGTAAAGCACAGTCAACAAAAGGGACAGATCATCTCAGAAAAGAAATGTCAAAGAAAAAAATCCAGGAGTGCTAACATTTGGATAAGAGAAAAATATTAAGAAGAAATTATTTTGGAGAATAAGAAAAAATTATCAGGCCTGACTTTGTATTGGAAGGTTGATCCTATAAATTCTAAGCTGAATATTGGTAAGAAGACACCAAGAAATTTTAGAACCTAAAATTTTTTAGGCCTCCAAGCCTCTAGATGGAAGAACTCACTTGCAGACTCAAGGCGCCAGCTGCCATTAACCTTGTCATCAGCAACACCAAACCATTCCCTTACAACTTCAGAGTTCTAAGGGAAATTAATTTTATTTGAGCATCTGATACTCTATCAAAATCTCAGTGGAATGTGGAAGCAAAATAAATGCATTTTAAAACACACAGGAATCATAAAATTTAACTTCCCATTATAAATAACTTAGTTTACAGAATACTCTAGCAAAATGACAGAGAAAACAAAAAAAATTTTTTAAAGACATTGTATTAATGAAAGAGGGATACAGTGATGGAAAGTTCCAGCATGGCAGTCATAGAGTATAAGGGGAGGACTCTTGTTTTCCCATGGTTTGGAAGTAGGGGTTCCAAGGAAGTAAAATAAATGTATGTCAAAGGAAGCTACAGGAAATGACATTTGTCACACTAAGAGATGGTGTAATCCAAAGGCATAAGAAAGACACAAGTAGAAACTACAGGAGTGCCAAAAGCCATATAAGAAAATCATGGTACAAATAGAAAGCTAATTAAAACATGATATAATTGTAAGAATGATAATTTGAAGGAATTAAGAGAATTATTTTGAGCTTGATGTAGGCAACACGGCAGTTATGGCATCAGACTTTAAATAAAGAAAATATAATCCCAACCCATTAATTATGTGTCTATAGTTCCTGACTCATAACTCCCATAGCCCTTGTTCTTTCTCCCCAGGGCAGGCCATAGAAACTGAAAATATAACCTCACATTCACCTACCTGTCTGTCTTGGAGCTGGCCACAAAGCAATGCTCTGACCTACTTTATCTGACCGTAGGTCATAAGACCCACATTTCAGAAAGGGTCCTGTACCATATACTGGAGGAAGGAATGCCACATGGAGAGGACAGGAAGGATCTAAACAGACAGGCCTTGCTGGGGTTCCCCCCACCCACCCCAGTCTATTAGTGTTAGATCCTATCCTTTTTGCCTAATCACATTTCTACATGGTTGCCCACGCTTCAATCCCACCTATTTAATGAAGTCTCCACAAAAGGCTATTTATTTTCTCACTGCTGATAAAGACAAACCAGAGACTGGGCAATTTACAAAAGAAAGAGGTTTAATGGAGAACTCACAGTTCCACATGGCTGGGGAAGCCTCACAATCATGGCAGAAGGCAAGGAGGAGCAAGCCATATCTTACCTGGATGGCAGCAGGCAAAGATAGAGCTTGAACAGGAAGACTCCTGTTTTTAAAAAACCCTCAGATCTCGTGAGATTCATTCACTATCACCAGAACAGCGCAGGAAAGACCCACCCCCATAATTCAATCACCTCCCACCAGGTTCCTCCCACAACATGTGGGAATTGTGGCAGTTACAATTCAAGATGAGATTTGGGTGAGGACACAGCCAAAGCATATCAACGGGTATGAAGAGCTTCCAGATAGCTGAACACATGGAGGTTTCTGGAGAGTGGTATACTCAGAGAGGGCACAGAAACTCCACTCCTCTTCTCCCATACCTCACTCTAGGCACCTCTTCATCTGTATCATTGGTAATATCCTTTATCATAAATGTGGTTCCCTGAGTTCTGTGAGCTGCTCTAGCAAATTAATCATACCCAAGGAGGGGATCATGGGAACCCCAATTTATAGCTGGTTGGTCAGAAGCACGAGTCACAACCTAGGACTTACAACTGGCATAGAAAATGGGGGCACTCTTGTGGGACTGAGCCCTCACCCTGTGGGATCTGACTCTCTCTCCAGGTAGACAGTGTCAGAATTGAGTTGGAGGACACCCAGCTGGTGGCTGCTGTAGAGATGATGGCTTGCCTGCTTATTGGTGGGGAGAAGTCCTCACACATTTGGTCACAGAGGTCTTCTGTGTTGATTGCTATGGGGCGAGAGCAGAGAAAAAACAGTTTGTGTGTATTTCCACTCACTCAACTTGTATCTGAAGAGAGGAACATTTACATCGGCATAGTCATTTAAACGCTATCTTACTGGTTTTTCACTTTAAAAATTAACCTGTAGATAAGGCATGAAGACAGTTATAAGGAATAACTGATATAATCTAGGAGGTATTTTGCAGGAAGAGAGGAACCCAGGCAGGCTGTGGCTAGAATAGGGAAATATGGAGATAGGATCTAAATAAACTGAAATAAAAATGTAGAGGTTTTAATATATTTTCAAAAATTACTACAATAAAGGAAGGTAAAATAATAACATAACTATCTAATGTGTTCACCTGCAGGGAACAGAAGCGAAAGTACAGTGGTATGAAATGAGATATAGCCTTCTTTTCTCTATCAGGGAATCAGATGTTTTTGAAAGTACGTGAGCGTCAAATGATCACATAAACTCATTCTTGGGATTTTTAAATAATTGCATAAAATTCTTGAAATAACTTGTAACTGCTTGTGTTTAAAATATTTTCATGACATCAACAAATTTGAGCAAACATTCTGAGTAAAGATAATTAATTGTACTTGAAATGTCAGACTGAGACCCAGGGTCAAATTTGCAAAATTTTTTTAAAAAGTAATTATTCTCTAGTGCCATAAAATATTTAGTTTTAATATTGCTAAAATCTATGTTATGTCTATTACGTTAACAACTATGATGATAACTGGGATTTTCCTAGTGAGGAACTAAAAGTCCTTTAGGTGTTCCTTAATTCATAACTATATATATTTTTAAATGCCCGTTTGGGATCAGAGAGATTAAAAGATGCTCCAACATGTTTATATGAGACTGTGCATAGGTAGCTGGAATCTATTCAAAGTAGTTGAGTGTTTCTTTGAGATTATATTCTAGCTCTTTCCCTTCCCAACTGTGTGACCTTGGGCAACCACTTAATCTTCCTTCATCTCAATTTGATCCCCTTTAAAATGAGAATAATATCAGTTCTTACCTGACAGTGATTATGACAGTATAAGAAATGAATTAACATAAAATTATTCAAGAATTCTTGACACATAATAAGCATTCAATAGATGTTAGTTATGATCACCATCCTAAAGAAAGAAGGAATGAGGCTTCATGAGTCTAGCCTAAGAACACAGTAGACATATGGAGGGCAGTAGTTCTGAGTCTTGGCTACTACTTTAACCAGCAGGAAAACTAGTCCTCTGGATGGATGCAAGTGTGTTTCAAAGAGGTAGATAGGTAGAGGTACAGGTAGAAGTGGAGAGAGAGGGAGGGAGAGAAAGAGAAATAATTTTAAAATTAAGATTTTTTTAAAATTCTTAAAACAATGGGATACAAATAATATTGGTTTGTATCATAGACAAAAAGAAAAAAGTAGTTCTCCATCCCTGCCGACCCATTTCAATTTTACTTTGCACCGTTATACAAATTGGCACAAGGAAGCCCCAGATAATGGCAATGAACTGCTGTGGTCATTACCGCAAGACAAGAGAGATTCTAATGCCTGACAGCGCAGTTTGAAATGGCTGTGACGCCCAGCAAGTGGGACTGCCTTGTGTAGCACAATAATGAGAGCACCAGAGGCTAGACGGCTGCTTTGTCTTTCTCAATCCATTCGTTGGTCCCTGGCTATTCTAAAACAAATACACTCTTTTCATCGAGACCCTCTGTGGCAACTGATGCTCCAAAATATAATCACTGCTTCAGAAACTAAATGTTTGAATTTCTCCTAAATTGACAGTTTTCCAAGTCCCCAAATTGGTTCAGGAGACATACAGGGAGAAAATGTTGTTTTATTTCATCTGGGTTTACTGAATTCCCTCTTTAACATGAGTTAAAATCTATAGTATCCAATGTAACCTATGTTCTAATATCAGATAAGTCCCCAAAAAAATCTACACTACAGGAAGAAAAAATTTTCTAAAATATTTCTATTTCTCTAAATGACATTTCTTTAGATTTAATTTTATAGATAATGGTTCTAAATACTTAAGAACTGTTAGAAACTTCAGCTTGCTGCTATGTTACTTTAATCCAAATACACTTTCCTTCAAGGCAGAAGTTTAAATGGAATGTAACGGTAAGCTCAAATGCATTTTCTTTATCAAGAAAACTAAGAATAAAGTAGCTTGGATTTGGGTTACTTTCCAGACTAGAGAGTCTGTATTTATGTAAAATGCCAGCATTTAAAAATAAAATCCCAAATGTCCCTTTTCAATTAAATCCTAACTAAAATGCAAATTACCTAAACATTGGGACTACAAAATGTTCTCATCTTACCTGCCTTCAGAATTTCAATATAAGTGTTTCTTGCATTCAAAAACCACTGGGAGGTGTTTATTGAATACTTCAAAAACATTTTTCTTAATAATATAAAGGAAATAATAGGTTTAAGATATTTCAAAGCCAACAACTTTAGTCCATTTCTTCCTACGCCAAACCCCTTCTGATTGTATTTTTAGCAAATTTTCTATTTAATCTCTTTCTATATAACACAGATAAATTTTATCATAAAATATATTTTTAGGTAATAAACTTTGAAAAAAATTTCAACAATATCTCTAAGCAAGGACCCAGATTTCTTGATTAGATATAAACCAGCATTTTGTTAATATTTGGGATAAATTCTTTAGGCTAAAAGTGATCATTTCTCTTTTAAGTTTTTTCACCACATTACCAAGTCAGCCATGCATAACTAGAATAGTGCTATTACAGGGAAAATTAGATTTAAATAGAACAGGATTCCCTTCTAATTCATGTGTAATCTTTGGAGAGTTTAAGAATTGGTAACATTCTGTTTGTGCAATCTTTTGGGAAAGGTTCCTGCCCTACTTAAGTTTCAACAGATTGTAGTCATGCAGAAACAAGCTTTGACTCCCCTGTCTCTGGGCAACCAAAGAGCTGACCATCTGGACTCCTGGTTTGATAAAGACTTTTAGGGAGCCAGAAAAAATCCTGGCAGCAAAAGAACATACCTCAAATGGAACTCAGAAAAATCCTCAAAGACATGTTACATTCCAACATTGTTTTATAAACAACTTGGTCTTTTTATATGCACACACACTCTCACACACACACACACACAACGTACAAAACTTAAATTTAAATTTAAAATTCCAATAGGACGTTTTGAATTCAATACTTAAGGATGATGATTTGTGTGACCATATAATTTATTGATCTAATCAGGATAATTTTTTAAGTATGAAAGGAATAACTATTAATTAGGACACTAGGAATAACATAAGCCAGAACAATCTCTGACAAATCAGATGGTGCAGTCACCCTAACTATAATGAAAGGAGAATTGAGAGATGTTCTCCTGGCTAAATAAATCCATGAAATAAAATTCATGGCTGACAAATGAATTTAGTCATAGCTGCATTTTTATGATGTTACCTCTAAAAATAACATTCCAATGTTCAGCCTAGCTATGATCCAAAAAAATTATCTATCATAAATGTTGGCCAATTGTCCAATTCTGAAAATGGCCTCAAGAGAAAATCATTTGCCAACAGATTATTTGGACACTGCCTTCTGTGGTAGAACCAAATTCTTGACAAATGAATGATCACAACTATAATTTCTATTGCGTGAACTCCATATATCAAAAAGGGAAGTATTACCTCTACAGAATTGAAAACTGATTTAAACTCGATATTTTAAAAGAACAATTATTCTTGAGCAATTCTTCAAAAGTATTGAGTTATTAATTTGGAATTTGGTCTGACTTCTATAAAAGACTTGAATAAATACAAAAGTGACTTTTCAGTATTCCACTAAAAAAATTTCCTACAAAGAGGAAGCTGAAATCGTTCAGGAAGGGAATGGAATGAGGTCTTTACTTTGTGAAGAAGTGGAAGTGTCCTGACCAAGAAAGGGAATGAATCCTCAGAGACTGAAGGAGAGGAAAGTGACAGAATCCAAGGGTTCTTGAACTCAATTGCCCTCTTGCTGGCCATGATCAGAAAGGAGAGCACAGCAATGCTGACTGAGATCGGAGGAATCATTGCCACAGTGTTACAACCCTTGGAAAATTCCCAGTGGTCAAGTTAACATGAAGGAATTGGAAATCATTTCTTTCCCTGCACGAATAGAAGGTCTAGGCTGAGGGAATCTTGTGCTCAGCCATCCATCCATCTTCTAAATCTACAGTTTACTCCAATCATTGCTAGCAGCAAAAGAGCACTTTACTTTGGACACATTGGGTATCTCCTGCTATTTTCTCATCTGTGCTGGGACACGAAGCCTTTTGGCACTCATTAATGTATAAATCTAAAAGTTTGAGAGTTAAGAAATGATGGGGCAACATTTGAGAAATAGAAGACGGAAGTCAGTGGATAAAGAATTCATCTTTCATATCTCAAGTTGATAATTCTAATGCAAACTTTAAATAACTCCTCAGAAATCCAATTGGGGGTGGTGGCTCATGCCTGTAATCCCATCACTTTGGGAGGCCAAGGTGGTCAGATCACTTGAGGTCAGGAGTTTGAGACCAGCCTGGCCAACATGGTAAAACCCTGTCTCTACTAAAAATACAAAAATTAGCTGGGTGTGGTGGAATGTACCTATAATCTCAGCTACTTGGGAGACTGAGGCAGGAGAATCACTTGAACCTGGGAGGCAGAGGTTGCAGTGAGACAAGGTCAAGCCACTGCACTCCAGCCTAGGTGACAGAGTGAGACTCTATCTCAAAAAAAAAAAAAAAAGAAAAAGAAAAGAAAAAGAAATTCAAGACTGAAATTCACTTATACGCAAGAGAGAACAAATCAAAATGTACCTGGAATTTTACCCTCCTTCTCTACTGCACCCTTCCCAGGACCCAACACTTTTTCTCTGGTATAACTTATCCTTCCTCCTGCCTCTCCGTGAAAGAAAATCTGTATGCAAAAATTTGAATGACAGTTGAGTTCTCATCAGAAACCACCGAGACAAGAAAAAAGTAGTATGACATTTTTCAAGTGCTGAAAGAAAAGGCGTGCAAACCCAGAATTCTATATCCAGCAAAATCATCTTTCAGTGATGAAGGGGAAATCAAGACATTCTCAATTGTGGGAAATCTAACAGAATTTTTTGCCAGCAGACCAACCCTAAATGAATGGCTAAGCTATTTTTTGAAATAGAAAACAAATGATAAAGGAAACAATCTTTGAAAACCAAAAATAAAAAAAATAATAGAAAGAGTAAAAGTATAGTTAATACAATAGATTTTCCTTTTCCTGTTGAGTTTTTAACATATGTTTGAGGGTTGAAACAAAAATTATAACACTTCCTGGTGTGGGTGGGTGTCAATGAGGTGTAAGAAATATTTAAGACATTTATACTAAAAATGGAGGGTAAAAGGATTTTGTAAAAGGAGGTAAGATTTTCATACTTTACTCAAACTGGTACAGCCACTCTGGGACATAATTTGGCCGTTTCTTAAAACACTAAACATACATAACGTATTACACAGCAATCACACTCCTGAGTATTTATTCTAGCGAAATGAAAATTTATGCCCACATAAAAACTTTTATACCAGTGTTCATGGCAGCTTTAGTTGTAATAGCCACAAATGGAACCATCAAGAATGTCCTACAATAGGTGAATGGTTAAACATACTGTAGTACCTTCATACCCTGGAATACTACACAGCAGTTAAAAAAAATGAAGTATTGATATGTGCAACAAATGGGATGGCTATCAAGGGCATTTTGCTGAGTGGAGGGAAAAAGCAAACCTCAAAAGATCATATACAATATGATTCAATAATATTTTCAAAATAATAAAGTTTTAGAGAGGGAAAATAAATTAATAGTTGCTAGGGGATTAAGGATGGTGATAGGAAGGAAGAAGGGGAAAAGTGTAACTATGGGGAGGTTGCACGGGGGCTATTTTTGTGATGAAATCATTGTGTATCTTCATTGAGGTGGCTATTACATAAATCTACGTATGATAAAATGGAATAAAACTAGGTACACACATTATACCAACATCAATCTCCTGGGTTTTCTATTGTACTGTAGTTACTTAAGATGTAACCATTGGGCAAAACGGGTTGAAGAGGGGAAGGCCTCTCTGTACATCCTTACAACTTCTTGTAAATCTTTATTTCAAAATAAAAATTTAAATAGAAAAATCAGAAAGAGGGCTCACTGTGGCAACTTCTTGTTAAACTTTCTGTGTAGCAACTCATAAGTGCTCACTTTTCCTTTTGTCAGCTGTTGACTTCTTTGTTCGTGAGTCAGTATCTTTCATAATGACCTATTTCTCTCTGGAGTATTTCTTTACACAATTTATATTCTTTTTGATGCTTAGTGCCTATATCTGCAATAAAAATTTTTCTTTTTTTCAACTTTTGACTCTTTTTAGGAGATGAATATTCTGCTCATTTGTGTCTTTCAACATAATCTTTTTTTCAATATGTGAGTTAATATAGAAAAGCCTCTGAAACCAATTTTCCTAACAATACTAGGCCACTTGCTTCTTTTCAAAATTGCTTCAATAAAACCTCAATTTAAAAGGTACTTTATTTTTTCAATAAATTTGAATAGCATAACAAAAATATTTTAAAATTATTTTTCCAATATATCCATATATTCTACATACATGTGAATCAATAATATATGCAGACACATATATGCACACTCACGTGAATTAATGTAGCCTGTAGAGAAAAATATAGTTCATTAATACTGAGGAAATACAAAGCAAAAGTTTTATCAGGATAATTATTTCAAACAAAAGTTTATCTTAATTGAAAAGTACACTCAAATAGCATGCCAGTATTCGACACATAATCAAGCTAGTTGTTCAGGGAAGAAAACAAGATAAATTATTAGTTATAACTCTAACATGTCAAAGTCTTATTTCAAAGAAATTGACTCTGCAATTAGTTCTATATTTAACTTCCTGTCAAAACCAAAATCAAATCCCAGAAAAATTAAATCTCTAAAGCCCCCCTAACCTTTCTCATCATTTTTTAAATTGTCAGAATATCACTGAAAATGTTACTTTTCTTTGGGACAATCCCAGGTGCACTAAATAGAACTCCATACATTAATCATAATGACAGCAACTTCAGTTGACGGTAGGGAAGTTCTAATACAGTCATCTCAAAATACTGTTCACTCTTTTACGTTTTTTTTTCTTCAACTGTCTGGTCAGTAGAGATAAATGATACTAATTTTAAATATTTGGAGTGATATATTGTCTCTAGGGTTGTTTTGGAAATCTTGATGCCCCTAAATATTGATGCCCTTGGAGGTAATTTGACTACTCTGAAATGTTATTATACTCAAGAAAAATAAAACCTTGAAAATATATCTTACCTGAATGGGTAAAAATCTTTCAACAATGAGAATAGAGTTAACTAAATTATGAAAACAGATATATTCATGAAGAAAAAAATACAGAAGAATGGGAAACCAAAAACCATTCGAATAAAAATATATGAAGACAGAGTGCAGCACAAAATCTCATAGAAAGGAATTTGGCTAATCATCACTATTAAAATGGATATACCTCTATCCAAAAGGTGGAGTGGACTAAATAAAGGAAAATTATATTTATATATATATTTTAAATGGTGCTTTGTAGCAGTAAAACAAATCAGTTCTTTCTATTATAAACTTCCTGATTCAAATCAAAAGAAAATATAGTAGGCTGCAATTTAAATAGCACAATATTACCTAGAAGTTTAAACCCACACAAAGTTTGCCATGTTCAAGGCAAATATTGGGAAGATAAAAATAAGCAGAAAGCTGTTACTACATTTAAATTGCCAGATACCTAGTTACCTGATTAATGAAGAAAACAAAAACACATATAATTGTAGAATTTGTGTAATTTCTCTGACCTTTATACCACCCATATCCATCAAATTAATAGTTTTTCTCTTTATGTTAAGCTGTGTAAACAAATCCAAGTCCACTTCTCTTTCACATATTTTGCAGGTAAGTGTGAGAGTTTTAATTTATTCATATAGAAAATACTCTAAAGCTCGAAATATATCTATAAGGCATTCAATTTTGGTTCTACGTGCTTAGCCTGATTTGTCATTTCTAAAGGAATGTTTAACTTGGGAATTTTCTGGTTTAAGCTACAGACATGTTTATTCAGGTTTTTGCTTGTCTGTTTAGGGTATTGTAAGGCTCCTGGGAAGATTTGTATATATAAACTTATTTGCTGTGCACTTAGGAAAGATGAATGAACTGAGAGATAGATCCCTTTGGATCTTGTCTTTTTTCTTCCTCTCCTTTCTCTCCCTTTTGTCTACCCCTCTCCCTCTCTCCACTTCCCTCTCTCTCACTCCCTCTTCCTCCACCTTCTTTCTTTCTCCTGCTCCCTCCCTCCCTCTCTTTCCTCTCCATTTTGAAATAAGAAGGATTCATGGCAACCTGCACAGGATAGAATGAAACAGATCTGAGTCAAGAGGAGAATCTCTGAGGATAATTTCTTCAAACAGGTAAGGAAGAATAAGAATAAACTTCTCTTAAGTTCACCGTTATCAGCAAATTGCACACATAGATTCTTCAACATTTCCAGGCAGAGGAGGCCTACCATGGGGGGAAGAGCAGGAGAGCAGATGCCTACCCGCCCCCAGTACAAGCAGAGCAGGAGCCTGTTAAAGTCCAGGTTAGGACAGGGAAACTCAGATCAACTTTCCACATTCTTGGATCCCAAGCTCTGGACACTAACTCTCAACAAGAACATTCAGAAGTCATAAACACTAGTCATTTTCCCTGTAAATGTCCTGCATCTATCAAAATAGAAAGTGAATAATACGATAAAATATTTGTTATTCGCAACACATGCTGCACAGTTTAAAAATATTATTCAATTTTATTCAAATTATCCCCATGGTACATAGTTTTTTCAAGGAGTTTTAAAGAAATCCATTTGCATTCCAGTTTCTTAACCTCTTTCAAAAGTTCAAACCTCTTTCAAAATGTGAACTCCCCATCATTGACTCTGTGACCTCCCTCTTCTCGTATTATCTTCATTTTTCTCACTGCTCTCCAGTCACATTGTCCCGCATGTTGCTTCTCCAACATGCTAGACATGATCACACCTTAGCGTCTATCTATAGGCTGCTTTCTCTGCTTGAAACTCCCTTCCCCAGGAAGCATCTCCATCTGTTCAAATGTCACATACTCAATAAAGTTTAAGACTCTTTTTAAAAATATAATTTATAAAAATATAATTATCCTCCCTGACAGCACAGTTTTGAACCCCCACCTTGCTCTTCTCTATTTTTTCCTATTTCTATTTCATTTACCATTTTATTCTATATGTTACAATTATCACATTTATTAGATCTGGGTTTTTTTTATAACTTTCTGTCTTATTCAGTTTAATGTAAGCTCTGTGAGAAAAGGGTCTTTATATCTTTTACTCACTAATTATCTCCACTTTCCAGAATAATTCATGGTGCAGAGTAGGCATTATTTAATAAAGATTTGCTGAAACTATGAGTGAATGAATGAGTGACTCGCTCACTTATAGTAAATCTTACTCAAAATACTGGCATACATGTTGAGAAAGAAAATGACTCTCAATCAGAAGCTTATCTATTAAAATTTAAGTTGTTCAAATTCACTATTTTTAATAAAACTAAAGGAAGGACATTAGAAAAAAACTTTAGAAGCCATTCCAAAGAGTGTAGGAATATAAAGACTTTCCAAATTGTTTTAGATTGTGCATGAGCAAAAAATTTTAAGACAAGAAAGAGCCTAGAAAGAGATTCTGGAAGATACTGGCAGATTGCTCAACAAATCCATTACGTCTCTTTTTTTGAGGATGTAGCATGACAATATTTTATCCATCTTCTTTTATAGTTAGGTGTGGCCATGTGACTAAGTCCCAGCCAATAGAATGTGGGAGACACTGATAGGCATAACTTCCAGACCTAGTCCTTTAAAAATCCCTCACTTGTGCTTTTCCATGCTCTGTCTCATTTCCTGGCTTGATAGCAATGTGCATGATAACTCAGGAAGCCACATGTTGAATACTGTGGCACCACAAGATGAAACAAGCCTGGATCCTGGAACCACTGCTTGGAGGGGGTTGCCTGCCATCGTGAATACACATTGGACTTTATATAAATACGAAGTCTACTTCTCTTGTTTTAAATTACTGAGAATTTGTGGTTCATGTATTATGGTAGCTAGTATTACCTTAAGTAATAGAAGAATGTTCCCACTGTGTTAAATAGAAAAAATATTTTCTTCCACAGACTAAAATTGAAGCATGGTTAAACATGCAGAATCTAGGTGGAAGTCTGGGATCTCAGAAGATACAAAAGAAGCTTTCCCTTGCACTGCAAGATCACATATGGCAAAGGCTTCAATAAATATCTCTAATGGGCCTACTCTCTTCCTTATAACTCATCTGACATTTTTGTGATACAAGGGAGAACAGTTGAATTGTTTGAAAAACTTGCCTCAGAAAGGGTGAGACAGAAAGCTCACTGGTGAATTGAAAAGGTTTTCATTGTACCGTTATGGGACTGTTTTTAAAAGACTCTATGTTCCTTGTAAAATTCATTCTTGAATCAGATTTGATTTTTAGCAAACAATTTCTTACCTAATCTCAACCTCCAGACTTTAATATTCTAACAATTACATAAGTCCATTGCATTAAAAAGTTCTCAATAGTTATTTTTTTAGTTTTGATAAGTTTTAACAAGACAAAAAGCTGACAAGTCTTAAATTTGGTAAAAGGAGATTTTGAAAAGGAGACTCCAAAAATAATGCATTTAAAATCTAATTTATATGGTGCCTCAGAAGAGTTTCAAACAAATGAATAGTCTTCTAAGAAGTTATAAATTCATGTCCGGGATAGAAATATCTGTGAATCACTAAATTATTTCTCTCATATTTGCTGGTGTAAAACTAGGGAATAGCCAAGCAGCTTACATTATCAACTGCTTATGAGGATGCTAAAATGATATACTTAACTGATATTTCCATCTAGAGGCACTGTATAATTTTGTCACCAAAAATAACTATAGACTCAAGAATATAAGGAGGAATATTTTATATAGTGGCATACAAAGTTATGACATTTATCTGTCATTTTCCCATATTATTTATCCTCAAAAGAGTTTGTTTCTTTACATCATGTGGAAGGATAATTGGTCCCATAAAGAAGTAATTATTTATATCAACGAGGTAATAATAAAAGAGAATGGCTCATAATCTACTGGACGTTGCATGGCCTGTGATGTCTCTTTCCTTCTAGTCACTTTCGAAAGCTCAAATACCAACACCTTTGTAACTTCCTCCTTTTCCCCCATATACATAGTCAATTCTTCTTTTGTACTCCCTCAAATGTTAATTTGTACATTGATTTTCACATTTACATTACTGTATTATAATTACCTACTTACGTTTATGACCTGTCTGATCAATTTTAAATTAGCATTTTCTTCTCCCTTGTGTCTCGGTACATTGTATGCTGACATAGAGCAGATTCTCAATGGATGTTTGTTAAAGGATGCATTTTATTTCCTCAGTAAAACCATTTTATGTCATTAGACAAATTCAAGTATACAGTTAGATTCCAGAAACTATAGTCTACCATATAATTAAAGGTATTTCTGCTATTTTATGTCATTGAACAAATTCAAGTGTACAATTAGATTTCAAAAATTATACTCTCCCATGTAATTAAAGGTATTTCTGAAAAAAAAATGCTTATTCATGAAGGACAGTGTTTTTATAAAATTTGATATCTAATGACTGATGTTTAATAGCTGTGGAATAAAAGAATGCTAAAAGTCATACTGAATGCCTGAAAAAATGAGTCAGTAGTTGGGACTAGAACCAACCAAAAGATCCACAGAGTAGAGGTGATAAGAAGGTGTCTTGAGATTTTAGAATCAATAGCAAAAGCTATTAGTATCCATAGCCATGGAATTAAGCAAAAACAACAGACAGGAGAAGAAAAATTTATTCAGTGATGAAAAGAACATTGAAACCAAAGGGAAGGAACAAGTGACTCATCACAAAAGTGTACCACTATTAAAGGTAAGAGAATAGACCTGCTGTGGAGAGAATTAGAAACTGGTTGCTAATGTGCCTACATATTGAGAAAAACATTCTAGTTCCTATTTTCCTAAATTTCAATCACATCCTTAGAATAAAATTCTATTATCTAAGCTGACCTAAGTTTACTTCTGTTCCTCAAAACCTGAAAGACCCTAACAAAATATACTGGTATAACGAATGACTTAATTCAATTGTGTCTTTTCTACCTACATCCACAAACAAGTACCAAACATCAATTTTTTTTTCAGGAAAACAATCCTCTTATTTTTCATTACATTCTACTGCAGTTAGGACACCACACAAGTTTTACTTCCCCTTTCCTCTGACAATCCACATCTTGTTGCCACGGTCTGATCATTCTACTTCTGTTACACATCTCAAAATAGTGTCATGATCTTCATTCCTACTAGTTTACATATTTTTCATACTCACTTAAGTCTTCCTAATTGATCTCACTACATTTCTTTATTTCTATGTGTTTTTGTGATGGTAAATATCAACCTTTCATTGCCACGTTTAAGTCTCCTTCAAGCATTTCCTGTAGAACCAGTCTAGTGGTGACTAATTTCCTTAGCATTCACTTGTCTGGGAAAGACTTTATCTTTCCTTCATGTATGAAACTTATTCTGGTGGAATATACAATTCTTGACTTAAAGTTTTGTTTTTTCTTTTTTATAGTTCACCACTTTGAAAAATGACACCCAATTTTCTTCTGGCCTGTGAGGTTTCTGCTGAAAAGTCAGCTGTTCATCTGATGGGGTTGTAAAAAGCAGTATAGGTGACTAGATGTTTTCCTCTTGCTAATTTTAAAATTCTTTATTTAACTTTGACGTTAGACATTCTGAATATAATATGCCATGATGTAGTCCTTTTTGCAGTGTATTTTCGTGGGGATCATTGGATCTTCTGGATCTGGATGGCTAACTCTGTTGATAGACTTGGGAAGTTGTCATCAATTATTTTCTTAAACAGATTTTCTATACTTTTTGATACCTCCTCACCCTTGGGAGTACTGATCATTCATAAATTTGCTCATTTTATGTAGTCCCAGACATCTCAAAGGCTTTATTCATTCTTTTTAATTATTTTTGTCTTATTTTAAAATTATTTTAAAAGACCTGTCTTCATGTTTTGAGATTCTTTCTTTTACTTCATCTAACCTATTATTGAAGCTTTCAGATATATTTTATATTTCCTTCAATGAATTATTTTAGTTTCAGAATCTCTGCTTTTTTTAAAAAAGTATCTTTCTTCTTGGTAAATTTCTCATTCACATTCTGAATTGAGATTCTGATTTCTTTAGTTTGTTTTCAGATTTTTCTTGAATCTCACTAAGCTTTAAAATCAGTATTTTGAATCTTTTATTTGGCATTTCAAGGAATTCTTTTTGATTGGGGTCTATTGCTAGACAATCTTTGTGGTCCTTTAGTGGTGTCATATTTCCCTGCTTCTTCATGTTTCCTGTGTCCTTCCATTGATATCTGCACATCTGGTGTAACATTCGCTTGTTCCAATTTTTTGAAATTGCTTTTGTAGGAGATAATTTTTTTTTCCTGAAGATGTATGTATGCTGTGGGTTAAGATACTTTTGCTTTGATTTTGGGTGTCTGTGGTAGTGTTATCTTTGTATGACTTCTTCAGCAGTACAAAGGTTCAGTGGTATCTGTGATTTCCTTGGTAGCTTAGGGTACAGTTACTAGTTGAGGTTTTGGTGAAGTTTTGCTGGGGACTTGGACACCAGCTAAGCCAGTCTTTGGGCCCTGGTGGTGACGGCAGTAGGGTGAGTTTGCCTGTTTTTAGGCCCCAGAGCAACTTACACTGGCTCTGATGTTAGTCGGTTAAAGAGGGCTGATTCTTGGGACTCTGGGTGGCTTTCTTAGAAGCTAGTAGTGGGAGCGGTAGGCCAGATGGGTGTGTGGGTTCTCAGATGCCTGGGCAACTGGTTCATTGTGGGTGATGGCAGGAGCAGCAGTAGAGCAGCCCACTGGGATACAAGTGGCCCATGTTGGTGTTGCTGGAAGCTGAGGTGTGTTAAGTGGGCTAGTCTGTAGTCCCACAGTCATGAGTAGCAAGAGTGGTGGGTATTGTCCTAAGTGTGCTTCGGAGAGTTTGCTCTTCCCTTTCCCTCCCCAGTTAGGTGGCAGCTGCAGCTCTGTTACCTCAAACTCGGCCTGAGGGTGAGGCACAGCCCAGTGTTAAATTTTCAAAATGGTGCCAGCTGTGGGCTAGAAACCAGAAAGGATGGTGCCCATCTCAGGCAAGCAGCACAGGCAAGAAACTTTGGAGAATATGATCTGCTCACATCTCCATCTCAACAGCAGTCCACAGGAGATTGCAAGGGACCCTCCTTGGGTGCATAGGAGCACCCAATCTCAACCTCCCTTCTCCCTTTTTGAAGCCTCACAAAAGCAGCAGCTGCCATGTCTGGAGATCCCTGGTATCCATCCCTCAAAATGATGCCTAGCGGAGGCTGCTAGAACAAAGGCTCAAATACCTGTGAGATTACATGTACATTCCCTTTGTGGAGCAATGTCTCTGAACAACCTTTAGCTACCTCCATATGTCAGGCCTAAAGACCTCATGGGTTGAGGGTTTCTCCTGTAGCCAAGACTGTGGAACCTTGGGGGTTTCTCCATTACTGTTTCCCTGCCTCCAGGAGCCATTTTCCCGCTCTCAGTCAGTCCCTGGCCAGGCAGGCTGCCTTGAACACTCTTCTTTCTTACTCTTGGGCTTCCTGTCTCTTCTCTAGTGAATCCTAGGATTCTCTTCTAGACAATCTGTTTAAAATGTGAGTATCCATTAATTATTCTGGTTCCTCTCCACAGAGGAGGTACATACTACTTGCATCTAGTCAGCCATCTTGATCCCTCTCCCTGCACTTATTCTTTCTCTGTTCTAATCCTAAAATAGCTTTAAGAAAAAATAATTGATAATAAAAGTGGCTGAATACAACATATACATATGTAAATAAGATAGGTCTGTGGAAAAGGTCTCCAATTCATTACAGAATAAATAAATCTGAATGGAGTAAATCATGATGAGTTTATATATATGTTCAAGTCCATAAACTAAGGTTTCTGAGAGGAAAGTTGTGGATGAAATGGATTCTACTGAGACACTGATATGAGGTCAAAGGAAACCTGACACTGAAAAATACTGAAAGGTAGAACATCATCATTGTTAATATACATACTTCTACCAGATTTGTTATGCTGAATAATAGCAATTTTGTTACCTTTAAATTAAATTTAAAATTCAATTTTAAACAGAGCAATTTAAAATAATTTAATCGAAGGTCGCATGGTGGTGGGCAATTGGGAATTGGGGCCAGCAGATGACAAGTGTCGTCTGAGAAGACCAAAGCTAAATGCTTCTGGGTTTTTGAGGGCCCATAACATCGTTCAGTCTTTCCTGTCAGAGAATAGAAACCGCTGGCTCCATGAGAATCCACTAGGAGAAACGTGGGTGGCAATGGAGAGCAAGGACTCAGGATCACTCTCAGACCATTCTGCTCAGTGATCCAGAAATGTACAATATGCCAGGCCTTAAATATGTTAAATATGTTGTAATGAACAAAACAAATATTCTTATTCCCATAAAATTTAAAATTTTGTGAAGGGAGGGAGAATTAAAAATATGTCAAGAAAAAATAAATTATTCACAAACTTTGATAAGTGCTACAAGAAGAATAAAGAGGGTGCTGAAGGAGGGCATAATGGGGGCAGCCACTCTCATACAGGCAGCTAGGAAGGACCTTTGAATAAGGGTCCTGAATAATGAGCAGAAGTCAGCCATGTGAAATGAAGATAATTGTATTTTGGGTGGAGGAAACAATCTTTTCCTAAGGCTATGGGGGAGAAACCTGATTCCAGTGAGTTGAGAAGTTGAACAAGGTGAGCAATCTGCCCAGACCTTACATAAGAAGGAATATGGAGAAATAAGTGGGCAGATTGGTATGGTTCATTGTGGTCATCATCATCATTGGTTGGAAGGGATAGAAATAATATTTATAGAGTGGAGAGAAGGAAACCACAGAAAGACTTGACCCATGGAGGGTTTATGATTTGATTTTGACAACATCAGACTCAGAGAAACCTCTCAGTCCTCAGGGACTAGATGAGTGCATTAGCCTCTCCCTCTCTAGGCCAGCTTCAGGTTTCCAGCTGTACCAACCTTCTTGGGTTTCCATCATTGGCTGGATCAGGGGCTTGTCCTTTGTCATTCTGTACCCTGTTGTTCTTTGTCCCCTGTACACCTCTTATTTACTTTAACTATAATATTTTCTAATTATTTTTCTCTGGGAAGTTTTCATTAGAATTTGCCTTTCATTTCCCCTATTATATCAAATCTGCATTTTAAAGATTTTTATGCTAATTTATTATTTATCACATGGATTAAGAATGGAAAAGATTTAACTCTTGAGTAAGTGATGGGGAAGAAATAGAAAAGAAAGAAGAAAGTAGAGAGAAAGAAGGTGAGATAAAAGCTACCAGCCCGAATATCACGAAAAATCAGGTAGTGTCTACAGTGGCTGAGCACTGGTCATGTGTAAAAAGCAAGAGTATGATTCTGAGCTGTGATATTTGGTGTAAATATAGTTTCTATTTTATGGAAGAAAAGTTTTTAAACTACTTCTGTAAGGACATTTACCTAGCGTACCTAAAAGCTAAATGGATATCATGTTTGATATTTTAAATTTTTTTTCTTGGTAAATACACTAGAATATGTCCATGCCATTTAAAAAAATAATGAAATCTGAGTTGTAAGAAAGGAAGTAAGTGTTGATGGGGATATAAGTTGGGAAACTGTCAAAAGCCAGCTGATTTAAAAGAATGAGAGACCATATAGTATATTTCATCATCTTCAAGCAGACTTACAAGTAAATCCCCAAAGATATAAAATTCGATTACCATGTTAGAGGTGCCAGAGGTAGATAATATGATCCTTATTATAAATAAGTTTACACTAACACATAAAATAAAAAAGACTGAACAAAGCAATAAATATAGAAAAAGTCATGCCAATTTAACCTTCTGGGAGCAGTTACAGGAGAGACTGCTGAAATAGAAAACAGTAGTAGTTACATTTTAATGATTAAAGAAATATGTTTTATTTTAAAAGTCATTTGTTATATTAATGTACAGATATCTTTAAATTTCTTTAGAAATTTCCCAGCTCAAGAGAAAAATCTTAAAGGAATTTAATATACCGTAATTTACTTTACAATGTCATCATTCTTTTAAGATCTTTTCATATATAATTGTGTAAGAACTCACTTAGGATTCTAAGAAGAATGCTTACAATCAGCACACAAGTTCTTATGTTCTCTTGACAGTCCTGGGTGAAAATATTTCTGTAACCTTAGCCAAAAAAAGGCATGCATGCATGACACCTCCATGGCTCTTTGAAATTGGTATCCTTTTGCACAGTACCAAAGTGTTTCTAATTATAGATTTGAGAATATAAGTATTTTAATTTAAAAATTGAAGCTGATGAGGAGGTTCCAAGATGGTCGAATAGGAACAGCTCCAGTCTACAGCTCCCAGGGTGAGCAGCGCAGAAGAGGGGTGATTTCTGCATTTCCAACTGAGGTACCAGGTTCATCTCATTGTGGCTTGTCGGACAGTGGGTGCAGCCCACTGACCGTGAGCCAAAGCAGAGCAGGGCATCGCCTCACCCAGGAAGCGCAAGGGGTTGGGGAATTCCCTTTTCTAGCCAAGGGAAGCCATGACCAACAGTACCCGGAAAATCAGGACACTCCCACCCTAATACTGCACTTTTCCAAAGGTCTTAGCAAATGACACACCAGGAGATTATATTCCGCGCCTGGCTCGGAGGGTCCCATGCCCATGGAGCCTTACTCACTGCTAGCACAGCAGTCTGAGATCAAACTGCAAGGCGGCAGCAAGGCTGGGGGAGGGACATCCACCACTGCTGAGGCTTGAGTAGGTAAACAAAGCGGCCTGGAAGCTCAAACTGGGTGGAGCCCACCGCAGCTCAAGGAGGCCTGCCTGCCTCTGCAGCCATAAAAAAGGATGAGTTCATGTCCTTTGTAGGCACATGGATGAAGCTGGAAACCATCATTCTGAGCAAACTACCACAAAGACAGAAAACCAAACACCGCATGATTTCACTCATAGGTGGGAATTGAAAAATGAGAACACATGGACACAGGAAGGGGAACATCACACACCATGGCCTGTCATGGGGTGGAGGGCTAGGGAAGGGATAGCATTAGGAGATATACCTAATGTAAATGAGAGTTAATGGGTGCAGCACACCAACATGGCACATGTATACGTATGTAACAAACCTGCACGTTGTGCATATGTACCCTAGAACTTAAAGTATAATAAAAATAAATAAATAAATAAATAAAAATTGAAGCTGACAGAAAAAGAATTTTTTTTGAAAAGAAGATGGAATTAAAAACATTTCCTGTGTCTTTGAAAGTTGTATCTCATAAAATATCTGCATTGCCATGATTTATTTTTGTCAAAGGCATTTGAATACATATGATTAGAAATAATTCAAAGATTAATATTTATCATTTTAAGTGCTAATTTTAAAGCTAATTAATAGTCTTATTAAAGTCTAAATAATAGTCACATTTTAGAAACAGAACAGAGACCTCAGAAATAACACCACACATCTACAGCCATCTGATTTTCGACAAACCTGACAAAAACAAGCAATGGGGAAAAGATTTCCTACTCAATAAATGGTACTGGGAAAATGGCTAGTCATATGCAGAAAACTGAAACTGGACTCCTTCCTTACACCTTATACAAAAATTAACTCAATATGAATTAAAATCTTAAATGTAAAATCAAAAACCATAAAAACTCTAGAAGAACACCTAGGCAATACCATTCAGGACATAGGCATGGGCAAAGACTTCATAACAAAAATGCCAAAAGCAATTGCAGCAAAAGCAATTGACAAATGGGATCTAATTAAACTAAAGAGCTTCTGCACAGCACACACACACACACACACACACACACACATACATACACACATATACACACACACACAAACTATCATCAGAGTAAACAGGCTAACTACAGAATGGGAGAAAATTTTTGCTATCTACCTATCTGACAAAGGTCTAATATCCAGAATCCACGAGGAACTTAAACAAATTTGCAAGAAGAAAAAACACATCAAAAAGTGGGCAAAGGATATAAACAGACATTTCTCAAAAGAAGACATTTATGTGGCCAAAAAACATGAAAAAAAGCTCAACTTCACTGATTATGAGAGAAATGCAAATCAAAACCACAGTGAGAAACCATCTCATACCAGTCAGAATGGTGATGATTAAAAACTCAAGAAACAATAGATGCTGGTGAGGCTATAGAGAAATAGGAACAGTTTTACACTGTTGGTGGGAATGTAAATTATTTCAACCATTGTGAAAGACAGTATGGTGATTCCTCAAGGATCTAGAACCAGAAATACCATTTGACCCAGCAATCCCATTACTGGGTATATACCCAAAGGAATATAAATCATTCTACTATAAAGACACATGCACATGTATGTTTATTGCAGCACTATTTACAATAGCAAAGACTTGGAACCAACCCAAATGACCATCAGTGATAGACTGGGTAAATAAAATGTGGTACATATACACCATGGAATACTATGCAGCCATAAAAAAGAATGAGATCATTTCCTTTACAGGGGACATGGATGAAGCTGGAAGCCATCATCCTCAGCAAACTAACACAGGAATGGAAATCCAGACACCACATGCTCTCGCTCATAAGTGAGAGTTGAACAATGAGAACACATGAACACAGGGAGGGGAACAACACACACTGGGGCCTTTTGGGGGATGGCTGATGAGGGGAGGAAACCTAGATGATGGGTCAATAGGTGCAGCAAACCACCCTAGCACACGTATACCTATGTAACAAATCTGCATGTTCTGCACATGTATCCTGGAACTTAAAGTAAAATAAGAAAAAACAGTCACATTTTAAGTGCTAATTAACAGTCTAATTAAATGAATTTCTAAATCATTCATTTAATAAGGCTATTAATTGTATACTTGTTTTCATACTTATTGTTATCGTCAATTAAACAACACCATACTTCTGAATCAAAAATACTGCAAGCATTTCCCTTAACTTTTTCTAAATGACATAGAATTTCTTTTTGTTTTTTTACCCTATTCCTGGAAAGCAGGATAAATGACACAGAATTTCTTGATTAACCAGGTCAATAGGCAGCAGAAAAGCTGGAGAAGAGGTCATGGGTAAGGTAAATAGCAATTAAAATAAAATCAGTGAAAATGTGACATAAAGTATATTTAGTAAGATACTTTCAACCAGGCACAGTGGCTTACGCCTTTAATCCCATGATTTTGGGAGGCCAAGGCAGGTGGCTCACTTCAGCCCAGGAGTTTGAGACTAGACTGCGCAACATAGTGACATCTCTACAAAACATGCAAAAATTAGCCAGGCATGGTAAGTTGCACCTGTGGTTCCAGCTCCTGGGGAGACTTAGATGGAGGGATTGCTTGAGCCCAAGAGGCATAGGTTGCAGTTAGCCAAAATCACAGCACTGCACTCCAGCCTAGGTGACAGTGCAAGACCCTGTCTCAAAAAAATAAAAAATATAAAAATAAAAAACTTCAGATAAAATTATATCTAGTATTGAGATTAAATGTAATACTATGTATTATGTTTCTTTTGTGAGGTAAACTCCTTTTCACTGATACAACAGTAATTTTTTTGTCTTGCAAAGTTCTCTACCAATTTTAAAACCCCTTGATAGAAGCACCATATAAAAGCAATTTACTAATATTATTTTCATTAAACTATTCACCAGAGATCTATACTATTATTTGAACAGCTATAATCAAATAGAAGTTTCAAACTTATCAATGTGTAGGTTTAGATGGGACACCAGAGCTAAGATGGCAGATAGGAGGCAAGACTAGCTTGCAGATCCCACTTGGATGGACAGAGCAGAGTGTGGAGACCCATATCATGAACTTTTGCTTCAAGAAGTACTGCAGGAACATACCAGGAAAACCAAGATAATCCATAGACCCTTTGAAAGAACTGGATCACCACTGCAGGCTCCTTGAGACATGGAAAAACTGTGTGTCTGCCAGCTTTCTCAGTGGGGAGGCTCATGGTCTGAGGAAAGCTCTCAGCCATGGCCACCGGTTGCCTGGAAATAGACTTGGTTCTGTTGAAGGGGCATGGTGGGAGTGAGAACAGCCTTTACGACTGCCAGCTGCATGAGAGAAGGGTGAGGTCTATGACTGCCGGCTTTCCCCCACTTCCCTGGTGACCTCTATGGCTCAGAGAGGGCAGCCATAATCACCCTGAGAATATACCTCCATTGGAGTGGGACCACACCCCCGTGCCCCACAGCAGCTGCAACAACCCCCACCTAATGAGAGGCTGAGCTCAGACACACCTAATCCTGCCCCCACCTGGTGATCTTTCTTTACCCACCCTGGTAGCCAAAGACAAAGGTCATAATCTCTTGGAAGCTCTATGGCCCTGCCCACCTGAGAAACTTGAATACCTAACCAGGTGTCCCTAAGGCAAGTTTGCATCCTCCCTATAGGACCACAGCTGATGTACTCTTGAAAGCACTACCTCCTGGCTGGAGGCCAACCAACACAAAACCAGTGCACTAAACAAAAACACAACCAAGAACCCTCACAGAGTCCACTTCACTCTCCCGCTACCTCCACCGGAGCAGATGCTAGTATCCATGGCTAGGAGACCTGAAGACAGATCACATCACAGGACTCTTTTGCAAACACTCCCCAGTACCAGTCCGGAGCGTGGTAGCTCTGCTGGTTGGCTAGACCTGGAAGAGCAAAAATAATCACTACAGTTCCTAAGGCAAAGGGGAGAACACCACACCCAGGGAGCACCCCATGGAACAAAAGAATCTGAACAGCAGCCCTTGAATCCCCTTGAATCCCAGATCTTCCCTCTAACATAGTCTACCCAAATGAGAAGGAACCAGAAAAACAACTCTGGTAATATGACAAAATGAGGTTCTTTAACACCCCAAAAGATCATACCAGTTCACCCGCAATGGATCCAAACCAAGATGAAATCTCTGAATTGCCAGAAAAAGAATTCAGAAGGTCAATTATGAAGCTAATCAAGGACGCACCAAAGAAAGGTGAAGTCCAACTTAAAGAAATCAAAACCCTAATACAGGATATGAAAGGAAAATTCTTCAGTGAAATAGATAACATAAATAAAAAAAATCACAACTTCTGGAATCAAAGACACTCTTAGAAAAATGCAAAATGCACTGGAAGGTCTCAACAAAAATAGAACTGAATAAACAGAAGAAAGAACTTCGGAGCTCAAAGACAAGGCTTTTCAATTAACCCAATCCATCAAAGACAAAGAAAAAAAGAATTGAAAAAATGAACAAAGCCTCCAAGAAGTTAGGGGCTATGTTAAATGTCCAAACCTAAGAATGATTGGTATTCTCAAAGAATAAGAGAAATAAAAAAGTTTGGAAAACACTTGAGGGAATAATCGAGGAAAACTTCTCCAGCCTTGCTAGAGATCTAGACATCCAAATACAAGAAGCTCAAAGAACACCTGGGAAATTCATTGCAAAAAGATCATCGCCTAGGTACATAGTCATTAGTTTATCTAGAGTCAAGACTAAGGAAAGAATCTTAAGACCTGTGATGCAAAAGTATTTGGTAACCTATAAAGGAAAACCTATCAGATTAACAGCAGATTTCTCAGCAGAAACCCTGCAAGCCAGAAGGGATTGGGGTCCTATTTTTAACCTCCTTAAACAAAACAATTATTAGCCAAGAATTTTGTATCCAGTAAAACTAAGCTTCATAAATGAGGGAAAGATACAGTCTTTTCTAGACAAACAAATGCTGAGAGAATTTGCCACTACCAAGCCAGCACTATAAGAACTGCTCAAAGGAGCTCTAACTCTTGAAACAAATCCCCAAAATATACCGAAATAGAACCTCCTTAAAGCATAAATTGTGTATGTTTAAAGGAAAAGTTTGCCTGTTTATTTCAGACATTTTAATGAGTTTCATGCAAATTGAATAAAACCATCATTACCATATAATAGATATTTAAAAAACTGATTTTTCATTTTTTACTTTATTATGTGTAAAGGACATACATGTAATGCAATATATGCTTCTTACAGTCATACATTGATTAACAATGGGAATATGTTCTGAGAAATGCATCCTTTGGCAATTTGGTTGTGTGAACATCATTGAGTGTACTTACACAAACTTAGATAAGACAGCCTACTACGTACCCAGGCTATATGTAGGAAAGCAATTGTTTATTAGTGAAGTGCTTTTAGCCTATTGCTTCTAGACTACAAACCTGTACAGCATGTTACTGAACTCAATGCTGTAGGCAGTTTTAACACAATGGGAAGTATTTGTATATCTAAACATATTTAAACTAGAAAATGAACAGTAAAAATATGATATGAAAGATAAAAGTAGTATACCTGTACAGGGCACCTACCATAAATGAAGCTTGCAGGACTGGAAGTTGTTCTGAGTGAGACAGTGAGTGAGTGGTGAGTGAATGTGAAGGCCTAGGACATTACTGTAGACTTTATAAACACTCTACACTTAGGCTACACTACATTTAAAAAATACATGTTTTTCAATAATAGATTACTGTAAATGTTTTACTTCATACACATATTTTTAACTTTTTGACTGTTTTGTAATAACACTCAAAAAACAAACACATTATACAGCTGTACAAAAATACTTTCCTTCTTTATATCCTCATCCTATAAGCATTTTTCTATTTTAAAAATTCATTTATCTTTTACTTTCTAAACTATTTTGTTAAAAACACAGACACAAACACACAAGTTAGCCTAGGCCTACACAGGGTCAGGATTATCATTATCACTGTCTTCCACCTCCACACCTTGTTCACTATAAGGACTTTAGGGGAAATACCACACACGAGGCTGTCATCTCCTCTGATAACGCCTTCTTCTGGAATACCTCCTGAATGATCTGCCTGGGGCTGTTCCACAGTAAACTTTTAAAAATATATCAGTAGAAAGAGTTCACTCTAAAATAATGGTAAAAAGTATAGTAAATACATAAGCCAGCAACACAGTGTTTATTATCAAGTATTATGTACTATTCATAATCTCATGTGCTATACTTTCATACAACTTGTAGCACAGTAAGTTTATTTATACAAGCATTACCATTTACATGTGAGTAATGCATCATAGCACCACGTTAAAATGTCTATGACATCAGCAAGTAATAGGAATTTTCAAGCTCCATTATAATATTATGGCATCATCATTGTATATATATCATTGATCAAAATTTCAACATGCAGTGTATCACTGTATAATTAAATGTATAATATATAACAATAAAATGTATATCATTCATATGTACAGATACTTTTTTTTAAAGCTTGAATATTTTGCCCCCTTGGCCTGAATTTATACATTATTGCTAGGGATGTGCATTTGGGAAATAAGAGTACATCTCTCAGCCTCAAATTTCTTATTTTCTCATAAATAAAATGTTATAACTATGAAAACAAAATATATCTCTCCAATGGATAAAAACATTAATTGTAATATCTCTAATACTTATACTCTTAATCTATATAGCATATAGAAATATTGATCAGTTTCCCAATAATGCTGCATATTGTGAGATGTTAATTGGTGATCTAAGAAAAAAAATTCATCGTCAAATAGATTTGGAAATTATTGAAAGACTGATCCATTCACAAAATTGTGAGTAATTTGAATAAGTAACATATGGGCTATGATCCTGTGAGGGAATTATTTCTTAAAGACAAATAAAACTTTTACAACTGAAAACTACTACACAAAATGAAGTAAAATTTAAAATGTATTGAATAGGATCAGTATCAAAATGGAGATATCAGAGTAAAACAGAAGAGAAACAATAGTTTTAAAGAATGTGTACAGAACCATAAGACCCTGTGCATAGCCCAGAAAAATCTAAAATTTGAATAATTTCAGTCTCTGAAAAAGAGAAGTATGAGTGCAGAAATAATGGCTTAAAAATTCTTAAATTTGGTGAAGGTATATGATGTGGTTTGGATCTGTGTCTCCATTCAAATCTCATCTTGAATTGAACTCCCATAATTCCCACATGTTATGGGAGGGACCTGGTGGGAGATAAGTGAATCATGGGGGTGGTTTCCTCCATACTATTCTTGTGGTAGTGAATAAGCCTTACGAGTTTTGATGGTTTTATCAGGGATTTCCACTTTTACATATTCCTCATTCTCTCTTTGTCTGCTGCCATCCACATAAGATGTGATTTGCTCCTCCTTGCCTTTGGCCATGATTGTGAGGCTTCCCCAGCCACATGGAACTGTAAGTCCAATTAAACCTCTTTCTTTTATAAATTGCCCAGTCTCAGGTATGTATTTATCAGCAGCATGAAATTGAACTAATATGTAAATTGGTACCAGTAGAGTGGGGTGCTGCTGAAAAGATACCTGAAAATGTGGAAGCAACTTTGGAACTGGGTAACAGGCAGAGGTTGGAACAATTTGGAGGGCTTAGAAAACTCGAAAATGTGCGTAAGTTTGGAACTTCCTAGACACTTGTTGAATGACTTTGCCCAAAATGCTGATAGCAATATGGACAATAAAATCCAGGCTGAGGTGGTCTTAGATGGAAATGAGGAACTTATTGGGAACTGGAGCAAAGGTGGCTCATGTTATGTTTTAGCAAAGAGACTGGTAACATTTTTCCCCTGCCCTAGAGATTTGTAGAACTTTGAACTTGACAGACATGATTTAGGGTATCTGGCAGAAGAAATTTCTAAGCAGCAAAGCATTCAAGAGGTGACTTGGGTGCTGTTAAAGGCATTCAGTTTTATAAGAGAAGCAGAGCATAAAAGTTCAGAAAATTTGCAGCCTGACAATACAATAGAAAAGAAAAACCCATATTCTGAGGAGAAATTCAAGCAGGCTGCAGAAATTTGTCTAAGTAATGAGGAGCTGAAGTCAATCCCTAAGACAATAGGGAAAATGTCTCCAGGGCATGTCTGAGGTCTTCACGCAGCCCCTCCCATCACAGGCCCAGAGGCCTAGGAGAAAATGTTTTTGTGGGTGAGGCCCAGGATCCCTGTGCTGTGTGCAGCCTAGGGACTTGGTGCCCTGCGTCCCAGCCACTCCAGCTGTGGCTGAAAGGGGCTAGTGTAGAGCTTGGGCCTTGGCTTCAGATAGTGCAAGCCCCAAGCCTTGGTAGCTTCCACATGGCATTAAGCCTGTGAGTGCGCAGAAGTCAAGAATTTGGGTTTGGGAACCTCTATCTAGATGATTTCAGATGTATGGAAACACCTAGATACCCAGGCAGAAGTTTGATGCAGGGGCAGGGCTTTCATGGAGAACTTCTGATAGGGGAGTGCGGAAGGGAAATGTGGGGTCGAAGCCCCCACACAGAGTCCCTGCTGGGGCATCTCCTAGTGGAGCTGTGAGAATAGGGCCACTGTCCTCCAGACCCCAGAATGGTAGATCCACCTACAGCTTGCACCACGCACCTGGAAGAGCTGCAGACACTCAATGGAAGCCTGTGAAAGTAGCCAGGAGAGAGGCTGAATATACTCTGCAAAGCCACAGGGGTGGAACTGCCCAAGACCATGGGAATCCACCTCTTGCATCAACATGACTGGGATGTGAGACACGGAGTCAAAGGAGATCATTTTGGAGCTTTAAGATTGACTGCCTCTCTGGATTTTGGAATTTCATGGGCCCTGTAGCCCCTTTGTTTTGGCCAATGTCTCCCATTTGGAAGAGCTGTATTTACCCAATGTCTGTACCCCCATTATATCTAGGAAATAATTAGCTTGCTTTTGATTTTACATGCTCATAGGCAGAAGGGACTTGCTTTGTCTCAGATGAAACTTTGGACTGTGGACTTCTGAGTTAATGCTGAAATGAGCTAAGACTTTGGGGAACTGTTGGGAAGGCATGATTGGTTTAGAAATGTGAGGACATGACATTTGGCAGTGGCCAGGGGCAGAATGATATGGTTTGGTTCTGTGTCCCCACCCAAATCTCATCTTGAGTTGTACTCACATAATTCCCACGTGTTGTGTGAGGGACCTGGTGGTGGATAATTGAATCATGGGGGCGGTTTCCTCCATACTGTTCTTGTGGCACTGAATAAGTCTCAAAAGATTTGATGGTTTCATCAGGGGTTTCTGTTTTTGTGTCTTCCTCATTGTCTCTTTGCCTGCTGCCATCCATGTAGGACATTAGTTGCTTCTGCTTGCCTTTGCCCATGATTGTGAGGCTTCCCCAGCCACACAGAACTGTAAGTCCAAATAAACCTCCTTTTTTATAAATTGCCCAGTCTCAGGTATGTCTTATCAGCAGCAGGAAAACAGACTAATACAGTATACTTACAGATTTAAGAAGTTCAGTAAAACTCAAATGGGATAAATGCACAAAAAATCCATACCCAGATGCATCACAATCAAATGGCCAAAAACTAAAAACAAAGAAAAAACACTTGAAAGCAACTCTTGAAAATATTACGTTACATATTGAGGATCAAGAATTCACATGTTTTGGGATTTATTGGAAAAGATAGAGGTAAGAGAACAGTAGAAAATATTTCTAAAGAGCTGAAAGTAAAGAACTCTTGACCCAGAATTCTAAATCCAGTGAAAATATTTTTCAGGAATAAAGGAAAAAAATAAAACATTCTCAAATGAAAGGAAACTAAGAGAATTTGTCACCCATTATATCTCATTAAAAATCTATATAAAAAGGAAACAAATAATAAAATGGTAGACAGAAATACAAACATATCAATAATTACATTAGCTGTGCATAGTCTAAAAATTAAAATACAGAAATTGTCAAGTTGAATTAAATTTTTTAAAGACTCAATTTTGTGCCAGTTACAAGAAATCTATTATAAATATAATCAGATAAATAAATTAAAAGTAAAAAGATGAAAAATGACATACCATTTAATCATTAACCAAAAGAAAACGTAGTAGCTATATTAATATCAAATGAAGTTAATTTCAGAGCATGAAAAATTGTCCAGATTAAAAATATTAAAAGGGCTAATTCACTGACAATAAACAAACTATTCTAAATGTGTCTTCACATAACAATGAGCCTCCAAAGTACATGAAGAAAACCTGCTAGAACTGAAAGGAAATAAAAAAGACGTATCTACAATTATAGTTAAAGACTTTAGCATTCCTCTCTTAGTAACTGATATAAAAGAAAATCAGCAAGGATATAAAAAATTCTTAAACTGGACTTCAGTAAAATAAAAGCATTTTGCTCTTCAAAAGACATTGTTAAGAGAATGCAAAGAGCAGCTATAGACTGATTAGCGACAATTGCAAATCACATACTTAACAAAAGGCTTGCATCCAGAATATAAAAATAAATTTCAAAACTCAGCAATAAAAAAGCAAACAACCCAATGTCTTTTAATGGGAAAAAGATTGAACAAATACTTCACAAAAATGTCAAGTAAGTACACGCAAAGATGCTCAATATTCTTTGTCACAATGATTAACCATAGTAACAGTTGCTACAGGTTCTTACACATGAAATCATGTTCAGTTGGCTAAATGTTTAAATACTAAAATAAAATACCTAAATACCAGAAATGGCTCAATGGCTTGCAATCAAATTTTCACAATTTTCCTTTCATTTTATGTTGTAAAAAGGTAGAAATAATATAAATATTTTAGAGTCAAAGTTTTAAAATAAAAATATGTGGAATATTATATCATTGTGCTTTCTCCTATTTTTATATATGTTAGCTGTTTATATATTACCATCTCCTGAAACAGAGTAGCAAATAAAGTGTAAGTTGCATTTTCCTCTATTTTATTGACTAAAGAAAGTATGCTTTTATAATAAAGGGTATATGAAATCCAAAGGCTGAAACTTCTAATAGTTTCCAAGTGTTTTTCATTTTTTTTTCTATTTAGATATACAGTTCATTTTTATTAGTGGAAATTCATTCTCAAAGTTGAACTTGGTTTAGGTCTTGGCAAATCATTTTTCAATTCTAACACCCAGTGTTGTGATATTATGCAGAAAAAGATACTCTCATACATTTCTAGGTGGAGTGTATATTAGTTTAAAAAATTCTAGCAGGTAATCTTCAATATTCAAAATAATCTGAAAATAAAAGAATCACCTTTTCTTTAGTATATAACATTTTATTAATTATTAACTAATATTGACTGCATCCTAGGCACTTTGCAAATACATGATATTCATTATTTTTATGAATCGTCTTAAAAACTTTGTATAGTAGGTAATATTTTGTTATATCTATCTTATCTATGAGAAAATTGAGGCTTGCAGAATCTTGTACAAGGTCATACAATTAGCATAAATAGAGCCATGAGTAGCTAATTATAGAGAGTAAATTAGCATTGTACCTCTCTAAGAGTAAATGCTTATTAAATTGTCTCTTTAAAAAAATTTTCAAGTGACTATGTTTATAATCACCTCTTTAAAATTACTACTAAAATCCTATTTATATGGATAAAATTGAGGAAAATGCTTGGAGGTATCTCTTGACAGCATTATGGTGAGAGCCAATGTCCCAAAAGGATCATATTTAATACAAATCTGTTGATTGGCCTCAGAAGATCTATGATGAATACAGAAGCAGTCCAGGGGCAAGGAAGAAAGGAAGCCTTAATTAGAAGGAAGAGAATCAAATTCCTGAGCTCTGGCCAAGAACAGAGATTGGCTAATACTATGTGTTATGTAATGTAATACCAAGTATTAATACAATGGTTACAAGATCATTTGACCCTTTGTTAAAATTGAAGAAATTAGTTATGTATCTTCCTTTTACGCATACATTTATTTTTTATTTTGTCCTTCTACTCATCTACTCATTTTTTCTTTTTGTTTTTTTTTCTTTCAGATGGAGTCTCACTGTGTTGCCCAGGCTGGAGTGTAGTGGAGCAATCTTAGCTCACTGCAACCTACCCCTCTGAGGTTCAAGTGGTCCTCCCACCTCAACCTCCCGAGTAGCTGGGATTACAGGTGCAGGCCACCATGCCTAGCCAACTTTTATATTTTTAGTAGAGACAGGGTTTCACCATGTTGGCCAGGCTGGTCTCAAACTCCTGACCTCAAGTGATCCACTCACCTCAGCCTCCCAAAGTGCTGGGATTACAGGCATGAGCCACAGTGCCCTGCCTATTTTTTCTAAATTAAAAATACATACTGAAACCATATGTGTTTGCTGAAAAGCTATTCGTTTTATTAACTTAACACCTATACTGCCTTATTTTCTAGGTTTTCAATGTATAGGTCATCATAATCCCTAAATTTTGCCTTCATATAACAGGAGATACAGAGAAAACATCCAAATCTACTCATAATTATTTTAATGCATTCATCTCATTCTGTATCTTTACTATTACAAAGAGTGTAATGGAAGAAGAACTAGCTGGCTAATATCTAATTAAAGTGGCATAAACAGTAACTTTAGAATCACCTCTGCTTTGTTGCACTGCTGCTCACCAGGTACCTTTGGTGACTTCTCATCCATAGACCATAGGTCATTGATTTGTAATAACTATCATTAATTTAAAAGACCGGAGCTTCGTTTCTTAATTTCTTTTAGAATGAATGTCCTGATGTTAATTGCCTTACTGCTTTGCACTAGGTTAAATTTTCTTTCCTTTCAAAAGATGGCAAAAGTAAAGTTTCACCATAGCAAAAAAGTTATCTTTAGCCGAAATAACTGGCATGATCTGTTAAATATGTTTTAAACCTATCTTGTTATTGCTGGTTAGTTTGTCATTAATCATTAAGTTTATAGAATATATCAACAAAATATGAAAAAAACTCCTTCTTTTAAGAGTGTGTGACATAGAAATATGTCTTCAGGGATTTCCTTCTATGTAATTTTTCAATTCCTTTGCCACTAGGAAAATGATGTATCTCACTATGAGTTTTAAGAGTTGTCAAATATAAACATTTAAATGGATTTAAAGTAAATGTATGGGAAAAGCATATAATATGAAAAATAAGTTGGAGTGGCAATTTTCATGAGATAAAGCAGACTTCAAGACAAGATTATTACCAGAGATAAAAAGGAGCATGTTATAATCATAGAGGTACCCAACAACAAGGTTTAAAATACATGAAAAAATAGGAAATTGAGACAATTCCACAATTGTAGTAGTATGTTTTAATTCTGTTATCTCAGAAACCTGTACAAAATGAGCAAAGTCTTACATGATTGGAAAAGTCTGATTTTGTCTAATAAAAATTTTTAGCATCTTTATTGAGACATAATTCACATGCCATAGATTTCATTCTTTTAAAGTGTACAATTCAATAGTTTTTAGCGTATCCAGTTTTGCAGCCATCACCGAAATTTAAATTTAGAAATATATTAATAACATTAAAAAGAAACCCTATTATATGTTTATTCCCTAATCCCCTCAGTCTCAGGCAATCATAAATCTTTCTGTCTCTAAAGCTTTGCCTATTCTGGACATTTCATATAAATGGAAGAATTATAATACATAAAATAACGTATTTCCGTTTCCTCTATGTTGTAGCCTGTATTTGTATTTCATTTCTATTTATTGCTAAATAAAATCACCCCCCAAAAAACCTACAGTTAACTTTATTTTTAAAGGTGAAACACTAGGTCCTGCCACCAGCCCCACCCATGCATGAACAATGCCCATACATTCCCCTTGTAACAGGCCCACTGATCTGAAATCCAACTATGAACTCTGAAGCAGACCTGTAACTCAGCTCCATTTCTGCTCTAGCATAAACTGGGAGCAGTCTTGCTCACTTAATTAAGGGGCCCAGTAAGGGACATACCTTTCCATGCCTCCAGTAGCAGGCCTGTCCACCTAAGACCAGATTGCAGATACTGAAGCAGCTCTGTGATTAAATTCCAGCACCACTCTACTGCAGTCTGGGGGACATTCCATCAACCCAAAAACCCAGCAAGAGAAGGCCTTTACCTTCTGAAAACAGTCTGTAAAGACTGGAAGAGGCATTTACCCCTCCAGATGCATACACACATGGATCATGAAGAAACAGGCAAACATGACACCACCAAAGGAAATGACCCTTTAAAAAAATGTAGATTCATTAACTGCTCGACAAAGAATTTTAAGTAAGCATCTTAAAGAAGCTCAATTAGCTACAAGAGAACAAAAATGGACACATAAACAAAATCAGAAAAAACAATACATGAACAGAATGAAAAGTTTAATTAAAAAATAGAAACCATTAGAAAGAATTAAATGACAATCCAGAGCTGAAGAATATGATGAATTAACCGAAAAAGTGATAAAGAGCTACAACAGTAAACATGATAATACAGGAAAAAAAAACAAAAAACTGGTGATCTCAAAGACATGTTATTTGAAATTAGCCAGTTAGAGAAACAAAATGAAAAGAGAATGAAAGAGTGAAGAAAAGCATATATGACTTGTGGAACACCATCAAGTGTACAAATATACAAATTATGAGATTTCCAGAAGAAAAAGAGAAAGGAAAACAGAAAGCTTAAAGAAGTACCGGTTGAAAATTTCCCAAATCTTGAGAGGAATATGAACATCTAGATTTATAAAGCTTAGGGGATCCCAGGCATGATTAACCCAATGAAGAATACTCAGGGACATATTATAATTAAATTGTTGAAAGTTAAACACAAAAAAAGAATAATGAAAGCTATAAGAAAAAAAAGGTTCATTATATACAAGGGAACTCAATACCATCAATGGACTTCTTTAGAGTAACCTTGCAAAGCAAGAGGGAGTTAGATGATACAGTCAAATGCTGAAAGAAAAAAAAGAATACTTACCCAGCAAAACTGTCTTTTTAGAATGAAAGAGAGATAAAGACTTTCCCAGAGAAACAAAAACTGAGGAAGTGCATGACTACTAGACCTGCTTCACAAGAAATGCTGAACAAATTTCTACAAGTTTAAACAAAAAGATGCTGAACAACAACATGAAAGCATAATAAAGTATAAATCTCACTGGTAAAGGTAACTGTAATCACAAACACAGAATACTATAACCCATATTAAAGGAAGAAAGTAGTCAGAATAATTACAAATACAGAAATATGTTAATGACAATACAACATGGAAAGAAATTATTATGTCATTAATTACATAAAGTTTGTTGGGGGGAGTGAAGTCTAGTGTTTATGTGATTGATGTGAAGTTATTTCAGCTTAAGACATGTGGCTATATAAATAAAATGTTCAATGTGAGCCCCATAGTAACCACACACAAAAAATATACATCAGGTAGACAAAAGATAAAGAGAAAAGAATCAAAGCACACCAATACAAGAAATTATCAAACCGCAAAGAAATACAAGAAGAGAGGAACAAGAGAAATATAAAACAGACAAAAAACAATTTAAACAGTGGCCAAAGGCAATCCTTAGTATCCAAAAATTACTAGAAATATAAATGAACTATACTTTTTAATCAAAAGGCATAGGAGTGGCGGAATGGATTTTTTTAAAAAAAGAAAAAAAACAAGGCCCAAATATATATTGTCTTCAAGAAACTAAAAGTGAAGAGATGAAAAAAGATATTCCATGTAAATTGTAACCAAAAGAGAGCAGGGTGGTTAAACTCATATCAGGCAAAACAGACTTTAAGTCAAAAACTATCACAAGAGACAAAGAAGTTAATTATATAATCATAAAATGGTCAGTTCAAAAGGAAGATATAATAATTATAAACATATATGCACCCAAGATAAAAGCACCAAAATATATAAAGCAAACATTGGTAAATCTGAAGGTATAAACAAACATTAGCAAAATAAGAGTAGAAGACCCCACCCTGTACAACAGATGGATCAACTACACAGAAGATCTGTAAGAAAACCACAGAAACAAAGAACACTGCAGACTACATAGAGCTAACAGACATACAGAAATTCTACCTTGTGGCAGCAGAATACACATTCTTCTAACGTACACATGGCACACTCCCCGGGATAGATCAAATGTTAGTTTATAAAACAAGTCTTAACATATTTAAAAATGTCAATATTGGCCAGGCTCACACTTGTAATCCCAGCACTTTGGGAGGCCGAGGCGGGCGGAGCACGAGGTCAGGGGTTCAAGACCAGCCTGGCCAACATGGTGAAACCCCATCTCTACTAAAAATACAAAAATTAGCTGGGCATGGTGGCAGACACCTGTAATCCCAGCTACTAGGGAGGCTGAGGCAGGAGAATTGCTTAAGCCCGAGAGGTGGAGGTTGCAGTGAGCCGCGATTGTACCACTGCCCTCCAGCCGGGGTGACAGAGCGAGACTCTGTCTTAAAAAAAAAAAAAAAAAAAAAAAAAAGTCAATATCACTCCAAGTATATTTTCCAACCACAAAAAATAAAACCTAAATCAGTAACAATAAGAAAACAGAAAAATTCACAAATACATAGAAACTGAATAACAGACTCTTAAACAATCACTGGGTCAAACAGAAAACCAAAAGAGAATTCTAAAAACATTTTGAGACAAATGAAAATAAAAACACAACATACCAAAACTTACGGGATACAGCAAAAGCAGCACTTTTTCCAATGAAAAAAAAACAGCCAACAGGAATATGGAAAGATGCTCAAAATCACTAATCAGCAGTGAAATTCAAATCAAAATCATTAACAGATATCACCTCACACCTATTTAAAAGGCTATTATCAGAAAGACAAAAGATAGCACACTTTGGAAAGGGTATGAACAGGAAATGCTTATACATTGTTGGTAATAAAGTAAATTTTTATAGCCATTATGGAAAACACTATGGAAGCTCCTGTTAAAAAAAAGAGAATTACCAAATGATTCAGCAACTCCTCTTCTGGTATTAAATCAGTATCTTGATTTAAAAATATTAAATCAGTATCCTGCAGAAATATGTACATGACCATGTTCACTGAAGCATTATTCATAATAGCCAAGATAGAAAAACAACCTAAATTTTCACTAACAGATGAGTAGACACAATACACACATGTATACATATACACACACAAACACACAATGGAATATTATTCAGCTGTTTAAAAAAAAGAAAATCCTGCCTATGTAACAACATGGATGAAACTTGAGAACATTATGCTAAGTGAAGTAATCCAGAAACAGAAAGAAAAATAGTGCATGATCTCACATGTATTCAGAATATAAAATATTAGAACTCATAGAAGCACAGAGTCAATGGTAGTTGCTAGGTATTGGAGGTAGGGAAAATGAGGAAATGTCAAAGGACACAAAACTTCAGTTATGCAAGATGAATAAATTCTGAGGATCAAATGTATAGCACAGCAACTACAGTCAACCATACTGTATTGTATACTTGAAATCTATTAAGAGGGTAGATCTTAAGAGTTCTTGGCCGGCATGGTGTCTCAGGCCTGTATTCCCAGCACTTTGGGAGGCTGAGGAAGGCAGATCACTTGAGGCCAGGAGTTTGAGACCAGCCTAGCCAACATGACAAAACCCTGTCTCTAGTAAAAAATACAAAAATTATCCAGGCATAGGGGTGTACACCTATAATCCCAGTTACTGGGGAGGCTGAGGCACAGGAATTGTTTGAGCTCAGGAGGCGGAAGTTGCAGTGAGCAGAGAAGGTCCACTGCACTTCCAGCGTGGAAGACAGAGTGAGACTTTACCTCAAAAATGAAATAAATAAAAAATAAAAATTAAAAAAAGTGAGTTCTTAACACATACAGAGAAAAAGGTAACTATGTCAAGGGAGGAATATGTTAAGTTGCCTGATTTTGGTAATCATTTAACAATGTATACTTATGTCAAATCAACAAATTGTATCCCTTAAGTATATACAATTTCTATTTGTAAATTATACCCCAATAAGGTGAGAAGAAAAAATAAATATAAACATGAAATTGGGAATATCATTTATAACTATAAGGGATACAAAGTTTGGAGGTGGGGATAAGCGGGAGAAAATGTTTTTGATTTTAGATATTGCTACTTTTTTAAAAGGCTGAATGGTATCCTATGGTATAAACAAGCCATAATTTAAATATTGCCCAATTGTTGAATATTTTTCTTATCTCCATTTTTTCCATCATAATAAATACTTTAATAAATGCCCTTGAGCATACAGTCTATTTTGTATTTTTTCTATCATAATAAATAATTTAATAACTGCCCTTGAGCATATAGTCTAGATTATTTTGCAATCATTTCTGTAAAAGAGATATTTAAAGTGTTATATCTGGAATAAAAGTCAAGACCATTTATTTTTACTTTCACAGACAAAAATTGCTTCACAAATGTATAGTCCCAACAGAAATATAGAAACATATTTTTCTCTCACTTTAACCGATAATATATAGTGTTTATATTTTTAATTTTGTCCCAATACAGCTACCTTTGTTCATCTTTTTCTTTACAAATTCTGGAATTTGAATTAGAAAGAATTGATTTCACAGTTATAGAATCTCTATGTTATCTTCTAATGCTTTTTAAAGTCTATTGTTTTTCAGTTGATTCTATTTAATTTCCTAGATAGATAGTTATATCATCTGCAAATAAGGACAGTTACATCCCATCTCCCAATATTGTATCTACCTAAAATGTGTATAATAATACTTAGATTCCAAGGATCATAAGGTCTGGTAAATTGTAGTTTTGTGGCACAGTTGTGATGTTTGTTTTCAATTTCATGTTGAAATGTAATACCCAATGTTGAAATGTGATCCCCAGTGTTGAAGGTGGGGCTTGATAGGAGGGGTCTGGGTCATGGGGGCAGATCCCTCATGAATGGTGTCCCCCCAGTGGTAATGAGTAAGTTCTCACTCTACTAGGTCATGCGAGAGCTGGTTGTTAAAAGAAGCCTGGCACCTGCTCCTCTCTCTTTTGCTCCCCCTTCACTTTTTGCCATGAGTAGAAGCTTCCTGAGGCCTCACCAGAAGCCAAGCAGATGCTCACGCCATGCTTGTACAGCCAGCAAAATCAGGAGCCAAATAAACCTCTTTTCTTAATAAATTACTCAACCTCAAATATTTCTTAATAGCAACACAAAACAGATTAATACACGTTGTATATTAAAGTAACTGATAACTGTAAAGTACTACATAGATGTCAAGTACTACACTTTTTTAGCATCACCTTAATAGAAGGCACTTAATAAACATGTGGAAAACCATATTAAACATGAATTATTTGTAGAAGAAACTAAAACTTTTTTCATAAAAAATATTTGGCAATTATAAAAAATTTCAATTAGAATATGAAATAGTCTCATATTAAATATATATATTAAAATAATTTATATTTATATTTTATCAAGTAATCAAATGATATTTAATAGCATTCTGACTAGAGATACAAGTCTATTTTCCTCATATTTATTTTGATGTATAGTGAAAGATAAGGGCAATTAAACTTAAGAAAAAGTCATATTTAACAAAACACAATTGCCCCTGAATTGGCACCCTTCTTAGAATATGGCTTTTTAGGGCCGGGCGCGGTGGGTCATGCCTGTAATCCCAGCACTTTGAGAGGCCGAGGTGGGCGGATCACGAGGCCAGGAGATCAAGACCATCCTGGCTAACACGGTGAAACCCCGTCTTTACCAAAAATACAACGTCTTTACTAAAAATACAAAAAATTAGCCGGGCGTGGTGACGGGCGCCTGTAATCCCAGCTACTAGAGAGGCTGAGGCAGGAGAATGGCGTGAACCCGAGAGGTGGAGCTTGCAGTGAGCCGAGATAGCGCCACTGCGCTCCAGCCTGGTCGACAGAGCGAGACTCTGTCTCAAAAAAAAAAAAAAAAAAAAAAAAAATTAGAAGAATGTGGCTTTTTAGTTTTTGAAGGTTATTATCACATTATTATCAGTGTTTACATAAATCTAAATCAAAATGAAATATTTATGGCAAAAAAATACTCCCTAAGAGTTGCTGCTGTCAAGTTCCTGGGAGCAAACTAAGAGATGCTGCAGGTGATAACCAGTGTTTCATTAGCAAATGTGAACATTTGCTCTTTATTGAGGACTGAGTGAGATGTATGAATAGAAGATCAATAGATTCAATGTTTTATGAAGTATCATCTTTAGAGCCAAGTCCACAGAGTATCACAAGAACATGTAAATTCAAAGTTTCCCATGCTGAAAATGATTTCTTAGTCTCAATCTTATCATCTTTAAAATAGAAGTAACACTTGTCAACACGTGATTGCAGTTTACATCACTTATCAGAGCTGCACTTGCGTCTGGCAGAATATCATAAACATTTCACATCCTATCTGCAAATAAAATGGGACGGGGCCTGGAATAAAGTTAATTCAAAACATGCTTAATTTCGAATTTGATTAATATAAGGAAGATAATTGTTACATTAATTTTAATAAATATGTTAAAAGGTTAAGTGTTGTTAATACAGATAGGAGGAATTTTCCTCTTAAGCTCTAACATCAATATTCCTCAAATTTAAAAATGATAAATTTTTCTATTTTATTACATCCTTTCATAAGGAATATTCATATACATAAGGACTTATATAATGTTGAAACTATACCAAATTCGGATACTAAATATCAAATAGCAATAGTAATGCTTTTGTTTCTTCAGAGGGATTAAAGTGTTCATTTTAAGCCTAAGCAAATAAGAGTTGAGATTTTAATATATCTCATTTAAAAAAATAAAGAAGCAGAGAATATGATTATTAAGGTATATAGAATTGAACTTCATGATTGAACCATCTGACCTAATCAGCATATGGAGAACACTGCATGCCTAGTGCAGATTGCATATTCTTTACAAATATACAGAAAACAGCTACCAAATTACACAATATGCGGGCCCCTAAAGCAAGTCTCATCAAATTTCAAAAACAAAATTACAGACCATATTTTTTGACCAAGGCATTATTAAACTAGAAATCAAGACTAGAAAAATTATTGAAATTTTTCCAAATATTTTGAAATTATGAAACAGAAATAATCAATGGGTCAAAGAAAAGCCCACAATGTAAATTAGAAACTGCTTGAAAATTAGTTATATTGGAAATACAGTATAAAAGATTGTGGGAGAAATCTAAAGATGTACTTTAACAGAAATTTATAGTTTAAGTGCATATGTTAAGGAAAAAGAAAGAGGAGAGTGACATCAGCAAGATGGCAAAATATAAACATTTTACTCTTTTTTTAAAATCTCTGCCCCAATCTACTTTATTTTGATGATTCAAATGACATCTTTTTATATTGCAAATCTATTAGCATAGACTTATAATTACTTTTTATAATTTTGTTATAAAAATTATTACAGAAAGCTCCAGATCCTCCTCCCACAGAGACACATAATTAACAACAATATGTGAGCCTATCTGAGAAATTCAAAAACAAGTAAGAGGTTCTTGCAACCCATATTAAGAGTGAAGCAATCTGCATCAAAACCCAGTAGGAAAATTTGTAGCATTCTCTTACCAGAGCCTATGGCATGATTCGGAGAAAACCACCAACTCCCCATTCCTCGTTAGGAAAGGGAAACAGTAGAATGTGTATACAACATTGTGATTTGGGAGGCTTCCTGGGAATTGTTTTCTGTTTTGCCTGAATCTAACTACTGGCAGTAACAGGTGTGCCACATTGTAGCCACTTAGAACAAATGCAATCAACCTGCCCCAGAGTCTGCAGTAACGCATGCAGACACTAGTTGAAGCTCCAATACCATGGCTTACTATGGCACCAGAGACACTGCATGTATCACAAACTCCAGGGAAAACTCCTGGGTAGAAACAGGCAAACATCCTCAATTAGGAGATTACAAGCACAAGCCCAAAGAGGACATATCATCAGAAAAGATTTGAGAAGTCTCCAGAATCTCTAGGTGGGCTGATTTTAAAAAATTCTCCCTATACAAATCCAGATTACAAAGTCTGGAAAAAGTGGCCGATTATTTAAATGATAAAGTCCAAACAAAAGATAACAAGACATACAATGAAACAGGAAAACATGTCCCAGTCAAAGAAACAAATTAAAAAGAGACTCCTTATGTACATGGGGGCTTTTATTATCAGCAGATTTTTCTGCAGAAACCTTATAGATGAGAAGGGAATAAGATGATTTATACAAAGCACTGAAAGAAAGAAAAAAACCTGTCAACGAAAATTAGTGTATCTAGCAAAACCACCCATCAAAAACAAAGGATAAATTAAGACTTTCCCACGTAAAAGCTGAGGGAGTTCATCACCACTAGACCTTCCCTATAAGAAATGCTGAAGGGAATAATTTAAGTTGAAGTGAGAGAATAATAAACAGCAGCACAAAACCACATGAAAATATAAAATTCTCTGGTGACAGCATACATATAGGCAAATATAGAATCCTGTAGTATTACAATGTAAGCATGTAAACTTTTAAATCAAGTGTAGAATTTTAAAAAACAAAATTATAAAAAGTAATAGTAAGTCTATGCTACTAGATATGCAATATAAAAAGATGTCATTTGAGTCATCAATAAAATAAAGTGGATGGGGCAAAGATTAAAAAAGTCAAGTTTTTATATGTGATTAAAATTATCCATTTAAAATAGATTGTTACAACTTTAAGATTCTTTATACAATTGCAATGATAACCACGAAGAAAATATCTACTGAATATTCACAAAAAAAATCAGAAGAGAAATTAAATGTGTCAACACAAAAATTAAACAAAACAAGTTAAGGCAGCAAGGAAGAAAAGGAAGAACAAAAAGCTACAGAACATGCAAGACAAAAGCACAATGCCAATGGTATTTCCTATCAGTAATTACTTTAAATGCAGATGAATTAAATGTCCCAATTTAAAATCATAAATTGGATGAATGGATAAAATATCTTCAACCAAGATGCAGCTATATACTGTCTACAAGGGACTCAGTCTAGACCCTGGAATGTACACATTGGTTAAAAGTAAAAGAATGAAAAAGGATAGTTCATGCAAATAGGAACCTAAAAAGAGCCATATTTACAATAGAGAAAATAACCTTTAAGATAAAAACTGTCACAGGAGCCAAAGAAAAACATTATATTAATATAATGAAAAAAGCTAAATTCATCAGTAAGATATAATTAGTAATTATAAATATATATACACCTAACATTAGAACTTCCAAATATGTGAAGCAAACACTGGCAAAACTGAAGGAAGAAATAGACAGCAACATAATAATAATAATATGAGACTTCAGTACACTTTCAGTTGTGGATAGAGCAAGGAGACAGAACATCATGAGGGACACAGAGAACATGAACAATACTGCGGAGCACTTGGACCTAACAGACGTAAAGAGAACACTCCACAGGCCGGGCGCGGTGGCTCACACCTGTAATCCCAGCACTTTGGGAGGCCAAGGCGGGCGGATCACGAGGTCAGGAGATCGAGACCATCCTGGCTAACACAAACCCCGTCTCTACTAAAAATACAAAAATTAGCCGGGCGCAGTGGCTGGCGCCTGCAGTCCCAGCTACTCTGGAGGCTGAAGCAGGAGAATGGCGTGAACTCAGGAGGCGGAGCTTGCAGTGAGCCAAGATGGCGCCACTGCACTGCAGCCTGGGCGACAGAGCGAGACACCGTCTCAAAAAAAAAAAAAAAAAAAAAAAAAAAAAAAAAAGAACACTCTGTAAACAACAGCAGAACACACATTCTTCTCTAGCGCCCATGGAACACTCTTCAGGATACACCAATGTTACACACAAAACAAGTCCTTAAAAATTTAAGATTTAAATTACACAAAAATATCTTCTCTGACAACAATGAAATAAAACTAGAAATCAATAGCAGAAGAAAAACAGAAAAATCCACAAATATGTACAAATTAAATAATACACTCTCCTACAAACAATAGATGAAAGAAAAAAATCAAAAGAGAATTTAGAAACTGTGGAGACAAATGAAAATTAAAAAGATGGGATGCAGCAAAAGCAGTACTAAGAAGGAAGTTTATAGCAACAAAAACTCATAGCAATAAAATACTTACAGCAATAAAAATATTTACTTACATTAAAAAATAAAAAATATCTAAAATCAATAACCTAACTTATAACCTAAGCAACTAGAAAAAGAAGAATGAGCTAAACTCAAAGTCAGCAGAAGGAAGTTTAAAATAATAATTAAAACAGGTATAAATGAAATAGAAAATAGGAAAACAATTTTAAAATAAAACCAATTGTTGGTTTTTTGAAAAAATAAATAAAACCCTTCGGTAGACTTAAGTGAGAAAAAAAAGACGACTCAAATAAATTAAAACCATAAATGAAAAAAGAGACATTACAACTAATGTCATAGAAATAAAAATGATTATGAGAATACTATCCACAATTATATGCCAACAAATCAGATGAATTAGATAAAATGGATAAATTTCTAAAAGCATACAGTCTACCAAGACTGAATCATTAATAAAAAAATATGGAGAGAGCTGGTAATCTCAGCACTTTGGGAGGCCGAGGTGGGCGGATCACAAGGTCAGGAGTTTGAGACTAGCCTGGCCAACAAAATGAAAAAGAGATATCACCTCAAACCCACTAGAATGGCCACTATCCAAAGAACCAAAATTAACAATCATTGGTGAAGCTGCAGAGAAATTAGAACCCCTGCACACTGTTGGTGGGAATGTAAGTTTCTATAGCCATTATGGAAAACAGTATAGAGGTTCTTCAAAAAATTAAAAAGAGAATTACTACATGATCCAGCAATCCTACTTCTAGATACATATCAAAAAGAATTCAAAGCATGATCTGTAAGAAATTTTGCACTCCCATGTTCATTGCAGCATTATCTACAATAGCCAAGAGGTGAAGGAAACCCAAATGTCCATTAACAGATGAATAAATAAAGAAAATGTGGTAAACACACACAGTGGAATATCACTAAGCCTTAAAGAGGGAAATCTTATACATGCTACAACATGGATAATTGAGGACTTTATGCTAAGTAAAATAAGCCAGTCACAAAAGAACCAATTCTGTATGATTCCACTCATACGTAGTATACAAAGTAGTCAAAATAACAGAACCAGCATGAAAGAAATCCATTCGGCAAGGGCTGGAAAGAAGGGAGAGGAGGAAACAGTGTATAGTAGATTTAGAATTTCAGTGTTGTAACATAAAAAAATTCTAGAGATCTGTTGCCCAACAAAATCAATATACTTAACACTGCTGACATGTACACTTAAAAATGATTACGATGGTTAAATTTAAAAATTATGTCCTTTTTGCCACAATTTAAGAAAAGAAGAAGAAAGATAAAAAATCCATGATTTAAGCTTACTTCTAAAGAAGATTGAAAAAATGGCAAGTTAAGCTCAAAGAATATTTACAAAAGAAAATATAAAAAATAATAAAAGAATGAAATAGAAGAAATACATGAGAGATAAAATAAATTCAACAGGGGTCAGAGCCAAGATGGTTGAATAAATGCAGCCAGGAGGAACACTTCTAACCAAAAGACTGGGACATTGGGAAGACCGGCATATTTCAAGCAGATCTTTGGAAGATTGAGAGTGAATGGCGAGAGAATGCAGACACTGGGCTGAAGGAGGAGGAAGCTGGGATACATGCACAAGGCTGCTGAGCACTGGGACTCATTTCTAGACACCAGTGGCTCCTGGGGAAGAGATGAGTTGAACAGGTGAGGATTGGAATGCTCTGGCCATGGATCTCTGGAATCCTAGATGGAGTAGACCACAAGACCACTGTGGACACTTGAGCTGGCAGAGAGAGCTGCTTAGAAAGGTAGCAGAGGCAGGACTTCAGCCAGCGTGGAGCTCAGAGGGTTTGGCACAGGAATGGCAGCAGTAAAGCATGGCCACGGATGCCCCGCCCCCCCAAGGCTCAACATGCTCCACTAGGTGGCTTTAGTCTTTGGGTAACTATTGGACTAGGACAGAGCAGAGGAGTCTCGCCCATGGGATCTGAGAGCCCCCTTTCTGCTAGCCTCTTCTGGGACACGAACCTGAAAATACTCGCTTGCAGTACAGCCTCAGGTGCCCAACCAGAGTTCTTCCTAGGAACCCTCATGATAACTTCTTCACCAGCAGACCACGCCTAGCTGTCGAAGGATCAAGCAGACCCGTCCATACCAAAACGCACCCAACCACCCACAGCTACCCCCTACAGAAGGCTCCCCATTTTGCCAGCATGAACTCACCCACGCGCCCTCCTCCCATGACTTTGCTGGTGTGTATGCTTGGGCAGATCTTCCTTCCCCTACCCCAGTGGCATGTGTGTGCTCGATACCTTGATGCCCCGCCTTGCAGGTCCAAGTACATCCTGCCACCCCACCTCTGCTGACATATGGACACCCTGCCATGCCACTGTCATCAGCATAAGGGCACAGATGTTATCTGGCCCATCAGATAACAAAGCCAGGCACCTGATACTAGCCGCCAGGGCTGGAGCATGCAGCCCAGGAATGTTGAGGTGAACAATGGTCTCTTGAAATCTTCCAGAAAGGAAGCCAGTCAACAGAATACAACTTATGCCACAATCAAACCTTCAAGGGTGTCAAAGAAGATAAGAGAAAAAAAAAAGTCTAAAGGATAGCAATTTGAAAGATTAAGGAGCATCAGCCCATGCCAGATGAGAAAGAACCAGTACAATAACCCTGGCAACTCAAAAGCCCAGAGTGTCTTCTTGCATCCAAATGACCACACGAGTTTCTCAGTAATGCTTCTTAACTATTTCAGGCTGAAATGACAGACATAGAATTCAGATTATGGATAGGAACAAAGATTATTGAGATTCAGAAGAAAGCCAAAACTCAAAGAGATCAAAGGAATAAAATAAAATAATAGAGCAGTGGAAAGATGAAATAGCCATTTTAAGACAAAACCAAACTGATCTGATAGAGCTGAAAAACTCACTACAAGAATTTTATAACACAATGACAAGTGTTAATAGCAGAATAGACCAAGCTGAAAAAAGAATCTTGGACCTTGAAGACTGGTTCTTTGAATTAAGTCAGTCAGACAAAAATAAAGAAAAAAGCATAAAAAAGAATGAACCAAACCCCTGAGAAACATGCAATTATGTTTAAAAATCAAATCTGTGACTCATTGACATCCCTGAAAAAGAGGGAGAAAAAGTATACAACTTGGAAACATATTTGAGGATATCACCCAAGAAAATTTACCCAAACTTGCTATAAAAGCCAACATTTGAATTCAGGAAATTCAGAGAACTCCTGTGAGATATATACAAGATGACAATCCCCAAGACACATAATCATCAGATTCTCTAAGATTGACATAAAAGAAAAAATATTAAAGGCAGCTAGTGAGAAGGGGCAGCTCACCTACAAAGGGAACCCCATCAGCAGACCTTTCAGCAGAAATGCTGCAAGCCAGAAGAGACTGGGGATCTAAATGAGCATTCTTAAAGAATCACACTTAGAGGAACTAGAAAAACAAGAAGAAACCAACCCCAACAATAGCAGAAGAAATAACCACAATCAGAGCTGAACTGAAAGAAATTGAGACGCAAAAAAAATACAAAAGATCAACAAAACCAGAAGTTGTTTATTTGAAAGAAAAATAAGATTGATAGACTGCCAGCTGGACTAATAAAGAAAAAAAGAGAGACGATCCAAATAAACACAATCAGAAATGACAAAGAAGACATTACCACTGACCCCACAGAAATACAAAAAAAACCTCAGAGACTATTACAAAGACTTATATTGACACAAATGAGAAAACCCAGAAGAAATGGAAACATACCACCTCCCAAGACTGCACTAGGAAGACACTGTATCCCTGAAGAGATCAATAATGAGTTCTGCAATTGAATCAGTAATAACAAGCCTACCAGCTGAAAAAAGACCTGGACCAAACAAATTCACAGTGGAATTCTATCAGATGTATAAAGAGCTGATTCCACTTCTTGTTTCTAATAAAACTATTCCAAAAAATCAAGAAGGAGGGACACCTCCCTAACTCATCCTATGAGGCCAGCACATTGTGATATCAAAATCTGGCAGAGACACAACAAAAAAATGAGAAAAATTCAGGCCAATATCCTTGATGAACATAGATGCAAAAATCCTCAACCACATACTAGTAAACCAAATCCAGCTGCACATAAAAAAGCTAATTCACCACAATCAAGTAGGCTTTATCTCTGGGATGAGAGATTGGTTCAACATATGCAAATCAATAAATGTGATTAATCACAGAAACAGAACTAAAAACTAAAACGACATGATCATCTCAATAGATACATAAAAGGCTTTCAATAAAATTCAACATCCCTTTACATTAAAAACTCTCAAACTAGGCATTGAGTTAACATATCTTCAAATAATAAGGGTCGTCTATGAAAAACCCATGGTCAACATCATACTGAATGAGCAAAAGCTGGACGCATTCCCCTTGAGAACTGGAACAACACAAGGATTCCCACTCTCGCCATTCCTATTCAATATAGTACTGGAAATCATAACCAGAGCAATCAGGCAAGTGAAAAACATAAAAGGCATCCAAATAAGAGAGGAAGTAAAATTATCCTCATCTGCAGATGATATAATTTTATGGCTAGAAAACTCCATAGTCTCTACCTCAAAACTGGATCTGATAAACAACTTAAGCAAAGTTTCAGGATACAAGATCAGTCCATTTCTGTGTACTAAGAATATCCAGGCTGATTGCCAACTCAAGAACCAATCTCATTCTCAATAGCCACAAAAAGAATAAAATACCTTGGAACACAGCTAACCAGGGAGGTGAATGATTTCTACAACAATAATTACAAAACACTGCTGAAAGAAATCAGAGATGACATAAACAAATGGGAAAACATTCCACGATCATGGATAGGAAGAATCAATATTGTTAAAATGGTCATACTGCCCAAAGCAACCTACAGCTTCAATGCTATTCCTGTCAAACTACCACGAGATTCTTCATATAACTGCAAAAAAAAATCTGAAATTCATACGGAACAAAAAAAGCGTCTAAATATCCAAAGCAAAAAGAACAAAGATACAGGTGTCACATTACCCAACTTCAAATTTTATTACATGGCTACAGTACCCAAAACAGCATGGTACTGGTAGCAAAACAGACATACAAACCAATGGAACAGAATAGAGAGCCTAGAAATAAATCCACACACCCATGTACAACCATAACATCTTCAACAAAGTTGGCAAAAACAAGCAATGGAAAAAGGACCCCCCTATTTGAAAAATTATGCTGGGATAATCGGCCGGCCCATATGCAGAAGATTGAAAGTGGACTCCTTCCTGTCACCATATACAAAAATCATCTCAAGATGGATTAAAGACTTAAATGTAAGATCTAAAACTATAAAGACCCTAGGAGAAAACCTAGGAAACACCATTTCAGACATAGGCGCTGGCAAAGATTTCAGGATGAAGATGCCAAAAGCATTTGTAACAAAAATTGACAAATGGGACGTAATTAAACTAAAGAGCCTCTGAATATCAAAATAAACTATCAACAGAGTAAAGAGACAACCTACTGAATAGGAGAAAATGTTTGAAAACTGTGCATCTAACAAAGGTCTAATGTCTAGAATCTATAAGAAACAAACAAATTAACAGGCAAAAAACAAACATCCCCTTAATAAGTGGGCAAAGGACATGAACAGATGCTTTTCAAAAGAAGACAAACACACAGCCATTGAACATGAAAAAATGTTCAATATCACTAATGAGCAGAGAAATGCAAATCAAAACCACAATGAGATACCATCTCACACTAGTCACAGTGACTATTACAAAAAGGTCAAAAAGTAACAGATGCTGGCACAGTTGCAAAGAAAAGGGAACACATATATACCGCTGGTGGGAATATAAATTAGTTCAACCATTGTGAGAAGCAGTTTGGCGATTTCTCAAAGAACTTAGAACAGGCCGGATGCAGTGGCTCACACCTGTAATACCAGCACTTTGGGAGGCTGAGGTGGGCAGATCACGATGTCAAGAGACTGAGACCATTCTGGCCAACATTGTGAAACTCCATCTCTACTAAAAATACAAAAATTAGCTGGGTGTGGTGGTGCACACCTGTAGTCCTAGCTACTCGAGAGGCTGAGGCAGGAGAATCACTTGAACCTGGGAGGCAGAGATTGCAGTGAGCCGAGATCGCACCACTGCACCCCAGCCTGGGGACAGAGCAAGACTCCATCAAAAAAAAACAAAAAAAAAACAAAAAAAAACCTACCATTTAACTGGTAATCTCATTATTGGTGATATACCCAAAGGAATATAAATTGTTCTACCAAAAAGACATGCATGTATATGTTCATTACAGCACTATTCACAATAGCAAAGACATGGAATCAACCTAAACGTCCATCAGTGGTAGACTGGATAAAGAAAATGTGGTACACCCATGGAATACTACACAGCTATAAAAAGGATAAGATTATGTCCTTTGCAGCAACACGGATGCAGCCGAAGGCCATTATCCTAAGTGAACTAATGTAGGAACAGAAAACCAAATACCACATGTTCTCACTCATTAAGTGGGAGCTAAACCTTGAGTATACATGGACACAAAGGTGGGAAGAATAGAAACTGGGGCCTACTTAAAGAGTGGAGGATGGGAGGAGAGTGAGGGTGGAAAAACTCCTTTTGGGAATTATGCTTATTACCTGGGTGATGAAATAATCTGTACACCAAACTCCCACAAGATCCAATTTACCTACGTAACAAATGTGTGCCTGCACCCCTGAAACTAAAATAAAAGTTAAAAAATAATGATAATAAAGTCAACGGTTGGTCCTTTGTAAAGACTAGTAAAATCTATAAATTTCTAGAAAAATGATAGAAAAAAAGAGAAAACAAAATCATTAATATCAAGAATGAAGAAAAAAAAGACATCACTATAAATCTTAGAGATGTTAAAAATACAAGGAGGTCCACACAAAAACCTACACATGGATGCTTATAGCAGCTTTATTCATAGTTGCCAAACCTCGAAAACAAGATGTCCCTTGATAAGTGAATGGATGTGGTGCATCCAGGCAATGGAAGCATTAAACAGGGGAGCTATTTAACTCACAAGAATACCTGGAGAAACTTTGAATGCTCATTACTAAGTGAAAGAAGCCAAATTTAAACCACCACACACAGTCTATGATTCCACCTATATGACATTCTAGAAAAGGCAAAGCTTTGGAGACAGTAAAAAGATCAGTGGTTTCCAGGGATTAGGTAGAGAATGGGATGAATAGGCAGAGCACAGAATATTTTCAGGGCAGTGGAACTATTTTGTATGATATTACAATGATGGATGTAGATCATTATACATATGTAAAAAACCATAGATTGTACAGAACCAAGAGTGAACCCTAATGCAAACTTGGACTTTGAATGATAATGATGTGTTAATGTAGGTTCATTGATTGTAATAATTGTACCACTAAAGTGTGAGATGTGGGAAGTTGTGCATTTATGTAGGAGGGGCTATATGGAAACTCCCTGTACTTTCCACGCAATTTTGCAGTGAACTCAAAACTCTAAAAAATGAAATCTACTAAAAAACATATAGACAAGGTGTGGTGGCATGCACCTGTAGTCACAGCTCCTGGGGAAGCTGCAGGAGTATGGCTTGAGCCCAGGAGTTCAAGGCTGCAGTGAGCCATGATTATGCCACTGCACTCCAGCCTGGGTGACAGAGCGAGACCCCAACTCAAAACAAACAAACAAAAAAAACTAAAAACAGCATATAGCTTGTTGGGGGAGGGTGGGCATGGGAGAGCATCCGGGAAAAGAGTTGATGCATGCTGGTCTTAATACCTAGGTGATGGGATGATCTGTGCAGCAAACCACCATGGCACACGCTTACCTATGTAACAAACCTGCACGTCCTGCACATGTATCCCCAAACTTAATTTAAAAAATTAATTTTTTAAAACAGCATATAATAAGAAATCATGAAAATGTAGATAAAATAATTAAATTTCTTGAAAATCTTTTACCAAAAATAGCAACAAAAATATCATTTATTTGTACTAAATGTATTAAAGTAATTCAAACCATAATTAAAGAACAAGCTACGGCCAATCCGATAAAATATATGGAAGACCTCTACACAGAAAACTATAACAATTACTGAGTGAAATTTTAAGTGTTAATAGAGAGCTAAACCAAGTTAATGATTAAGGAGATTCAATATTTAAACATGTCAGTTCTCTTCTAATGTTCTCTTGATTCGATTTATTTCTAATCAAAATCCTTACATGTATTCTGTGATAAGCTGATTTTAAAACTTATATGGAAAGTCAAAGAACTAAGAATGACTAAGTGAGTCATGAAGAAGAGCAAAGTTAGAGAATTTCCCTATCTGATATCAAGACATAAACTCACTGTAATAAGACAGTGTGATATTAGGACAAGGTTTGAGAGAAATGGGTTATTGGAAAATAGCAGAGAGTTCATAAACAAATCCACACATATATGGCCACCAGCCTTATCATCTATGTAGTACAGCAGGGTAGTGGGGAAAGGATGCCTTTTTCTTTTTCAATAAATGGTACTGGATAAGCTGGATATTATTAAATGGGAAAAAGGAAGTAAACTTGGTCCCCATTTTGCATCATATTCTCAAAACACAATTCCAGGTGAATTTAATTTTAAATGTGCAAGGTAAACTACTAAAGTTTTAGATGAAACTGTAAAACGCCTTTGTGACTTTGGGACTTGTAAAGATTTTTAAAACTGAACACAGCTACTAACCATTAAAAAAAAACCCTATTCAACTTTGTTAAAATTATGATTCTCTAGGCTCACCAAAAGACATCATTAAGAGCGTGAAAAGGTAAAGAGGAATCTACATACATAAATTTATAAATATATACTTGTATGTATCAAGACATATGTATCTCCAAAATTATAAAGAACATCTATAAAGACCATCTAATAGACAATTGGACAAAGACATGATGAAAAGCTACTTCACAGAAGAATATATTCAAATGGGCAAACGTGCCCATTTCAATCATTAGGGAAATGCAAATTAAAACCACAATGAAATACTACCATGTACCTGTGAGAATATTAGTATGAAACACACACACATGACAAAAGCAAAAGTGAGTAAGGATTTGGAGCAACTAAATATCTTGTACATTGCTGTTGGGAATCTAAATTGATAAAATTTATTGGGAAACTCATTTAGGTTTTATACTAGCTCTAAGTACGACGTGGAAATTTTACTCTTAGTAAATACCCAAATAAGCGTATGTATACTCATACCAGCTTTATTTGTGCTAGCCATTTAAACAAATGCTAAACCTAGCCTAAATAACTCAAGATGATAGAAATCAGAATATTGATGATTTTGGGGAGAGTGCATAATATCAGGGAGGGACATGAGAGATATCCCCGTGATGCTGATAATTTTCTATGTCTTCTGCTGAGTGATGTTTATGCTAGTGTATTTACCTAATAGTTAATTTTAGATCTATATATCTTATGCAATTATACTTTAATAATAAAAATCGATGCCCCCCTGCCCCAACAAAATGAGATAGCAACTTAAAACTGTCCTTAAGGAATCACAGTTTTACTTATCATCAATACTTGGTTTAGAACACCAGCTGGTTCTAAACTCCAAACCCTTAGGGCTACATATAAAAGAGACCTAATTTTAAAACAGTTTATAGACTAATTAGTAAATTATGTAAATTCCAATTTATGTGTTCTAATAGTTTATTCTTTGTTGTACCTCATTAACATGCAAAAATAAAGCATTTTCATCATTTACTTTTATTGACCCATGTTTACCTCTTATGTCCATAATATCAACATAGTCATATGAATGCATTACATTTACAAATATTTATATGCAGTTAATACCTAATAGAATTCAGAAAAGTCTGACATTTTTAAAAACTTGTAAATGGTGTGAAGAAATTAATTTTGAAATTCCCATTTTCGTCACTACCCAGCTACTGAACTGGGAAAAAATTTATTATTTCTAGGTTGTAGACACAAGAGTGGTTTGAGCTTGGGCTTGTCACTTAATCTCTTTGTTGGGAGGTAAGTTATCAGAAATCAATAGCCTATTTTAGACAGTCACTGAGGTTGGTTCTAATTCTGACACACTAACTTAAATGTAAATTCAAAAGGATTCCCTGAAAGAGAGCATCTCAATCAGTCTTTTTATTGCTGCCTGATATGGGGAATGCCTCATTTCCTCCATAATTTTCTTGAATGATTAAATTAGGAATTAATTGAAGACAGGTGATTATTTCCAGCTTGCCCAGCATCAAATATATTGACTTTTCTTTGATTGGGCAAGTTTTACTTAGTACCCTCCAAGCCACAGTTAATAAACCATCACTTACATTTTCCCAGACATATTAATCACATGACAGATGTTTGCTGCCTAAAGAGACACCAACTTATAAAGGACAGATGTAAATAGAAGAGTTAATTAGGCCTAACAATCAACCTCTTAGATTTTTATGAAAGTGTGAACTCATAAAAAAAAAAAAAAAAAAAGAAAGTGTGAACTCAATGCCACAATTTGGCATGACTTGTGTTTTCACCATATTTGATTAAGGCAAGTTTTAAAATCTTCCTTGGAAAAGACAAACTAGCCCATTTTATATTTTAAATTATTTAAATTATATTTTTCTCATTTTTTTAGAAATGAATTATTTTCAAAGTACAATTTGACATAAATAAACAAATATTTTTGTGTGTTTTTTTGAGATGGAGTCTCACTCTGTGAACCAGGCTGGAGTGCAGTGGAGTGATCTCGGCTCACTGTGACCTCTGCCCCTTGTGTTCTAGTGATTCTCCTGCCTCAGCCTCCTGAGTAGCTGGGATTACAGGCACGTGCCACCATGCCTGGCTAATTTTTTTGCATTTTTAGTAGAGAAGATGGGGTTTCGCCATGTTGGCCTGGCTGGTCTTGAACTCCTGACCTCAAGTGATCCACCCGCCTCGGCCTCCCAAAGTGCTAGGATTACAGGCATGAGCAACTGCTCCCACCCAACAAAATATGTTAATATCAAATGTGGCATAAATTTAAACAAAGGGAATATGTAATTGTTTCAGTCAGGCTGTTTCAACAAAATACCATAGATTGTGCGGCTTAAACAAGAGATTATTTTGCACAGTTCTGGAGGCTGGGAAGTCCAAGATCAAGGAGGGAGCCCATTGTTTTCTAGTTGCGGGGAGAGGAAGCAACCTGATCTCTCTCTTCTTCTTACAATGACACTAATTCCATAATGGGGGCTCTACTCTCATGGCCTCATTTAAACCTATTTACCTCCCAAAGGCCCCACCTCCAAATCATTACTTTCAGGCTTAGGACTTCAATATATGAATTTTGGAGAGACACAAACATACAGTTTACAATGTAATTTTACAAAGAAAGGGACAAGAGCATTCTAGGCAAATAAAACCGTACACAGAAAATCACAAGGAGTATAGGAAAGTAAGTTACAAATTTCATCACAACAGAATAAGCAAGGCATGTAATGGGAGATCAAACTGAAAAGGCAGAGTTTGATCACACCATAAAGAGATTTTTATGATACATGGAGGCAATATTTTCTTCTCAGCAATGAGTGTTCATGAAAGATCAAGAGAAGGGTGACAAATCAAAGCATTACTTTAGGAAATTTTAATCCGAAAGAATGCTTGGAATGTAGCAATGGAAGATTTTTCCAAAGAGTATATAAAAATGCCTAGCATATATTAGGACCCCAAAACTATTTGTAAAATATTGAATATACATAATATTTTACAGGAGTATAATATTTTAACTTTGAAGGGATATATATCATTTTAACTTTGAAGGAATATATGTATATATATATAAAGGGATATATATATATAAAGGGATATATATATATAAAGGGATATATATATATAAAGGGATATATATATATATATATATATAAAGGGATATATATATATATATATATATATATCCCTTTATATCCCTTTAAAGTTACCTCAATTCCTTTTTGTGAATGAAGAATAAAACTTCTGTGTAATGAAAACATCTACATATCCTTTCTTCCTGGAATAGTTTCACCCACTTAAAGACCTCATCACAATCCACAACTACAAACACACCACACACACAAAACCCCTTCCGACACACATTGTTCTTTATTTTAAGCTTTTCAGCCTCCCAGAAAGAAGAAATTGTGATTTCTTTTCTAATAACATTGGGAGCTTATTCACAATAACCAAGATATGGAAAACAACAAAACTAAGCATAAATTAGGGTGTCCTTACTAAAATCAGACAAAGTAGTCAGAACATTTTATAACAATAATTAGCAATGTGTATGCATTCAATATCAGAGCATCAAAATACATAAAGTACAAACTGATAAAACTGAAAAAGGAAATAGACATATCCATAATTATGGTTGGATATTTCAATATTTTTGTATCAGAAATGTATAGAATAAGAAAACAGAAAATGAGTAGAAATATAGACTATAGACCAGAACAATATTATCAACCAACTTTATCTAATTGATATTTATGGGACACTCCACTCAACAACCATAGAAAATACAGAATGATATACAGAATTCTTTTCAAGTGCATGTCAAATATCCATCAAGACAAGTCACAGGACCATAAAACAAGTCTTAAAAAAGTTAAAAAGATCAAAGTAATACCAAAAAAATTTTCTGATCACAATGCAATAAATTAGAAATCAGTAATAGATAGCTATCTGACAAATATTCAATGTTGACAAATGAAACAACACATTTCCAAAGACCTATGGATCAAAGACAAAGTCATAAGAAAAATCATAATATAGTTTTAAATGCATGAAGAGAAAAATAAAACATCAAAATTTAAGATGCAGTCAAGACACCAATAGAGGCAAATAAGGATACAGGGCTAAAGTTAGGCATATAACTTTCTTCTCCAACTGGTGTGAAAGAGAAAAAAATTAAGCCCACATAAGGCAAAAGGAAGGAAGTAATATATGAAACACAAAATGAAGGAAAACTAGAAAAAAAATCAATGAAATCAAAAGATTTTTATAAATTATATCAGTGAAATTGATACACCTCTAGCTAGATTGAACAAGAACACAAGGAGATAATAAATATTACTAAAAAAAAAGACAAGCTATAAAATTGGAGAAAATATTCACAAACTATGCATCTGACAACAGCCAAGAATCTGTAAGGAACTTAAACAATTCAACAAGCAAAAAAATGAATAACCCTATTAAAAAGTGGGCAAAAGAGGCCAGGTGTGGTGGCTCATGCCTGTAATCCCAGTACTTTGGGAGGCCAAAGTTGGAGAATCACCTGAAACCAGAAGTTTAAGACCAGCCATGGTAACGTAGCCAGACCCCAACTCTACCAAAAGAAAAAGGAAAAAAAAAAGTGGGGGAAAAGACATGAACAAACACTTCTCAAAAGAATATATTATAAGTGGCCAATAAACATATGAAAAGATACTCAACATCACTTATCATCAGAGAAATTCAAATCAAAACTACAGTGAGTCAAAATCAAAATCACACCAGTCAAAATGAGGGATGCTGGTGAGGTTGTACAAAAAAGGGAATGCTTATACACTGTTGGAGAGGGGAGTAAATTAGTTCTTCCACTATGGAAATCAGTTTGGTGATGTCTCAAAGAACTTAAAACGGGGCTACCATTTGACCCAGCAGTCCCATTACTGGGCATATAGCCAAAGGAAAATAAATCATTCCACCAAAAAGACACATGCCACTCATACGGTCATAGCAGCACTATTCACAATAGCAAAGACATGGAATCAACCTAGGTGCCCAACAATGATGGTGGATTGGAGAAAGAAAATGTGGTACATATATGCCCTGGAATACTATACAGCCATAAAAAAGAACAAAATCACGTTCTTTGTATCAACATGGATGCAGCTAAAGGCCATTATTCTAAGCAAATTAATGCAGTAACAGAAAACGAAATACTGCATATTCTCACTTATAAGTGAGAGCTACGTCTTTGGTACTCATGGGTGTAAAGATGGAAACAATAGACACTGGAGACTACTAGAAGGGGAGGGTGGGTGGGAGAAAAAATGTTGAAAAATAGTTGAAAAACTATTGGATATTATGATCATTACACAGGTGATAGGATTTTTACATCTACATTCATAAGGAATATTGATCTGTAACTTTCTATTTTATAATATCGTTTGCTTTTTCTTTTCTTTTTCTAATCAAAGTACCGTTGGCCTCATACAATGAGTTGGGAGGAATTTGCTTCTCTTGTACTTGCTGAAAGAATTTATATAAAATTAGTGGCTGGGCACAGTGGCCCATGCCTGTAATCCCAACACTTTGGGAGCCCAAAGCAATGATATTACAATATAAAAAGCTACAGAACAATATCCTTCATTAGTGTAGATATGAAAAGTCCCATCACCTCCAGGTAGTGAGCGTAGCATCTAATAGTTATTCAATTATTTTTAGCCCGTTTTCCCTTCTTCCCTCCTCCCTCTAGAAGTCCCAAGTGTCTGTTGTTCATATTCCAAACCTCAGTATCACGCAATGTACCCATGTAACAAACCTGCACATGTACTCCCGAAACTAAAAGTTGAAATTATTTTAATAAATAAATAAATGCTACTAAAGCCAAGATGAAACAAATATCATAACTGCAGGTGCTGCATATATATTAAAGCAATAATAAAAGAATATTTTGAAAGCTTAATGCTAAAACGTAATTTAGATGAAATTGACAAATGCCTTTAAAGACAAAAATTACAAGCTACTCAAGAAAAATAGAAAAGTCTGATTAGTTATATATTTATTGAGGAAATTAAATGTATAATCACCAAAACATTTTATGCAAAGAAAACTTCTGGCCCTGATAAATTATACACCAGTGAATTATACACTAGGAAGAAATGATACTAATATATAAGGAAGAAATGATACTAATTTTGTTTTTTTTTTTTTAATTTATTTTTTCCAGACAGGGTCTTGCTGTATTGCCTAGGCTGGAATGCAGTGGCATGATCATAGTTCACTGCAGCCTCAAACTTCTGGGCTCGAGTGATACTCTCGTCTCAGCCTCCTGAGTAGCTGGGACTACATGTGCACACCACTATGCCTGGCTAATGTCTTAAATTTTCTGTAGAAACAGAGTGTCAGTATGTTTCTCAGGCTGGTCTCAAGCAATCCTCTTGTCTTGGTCTTTCAAAGTGCTGGCATTACAAATGTGAGCCACAGCGCACATTCACTAGTTTTATATAAATTATTTCAGCAACTTCAAGAAAAGTAAACACTTCCCAACTCATTGTATAAGGCCAACATTACCCCCATTAAAAAAATAAGATGACAGGGTACAGTGGCTCTTGCCTGTAATTCCAACACTTTGGGAGGCTGAGGTGGGAGGATCACTTGAGCCCACAAATTTAAGACCAGCCTGGGCAACATAACATGACCTTGGCTCTATAAAAAATACGAAAATTAGCTGGGAGTAATGGCGCACACCTGTGGTCCCAATTATTCGGAAGGCTGAGGTGGGAGGATTGCTTTGAGTCCAGGAAGTTGAGGCTACAGTGAGCCAGGTTTGCACCGCTGCACTCCAGCTTGGACAACATAGTGAGACCCTGTCTAAAAAACTAAAATAAAATAAAAATAAATGATAAAACAACAAACAATGATATTACAAAGCAAAAAGCTATAGATCAATACCCTTCATAAATGTAAACATATACATCTTTAATAAAGTATGAAAAATAGGATCCAGCAACATGAAAATCTTAATGTATCATTACTAGTTAGGGTCTACCCCAGATATGTAAGATTGGTTTAGCATTCAAAATAAGTTAATGCAATTTAGTGCATTAAAACAACAAAGTAAGAAATCATATGATATTCTCATAGATGCGGAAAAAAAAGCATATGACAAAATTTAACATAACTAATGATTTTTTTTTTTTTTTTGAGATGGTGTCTTGCCCTTGTCGCCCAGGCTGGAGAGCAGTAGTGCGATCTCGGCTCACTGCAACCTCCGCCTCCTGGGTTCAAGCAATTCTCCTACCTCAGCCTCCTGAGTAGCTGGGATTATAGGCGCCCACCACCACACCTGGCTAATTTTTGTAGTTTTAGTAGAGACGGGGTTTCACCATGTTGGCCAGGCTGGTCTCAAACTCCTGATATCAAATGATCCGCCTGCCTTGGCCTCCCAAAGTGCTGGGATTACAGGCGTGAGCCACCGCACCCAGCCATGATTTTTAAATATCCCAGAAAATTATAAATAGAAACGTACTCCTTGACCTGATAGAGGACACTTAAGAAAAATTTACAGTAACATACTAAACAGTGAAAGACTGGATGCTTTCTCTTTAGGATTGGTAGCAAGACAAGAATCTCTAGTTAAATATGATCTCCTCCCCATCTACACCTACTTTCACCACTTCCATTTAACATTGTATTGGAGATCCTAGCCAATGCAACAAGGCAAAAAAAAAAATTTAAATAAAGTAAAGAACATACAGATTGAAAAAAAAAAGAACAAAAGTTCACGATCCTGTATGTAGAAATCCTAAGAAGTCTACAAAAAGCCACTACAAAGAGTTTTAAAAAATTAGTTCAGCAAATTCACAGGATATAAGGATAATATAAAAATCAAAAATCAATTGCCTTCTAATATACTAGCATTTACTGTAAAACTACAATAATATAGTCAATGTTGTATTATTGTATGAATAGAAATGCAGCTTAAACAAACAGACTGAGACATGCATATGTAGCCAACTGATTTTTGACAAAGATGTGAGTTACTTCAACAGAGAAGTACCTTTCAGCAACTGATATCCATTTGGAAAAACAATGAACCTCAACTATTATCACATATTTTGTACCAAAATTAACTTGAAGTTAATCATAGACACTAATATAAAGGCAAAAACTTTAAAACGTGTATAAGAAAACACAGAGAAAATTTTCACAATCTAATATTTCTTAAATGAGACCCCAAAAGCCCAAATAAAAGGAAAAAAATGATAAATTAGAATTGGTCAAAATAAAAAATTTCCGTTGCTGAAATAAAATACCAACAAAATGAAACAAGTTTTCTTACACATGTAGGAAAATAATATTTACTAAAAACATATCTGACAAAGGATTGAACTTCAACATATGAACAACCCTTACAAATCAACAAGGGAAAAAAAATCTCACAAATGATTTCAATGGATCCTTACAAAAAATAGGTATATCAATGGCCAATAAGCACATGAATAAATATTTAACATCATTAATCTTTAGGCAAATGCAAAGTGAAACCGTCATGTGATGCCAAAACACACACATTAGAATGACTAAAAGAAAACTTAAGAGACGGTAATGAAATTAAAGTTAAAAAGATTTACGGTATTTGGGTTCTCCAGAGCATAAAAGCATTTACTATAAGGAATTGGCTCACACAATTAGGGTGGCTGAGAAGTTCCAAGATCTGCTGTTGGCAAGCTGGAGACCTTGGAGAGCCAGTGGTATAGTTCCAGTCTGAGTTTGAAGGAATGACAACCAGGAAAGCCAATTGTGTAAGTTTTAGTCCAAAAGGCAGCAGGTTTGAGATCCAAGAAGAGCTGATGTTTTAGATTGAACCCAAAGGCAGAAAAAGACCAGTGTTTCATCTCAGGCAGTCAGGCAGAAGTTCTCTCCTACAGGGAGGTCAGCCTTTTGGGTCTGTTCAGGCCTTCAACTGATTGGATAAGGCCCACCTACATTAAGCAGGGCAATCTGCTTTACTCAGTCTACTGATTCAAATGTTAACCTCATCTAAAACACCCTCACAGATACACTCAGAATAATGTTTAGTCAAATATGTTGGCACCCCAGTCAATTCGACATATAAAACTAACCGTCACACTTACCATACCAAGCCTCTTTGTTGAAGGAAACGTACAAACCTGTTGGGAAGAAGTTTGGTAATTTCTTATAAAGTTTTAATGCCCTTACTTTATGACCTAGTAATTAAATCCCCAGGTATTTATCAGAGAAATAAAAACCTGTGACCACTCAAATACCTGTGCATAAGTGATCTTCATTAATAGTAATTGTTAATTATTGTTAATAAAGATTATTTATTGTTATTTTATTTTATTTTAAATTCTGGGATACATGTGCAGGTTTGTTACATAGGTGAATGTGTGCCATGGTGTTTCGCTGCACCTATCAACCTATCAACTAGTTATTAAGCCGCACATGCATTAGCTATTTAAGTTTATTGTTAATAAAAATTATTTATGTACAATAAATTCAAATCTTTATTGTTTAGAAATTTGTGCAAAGAACACAGCAGCCCACAGAATTACTTGTACATAAATTATTTTTATTCATAATTGTTAAAAACTGGAAACAACCCTAGTATTTATCCACAGACACATGGCCTAAAAATGTGGTATATTCATAAAATGGAATATTTCTCAGCAATAAAAAGAAAGAAATTAACTACTCATACATGCAACAACACAAATATCAAAAATACACCAAGTGAAAAAAAAAGGCTCGTACAAAAGACCACATACTATAGAATCGCATTTATATGAAACTCTAGAAAGACAAATATAATCTATAGTGACAGTAAACAGCAAGAGTTGTCTTTGCTTTGGGCTGGAATGGAAAAATTTTTTAGAACAGCTTGTAGGAAATTTTGTCAGAGTGATGGAAATGTTTTATATCTCGATTGTTGTAGTGGTTACCCAGGTGTATAAATCTGTAAAAACTGTATGGACAGAATATTTATGTCCCCCCTACCAATTTATATGTTGAAATCCTAGCCCCCCAGTGTGTTAGTATTAGGAAGCAGAGCCTTTGGGAGGGAATTAGGTCATGGGCATTGGATTAATGTCTCTATAAAAGAGACCCCAGAAACTTCTCTTGCTCTTTTTCCACTATGTGAAGATAGAATGAGAGGTCAGCAATCTGCAACTAGAAGAAAGCCCTCACCTGACCATGCTGACACCCTAATTTCAGTTGTTCAGCCTCTAGAACTATGAGAAATAAATTTCTGCTGTTTACAAATCACACAACCTATTGATGGTATTGGTACTTTATTATAGCAGCCAGAACTAAGACATTCATCAAATTTTACATTTAAAATAGATACATTTTGTTATATGTAAAATTTATCTCAATAAATTTGATTTAGGGAAAATAGGAATACACAATAATGTCGGAATTTAAGACTGATCAAATATTAAATTGTAAATTAAATTGATAAATGTTAAATTGTTAACAAAACCTGGAAATTTAAGAATAACTACTAGTAACAAATAAAAGTGACTATAATTTATTGAGTACTTATTAGCGGTAAGATACTCTGCTAAACACTTGAATACATTATTTTATTTTATCTTTTAAAATTAACCCAAAGGTTAATACTCTTAATCCCATTTTACAGATGAAGAAACTAATACCTAGTGAGTTTACATTCCTAGACAACATTCATGTTATCACATTCAACTGAGTGGCAAAGCTAGGTCCTCGTTCCAGCCATGAGTAACTCAAACTACTCCATTATATTTTACTACAATTTTCATTACATTTCTAGAGGAATAAGAATAGAACCATCTAGAAAAAAATCTTAGATGGATTTTATATTTAGAAATAACAGTGTGCAATTGAGAAACTAGATTACATTTCACATACTTTTAGTATTGCTTAAGCATTGCTAAGAGTTTGGAATCCTTTGCTAAACATTTGCTTTATGTCTCAGCTGACACAAGTAGATGAGAAATAAACAACACAAAGCAGCATTGTAGTACAAGCTCTGGACCCCAGACTTCCAAAGGAAAGTGATTTACCAACAGCTCATTAATGTAGCCCACCGTGGACCAGAATATATATAGTTGAATGGTTTCCATGCCACTGATGCTCATTTGGTTTCAGGGTATCAATCTGAACTATAATGAACCTGAAGTTAAAGTTGGACTGCTTCAGTAGCTCAACTCCAGTTGATTCAGAGTTATTCAGTGGTGCCTCTGTGGGGTCATGAACTGAATTAAACCCAAAGGCCTGAATTCCTTTGTTAACCCTGAAACCACCCCAACTTCCTTATATTCCTTCAGATCAGTGAATTATCCAGAACAAAGTTTGACCTTCAAAGTTGTTTGGAACAAATCTGAGTTCAAAATTAAGCAGAACCTTGCTACTTTTTTTTCTAACTTCTAATAGAATATGTTTGTATAGTCATTTGTTACTCATTCAGAAAACTAGGAAATATTTAACTTTTGTTCTCCCAATTCCATTGCCATATTCCAAATACAAAAAATGTTATAATTCTAAGATTATCTCAATGAGGAAACAACGTTAGAATCTATTTAAGGATAAAGTCATATTCCATGAAGAACATATATTACCTGTCATAAATTAGCTTTTGACAAAAGGAATTTAGGCCTGTGTTACCAAATACTCATTTATAAACACAGTAAAACATGAGTTTTGCAGAATATCTTTAGATTTCTATGGGGAAAAATCATTTCCTCTTCAGAAAAATACTGGCTAGAATTTACATGGAAAACTGCCCTTTTGAAACATTAGTATATTTGGATCCAGCATATGATATGAAGAAAATTATTATTTGAGAACTTTTAACATTGAAGTGCCTGCCCAGTGGCTCAGACCTTACTCCTTTTCTCTTCTCTGTGTATACTCACATATCTACTCTCTGTATATACTCACTTTATTCTCTGTGTATACTCACTTTGTCTACTCTATGTGTGTACTCACTTATGTATTCTCTGTGTATACTCATTTATCTATTCTCATGTCCATAGACAGACAGTCATCACTCTCATTTTGTGGCCCTCCTGAATTGTACATTCAACTGTTCTTTCAACCTCTCCACTAGGATTTCCAACTAGACATGATCTCACCAACTCTACCCAAACATATTCATCTGTACTCTTTCCCATCTTACTCGATTGCAACTCTGTTCTTCCAGGTAAGTATGCCAAAACTCTTGGAATCATCTTTAACTCCTTACTTTTTCTCAAACCTCCATCCAAAGCATCAGCAAAATCTTTTGGCTCTATCTTCAAAATATATCCATAGTTGAACTGTTTGTCACCAAGTCCACTGCTATACCCTGATTCAAGCCACCATCTTCCATCTGCTCTTCCTGCTTCTATTCAAGTCCCACCACAACCATCTAGTCTACACAGAGCAACCATCTTGATCCACTTAAAGATCATCTCACTTTTCAACTCTATCTACTGAAACCATGCAATGGCTCAACCAGGGTCATTTACCAAAGAAGTCGATGCAATGACCATGGCCTACAAGACCTACATTATCTACTTGTCCTCCCATTATCTCTTTGGACATATCTTCTACCTCTCTCCCCACCTGGCCACATTGCTTCATCTTTTGCTATTTCTCAGAAACTCCAGACAGATTTCTGCTTTCAACTTTTGCACTAGCTATTTATTTTGTGGAAAATTCTTGCTCTAAATATCTAAATAGGTAGCATTATCACTTGTCTCAAGTCCTTCCCCAAATGCCACCTATTTTGTGAGGTCTAAGCTGATCATTTATTAAAACTTCAAATCAAATTCCCCTGACACACCTCATTCCCATTACGCTGCTGCATTTTTCTTTACCATGCGTCTCCTTCGGAAACACCATGCAATTTACTAATTTATTATATTTGTTGTGTTTTATTGGTCTCCCCACACTAGAAAGTAAGTTCCACAAGATGAGGAATTTTTATTTCTTTTTGTCTCTGGTATCTCCAGTGAGCTGAGGGCAGCGCTTTATACAAAATATGCATCTTGTTGAACAATTGAACATATAAACTATAAGACAGGAAATTTCTACCCATTCATTCAGCCAATATATTGAATGCCTACTGTGTGCCAGTCCGTGTACTAGCATTAGGATATAGTAGACAGAAGAGATACATGGTACCTACTCAAGGGGCTCACAGTCTGTTGGGAAGACCATCAGATGCTCCAGTCCCTTATATAAAACAGCATAGTATTTTTATAAAACCTATGCACACCCTCCTGTATACTTTAAATCATCTCGAGATTACTTACAATACCTAATTCAATGTAAATGCTGTGTAAATAGTTTTTTCAAATAGTTTCCTTCTATGGTTGATTGAATCCATAGATGAGGAACCCAACGAATATGAAGTATGTGCAAAGTTTGTAAAGTGAGAAAGATTTTAAAATGACCAGAGTTTTTGGAGCATAATGAATGGATGGGAGAACAGAGCCAGACAAGGTTAAAGAAGTTAGCATGGACTAGATCATGCCCAGCTTTGTTGTCTGTGAGAGGGTTTTAAATTTATCCTAGGTGCACACTCTCTCTCTCACACACACACACACACACACACATACAAAGATGCTAAAGAGAGTTAAATGCAATAATGATGTGATGCCATTTTGGGATTTGCACTGTCATTCTGCCTATTGTATATGGAATGACGTTAAAAGAGAACAGAAGTAGAGGCAGGAAAACCAGTCAGAGTGCAATGACATTATTTTCACCGAGGGATGACAGGATGACATACAAATATGACCTGGGTGGTGACTGTTGAGAAGGAAACATAAAGTATATTTTTAAATTAGGTGGTCAAGCTGGTGACGGATTAGATATAGAAACAGATATGATTTCCCAGTTTCTATCATAAGCAAATGAATGGATAAGAAATAGGTATTAAGATAATAAATCACTAACTGACTTTATGGGAAGATTGGGATTAAGAAGCAAATGATGAAAAGAAAAAATTAAGTCCATTGTTCAAATTTATTTAGGTTCACTTTTGTAATCATTCTATATTTTATATACTGTGCCCCAAATTGCCCTGGAAGGCTCTACAAGAATGCTCATGTCTCACAATTTTGTACAGAATGAACAAAGGGCTGGATATTTCCACGCATAGCAAATCTGTTACATGGTGTCCATTATGACTAATTCTGAATATCATATTTTTTGTTTCTTATACCAGTGAATGTGTAGAGTCAGTCTTCCTCAATTCTCATATTAATGACCCCATTTTGGAAAAATTTAAATCTGCTTAATTCCCCTTTATTTCAACAGTGAGTTGTGATTTTCCTGGGCCTGGGTAGAGTAGGTGAGACCAGGTGAGGAACCAGGATTCGGCCAATAGCAAAGCTTGGGAAGGTATGCAGATACCCTGAGTCCTGATAGAATAAAACCAAGAGCAGAATGTGGATGGTAAATGAATTGTCAAGATGCAAAGCCTAAGTATATAACAAGAGTATTCTAGAATTCCAAACTTGGCAATAGACACAATAAGAAACATTAATGCAAGTATACAGCTATGAAAAGTCCACACACAACAGAAAAGTCATAGGCAGAAGTGATGTTCAAGAGTTCAGATGTATAGGAGTTCTGAGGTTTCCACCTCAAAGTTTAAGCCAGTTTTGGAAAAATAGATTGAGAAGAACACGGAGCTTGGGAAACCAGTATTGCAAAGAGGTCCATACAATAAAGTAGACTGTCGGATGTGAGGGCGATTTGGCTGTGACATCTGTTACCCCACTGATCGCCAGGGTTGGTTCAGCTGATCTGGCTCCATGGGTGTCCCTCCTGAAGCTCACACTCGCCTGAAGAGGACCAACATCCCCAGTAGAGGAGGACCAGTCTTCAGGCAAGGGTATATGAGTAGCCGAGCTTCCCTGCTAGAACCTCCAAACAAGCTCTCAATAGAGTGTCATTGCAGAGCAATTTCATCTGGTCTAGTTTTTAGTACTCTTTCTGGATTACTGGCTGAGGATTAAGAAACATGGACCAGATGAAGTCAATTAAGTCCAAAGGCAAGAAAATATAGGAACTGTTGATTACAGTGGAGAATGGTTTCTTTGATGAGCTTTCACCTACATCCCCTTCCCACTCAAATGACTTTCTGTTGCCTATGTTCCACCATTAAGTTTGACAACCCACTGAGGGATTAGACTGATAATTTAATGAAAGTCTTTTAGAGTTCTAAGACTGTACCAATTGAATATGTAATATCTTATTTGCTCTTTATCTTACCTGTATTCATAAAAGTTAATCTCAAAGAACAACTACTTTGTTCTAGGCCTTAAAATAGTCATTAGTGAGAAACTGGTAAACATGTAATAAATCCTTCTATTGAAAAAGAATAGCAAAACTGTAAGTTTCCATTTCAGATTCTAAATATCTATTTTTCTTGACTCTGCATGCTACTAAATCACAATATCTAAGGCACAGTACCATTAAAAAAAGTATCATATCTCAAATAAGCTTGTATATATTTAAAACACCGCATTATCACTGTGCTAAATGAGATAAGATCTTTTTTTTTTCCGTATCTCTGGTTAGAAGTAGGCAGAATCTTCTGTGAATTCCAGAGAACATTACACAATACCAGATACCATGAGCATGCTCCAAAGCCAAGTGGGAATGATGTCTGGAATTTAGGGTCCTGCCAGTTTTGCACATCTTGAAGCAATATGGTTCACAGCAACGTAGAGGTTAGCTGTCACAATTCTCAAGTGCCAATTCAGTATGCAAACGAATATTGTTTTCACACATACTCCATTCTGTCCCCAGTGTCTGAATAGAGCCCTTATGTATGCTGGGCATATTGTCAATGTGTATTCCTATGTTTCAGACATTGCTTGTAAGGTAGGAATACATGTATTTTAATATAATAGTATTCCTGATTTTTTAAAATAATTTATATGCTCATTTGTTACAAGGGTATGAAATAATACTAAGATTAAGCAAAAGAATTAAGGTAAAGGAGAATCAATTAGAAGAGTAAGATAAAGCTAGGAATGAGTGCGGCACAGAATGCAAACCCCTGGAGCCCAGTACTCTGAAAGTTCTGAGGAGGGCCACAAACTTGGCTTTGGATTTTCTGAAAGCTCATGAGCATACAAGAGCATAATCAGTTGCATTACTGGTAGTATTCATAAAATAAAAACAAACAGTAACCCAGATTAGGTCAACTATTCCTTGTACTGAGTCAGGAGGGACAATTTGCCCTTAAGTCCTCACAGACATCACACTGCATAATGCAGTAAGCCATGTTCCTGATAATATCCCCACAAGAATCACAGTCACAAGACTAAGAGCCCATCTCTCTCCACTTGGGCCCATTCCAATCTTTTCTCCATTCTCTACTCAATACTATCATTCTAAGCTAAAACCTAATGATGTTGCCCTGATTCTTAAATTCTGTAAGTGGTTTTCCATTGCTTTTGGAAACCCAAAATCCATAAGGTTACATATAAGGCTCCATATGTTCCAGTCCTGTATGCCTCTCCAAACTGCATTAGAATGGACTCCTCAGTTGAAGTTGTGTTTCTTTTTCATGGACTCTCAGAGAACCAGGTATCTTTGCTCCAGAATAGTCATTTAAGTTCATAATTCTACATTCACTGGTGTGATTACTTAAGTAATGTCTGCTTCTATACCATTAGCTCCAGGAGACTTAATTCCTTGTCTACTTTTGTTTACAGTTATTTTTGCCATCAACAAGCATATTTCTGACTCAATAAAAACGTGAATGAATCAATAGATGAATAAAAAAATGCAAGAAGTGAATTTTTTATTCTTTAAAACCAAGGAATAGTATCAAATAAAAGTGCAGTTTGGTGTGGGGAGTTACAATTAAAGGCAATTCAAACACATCATTCTATGATTTCCTACCTTGAGGATAGATTTTAGTACTGTCAAACCATCCTCTGGAACTATTTTAATCTTGACCAAATTTTAATAAGTATTGAGCAACTGGGAGTTTAGAATATATTTTTCACATGTACCTATTAATTATAGAATATTCTATTCTGACAATCACCCATTCTGGATAACATCCAGGACTCTAGATTGACTCATTGAGACACATCTCTATGTAAAGCCACTTTGATGTAAATGTCCCATCTGTAACACGGAGGTGGGGTGTGTAGAGTGAAATTAAGTTTCCCTGAAAAAGAACCTATGAGGTTATGTGTCTAAAGTTATTTAAGAAGATAACACATACAGGCAATAACAAGCAGTAATTATTCAAACGACAGAAGTCCACTTCCAGCCACATTGTTGCAATTCCTTTTAGAAGTAGGTTTTATCCATTGAAAATCTCAATTTATATTAATTGAAGTATGTGTTACAGAAATCTAATGGGAAAGTTAACATTGATACTTTTTCACTAACTGAAAATTTACCCCAAAATTATAGTCCCATATTTGGTTTCAACCACAAAAATGCCTTTTCCTGGAAAGCCCATCAACTTTTCTCAAGTGTTTGTGAATTATTATTATTATAAGAAAAAAATGTTAACATTTGTAACATTTTGCCAGTCTTGGAGGCTTGAGAAAACTCCAAAAACATTTGCAATCATTTTGAGTTAATTTAAAAAGTCAAGATAAGGCTCAAAAAAAGAAGAAAGTACTTCATGCACTGCACACAGTAGGGATTCAATGAAAGAATTCTGAGGTTAATTGAATGACTGTGTGCTGTTTTTTAATGTTATATTGTAGAGAAATTAAAGATATCTTAACATATGAAGTGTAATAGAGTTAGCAAAATGTTAATACCTTACAATGGACTACATAAACTCACATTAGAGAGAGAAATCTATCTACAAAATGTAACTTCATTACAGATTATCAAGGTTTCTGCATGATTCTATAAAACAAGAGGAAAAATTAGTATTATATTATCACAAGCTTTCTGATGAAAAATGAGGTATAGATAGAGAATAAAAAGAAAAGAAAATAAGAGGCAATAGAAAAAATGTTTAAGATGAATTTGACTTTTGCCAAGAGCTAAAAATGGAGACACACAAACTTCCTGTGTTCTTTTTACTGTGTTTACATGCAATAGAGCCACTTTAGAAATGTTTACCTCTCCAGTGTGGATTTTGTAAGGGAAAGAAAAGGAAGGGAAGGGAGGGAAGGGAGGAAAGAAAAGAAAGAAAGGAAAGAAAGAAAGAAAAGAGAAAGAAAGAAAGAAAGAAAGAAAGAAAGAAAGAAAGAAAGAAAGAGAAAGAAAGAGAAAGAAAGAAAGAAAAAGAAAGAAAAAGAAAGAAAGAAAGAAAGAAAGAAAGAAAGAAAGAAAGAAAGAAAGAAAGAAAGGAAGTTTCCCTTGCCTGTGTTGTCTTCTTTTTTACTCTGTACCTTTTGTATCTGTCTCTGACTATATTCCTAAGAATCGTGATCTTTCTCCCTCAAACTAATAGACAGTGGATAGGAAAGGAGATCTCAAGGGTGCCCAGACAGTGGATAGGGAAGGAGAGCTCAAGGGTGCCCAGAGTCCTGCTCTGCAACTCAACTCTGTTGCCTGTGTGCCAGAAACTGTGCATTACTCTTCTTGCAAGTTAACAAGCTAGCCTGTTATTGTTTCATAGATGCTAGCAGAAGGCATGAGACTCCTGAGCCAGTAACAAAAGATTTGTATTACTCAATGCAAAAGCATTTGTCAGAGCTTCATGCTGGTTTGCACTGGTTTCTTTCTCCCCTCCACCTCTGCCCCATTCTACAGAACAATACCTAGGCTCATACCTTCCCTAATCAATGATCATCCCCAGCTCAAGAAACAGTCAGTGAGCTGCATTCCAAAACGGGAACGCTGTACTTTTCTAGTAAGAGGAGGCAAGCCTGCTCTATAGATGGAGGGAGAAATTCTCTCATTCCTCAAAGCTGCTCATTACAAATACCACCATGAGAGATGGTCCAGGTAGAGAGTAGCCAGGACCTTGCATTCCTTGCAGACTCATTCAGAGACACTCAGGGTCAAGGGAGATCATGCACCCAACACTGTGACTAAGTCCCAGTCCTTCTATCAACATGGCTAAGCCACCCTTCAGGTCCTACCTCAGGCTCTGAATCCACACTGCCTGGGTGTGAATCCCAGTATCACCACTTATTAACTGTGTGACATCGTGCAAGGTACTTAACCACTTTGTGGTTTGGTTTCTCTGTCAATAAGTGGGATCATAATAAAGCCACATCCTAGGATTAAATGAGTTAATGCATATATTGCATTTAGAACAGTGCCTGACCATAGTAAGCGATCTTTCTGTTTCAGTTCTAATTTTGATTACCATTTTCCAGTTATCTTTTGGATAACTTCATATTTTCTCATTTAAATTCCTCAATTGGGGTTTCATGATAAAATTAAATTCTAATGGCCAAAGACGTACATTGTAAGCAATGACTTAATTTCTCATGTATACATCTACAATGGTACTAAGCTTCATACCATCCTTGGAAGAACTAAGAACATAGTGACTTGAATTGCTTTCACTGTTCTATACTTCAAATTAGGTATCGCAGTTTAAAAAGGCAATTATTGGCTGGTCGGGCACAGTGGCTCACGCCTGTAATCCCAGCACTTTGGAAGGCTGAGGCAGGCGGATCACCTGAGGTCAGCAGTTCGAGACCAGCCTGGTCAACATTGTGAAACCCCATCTCTACTAAAAATACAAAAATCAGCCAGGCATGGTGGTGGGTACCTGTAATCCCAGCTACTCAGAGGCTGAGAAAGGAGAATTGCTTGAACCTGGGAGGCGGAGGTTGCAGTGAGCCAAGACTGTGCCATTGCACTATAGCCTGGGTGACAAGAGTGAAACTCCATCTCAAAAAAAAAAAAAAAAAAAGACAATTATCTTTTGCCACTAATGGAGAGAGCATTTCACTTCGGGTTATATCATATGTCATTGGCCAGCCGTGGGGCTCATATCTTCCCTAATCAATGACCATCCCCAGCTCAAGAAACAGTCAGTGCTATTTGCCCCAGCAGTCTATCTTGTTCACCAATGTGCTGCTAGGGCCTAGCACCAAGTCTGATACCAGTAGATACAGAAAAGTGATTTATTGAATCAATCAATGAAGGGTATAGCAAGGACCATCACTGCTAGCTTATCCCTCCTCCCCAACTCTATCTTTACTTGGGCTTGACTAATTATAACATGAATGATTTTAAAGGACAGCTCATTTCTCTATTTGGTTTTGGTCTGCAAAAAGTAAAATAGAGAGCTTGGGAAGTTATGTGAGAACACACGTGTTCCCTAAGATAAAAATTTTATAATACTCTTTGCTAATTTTTGCAACATGGCAAAATTAAGGTAGTTTAGACATATCTGTAAGATCATGAGAAATGTTCTAGGTGTATTGCTTTCTGATGACAAAAATGAGAAAACCTAGGAAAACACAGAGTTGACAGATCCTAGATGATTTTCTTTTAATACATTATGTCTCAAATAGAATTTCAGGAAGTCCTGGTTCGTATTCAATTCAGGTTTACATATTCTGACATGAGATCCATGTGCTTAAATATGAGGCTGTCAGAAGGCAGAATTATATCTATTGTATGTGGTTTGGCACTTGACAAATTACTGGTCCTGGGAGCCGTCCCACTTCCATATGAGGCTGACCACAGGCTGCTTGAAAATAAAATATTTTCTCAAAAAGGATCTTTTTAAAATATTTGAACTCTGGCAAACAACAATTGTGAGCCTCACATTCTGATTTATATAAGGAATAATAAATTATGGCTTGAAAAACGTTAGGACATTTTGTATCAACAATTTTTGCAGATAATATATTCAAATTCTTAAGCAAATCAAAACAAAGAACTCTTAGCATTTGTGAGCTCAGTGCTGAGCTAGTGGGCATGTGGAAAGTTCAGTGTATATGATCTGCCTTCAAGAAACTTCGAAATTCTAAATTGTGTTCTCAGACATCTGGCTCCTGCAATCTTTTGACTAGAAAGTATACCTCTTCTGAAAGAAGGTTTACTTTGAATGTATACTGTATTTTAAAAAGAGAGCAGCCTGTAATCTCAGCACTTTGGGAGACCAAGGCAAGTGGATCACCTGAGGTCAGGAGTTTGAGATGAGCCTGGCCAACATGGTGAAACCCTGTCTCTACTAAAAATACAAAAATTAGCCGGGCATGCTGGTGCGCATCTGTAGTCCCAGCTACTTGGGAGGCTGAGGCAGGAGAATGACTTGAACCTGGGAGGCGGAGGTTGCAATGAGCCGAGTTTGGGCCACTGCACTCCAGTCTGGGAAACTGAGCAAGACTCCATCTCAAAAAAAAAAAAGAGCAAATCCAGTCAGCAAGCTAACTAATCAGATGTTTCAAAATAGCCAAATAAGTTGCTCCTTAATGTTATTTTGGAATTTTATTTAATTCCTATGTAATTTAATTGTACACCCAAACTATGTTTCTTTCAGTACATTTCTGAAATCAGTTATGATAATTTTATGATTTTTTTTCACAAGTTAATTTTAATTTTCCAAGTCCCTATAAAGTCTCGAACTGTTTTGGCTTGATTGTCATCTTTTAAATTACTTTATATAGATACATACTGCAAACTAAAACTGAACTGCCATATGATTGAACTTTTCTCCTACCTGGAAATGCCCCCTGACCAAAAACATTGTCCTATCAGTGTGCTTGTATATAACTAAAAGGTCCATTACATACCAGTACTTAAAAAAAAAATTTCCATGAACCCAGGGATGAAATGCTTTCTCCAAAGCTCTCATGTTCTAACATTAAAGGAAAAGAAACTGGACTAATTTGCTATTGTTCACACAGTGCTTTTTTTTTTTTTTTTTTTTTGAGACGGAGTCTCGCTCTGTCGCCCAGGCTGGAGTGCAGTGGCGCGATCTCGGCTCACTGCAAGCTCCGCCTCCCGGGTTCACGCCATTCTCCTGCCTCAGCCTCCCAAGTAGCTGGGACTACAGGCGCCCGCCACTACGCCTGGCTAATTTTTTGTATTTTTAGTAGAGACGGGGTTTCACCGTTTTAGCCGGGATGGTCTCGATCTCCTGACCTCGTGATCCGCCCGCCTCGGCCTCCCAAAGTGCTGGGATTACAGGCGTGAGCCACCGCGCCCGGCCACAGTGCTTCTTAAAAAAGAAGAATGTGAGCTTCTAAATGCTATAGGTAGGAGGCCCCACTACAAAGCCCTCTCTAGATGTGGCAAATGGAATTTCCATGGCCCAACTGCCTTCATTCACACTGTTACTACCATAGTCACTTCCTACCAGTAGAAAGATAGTGTTACCTTATTTGTTGCTAAAAGTTCTCATAAGCTCATTTATATGCATATTTCAATTCAACATAAAAACACAAACAATAAAAACATAAAGACAGCAATCTGCATTGCACTCCTAAATCTGTTCTTCTTTTCTAGAGTGTATTAAAAATTTGAGTGGGATTAAAATGTAAAGATTATTTATCCCATTGTCTTTCAAATAAGGAAATTTAAACTAACAAATATTGTAACTTGCCCAAGATTAAAACCAGAAATAGATTAAAATGCATTTGTTAAATTAATAAAAAAGCAAGGTGATGTGTATTCGCCAGATTGTTCACTTTTCCTGATATTTAAATATTGTGAACTTCAAAGTACATTTCTTTGACACTTTTCAAAATATAATAGTTTTTCCAAGAGGTTACTAATACATTAGACTATCTGACATCCTGCCTCCCTCCTCCTCCCTCCCTCCCTCCCTTCTTCCAACAATGAGCTGTGAAAATATCGCAGGCACTGCATTTGTCACTAGAAATTAACCAAAAAAGGCAGGGGGTAAGAAATATTTTGGGCCTCAAAAAGAGAGCAGGCAGATATCCAAAGTGCTAAGATTTTCTGCACTAAAAGGTAAAGTTGCAATTAATTTTCTCTATCACACAAATTTTATAGGTTCTTCGATTCAAAAGGAAATTATACATCAAGGTAGGTTCTTTCCTTTTACTATATATGGTAGTTGGTTTTTACTGCAAAAAAATTAATATGAAAGTAGAAGAGTAATGGAAAACACTTTATAGCTGACTTTGCACAGCCATTATATCACAATTTGATTAATGCACCTAGTTAACATTTAACTGTCTTAAGAGAAATATTTTTCTTGTTTACAGCACACATTTTTTCCTTCCCCAAGCTTAATTTAATGGGAAAACTCCCACTGATATAATTGTTAATGCTTGAGAATTTTTGTTTCTGTTCACAAAGCATGATATACATTTTTATGTGCCATGTACTATATGTGTTGAAGCAGCAATAACATTTCTCATAGCCTTGCAAAAATAAAACCTAAACTACTGTGGTGATTTCAACAGCAAAAAATCCTAGATTTAATTAATAGCAAAGAGCTACTCTTCCAAAGATTAAGTGAAGATTTTTATTTAAATCCAACTCAGCAAAGAAAATTGGGTTCTTAATTGTTATTCGGTATCTGTCTTGTAGATTCAAAATGACTTCATTTTATTATCTGGTAGCAAAATTTTACTAAAAGCAATTTTCTGATTGACTTGCATTCTGACATATGAATCATTAAAAAATAAAAGTTAATTAATCAGACTTTATTGTAACCAGCACTCTGCACATTGCAATCTCTAACAGCAACATCTATGTGTGAAGATGGTTCCTGCAGACTATTCTAAATAGGTTATCTGGATTCAGCTTGGAGTTAAATATGCATAAGGAGCACACTACTTAATCAGAAATAAAGATTTCTTTTTGTAATTAAAACAAAGATTTAGAATGGATGAAAATGTTCTTCACAAACTCAAATTTATGAATTATAATTGCCCCAAAAAGGATTTATTTCTCGAGACATAGCTGCAGACTTTATCGTCCTAGGAACACTGTCAATTCATTTTAAAAATTCACACCTGCTATCAACTGAAATTAACTCATATTTACTAAGTACCTTTTTATATAAGGTTTTCTTTTTGTCCTCAGAAGATACAACCTGAATTAATGTTAATATATGTTCTTGGTAGGATGCATAGGTTTCTGCAGATATGTATTTCAAAGTTTCATCAAACATTTTTTTCCTTTGTTCCCAAGTTTTTTATTTAGAATATATCTCAGAAAAATGAAATTATAGTTGAGAATGAATTGATATTATTTCCATGGGGATAAGACAATTACATAGCACATCTGAATCACTAAGTCCTTAAATTTTTTATTTAGAATGAGGTGATACATTAGCCAATTGATAATATATATAACTTTGATCTATATGTTTACATTAGATAAAATATATTCGCAAATTGAGTTAAGTGACAAATGTAATTGCTACCATTTACAATAAAGTAGACATGTTAGATATCTTCCTTATCTAATTTTATTTCTAACTTCATAGTTAAAATTTGTGAGCCCTTCCTTATCTAATTTTATTTCTAACTTCATAGTTAAAATTTGTGAGCCAGAAAGTGGAGACACCAAGGTTAATGATTAATCTCTCCAGTACTAAACTAATTCTGTTGTTAACAGGGTGAACTTGGAAACATCCTAGTAGGAAACACCACTGCTTGTGAAAGGAAGAACAGACCTGAGTAAACATGTGGAGATGAAAGTGTGTTTTTTTGCTTTCTTAGAGGTGAATCCATAAGCTCCACAAGCCCTTGTGTAGCTTGTCGAAGGCTTTTCAGAGTATGCCACAACCAAGTTGCTGAGTGCTGAGTAATTACAGGGAGTGCAATATAACCATGTAAGGAAGATGCTGGAAGGCATCGTGGACACAGAGAAGCATTTCCTGGCTGGGAGTGGTGGGGTGCGAGAGTCAGGAGTGAGGCTGAAATTAGCATTATTAACTCAAAGTTGGATGACTGGTGATTAGGGAGTAGGTTAAAAAGCCAGTTTTATTGTTAAGGATGATCTCTAAAGATGGACACTGAGATACTCGAGGAGGAAAGAAAAGAGCTTCTATCGGAGGATTGTGAGCCCTTTCAAATTATTAGGCCGAGAGACATTAAACTGAGACAGCAGTCACATCCTACTCCCCACTGTCAGCTATGTATTCATCTATTGAAACTGCTTGCCATTGCCACAGATAGAGATGCATTAACCTAATAATGCTCCCGGGACACTATGTCCCACACCCCATAGCTTAACAATGCATAGCCAATCAAGAATCAGTGTGATTTCTTCAAACCAATGAGCATTCCTGACAGAACTTTGTATCAGCTAACTCCCTATCCCTTTATTAGAATTAAAAACCTGCCTATAATAAAAGCCAAATAGAGCTCACATCCAAGGTTACTTGGGGCTGAGTTTTCCAGGCAGCTGTCCTCACTTTGGCTCAAGTAAACTCTTTAAATCACATTTTGTGCTTCAGGCTCTTCCTTTTAGGTCAACATTTATTACCTGAGTAGTGTACTCTAAGAACTCCCAGCTCAAGTGAGTAATTTTAACATGTCCCACGTGGTCGTCCCGCTATCTGGAGTGAGGCTTTTCCTGCCTCCCACCGTCTCAGGCCGAAGCTTCCCTTTCATTAGGAGACAGAAGATGTCTGGAGTCCTGAATCTTTATAAGTAGTCTGTTGTGCAATGTGTGAAAAGGACCGCTGGGTAAAGTCTTGCTGGATACAAAAGAGCATCAGTCTAGCTGGAAAGATTAATGAACTGCCTCCTGCCAATGTGTCCGGAATTGGTGGGTTCTTGGTCTCACTGACTTCAAGAATGAAGCCGCGGACCCTCGTGGTGAGTGTTACAGCTCTTAAGGTGGCGCGTCTGCAGTTTGTTCCTTCTGATGTGTTCGGAGTTTCTTCCTTCTGGTGGGTTCGTGGTCTCACTGGCTCAGGAGTGAAGCTGCAGACCTTCGCGGTGAGTGTTACAGCGCTTAAGGTGGCGCGTCTGGAGTTGTTCATTCCTGCCGGTGGGCTCGTGGTCTCGCTGGCTTCAGGAGTGAAGCTGCAGACTTTCGCAGTGAGTGTTACAGCTCATAAAAACAGTGTGGACCAACCAGTGAGCAGTCGTAAGATTTATTGCAAAGACCGAGAGAACAAAGCTTCCACAGTGTGGAAGGGGACCCTAGCGGGTTGCCGCTGCTGGCTGGGGCAGCCTGCTTTTAGTCTCTTATCTGGCCCCACCCACATCCTGCTGATTGGTAGAGCCGAGTGGTCTGTTTTGACAGGGCGCTGATTGGTGCGTTTACAATCCCTGAGCTAGACACAAAGGTTCTCCACGTCCCCACCAGATTAGCTAGATACACAGTGTGGACATAAAGGTTCTCCAAGGCCCCACCAGAGTAGCTAGATACAGAGTGTCCATTGGTGCATTCGCAAACCCTGAGCTAGACACAGGGTGCTGACTGGTGTGTTTACAAACCTTGAGCTAGATACAGAGTGCCAACTGGTGTATTTACAATCCTTGAGCTAGACATAAAGGTTCTCCAAGGCCCCACCAGACTCAGTAGCCCAGCTGGCTTCACCCGGTGGATCCCGCACCTGGGCTGCAGGTGGAGCTGCCTGCCAGTCCCGCCGCATGCGCCTGCACTCCTCAGCCCTTGGGTGGTTGATGGGACTGGGCGCAGTGGAGCAGGGGGTGGCGCTCGTCGAGGAGGCTCGGGCCGCACAGGAGCCCACGGAGGGGGTGGGAGGCTCAGGCATGGCGGGCTGCAGGTCCCGAGCCCTGCCCCGCGGGAAGGCAGCTAAGGCCCGGTGAGAAATCGAGCGCAGCGCCTGTAGGCTGGCACTGTTGGGGGACCCGGTACACCCTCCGCAGCCGCTGGCCCGGGTGCTAAGCCCCTCATTGCCCTGGGCGACAGGGCCGGCCGGCTGCTCCGAGTGCGGGCCCGCCAAGCCCACGCCCACCCGGAACTCCAGCTGGCCCGCAAGCGCCGTGCGCAGCCCCGGTTCCCGCTCGCGCCTCTCCCCCGACACCTCCCTGCAAGCTGAGGGAGCCGGCTCCGGCCTTGGCCAGCCCAGAACGGGGCTCCCACAGTGCAGCGGTGGGCTGAAGGGCTCCTCAAGTGCCGCCAAAGTGGGAGCCCAGGCAGAGGAGGTGCGGAGAGCGAGCGAGGGCTGTGAGGACTGCCGGCACGCTGTCACCTCTCACCAACAAGTGGCCTTCAAGTGATAACGAAAAGGACTATTCTGTGGCGCTACCTCAGCCTCCAGCATCTCCGGGGCACAGGTGATGGATACTCCTGAGTTCAGAGAAGCTCTAGCTCCACAACTCAAAGCTCCTGTCCACACCGGCATTCCGCTGTGCTCTCTCCCCTGTGCCCTGATGTAGAAGATCCTTTCTTCTAAGTTCCCTTTGCATTATAATTGAGTACTTATTAAAAAGGCAAATTTGGCCCGGTGCGGTGGCTCACGCCTGTAATCCCAGCACTTTGGGAGGCTGAGGAGGTTAGATCACTTGAGGCCAGGAGTTTGAGACCAGGCTGGCCAAGATGGCAAAACACTGTCTCTACTAAACATACAAAAAATTAGCCAGGCGTGGTGGTATGCACCTGTAATCCCAGTTACTCGGGAGGCTGAGGCACAAGAATTGCTTGAGCCTGGGAGACACAGGTTGCAGTGAGCCAAGATTGCACCACTGCACTCCAGCCTGAGTGACTGGGCCCGATTCAGTCTCAAAAAAAAAAAAAAAAAAAAAAAGCAAATTTCGCAGGCCTAAATAAATTGGTTTCTCTGGAGACTTGCATTTTTTGAAAATCCCTCGTTATTTTTATGCATGCTTAATTTGGAGAACCAAGGTAATAAAAAATATAGAGAGTATTTACAATGGATATCCATCCATTTTTGAATATCCATCAAGTATTGGGGAGAAAAAAATTAAATATGAGGATTTAAGTAATAATCCTTCCAAAAGGTTATATTTAGTTAAACACACGACTTGACGAATTATTTTTGTTAGAAGTTCACAATTCATTCCTATGGTTAGTCTGTTTTTTAAAAATACACTCTTCTAAGTGTCTCCATCATCCTCACCTGAATTCTTCTTAAACACACAAATCATTGGGTTCCTATATCTTTGATTCAGTAGACCTGGAGTGTAACGAAGAAATCTGCATTTCAACAAGCTCCCCGGTTTAATACCTTAAATCTCTAGAAAGTTTGCAAATCTCTTGTTAAAGGAGAGAGAACTTCATGTGAGTTCTATTTCATCCTAACTATTGGCTTCCTGTCAGAACTATTTGCGTTGTTTCTTCATCTGTAAATTAGCTTAATAATATCTCTTAAACTGTTATTATGAAGATTTAAATGCAGGTACAGTATAGAGGGATACTTAGCAGACAATAAAGAGCTAAAATAATATTAAATTGTTGATAGAACAAAGTTCATGAAAGATGAGTGTGTAACCAAGAAATGAAAGCGAGGATCCGGAGGCTGGCTCTGTTCTTTGTCATGCTCGGTGACCAAGTGGGAAGACCGTGTCCTCTGATGCCGATCTTTGTGTACGCCTGAATTACACATCATGACACAAACAGAAAGTTACACAACTCAATTTCCTTTTTAGCTTTCTAATGTGAGGTGCTCGCTCTATCTCCCTTTCTGTCTGCCTCACTCCATTGGTTAATGTTTTAAATTCTTTGTTATAACCTGAAACAGTGATGAAGTGCACAGGATACAAGGAAAGCAAATACTTCTAAAGGGTGTTTTTTGCTTGGCAAATCAAACAGGAGATTTTCCCTAGAGTATTCTAAGTTAGGTGAAACTGAGGGTGCATACTCCATAAAATCCTAGGAGTTGGTAAGAAAGAAAGTACAGAGAAATATCTTCTTTATTTTGTCCCCAACTTGCAGTGTAAATGGATTCTATTTGTATTGTATTCTATTATTTTCTTTTAATTCCTGAAATAAACTCTATAATTTGGTATTTATTTTAGCATTTTAAATTATATGTTCTTATGCTTTATGTACCTCTGGATATTGTCATAAATCATTTTTGTAACTAGGCGGAAAATCAATCTGTTGTCTGCCTGAAGGAGAAGTGAACATTGCTCTTTAATATTTGGAGTTTTTAAAAATCATATTTCTTTATTTATATTAATCAGACGAATCCTCTTTGAGCTTCGTCTGCCTAGCCAGCAAAAGTTCAACCTTGGGACTGGGCACAGTGACTCATGCCTGTAATCCCAGCACTTTGAGAGGCCAAGGTAGGTGGATCATTTGAGGTCAGCAGTTCAAGACCAGCCTGGCCAATATGGCAAAGCCCCATCTCTAATAAAAATACAAAAAATTAGCCAGGTGTAGTGGCTGAGGCAGGAGAATCACTTGAACCTGAGAGGCGATGGTTGCAGTGAGCCAAGATCATGCCACCACACTCCAGCCTGGGTGGCAGAGTGAGACTCCATCTCAAAAAAAAATAATCATCATCATCATGGTTTTGGATGTAGAGCAGGGAGCGGAGGAATATACTCGGTAGCCATATCCAACTACAGGTCCAACAAAGAGTCTCAGGATTTTAGACAATCTGGAACATTTCAGAAAGAACCCTCTGAATTTAAGATCACATTGGTCTGTTGGTAACTAAATTGATAATTATCTAACCAGCAAGGTCAAGGTCATTAGCATTGCTTTTTGCAGGCCAAATATGGACATAGGAATTTATTCAGAGGGTACATACTCCATGCCTGGCTTTCAGTCTTCCTAGGCTCATTTCTATTTGAGTTCTACCTTATCCCCAGGACACTAGAAGAGAGTAGGGCACTTGCATCCTCTACTTGAACACTACAAAGCTTTCTGCGTTCTTAACAACTTCAGGAATTTCCCTCGCTTGCCCTCCTCTTTAGTTAAGTCTACTTCCTTAATCTATGCATGAGCATTCACTCTCTCCATCACTGGCACTGTGAATGACACCTCACTTTCAGAGACTGGTATTTGTTTCCTGGAATGAGTAGGGAAAGCAGTGGTTAAGAACATAGGGTAATTTTTTTCCTTAACAGTTATATTTTTACATAATCTAGTTCTGTACTTGTAAGGTAGGTCAGCTAGCAACAAATTATCTGAGTTTTTGTTTATTTGCTTGTTTTATTGATAATGTCTTTATTTTGTCTTCAGTTTTGAAAGATAATATTGCTGGTTATAGATATCCTTGGTTGACTTTCAGCCCTATGAATATGTTATCCAACTGTCTCTGGCCTTCGTTGTTTCTGATGAAAAGTCAGTAGTCAATCTTATTGGAATTCCCTTGAAAATGGTGAGTCTTTTTCTTGCAGGTTTCAAGATTTTTCTCTTTGCCTTGCCATCAACATATTAATTGTGATGTGTCTTGGTGTTAATCTCTTTCTGTGTATCATATTTGGAGTTCACTGAGCTTCCTGTATTTGCAAACGTTTTTCATCAATTTGGAGATGTTTCCAGCTATGATTTCTTCAAATGATTTTTCTGCCTTGCCTCTCTTTTTTTCTTTCTTCTTCTTCTAGTTTTCTCAGTATGCTTTTATTGGTACACTTAATTATGTCCCACATTTGTCTGAGGCTCAGTTTATTTTTCTTCATTGTTTTTTCTCTGTTGTTCAGACTGCCAAATCTCTGTTGATTCATTTTCATGCTCACTTATTTCATCTTCTGCCCATTTAACTTGTTTATTATACATCTAAACTCCAGAATTTTCATTTGGTTCTTTTTTATCTCTTTTTGTTGATATTCTCTATTTGATTAGTCATTGCCAACATGTTTCCTTTAGTTCTGTAGACTTAGTATCCTCTAGTTCTCTGAGTAAATGTACAATGGCTGTTTTGAAATGTTTGCCTGCTAAGTCCAACATCTTGGGCCCTTCAAAAAGCAGCTTCTATTGCATGATGTTTTTCTCTCCTTTTTTTATGCATCACACTTCCTTTTTATTTGCATATCTGATAATATTTTGTTGAAAATGGGACATTATATATAATGCAACATCTGTAGAATTGATTCCTCCATCCTGGGAAGCTGATGTTATTATTCACTTGTGAATTCATTTGCTAAAGAGGTTTTTTTTTAATTTTTAATTTTTGTGGGTACGTAGTAGGTGTATACATTTATCGGGTACATGAAATGTTTTGATACAGGCATACATTGTGAAATAAACACATCATAGAGAATGGGGTATCCATTCCCCCAAGCATTTATCCTTTGAGTTACAATCAAATTACATTCTTTAAGTTATTTTAAAATGTACTATTGTTAACTATAATTACCCTGTTGTGCTATCAAATAGTAGGTCTTATTCATTCATTCTATTTTTTTGTACCCATTAACTATCTCTACCTCCCCTGCAGCCATGACTACCCTTCCCAGCCTCTGGTAACCATCCTTCTACTCTCCATGTCCATGAGTACAGTTGTTTTAATTTTTAGATGCCACAAATGAGTGAGAACATGCAGTGTTTGTCTTCTTTCTGTGCCTGGCTTATTTCACTTAGCATAATGATCTCCAGGTCTATCATGTTGTTGAAAATGACTGGATCTCATTACTTTTTATGGCTGAATAGTACTCCATTGTGTATATATGTCACATTTTCTTTATCCATTAACCTGTTGCTGGACTCTTAGATTGCTTCCAAATCTTAGCTATTGTAAACAGTGCTGCAATAAACAAAGGAGTGCAGATATATCTTCAATATACTGATTTACTTTCTTGTGTCTATATACCCATCAGTGGGATTGCTGGATCATATGGTGGCTTAGCTTTTAGTTTTTTTGAGGAACCTCCAAACTGTCCTCCATAGTGCTTGTACTAATTTGCATTCCCACCAACAGTGTACAAAGGTTCCCTTTTCTCCATATCCTTGCCAGCATTTGTTATTGCCTGTCTTTTGGATAAAAGCCATTTTAACTGGGGTGAGATAATATCTAACTGTAGTTTTTATTTGCATTTCTCTGGTGACCAATGATGTTGAACACCTTTTCATATGCCTGTTTTCCATGTATATGTCTTCCTTTGAGAAATGTCTATTCAGATCTTTTGCCTGTATTTTGAAAACATTATTAGTTTGCTTTTTTTTTCCTATAGAGTTGTTTGAGCCCCTTATATAGTCTGGTTATTAATCCCTTGTCAGATGGGTAGTTTGCAAATATTCTCCCATTCTGTGGGTTGTCTCTTTATTTTGTTGATTGCATTCTTTTCTCTGCAGAAGCTTTTTAACTTGATGTGATACCATTTCTTCATTTTTGCTTTGGGGTATTACTCAAGAAATTTTTGCACAGACTAATGTCCTGGAGATTTTCCCCAGTGTTTTCTTGTAGTAGTTTCATAGTGTGAAGTGTTAGATTTCAGTCTTTCATCCATTTTTATTTTATTTTTTATATGGTGAGAGATAGGGGTCTAGTTTCATTATTCTGCATATGGATGTCCAGTTTTCCCAGGACTATTTATAGAAAAGACTGTCTTTTTCCCAGTGTATGTTCTTGGCACCTTTGTCAAAAATGAGTTCACTGTAGGTGTGTAGATTTGTTTCTGGGTTCTCTATTCTATTCCATTGTTCTATGTGTCTACTTTAATCAAGCACCATCCTGTTTTGGTTACTATACCTCTGCAATATAATTTAAAGTCAGGTAATGTAATTCATTCAGTTTTGTTCTTTTTGCTTAGGATAGCTTTGGCTATCCTGCATCTTTTGAGGTTACATATAAATTTTAGAGATTTTTTTGTATTTCTGTGAAGAATGTCATTGGTATTTTAACAGGGATTGCATTGAATCTGTAGATTGTTTGGGGTAGTATGGATATTTTAACAATATTAATTCTTCCAGTCCATAAACATGAAATAATTTTCACCTCCTGTATTAGTCAGAGTTCTTTTAGAGGGACAGAAAGAATAGGATATATATAAAGGGGAATTTATTAAGTATTAATTCACATAATCACAAGGTCCCACAATAGGCTATCTGTAGGCTGAGGAGCAAGGAGAGCCAGTCCAAGTCCCAGAACTGAAGAACTTGGAATCTGATGTTCAAGGACAGGAAGCATCCAGCACAGGAGAAAGATGTAGGCTGGGAGGCTAGGCCTCTCTCTCCTTTTCATGTTTTTCTGCCTGCTTTATATGTGATGGAAGCTGATCATATTGTGCCCACCAGATTAAGGGTGGATCTGCCTTTCCCAGCCCACTGACTCAAACGTTAATGTCTTGGCAATACCTACACAGACACACCCAGGATTAATACTTTGTATCCCTCAATCCAATCAAGTTGACACTCACTATTAACCATCATGCCTCCCATCAGGTCCCACCTCCAACATTGAGGGTAACATTTCAATATGAGATTTGGGCTGGGACACGCATCCAAACTATATCAGGTGTATGGCTTAGAAGCTGCTATGATAGGTCATGAAGTTTATATTTTTGCCTTATGTTCAACCAGGAACCGGTAGCTTGGCTTTCCCTGCTCCAGCACTCTTGAGAGGGTGCAGCAATGGACATGCATATGGTCTTCTGCACTGCCAGGGAAGCATGTGATTTCATCTTTAATCCTTACTTCCTATAATTTGCCGCTGGGTCAGAGGACTTTATGGTTCAATCAGTGGTTGCTCAGTTTAGATCCTTAGTGCCAGTACAGTGTCAGTCCTATTCTAGGAATATCCCTAGCAAATATATGAAGATGTCTAAACAAAGGTAGATGATTTGTCCCAGTATCTGAGAGGTGTAAAAGATGAATGCACTTGCACAGATACCTGGATCTGGTCATGGATGGTAGATGAGATTGGGAGTTACAGTTCTGATAAAGCTGCCACAGCATAGGATGTATATTACTCAGCTTTCTCCAGAGAAACAGAATCAAAAGGATGTGTGAAGACAATAGATAGATAGATAGATAGATAGATAGATAGATAGATAGATAGATAGATGATAGGAATTCATTATAAGGAATTGGCTTATGTGATTGTGGGGTTGACCAGTCCCAAGCTCTGCAGGGTGAGTTAGCAAGCTGTGGACCTGGAGAGCTGATAGCGTAGTTCCATTCTGAAGACCAGCATGCTCAACACCCAGGAAGGGTCAATGTTACAGTTCAAGATTGAAGGCAGGAAAAGTCTGATGTTCCAGTTCAAGAGAAGTCAGGCAGAAAGAATTCTTACTCAGAGGAGAGTAAGCTTTTTTGTTGTGTTCAGGCTTTCAACTGATTGATTGAGGCCCCCCGCTCCATTAGGTAGGGCAATCCGCTTTATTCAGTCTACCAATTTAAGTGCTAATCTCATCCAAAAACTCCCTTATGGAAGCACCCAGTATGACCTTTGCCCAAATGTCTTGGTACCCTATGGCTCAGTAAAAAATGACACATAACATTAAGCATCACAGGAAGGAAAGAAACAATTCCAGCAGAAGGATGCTTATGAATGTCATCAGCGGGTCAGGTAGAAGTGGCAAGCAAATCTTACATGCAAACACCAACACCTAGGGGAGCTATACAAAAGTGCACTTTTCATTAATGTGATCCTCAGTATGATGTCCATGTTCAAGGAATGTAAAAGTAATAACAGCCAACCAATAAGACAATTATAACTTCAGCAAGTTAAGTAAAGAGGTATTAATGTTTGCCCTTTTCCTTTGTTTTCCCCCACTCAAAAACACAAGAGGAGATAGCACACAGTAAGAATGGGAAAACAATGAGCAAAATTCAGGCCATAATAGCTCTGGTTTTGAGATGTTAGAAAGGCTGTAGAGAGTTAGAAAGAGTCAATTGGGGTCAATTGACTCTTCTATCTGTCTCTTTGAATTTTACATTTGGCAGTAGCTTTAGGCCAATAAACTCAACTTGCTTCACACCAAACTATGCATGTGGTGCTTGGTTAATGCCACACTTACCACCAGGAACTTGAAGGGAATCCAGGCCCAGTACCCCAATCTCTCCTCCTCCAATGTACAATTGCCTAGAATATTTAACTCCATATATATTTAACTTTTCCGATTTGTGTATCACACTTTTGTTTTGGAAAATTGGCAACCAACAGGAATGCAACCTCTTAACTGGGAGCAAGAAGTTCTGCCTTTTACTTCTAGTTATATTGCTTGGGAAAAAAGCTGTTTAACCTTCTTGGCCTCGTAATCCTCATCTTTAAAGATTAAGATTTGTCTAGGTCAATTATTCTTAAATTTTGTGAGTCATGAACTACTGGAAAAATCATTTAAGCTTTTATCATTATGTTCTCAGAAAGCTGTAGACCTTCACACAAAAATTATGCTGAGACATACAAATTGGATAATATTTTGCATATTAGATAAGTTATGGACTCTTGGAAGATGGTCCAGATTAAGAGTCTTCAAACAATCTGCTAGTTTTTTCTTGTCTCCAGTTTTTTACAAAATGTTTAACTTTTGAATCAATCAAATAGTTTTCTTGGAGAAAGTTTTCCATATAATGTACAAATTGAATAACAGGCATAGGATAAAAGAGTATGAAGAAGATGATTGGCATTAATCTTGAGTTTTGAGGTTTTCATAGTTTAAGAATTATTGTAAAATAAAAATTGTTTCCAAGGATCTTGTAGATCAGCAGCTGGTGAATATAAATAGGATAGAGAAAATGTTTTCTGCTTTGCAGGCCATACAGTCTCTGCTCTGACTACTCAGCTCTGCCACCATATCATGAAAGCAACCACAGAAAATATGTAAATAAATGAGCATGGCTGTATTCCAGTAAAACTTTATTTACAAAAACAATTAGCAGATGGGTTTTAACCCATAGATTGCTAGTCTGTTTTAGATGACCAAAGTTATCTTTAAACTTTTCATTTAATTTTGCCTAATATGCTTAACATTTTGCCCTAAAATTGAAGCATAACAACATTTATAGACTAATTTATTTTTTGTCCTAACATTGAGGTGGAACAATATCTGTAATCTAAATTCATTATCTTCATTATACAAGTTTATATTCAGGAAAACATGTACAAAGTATTTTTCATGTAAAATATACTGTGCCTTTTAGATATGTGAATGCTATAGATCTCAAGAATTTAGTAATCCTAAACTCTGTACTATTACCCTCTAATTTATTCCATTCTCAGCTTCATAAAAGTACATTATGAACTTTGCTTGAAAAACTTTGTTTTGAAGCAAAGTTATCCATTTCCATGGATAAAAGACTTATAAATTGAATCAAAATTGTAAATACACAGTATCAAAAATCTTGCCAATTGTCACTATATCTGCATTGGAGCTAATCGCATCAATCCAAGAAGTTATTTATTCTGTATTTGTGCCTTATTTTAATAAAGTTATTTATTCATAAATCTCTCCATTGTGTATACAAGTTTAATTTTCATAATTCTCCCTTTAAGGACCATTCCATTTTTCTGAGAGTAAAGATTAATAAAAACAAATTAAATTATTTTGATTTTCAGAGGAAATCAGATTTTGAACTCCAAAGTGGTACATGAGAAACCCACAAGATTCATTTTCAAGGCTTATGAGTTGATATCCTTTTTATATAGTACCTTTACAACATCAATTAATTACTTTTTTTTCATTCTTCCTTTGAGATAAAGATTTTGTATGATAATTGAAATTCAGGTCAAGTTATGGCCAAGGAAAGCTTAATCCTTCTTTGTCTTTTATGTAGTCCTTTGTGGTAGCCATTTAAATAATATCTTATGTAAGGTGACTTGGATGAGAAAAAATACTTTAGGCTCACAGAAATTTTATATTCCAGATATAAATTTCTTTTTTTCCAGATCTCACAAATCTGCTGAGATGTTTCTACTAATTCTTTTTTCTTTTTCTCCTTCAAGAATTTAAACTGTTACTTCTCTGGATGTTCCTTCAAAGCCTTAAATTTTGCAATAAATCATCTCTCTCCCTTTTTGTCTCCACTTTCTATTTTTTTCTCTTTTTGTTGCATTTTACACTTCCATTGGTCTCTGCAATATTGATTAGAAATAAGAAGTAAACAAAAACTAATACAACTTCTGGAGAAATGTATTGGTCTGCAGTCTGACTTTTCTGTTTGCTTTATTATCTCTTTTGTAAATAATCCTAATATTTCTTCCTTCCTTTTAGATTGAGCTAAGTCAATTTTTAAAAATTTTTCCAGTCTGTTAAAGCTCATTACTAGATTTTTGAAATTAGCATTTTTTATATATTCTACTAGAAAGTATTTCTTATTGACTATGTGATCTGTCTGTTTCAAATGCAGATAACCTGACATTTGTCTTTATCCCAGTAGAACTATTCATATCTAGACAGCCAAGGTACAATCAATGACAAGGTCCTCACAGATTTAGGGTACGTTTTTAATATTAAATATGATTTGACCTCTCTTAATCATGACAGTGGCACAGGCATCTTTAACACTCTAATTGTTCAAAAGAACTGGCACACCAAGTCATACCAGATTTTATTCCACTTTATCCTTGTTCTTTTAGAAGAGCTTCTCTACTAGCTGGGCATGGTGGCTCATGCCTGCAATCCCAGCACTTTGGGAAGCTGAGGCAGGTGGTCTAGGTCCCATCGTTCAAAGCACAGAAAGCCAATTACCAAGACAACAAGGATTGCCAAGGAAGAAGGCTTTTTATTTAGCTGACATCAGCCAGGGAGATGGAAGCCAAACATAAAATCCGTCTTCCCCAACCTACTAAAATTGGGGGCTTAGATAGTGCAAAAGGAATGTAGCTACATGTGGGAAGGAATTGGGGGTGGGGTTAAGGAAGAAATTGTGACTGATGAGGGGTCTGGCATCTCATTGTCTGGATGAGGTGATCTGATGAGTTTCACTTCCTTACTGGGTGGGGTAGTTTCCTGAAAACAGAACTTAGATAAGGCAAATGTAACTTTAAAGTTATAAGACCAAGGAGGTCCTTGAGCCCAGGAGTTCAAGCCTGCAGCGACCTATGATCAAGCCTGGGCAACACAGCAAGACCCTGTCTCTAAAAAGAATTTAAAAAGAACAGGGAGGGTCATTTTCTATGTTTATTCAAAAAGCTGTAAATATTAGTTCTAAGGGACAGTTAGGCTTTTCACTTTCTCCATTTTACAGATAACATTGCTGAAGCCAAGTGTTTAAGTAATTTTCCCAAAGTCAGTACACAGAGGATCTATGATTCAAGCCCTCATAGGTCTGCCTTTAATATATCATGTTGTTTCTAATATAGCATGTATCTGTCTTCTTAAGGAGAAATATATTGCCTCTATATAACCATTTAGGAGAAAGGTCTAAATACCTTTCTTAAACACAAATTTTGGGGGGCTTTAAAATAAATATTGCTATTTTTGTCTTTTTCACAATTTTCCCACCTCTCCCTACCCCCATAAAAAGCCAACACAAATAAACTTACAGCTTTGAGATGTATTTATTTTTTAATCTAAGAAGTACTTATTGAGCACCTATCTGTAAAAGATGCTATAGAAGATGTTGAGAAAATATAAAATACAGTCTCTGACTTGAAAACATTGTTTTCATTTGCTACATCCTCCCTCATTAACTGGCCATTTTCTCATCTTTAAAACAAGCAAAATCATAGTACCTACTTCATTTACTTTTTCTGAAGATTAAAGAAAATGACCATTTAATGAGGTTATCCCAGTGCCTGGTAATTGCATGATTAACAAATCATGCAAAAATTACTAGTTCATCATAACTACTAAGCAACCGTAATTCCTTAAGTAGCCTTCATATGACTTGATTTCAAGTTGTTTACTATTCTAGTTGTAGACATTTCCTTTCTAATTGTCTATGTTTTTAGTGAAGTATATCAATCAGAAAAATTTTAATAATATACATTTGGTTTGTCCTACCAAAGGTAGATAGTTGTTTTCAAACTTAAAGTTGCAAAGTGCATAAAGATTACTCTGGAGCTTGTTAAAATTGCAAATAATTATAAAAATCTTTCTAGAGTTTCTGAAGCAATAGGTACATGGTGTGGAGTGCAGTAATCTGCATGTTTATGAACATGTCCTGAGAACTGCACTTCGAAAAATGCTCAATCTGGGTGTGGCGGCTCACATCTGTAATCCCAACACTTTGGGAGACCAAGACAGGAGGATCACTTCAGCTCAAGAGTTCAAGACCAACCTGTACAATAGGGAAAAACCTTGTCTCTACAAAAAATACCAAAATTAGTTGGGCATGGTGGTGCATGCCTGTGGTCCCAGCTACTTGGGAGGCTGAGGTGGGAGAATCACTTGAGCCCAGGAGGTTGAGGCTTCGGTGAGCCAAGATCATAACACTGCACTCTGGCCTGGGCAACAAAGTGAGACCCTGTCTCAAAAAAAAAGAAAAAAGAAAAGAAAAAAGGAAAAGAAATGAAAAAGACTTAATAAAACTATCATCTCTCTTGTTTAGGTGTTTTACCTTCTCTTAATGCAGCTTAGAGAACATCAGAAGTTTTGAAAGTCAGATCATCCTGATGGCTGCTTGCATTTACTGTAAGTAAAAACACCAGAATGTTCTCCTTAGCAGAATATAGGTAGCTTTCTTTTTTTTTTTTAATTAAAAAAAAAAAAGGGTGTCACTCTGTCACCCAGGCTGGAGTGCAGTGGTACAATCATAGCTCACTGCAGCCTCAATCTCCCGGACTGAAGTGATCCTCCCACCTCAGCCTCCCGAGTAGCTGGGACTACAGGTGTGTGCCACCATGCCTGGCTAATTTTTTTTATTTTTCATAGAGACAGGGTTTCCTATGTTGTGCAGGCTGATCTTGAATTCCTGGGCTCAAGAAATCCTCCTGCCTAAGCCTCCCAAAGTGCTGGGATTACAGGTGTGAACCACCACACCTGCCATTAAATTTTTTAATTTTTAATTTTTCCCCCATCTCTTAAAACTATCACAAGGGTAGCCTTCTTCATCCAGGTCTTTCATTGTCCTAGTTTGGAGAAGAAGGACATATTCCCCAAGTGGAGGGCACTTTCAGGACACATGAGATCTTAACAGCCTGAGGAGATGAACAATCTAAACAAAACTAAGAAACAAGTCAAGACAAGAGACTTCTGGTTTAGCGCAGGTCTATTTGTAAGCCTGTTTTTCATCTCCTAGCTTAATGGCTGAGCTTTGTCAAGGTTCCGTTTGGTCTCTATTCATTTAATCTGTGCTTTTAATTAAATTAATTGATTAAAAACATTTAATCCACCCATCTTATCAGATAGTTATTATTGTTCTCCCCCATTTTAATGATGAGGAAACTAAGGTACAGAAAGGTGAAGTGACTTTACCAAGGTCACACAGCTAATAAATAATGGAACTAGGCCGGGCACAGTGGCTCACGCCTGTAATCCCAGCACTTTGGGAAGCTGAAGCGAGCAGATCACGAGGTCAGGAGTTTGAGACCAGCCTGGCCAACATGGTGAAACCCCGTCTCTACTAAAAATACAAAAATTAGCTGGGCGTGGTGGCAGGCACCTGTAATCCCAGCTACTCTGGAGGCTGATGCAGGAGAATTCCTTGAAACCAGAATTCAGAGGTTGCAGTGAGCTGAGATGGCACCTCTGCACTCCAGCCTGGGCAACAAGAGCAAAACTCTGTCTCAAAAAAATAAAAATAAAAAATAATGGAACTAGTATTTGAACCCGGGCAGTCTGGCTTCAATGTGTATGTTCACAACTGCTGTGTCATATTGCCTGCCTGAGGATCAATAGATGCCACACTGAAAAATGACAAATGTGACACTTCTTTCAGTTTAAATACAGATGGGGTATGAGCTCTCCTTTTCCTCTTTGGTAAACCTTAGAGTTTTAGGTGCCATGCTTAGATAAACTTATATGTTAGTTTAAAAAAAATACACACATACAATGAACTAGACAATGGTCTTTTGCTTTAACTAGGCTTAAAATGAAATAAAATTATCCTCTTTTTTAAAAAAATTACAGAGGCCGCAATACATAACGCTGATCTTACAGAGCTGTTTTGAGAATCAAATTAGATAATTTATATGAAAGCTCCTATAATGGTTTTAGCATAGAATAGATGCTTAATAAATTGTATTTGCTTTATTTTTGAAATTGCAGATGTTTTGCTATAATACCCTGTTAGGAAAGAGCTGCTTACATTTAAGAATGAGGGAGAAAATCAGCTTTTTACTCTAAAGTTGGTTGGTAAACATCATTACAACTAAAAGCCTGCGTTGGTATAATAGTGTAAGCCTCTCATTTGTTGCTCTGCCTGCATCCCCATCACAGTGCCTGGGTCATAGAATTTGACCAAGTATAAGTGACTAAGCATAGTATTTGTGATACCAAACAAAATTACAAATTAATTAACATTTTATAACAATCGGTTACAAAAGCTGAAAAGAAAGTTCAAACAAAAAAGGAGAAGAAAGGTATACACCTATTGAATTCCTAATGTGTGCTATAAAATATACCAGGCGTTTTCTCAAATGTAATTTCATTTATGCTTTATATAACAACTCTTATAAATGTTGTTAGTGAGCACTAACTTGAGCTTTTTCTAGGATTCAGAAATGAGGAAAACCGCATTGTCCCTTACAGATAAAGTATGAACCACCACATAAAGACTGACAGCAGAACACTCACAATCATCTATTTGACGTCTAGGACTGAACCAATGCAAAGAGAGGGTGTGGGAATGAGCCGCAGTGTTGGGCAGACCCAAAGAGTACAGTAATAACTTCTACCGATCGGGCACTTGCCCTATTGCTCTATGCCAAGCAGTGTACTAAGCACTTTTCTTTATTTTTCTGACACTGTGAGACAGAGATAGATTTGGAGCCCGACTATAGGCCTGTCTGACTTTGATGTCTATACTACTGGGATCACAAAAGCAAATGTCACCAGTTCCTGACCTGCCAGTGTCTGGTAGAACTCTTTTGACAATAAAGAGTTCTAATGAACATTTGTCACTTTTTTTTCTTCAAACCTTTATTTTAAGTTCAGGGGTATATGTGCAGGTTTGTTACATTGGTAAATTGTGTGTCTTGAAGATTTGGTGTGCAGATTATTTCATCACCCAGGTAATAATCATAGTACCCGATACGTAGTTTTTCTATACTCATTCTCCTACCACCCTCCACCCTGAAGTAGGCCTTAGTCTACTGCATGACAACATGTGGTATTTGATTTTCAGTCCCTGCATTAGTTTGCTTAGAATAATGGCCTCCAGCTGCATCCATGTTACTACAAAAGACATGACCACATTCCTTTTCATGGCTGTGTAATATTCCATGGTGTGTATATACCATATTTTCTTTATCCAGTCCACTGTTGATGGGCATTTCAGTTAATTCCATGTCTCTGCTACCGTGAATAGTGCTGCAATAACACACACATGCATATATCTTTATGGTAGAATGATTTCTAGTCTTTTGGGTATATACCCAATAATAGGATTGTTGGGTCAAATGATAATTCTGTTTTAAGTTCTTTGAGAAATCTCCAAACTGTTTTCCACAGTGGCTGAATGAGTTTACATTCCCCTAGCAGTGTGTAAGCATTCCCTTTTCTCTGCAACCTTGCCAGCATCTGTTATTTTTTGACTTTTTAATAACGGCCCTTCTGACTGATGTGAGATGATATCCCATTGTGATTTGGATTTGCATTTCTCTAATGATTAGTAATGTTGAACATTTTTTAGATGCTTATTGGCAGCATGTATGTCTTCTTTTGAGAAGTGTCTGTTTGTGTCTTTTGCCCATTTTTAATAGGGTTGTTTTTTGCTTGTTGATTTGTTTAAGTTCCTTATAGATTCTGGATATTAGATCTTTGTCAGATGCATGATTTTCAAAAAATTTTTCCCATTCTGTAGGTTATCTGTTTATGTTTACCGTGTTGATAGTTTCTTTTGCTGTGCAGAAATTCTTTAATTAGGTCCCATTTGTCAATTGTTTTTGTTATAATTGCCTTTTGGTTCTTCATTATGAAATATTTGTCAGAACTTATGTCCAAAATGGTATTTCTTAGGTTTTCTCCTAGAGTTTTTATAGTTTCAGGTTTTACATTTAAGTCTTTAATCTATCTTGAGTTGCTTTTTGTATATGGTGAAAGGAAGAAGACCAGTTTCAATCTTCTACATAAGGCTAGCCAATTATCCCAGCTCGATTTATTGAGTGAATCTTTTCCCCATTGCTTGTTATTGTGAACTTTATCAATGATGAGATGATTGTAGGTGTGTGGCTTTATTTATGGGCTCTCTATTCTGTTCCATTGGTCTAATGTGTCTGTTTTATTACAAGTACCATGCTGTTTTGGTTACTGTAGACTTGTGGTATAGTTTGAAATCAGGTACTGTGATGCCTCTGGCTTTGTTCTTTTTGCTTAGGATTGCTTTGGCTATTTGGGCTCTCTTTTGATTACATATGAATTTTAAAATAGCTTTTTCTAATTCTGTGATAAATTTTCTGGTTAGTTTGATAGGAAAAGCATTAAATCTGTACATTGTTTTAGGTAGTATTTTAACAATATTGATTCTTCCTATCCATAAGCATGGAATGTTATTCCATTTGTTGGTGTTGTCTCTGATTTCTTTCAGAAGCGTTTTGTAATTCTCCTTGTAGAGATCTTTCACCTTCGTGGTTAGCTGTATTCCTCGGTATTTTATTCTTTTCGTGGCTATTGTAAATGGGATTGCATTCTGGATTGGGTCTCAATTTGGATGCTGTTGGTATATAGAAATACTACTAATTTTTATACATTGATTTTGTATCCTGAGACTGTGCTGAAGTTGTTTATGAGATCTAGGAACTGAGGTGTTTCCAGTCTTCTTGCCACAACAGTCTAATGGAGAATGCTGGGAAAAGCACTTCATCAGGGTGGCGGCAGCAAGATCTGAACTCATTCACATGTGCCATCAATAGTAGCAGCACAACCCATTTGACACATTTTTTTTTTGGCTACTTAATATTTATCTTTTTCCATGATTGGATAGCTACATAATATGTGTCTTCGTAGAAGGCCAAGCCAATTTGATACTCATCAGACCTGGAATTCAGAGTTAAGGATGCTGAGAAGCAGAGGCTACATAGCTGCTACATCCCATCTAGTTTTTAGTTACCACACTGTGGGCAGTGCACTGGTAGCTCTAGAGACCCAGGCCAACTTTCGCTACAGGAAGCAATATTCTGTTCACCACGTTCCCTAGCACAGCTCTGACACAGCCTCGCGTTATTCCTCTTCACTTTCTGCTCCTGGCTCCCCCAAACTTCTCATGATCCCATGAGTCAGCTAACAGCCTTTCAATTAGTTATTTTTCTGCTTACATGAGAACACTGACTGACACAAACATCATAGTCAACCTACATAGTCAAAGGAGTCTCTCTGGGGATAGGTGAATGGAGCTGTCTTAGCCTCATCCATCTAAAACTTCATCATACAACTCTATCTCTTGCTTATCCCCAGGAAAATTTTAAATCATGATTTGGTTTCAGTCCTTTGAAAAAGAGTAAGTCAGTCATGCCAACATGAAAATTCCCATTCACCAGAATGACTCTGCTTCTCAAGTTAATGCATCTGACTTCTGGCTTTCTGACATCAGTGTCAGGAGTTTCGTTGATGTGAATCTACTTTTGAAAACTAGATTCAACCTTATGTGCTAACAACTCATGTGACTGAGGGTCAGAAAAAAGGGATGTTGGTAAATTCCCAAATTCACTACCATTTGGGAAAAAACTGGCTGTCTTTCAACAATTATTAGCTCAGCCTTGCCTTCAAACTTTTCCTTCATGTAGGTGAATAGAAACAGAGTAAGTAGAAAAAACATCTGGTAATGTAACTGTCAAGCAACAACAATGGGAAGTTTCAGAATCCATCATTTGCCTATGACCTAACTGTCAGAAATTTGCAAAGTCATTAATAATATGAGAAAATTCCAAGATCAATACTTAATTTAAAATGCAAGAGAGCAGATAAGATGATAAAGTAATCTTTAAATTCCATCTGAAGGTGCAGGAAAATGGTTAGAACAGAGGAGGACTCTCCAGGTGGATTGCAAGGCAAGGGGGATCTGAGGGGAGATGCTCAGAGACAGAGATCAACCCAAGGTTCTCAAAGAGCCATGCATGAAGAGAGAAAAGAACTCCAGCTCACAGGAGTAAATAAGGGAGGTAATACAGGGAAAATATCATAAACTTTTATCAGTCCCCAAAAATGTGTTATATAGGTGCACAAAATCCACTGAGAGCCAGTGGACAGCTGAGACAGAAACCGTGCATCAGGAAATCCTGGCAATGAGAGGACCAAGTTTGGAGCTTTGGGACAAAACTATTGGGCAATGAGGTTTTAAGCAAATGGAAGAGAAGGCGAGTTTGTAGCTTCCATCAGTCTCAATCACACTGTGTAAAATTTGAGGCTGCTTCATATCATGCATAGTCCCAACGCCTCAAATCCCTCTTGAAAGCATGATTTAATATCTACCAGGAATTTTTGTTCAAATTTATTGAAAATATGTGACATTTGGACTACTTCTGTTTAAATAGTCTTGAAATTTGGGGTACAGTAAAAACCTCAGTTTGTTCAACTTCCAGTGCAACCAATCACACTGAGAATGTAAAGTCTCAGGCCCTCAAATAAGATTTCATATATCCAGCTGTCTGACTGTAAATGCCAATTAAAAATCATTTTGTAGCTTCTCTTTTGTCCATGTTAAAAAGATATCAAGGACTTAATTTTTTACCTGCATTTCTGATAACAAATTAGTTATTCTAACCCATCTCAGAATCTGACAAATTCTTAGGTTCAGTGCAAAATTTCTCTTGCCTATTGTGTTTCGTTATTTGAAACAACCTACCAAGACAGACCAGTATTTTATATCAATGGCTTTAAAAAGCACATGACAATGTGCTTATATAGCATTGTCACACAATTTTAAGACATCATCTATCTTTAAGAATCATTCTTCTAAATCTGCACTGATGCTCTCAGGTCATTGTAAAACATACATTTTCAGATTCACAGCATTTTAAAAGCTTCCAAGAGTTAAAGCTTTGAAAGCTTTTAAAATGGTTTATTGATCTAAAGTGCCAGTTGAGAAGGTCTAATTTATGTTTCCCAGTTATAATAGTATTGTCTATAGTAATCTATATTCTTCTATCTGTAGTAATCTATATCCTTTTGAAGTTTGACAAGTTCATTTTCCACTATATTTATACCACTCCACTTATTCCATCATTTCCAAGGTATTCTATCATAGCTAAAACCCAAAAATAAGTAAAAGGTGGAAGAGGCACCGTGTATACAAAAGTATAATGATTTCTTTCATTCTTTATTTCAACTAAGGTAGATGACATAAATTTCCCATTCAAACATGGCATCAATAGGAGACTTCATTGACTACAATGAATCAAGGTTTTCTAAAACCTTCAATAGCTAATTTACACTGAGTTAGCTGTACATGAAGGACGGAATTGAATTTGAGTAAGTTATTTTATTTTTTAAAAAAATAACAAATGAAAACTAATTGTACTTCATTATTCCCAGGAGGCAAAGAATTATCAAGGTACAATTTAATGATGATGAATTCTACCCCAAGAGAAACATTAGCCCTATGGATTTACTTCTCAGTATTTTCATTACTCCATATGCATTATATATGCATTTAAAAATTTATATACATTTTTATGTCATTTAAGCAAAATATAACTTGACAATAGGAAATACCTCTTGAGAATTACTGTCCCAGCCATATAAAGAGGGTAAAGATAAAAATCAACGACAATGCAGATCTTGCAATACAATCATAAATATGATTTCAAAGTTAAATTTTATGCTTTTTCCAGACCATGTTTGTTAGAAATTTACTAGAACACTCTTCTGGAACCTCTTTCCTACAGTTATGTAAGTTGGATAGCATTAACAACTTTAAGAGAGAACTTTGTCACTCATTTGACGAAGAACAAGCAATATATTCATGAAATATAAGGCACTAGTGCTAAAACGGTGATCATTTATGTGGCATTTTATGCTTTCTTTATGTTTTCTTTATAACACATATCACAATTTTCATTTCTTTCATGTGTGCTTTCCTAGTGGTCATTTGCCTTACCTTTCCTTTGATGATAAGTTCCATGAGATCATACTGATTTTGCTCACTACTATGGTACATACTGCCAGATGGTAGCTGACACAGACTAGGCTCCCTTTAATACCTATTGAATGAATGGGTAAAAAGAAGCATATATTTGTCAGACATGTTTCTCATGGGTCTGTTGTGAAAGTCAGTCCATTTGAACTTGAACACCTCTGGGATATACAAAGAAAGAAAAATAATGAGACAACAAAGGATTTGGGGTTTAATATTTTGTTATGTCGCATAGCTGTATGGTAAATTTGGAGAGTATGCTGTTCCCCAAACTTGCTCCTGACACATGGTGACTATTTCCACCATTATTTCTTACACCCAAAAAATAAATAGAGCTGTAGATGCCGCAAAAGAGTCATTCTGTTGTTGATATGAACAATAAAATGAAAAATAGGAACTAGATTACAACCAGAATACGGTCAAATGGTTTGTTTTATGATAAAATTGAGTCATTATCCTTACTTATCATTCTCACCACAAACCCCCCAAAATTAATATTTCAGCTACTGTTATTTATTAAAATACTAATCACTGACATAATTTTTAATTAAACATCATGGCATTAAACCATGCTTGCAGAGCACCATTCAACTAATCCTGCATGTGTCCTTAGCAAAGAAATTCCAGCTGCCACTATTTGATCAGTTAGCACTGGCACTGAGATCTAGTTTTCACTGTTCTGGTCACTCTCCATCTTATTACATAATTGTCAGGTTTGAGAGGACATGTTCTTCCTACTATAGTAAAAGAGCTGGAATAATTCACAAATATAATGCAGTGGTAAACTAAAATGCATTTCAACATTGTTGGAAGGCATATAGAAAGTATGTAAGGAATTTTGCAGAAATAAATTTTACAATATTTTTTGTAGCGTGGAAATTGAATCAAAATGTTAATGTTTATAATATTCTTGACTAACGCATATTGTATATTAATCTTGAAATGCATAAATAGTTTTTGTGAATCATAAAGAAAACTATAAGAAAAGATATAGCTCAATGGTAATTACTTCTTTAGTAAAATGTTTTAGGAGGAAAACTATGTAAGTGTAATCAATAATGCGGTGACTTTTTACCTGGAATTTTAACAGGATTCCAAAGTAAGCATACAGAAAAAGCACTACAGGTAAAATTTATTCAGTACCCAATTCAAAAGAAAATAATTACAGTAAACTATTTTAAACCTCACATTTTCAAGATGTCATAATGTGGTTAGCTTTTTTTTTTTCTTGAGACAGAGTTGCGTTCTGTCCCCCAGGCTGGAGTGCAGTGGCATGATCTTGGCTCACTGCAGCCTCTGCCTCCCGGGTTCAAGCAATTCTCCTGCATCAGCCTCCCAAGTAGCTGGGATTACAGGCGCCCACCACCACACCTGGCTAATTTTTGTACTTTTGGTAGAGACAGGGTTTTGCCACATTGGCCAGGATGGTCTCGACCTCCTGACCTCAGATCCGCCCACCTCGGCCTCCCACAGTGCTGGGATTACAGGGTGAGCCACCATGCCCGGCTAAACCTGATGTTTTCAAGATGTCATCATGTGGTTAGCTTTTTTTTTTTTAAGACCTCTACTGTATTGATGAATCACAAAACTTTGTAATATAATGGAGAGGAACCATGAAACTATTTTGCACCACACAAAACCTCAACAGTTATCTCCATTACTCACTAATTGAATCATTCATTCTAGTGTGTATTTATTGAATTCATAACATTCAAAGAGTTTAAAATAAGTAGCATGTTTTACTTTTACAGAAGATAATGTTCCAAATTGGCAACAATTTTGGTAGTAATAAATAATCATCAATTGTAGGATATTAAGCAGAGCCTTTTGAAAAATATAAATTACATTTAATCAACCTTTTTAAAGAAAAAGTGACATTTCAACAAGTGACAGTGTAATTGATTATTTTACAATAGTATTTTATTTTTCTATTTATTTATTTATTTTTTATTTTTTGAGATAGGATCTCACTCTGTCGCCAGGATGGAGTACAGTGGTATGATCTTGGCTCACTGAGGCCTTGATCTCCTGGGCTCAATCAGTCCTCCTACCTCAGCCACCCAAGTAGCTGGGATCACAGGTGTGCGCCACCATGCCAGCTAATTTTTAAATTTTTGTGGAGATGGAGTCTCCCTATGTTTCCCAGGGGGAAAAAATTGAAATATCAGTCCCAAATCAACATGTCCTGTGCTCTGTGATAGTAGTTCCTGTCTGAGAATTTTAAGGGGACATGGACTTGAGAGGTTTAAAAACAGAAGCTACTCACCAAGCATTATCTTAAATTCCTGGGCTCAAGTGATTCTCCCACCTCGGCCTCCGAAAGTGCTGGGATTACAGGCATGAGCCACCACACCCAGCCCGACAGTTTATTTATTTTTTTAAATGCTTTCATCATTAAGTGTTCTTTTTCTGCTGAAAATAATATATCACTACTTTCAAACTCTTATATTCATGTTTGAAACTTGGAAACAGAATTTCTTCTCCTCTGAAAAACCTCTCCAAGATCTCTCAACACCTAGCACCCAAGTTGTGTTTCCTAAATGCTATTCTTCAGTGAAAGGTGGCTTTGAACCTAAGCTTAAAAATGTTAAAACCAACAACTTCTGATTACTTTTCAAAAACATTGACTGATTTCAGAGAAAGATAAATTAATTAACTCAATTTCATTGAAAAATGTACATAATCACAATTGAGATTGAAGATCAGGCACCATTTTTCTTTCCTTTTCTTTTAGAGATAGGGTCTCACTCAGTCACCCAGGAGTGGCGCAACCTTGGCTCTCTGCAACCTCAAACTCGTGGGCTCAAGCAATCTTCTTGTCTCAGCCTCCCAAGTAGTTGGGATTACAGATGCATACCACTGCACCCAGCTAATTTTGTTAAATTATTTTTTATGGAGATGGGGTCTCACTGTATTGCCCAGGCTGGTATCAAACTCTAGGCCTCAAATGATCCTTCCACTTCGGCCTCCCGAAGTGCTTGGATTACAGGTATGAGCCACCACACTTGGCCAAGAATAATTTTTCATAAATCATTTTATTTAAATATCTGTATTTTCCAATATTATTATATTAAATAAGACAGACACTAAAAGCAAATATTGAAAAAAATTAAATTAAAAAATAGATTCAAATTTTCAAAATAATGAAATATATTCAATCATGTTGCACTCACTAAAAATGTTAGTACATTATGCTAGTGAAAGCAATGGTGTTTTTGCATTGTTAATAAAAAATAAAATTATTTTATATTTATCTCATCTTTCTGAAGTTACATATATGTTCAAACTTTATGTGAAAGTTCGAATATATATATAATATATTATGACTACATGTAGTTAATGTGTTATAAATAACTATCCATATATGTGAATGCCTATGTTGAGGCTTAGAAAACGATACCCCAAAGTATGGTGCTTTGGTGTGCTGAGCACTTTGAACTAAAAAAAATTAAAAGGCCTTAGAAGCAGCCTCAGAACCAATGACTGTCTAACCTTTATTTCTCCCCCTAAGTGCAGGATGGAACACTGTCTCTGAAGTTCCCTTATCTGTAGCTCTTTCAGAAGGAACATAATTGCCTTGAATCCCCTTCCTGAGATTTCATTAACCAGAGCATTAAACTCACGTGGTAGGAGGGAAGACTAAGGAATGTTACCACACCTGTCCCATTCCATTTCCAAAGAGAACCATTTACAAACTATTGTCTGTTCTTTGGGCTCAATCAACTCTCCTAAAGATTATTTACTACCTCTCCAAATTGCCTCCATTACCCCATCTCCCTCTGCTCTATGAAGAGGGTGCTATTTAAATTCTACCCATTTAGCCCTTCTTTGAGTCGCATATTTCACATGGCTCCCATACACACTTGCACATTTACAAATCTGTATGCTTTTTCTGTTAATCTATTGTCAGTTTATTTCAGCAAACTCAAACCTTCAGAGAGGAAGTGAAAAATCCCTTTTTTCCTATACTTGTTCAAAAATGTTGTACTGATAAGAATGAGGAATCAAAAAAATGGAAATATCAGTCCCAAATCAACATTTCCTGTGTTCTGTGATAGTAGTTCCTGTCTGAGAGTTTTAAGGGGACATGAACAGGTTTGAAAATGGAAGCTACTCACCAAGCTTTATTACCCTTATCTTCACGCATTAGCAGAAACTTGTTTTTGTGGGCTGCTTGTAATTGTCAGTTTATTATCAAGTCAATGTGGGATGCTTTGTGATGTAATTTAGAGCAGAGAAAAGTAAGAACTAGCAGTTGCCTAGAATGGGGACCTCAGCCATTTTTTATCATTCAACCTCTCCATCTATGTGATGAGACAACTCCTTGACAAAGGAATTAACAGACACTGAGAAAGATTTTTTTGTGCCTCCTGGCAGAGTAAAAATCCAACTCAGAGTAGTAAAAAACCTGTATACTCCATGCCTGAAGTTATGAAGATCTGGAAACTGCAGATGGATCTGAGGGGACAATGAAATAAGAATTCTTTCACAGGAGCACTGGAGAAGCAAAGATCCTAGGAAGATAGCTATGCTAACTTGTCTAGAGAGGACAGAGCATCTGTATACCTCTGCCTCCCACCCCAGCCTTAAGAGACTTAGAGGCTTTAGGAACAAGACAACTAAAAAAGGGCATGTCACCTGATTTTCTGACACCCTCTTTAAACTAAAAATAAAATCCCAAGCCCCCCAATTCACCGAACAGACCCCCTCTTGGCCAAGGAGACCCAAGAGAAATCTGAAAAACTGAGTTCTTAGCCATCACAGGAAGATTGAACACGCCTTGTTACATGCCATCCCTGCTAGCGTTTAGACAAAACTGAGTAGCATTAGTGTTAAAATAGAGATCATAAGGCTGACAAAACAGACTCTTTGTGACACTAAGATACCAGCTTATAAACAAGACCCTGAGTCCATGCAAGGCCAAGGGTTAAGTCATGCCTGTAGGTCATTAATCTTACTACATGACATCCTAACCTTAAATTAAAACCTTCCGGCCAGGAGCAGTGGCTCATGCCTGTAATCCCAGCACTTTGGGAGGCCAAGGCAGGTGGATCATGAGGTCAAGAGATCGAGACCATCCTGGCCAACATGGTGAAACCCTGTGTCTACCAAAAATATAAAAAATTAGCTAGGTGTGGTGGCACGCACCTGTAATCCCAGCTACTCGGGAGGCTGAGGCAGGAGAATTGCTTGAACCCAGGAGGCGGAGGTTGCAGTGAGCTGAGATCGTGCCACTGCACTCAAGCCTGGGTGACAGAGTGAGACTCCCTCTCAAAAAAAACCTTCCTTTCTGCTGATTACAAGTTTTAAACAGAGGTTTACTTCTTTAACCAGTTGCAAATAAGAGAATCTCTGAATCCACTTATCACCTGTAAGCCCCTCATTTCAAGATATCTTGCCTGCTCAGGCCAAACCAACATATACTTCCCATGTGTTGATTTATGTCTTTGCCTGTAATAACTCTTGTCCCTTTAAAATTCATAGAACCAAACTGGAATCCAACTGCCTAAGGCACACTTTCTCAGGACCTCTTGAGACCATTTTCCCTGGGCATGGTCACTCATATTGGCTCAGAATAAACCTTTTTAAAATATTTTAGAGTTTGATGGGTTTTTTGTTGTTGTTAATACCCTACTCCCTCTTTTTCCCTTGCAAACTTAAAATGCTTTTTGACTTCGGAAAATTAACAAGACTCTTAAAACAAATATTTAATCTTTGTGCAGCTGAGGCAAACAAGGTAATATCCAAGACAGATAGAGGAAGGTAATGGCTTTTCCCTCTGATCATAGGAAGTGTGAGGAAAAGCAGTAATGAGCAAAAGCAGATCCAGCAGAAAATCCATGGGCTCTATCATCCTGACCACTCTCCCAAGTGAAGAGCTTGATTTACATCCTGAGGGACTGGGGAGAGGGAGAGGGAGAGGGAGAAGAAAGAAAGAAGAAGAAGAGGAAGAAGAAGAAGAGGAAGAGGAAGAGGAAGAAGAAAGAGGAGGAAAAGGAGGTAGATGATGCCACCTATTACTCAAGTTATATAATGATGACCCAGTGACATGAAATTAAATTGTTACCAAATGCCAGGGGTTTGGTCTAGATCCCATTGCTCACCATACAGAATGCCAATGCCTGATACAAGAAGTATTGCCAGGAAAGAAGACTTTATTTGTGAGCTGCAGTCAAGAAGAACAGGAGATAAGTCTCAAATCCTTTTCCTTGACCCACTAAAATTTGGGGCTTACATAGCAGAGAAGGGATGTCACTACATGCAGGAATACAGGAATGAGGGAGGGGTAAGGGAGCAATCACGATGGGTAAGAGACCTTAGATCTCATGGTCTGGATATGGTGATCTGGTGAGTTTCAGTCCCTTGCGTGAGGGTCTGTTTCCTGAGGAAACCACTCAGATGAGACACATATAAGTTTCAAGTTTTAAGAGTGGGAGGGTTAATTTCTACCTTTATTCAAAAACCCATAAATATTTCAAAGGGACAACTGGGCCTTTCAAAAAGACTGGAGCAATTTAGTCAATTCGCTCAACAATTCTAATCTACCCCAACAGCAATCTAGAATAGAAATGGGCAAACTGTAGCCCGCAGATAGTTTGGGTGGGCAAACTGCATCAAACACAAAAACTTTATCTCAGTACTAAAGATCAGATTTCTGTTGCTTCATAAAAGTGCAAAAATATTAACCATTAATTTTTAATTAAAGCCAGTGTGAATGTTCTCACCAACACTATTCTAGTCAATTGCATAGGCTGTACATATTTTTAAAATGTGTATTCTCTTATGGGACTGCGTAAAATTATTTTTATTTTGAGAGGAGAAGTTTTGTTTTATAAGTTTTTTATTTTTCCTGAATTAGCATTTATTAGAAAGAGAGAAAAAGTTGCTCAGCTTCTATGTACCACGCTCAAATAAAAGGAATCAGGGCTCCTTGGAGAAATGGCAGATTCCATTGTTGGACGGGGAGAATACAAGTCAAGCCTGAGTCATCTTCTGGTGTCAGAAATAAGGAAGTGCTCAAAAACGTATGGAAGCTGTCCAAGGAAGAGAAGCTAACTGGAAAGAGCTCCAATGGCCAAAGTAGGAACAACCTGAGAAACAAATAGATGACATTATTGAGTTAGTACTTCTAGAATATAATAAATATCCATGAGTCCATATTGATATAAACACATAATTGAGTGAAAAATAAATGAGGAGAAGGGATAACTCTTCCTCATAGAAAAAAAATTAACTAATAAGTGTAGAAGTGGGGGAAGTACTAAATCACCATTGGGCGAATATGACAGTAATAATTGTTGAAGACAAGAGCCACTGACAAATGCTGAAAAAGGGTAGGCAAAGATTTGAGGAGAAACAGGGTATTACAATAGTCTCATAAATCTTCCCCAAAATTGTGATCAATTGTGAAGATAAAATAGCAATTTTATAGTGGATAAATCCAGCACATACTATCCTATTTATGTGATTATTTATGTGATTATAGTTGGTATTACCAGTAATAAGACATCAAGGTCATGTACCCCCTGAGAAGGACCCAATGTCACTTCTGTGTTATTTTTGGTAAAAATACATAACAAAAATCTAGTCATGAGAAAACATCAGAGGCATTTTACAAAGTAACTCAAACTCACTGTCTCTCACTAAAAGCGTCAAGGTCACAAGACAAAGACACAATGACAAACCGTCACAGATTAGAGGAAACTAAGGAGGTATCACAACTAAGTGCAATGGAGGAAGCTGGGTTAAATTCAGGAGAAGAAAAAGAACATTAGGGGAAATACTGGTAAAATCCTAATAAGATCTATTGCTCAAAACTATGGTATCAATCTTAATGCCTTGGTTTTTGATCATTGTACAATGGCTATGTCAGTTGCTCACATTAGGGAAATATGAGAACTCTGAGCAATTTGCACTTTTTCTGTAAGTCTAAAATTATTTCAAAATAAAAAGGGATTTGTCTTTAGTTTGTTTGTTTGTTTGTTTTAATGGTGTTCATCACTTGTTTAGCATTGATAGCCAATCTATGTGAAGGGAATTTACAATGATGAAAATCATTTCTATTAAGTACTGTGGAGAGAACAGATAAATGAAGAGCACTTCAAAAAGTGATTTAGCAAAACAATGAATAATGTAAATTGTATGTGTGGGTCGACAGCTGAAGTGCTTCAAGAATGCTCTCAACAGAAGAATAAATGTTGACCATTTTACTGGAACAGTAGACACAAAACCATCCATGTGTATATAACGATGAAATAATTAATAAAGGTAGCTAATTTTTATTGAATCTTACTTGCAAGGCACATAAAATCTCCCGAAAAGCTGACGAGTTAAATATATTTTTTGACCTCTTCACACAGTCAAATAGCTTCCACAAGGTTATACAGATAATAAGAAGCTGAGCTGTGATTTTAACTCAGGCTGATGAAGCTCCAAGCCAATACACCTGACCACTAGGCTACATGATATACCTTTGATCTCTGAGCTTTAAGTTTATTCTGTGGCAGAAATGCTAGGTTTGCATTTTACCACTTTCCATTGCTCCTAATGAAGAGCAGTAGGCATCCATGACTAGAGAAAGAGCTCCCGTTAGTGATTATAAAACAGTTTTTTTCTCTTTGAAAAGCAGAAAATGATCACAACCTTGAGTTCACAGTTACCACTCTCTAACCCTTTCAGCTAAATTGGCCAGACAACTCTAATGTCACAGGTGTGCTGTGACAGCAACTTCATCCAACTGAGCAATAGGCCCTCTCCACAAGTTAAGCTCAGTCTAATATTAGAGGGTGCCATGCTCAACCAATCAATACAAGCAGAGGAATAAGTCCTAGCCAATTTAGTGGCCATTCAGCTGATTGTAGTTTGCCTTTTGTAATTTTGTTATTTTGGGCTTTGTTTTATATATATAAAAACTTTAAAATGGCCCTAATTTTCCAGTCCCTGGAATTTCAAAAAGAGCATGGAAGGTTTCCAAAAATGCAGCCTAGAATTGCAATCTACGTGTTGTGCTTTAACATATAAGCACATTCATTAATGAGAAATTTGAAGGAAATAAATGTCTGGTTCTCATCTCTACAGAAACAGCACACAAAAGTTTTAATAAATGCTATATTTAATATAAAATAATTATGTCTTGTTCTACTGCTGTTATCAACATTAGTCTTCTTCATAGGTAAACTTGCAAAATATGCCATTAATGTGTTGAATGATAATATCTTTTTAAATTTAAACATCTGACTTTTTTCCAAATTCATAAAATGAAAAATCAGAGGGGTTTTCCAGTCTATAAAATGTGGGAGAAGGAAGAAATTAACACAAGTGCTTAACCACAAGCCCTCTGAACATTCCTAACCCACTGGACTAGAAAATCTTAAGAGGGCTGACTTCTAAGATATGCAGTACCTAGTGGTGAGGGCCAGCCCGGAGAAGTCATAAGAATACTAAGCCAAGTGTTAATTCCCTAATCATCCCACTATTTCAAGCTCTGGTGGAGGGAATAGAGAAGGGTCATTTCTGACCATTGAGGGACTTTTTTCTAGCAGTTTCTGCCAAAGTTCGAAATAGCAGTCACATGATTTCTGGTCAAAATGATGAACTTGTGTGAACCTCAAAAACACTGAAAGTTCATCTCAGTTTGGTGATCTAACTGGAAGTAATTTTTAAATAAGAAAATATTTTTAAGTCCATGGAAAAACACTAAACTCATTATTGTTTCATTTCTCTTTTATAAAAAATGTGATGTATGAAAAACTGAGGGTCTGCTTTAATTTGACAATAATATATTTTCTTCAGCTTTGATTTGAACTGTTTTAAAGATCTGTATACCTGGGACTCAAGAATCTCCGATTCAATGCTAATTAGCTGAATGCTACGGGCAAGTCATTTAACATCTTTGGCCTTTGGTCTGTGTCTGCAAAATGAGAGTGTGTAAATAAATTCTAATGCACAGTTTAGTCACCAAAAAGAATTCTAAATTTAAATTTTGTATTTGCAGAAAATAGACATTGACCATTGACATTTTAGTGCTGATGCGGATGAGTTCTTTTAAAGTTTCATAAGTTTTGAACTACAGCTTTTTTTTTGTTTTCTCTTAAGTGGTTAGAAAAAGAATTCTACAGATGACTTAAAATGGTGTCAGTTAGTTCATCCACATCAATAATTGCTGAAAGAAAAGCAACTTTCAATATTAAGTTGAAAATTGGAAGCTGTAGGTCATATTGACTGCTTTACTTTTCTCTAATGATTCTGTTTTGTACTATGTTGTATGTATAAAAAGACCTTTTTCTAAAAGTCTCTCGAGTACTAAACACACGGTTGTTGAAGCTTTATCATGAGGCTCTCAAGAAAAAGAGGGTAGAGGAGTATTTTATTTATAATTGAATCACAAAGTGTTATGCACATTTGTAAAGGATGCCTTTTAAAAATCTGTTTTGCTCTTAATATTTATTAAACTCATCCACACATAAAACTCCTTGCCTTTCTTTCTTATCCGTGTCTATTTCTTCTTATAATTCCCTATCCTAATGGCTATGAAAACACAGGCATATGACTGGAAATAAATCTTTAAATAAAGAAAGAAAAGTCACTCAAAGGAGAATGGAGATTAATAGACAGCATAGTCGGTTTCCTGTTTGGAACAGCCTCAGCGAGTTTCTTTTTCCTCCTATTCTCTCCTGAAAAATGGAACCACAAAAGACCAAGGCTCAGTGAACATTCTTTATGTTTTTTTCATGTAAAATAAATAAGAAATTTTTGATGCCCATTAGCTTTAATAGAGGGCAGAACTTTACTTCTACTGATCATAATTCTTTTACTTTTAAGTGAGAATTTGGACTGACTATACCATATGTGAACATTGACACAGATACTGCCCGATGATAATCACATCAAGGTTCACTGTAGTGATTCTGGCTCTGAAAAGTCTATTAGAGTGATGGCCATTCCCACTTTGATATCTAAATGTATTTTCAAATTCAATCAATGTAGGCCAGGCGTGGTGGCTCACACCTGTAATCCCAGCACTTTGGGAGGCTGAGGTGGGTGGATTACTTGACGTCAGGAGTTCAAGACCAGTGTGGCCAACATGGTGAAACTCCATCTCTACTAAAAATACAAAAACATTAGCTGGGCGTGGTGGTGCACATGTGTGGTCCCAGCTATTTGGGAGGCTGAGGCAGGAGAATTGCTTGAACCCAGGAGACGGAGGTTGTAGTGAGCCGAGATCACACCACTGTACTCCAGCCTGGGCAATAGAGTGAGACTCCATCTGAAAACACACACACACACACACACACACACACACACAAAATCAATCCATAACTAGATGTATGCTTTTCCCTACAAAATAACTCATATCTTTTGACTCCCCCAATAATGTTGATTCCACTACTACTCTTTAAATCAACCAGGTGGTTAAACATTGTGTCATCTTTGATTTCTGCCTTTCCTCAACATCTCAAAGCACTGCTCATCAAGCCCGATGGCTTTCCTCATGATACCTGCATCTCTTCACCATATTTCTTCTTCTCCAGCCACTGTGTGAATTCAAAACCAAATCACCACTGAGTTCCTGGCACACTAATTTATTTACCTATTCATGTAGTAATGCCAATAAAATTAAGCAGTCAGAGCAAAATAAGGAAAAAGTAACGACTATGTTATTTGCAGAGATATGAAGAGACGTAGGGGAGGGATGGAGATTTTAAATGATGGACATAGAGATTAAATACAGGTAGGGATGGGTTAGGGACACAGATACGGTGCAGATACAGATTCCGGTGGAGGGATTTTCAACAACTTGGTACCTACAAAATTGTAGCAGTATACTTGATAAAAGACATCTTTATTTTTTCAAAGAAAACATTAAGTAAGCTTGAAGATGCCTGGAAAAGGGATATTCAGATTTAAATAGGATCCCAAGGTCTTCTGGAAGGGAAGAGATCAAAACTCAACATTTCCCAAAAGTTTTTATGCAAATTGGGATAGACAGAGAAGGCCCAACCAGGACCCAGTGGTGAAGAAGCAATAAAGAAAGTGAAGGGCAACAAATTCCTAAGATAAAATCCCTGTGAGAATCAAAGAGTCAGGTAACAGTGGTGGTCCCTGAACCTGGACGTGGTCATTATGAGAAGCTATCTGTCTGAGTCTATGGTGCATCCACTCTGGCCCCAACTCAGACCTGTGAGCTGCAGATTGTAACCACAGAAAGTAGGTGGTGGTGGAGTCAGAAAATGCTACCCCAAAGTGAAGGCCTCAGAAGCAAAGTTTCTCTTTGACTTTCTTCTGCCCTCCTGTCTCACTCTCATTCTGCCCTGAGGCAAGACACAGAAAATAGAATTTCTCTTCCCCAGGGTAGATCATACAAAACAGAACCCTTTTTCCCCAAAGGCAGCCATAAAGTGAAAAATATTACTCTAATTTTCCTCACCTTTCTGTGTCACAGCTGGCCATAACGAAACTCTCAGCCTGGGCAACATATCAAGAACCCACTTCAACAAAAAATAGAAAATAAAAATAAATTAAGCAGGTGTTGTGGTGCGTGCTGGTAGTCCTGGCTACTTAGGAAGCAGAGGCAGGAGGATGGCTTAAGCCCTGGAGTTCAAGGCTGCAGTGAGCCGTGATTATTCCATTGCACTCTCATCTGGGTGACGGAGAGAGACCCTTTCTCTAAAAAACAAACAAACAAAAAAACTCTATAATCCCAGCACTTTGGGAGACCAAGGTGGACAGATCACCTGAGGTCAGGAGTTCAAGACCAACCTGGCCAACATGGTGAAACCCCATCTCTACTAAAAATACAAAAATTAGCTGGGTGTGGTGGCGCACGTCTGTAGTCCCAGGTACTTAGAAGGCTGAGGCAAGAGAGTCATTTGAACCTGGGAGGCGGAGGTTGCAGTGAGCTGACATTGCGCCTCTGCACTCCAGCCTGGGTGACAGAGCGAGACTCCGTCTAAAACAAAAAAAAGAAAGAAAGACAGAAAAAAAAAAATTATTTGACTTACTTTGTCGATTATGAATCTTAAAACCCCCGTTCCAAAAGGGTCAGGCCCCAGAAGTCCAGGAAGACTCCAAACAGATGGGCCTTGCTGGGCTTCCCCCTCATTCCACTGCTATAAGATTAGATCCTTTTTGGCCAGACACAGTGATTCACGCCTGTAATGCCAGTGGGTCCGGAATTGGTGGGTTCTTGGTCTCACTGACTTCAAGAATGAAGCCGCGAACCCTCGCAGTGAGTGTTACAGTTCTTAAAGGCTGCGTGTCTGGAGCTCGTTCCTTCTGATGTTCGGATGTGTTGGCAGTTTCTTCCTTCTGGTGGGTTCTTGGTCTCGCTGGCTCAGGAGTGAAGCTGCGGATCTTCGAGGTGAGTGTTATAGCTCTTAAGGCGGCACGTCTGCAGTCGTTCGTTCCTTCTGGTGGGCTCGTGGTCTCGCTGGCTTCAGGACTGAAGCTGCAGACCTTCACAGTGAGTGTTACAGCTCATAAAGGCAGTGTGGACCCAAGGAGTGAGCAGCAGCAAGAATTATTGCAAAGAGCGAAAGAACAAACCTCCCACAGCGTGGAAGGGAACCCCAGCAGGTTACCACTGCTGGCTGGGGCAGCCTGCTTTTATTCTCTTATCTGGCCCCACCCACATCCTGCTGATTGGTAGAGCCGAGTGGTCTGTTTTGACAGGGCGCTGATTGGTGCGTTTACAATCCCTGAGCTAGACACAAAGGTTCTCCAGGTCCCCACCAGAGTAGCTAGATACAGAGTGTGGATTGGTGCATTCACAAACCCTGAGCTAGACACAGGGTGCTGATTGGTGTGTTTACAAACCTTGAGCTAGATACAGAGTGCCCACTGGTGTATTTACAATCCCTGAGCTAGACATAAAGGTTCTCCACGTCCCCACCAGACTCAGGAGCCCAGCTAGCTTCACCCAGTGGATCCTGCACCGGGGCTGCAGGTGGAGCTGCCTGCCAGTCCCACGCCATGCGCCTGCACTCCTCAGCCCTTGGGTGGTCGATGGGACTGGGCACTGTGGAGCAGGGGGTGGCCCTCGTCGGGGAGGCTCGGGCTGCACAGGAGCCCACTGGAGGTGTGGGGAGTCTCAGGCATGGCAGGCTGCAGGTCCCGAGCCCTTCCCTGCCCTGCGGGAAGGCAGCTAAGGCCTGGCGAGAAATTGAGCACAGCAGCTGCTGGCCCAGGTACTAAGCCCCTCACTGCCCAGGCCGGTGGGACCGGCGGGCCGCTCCGAGAGTGGGGACCGCTGAGCCCACGCCCACCCGAACTCGCGCTGGCCCGCAAGCACCGTGCGCAGCCCTGGTTCCCGCCCACGCCTCTCCCTCCACATCTCCCTGCAAGCTGAGAGAGCCAGCTCTGGCCTTGGCCCGCCCAGGAAGGGGCTCCCACAATGCAGCAGTGGGCTGAAGGGCTCCTCAAGTGCCGCCAAAGTGGGAGCCCAGGCAGAGGAGGCGCTGAGAGCAAGTGAGGGCTGTGAGGACTGCCGGCACGCTGTCACCTCTCACCAGCACTTTGGGAGTCTGAGGCGGGAGGATCACCTGAGGTCAGGAGTTCGAGACCAGCCTGGCCAATATGGTGAAACCCCACCTCTACTAAAAAAAAAAATATATATATATATATATTAGGTGGGTGTGGTGGCACGTGCCTGTAGTCCCAGCTACTCAGGAGGCTGAGGCAGGAGAATTGCTTGAACCTGAAAGGCAGAGGTTGCAGTAAGCACTCCAGCCTGGGCAACACAGCAAGACTCCGTCTAAAAAAAAAAAAAAAAAAAAGATTCAACCCTTTTTGTTCAATTGTATTTCTGCAAAGTTGTCTCTGCTTCATAGAACCTAAGCATCAAGTCACATCAGATAGCTTCTGGTATCTTTTGAGTCTTCAATCTGAAAGCTCCCCTGTCATGTAAAACTATGATGAAATAAATGTGTTATGCTTTTCTCTTCATTATTTTTTGTTATAGGAATGTCAGCACCAGCTTTATGATGGGGAGGAGACGGATCACTCTTTTCTGCTCCTACATTGTTCTCATGAGCAACTCAAATTACAGTTTGATAAAAACTAAATGTTGGAAACTCATCTATTTGACACGGAGGGACAATACCTGCAAATGAACACCAGGAAAGAAGCATTCTTCTTCCCCTCTGAGTATTCACAGCCAGGCCTGCAGTAGAAGGATATTCCAGTAGATGCCAGAATGTTCATTTCAGTGGCTACATACGCCTCATTTGCCACAGGGTCCACATCAGACCTGTGAGTACTGGCAGCCCAGGAACAGCGGCAGCTGCATTGAAAGTGAGCCCACCTCGTGAACAATGGTTTCCTTCCCTTGCCCTTTCCTTTTCCTTTTTCCTTTCCTTGCCTCTCCTTTTCTTTTCTCTTATTCATCATACAATAGTAATCAGGACTGATTGCTTGCAGACCGAGTAAGTCTTGTGGTAAGAAATCGACAGGTTAATGGAAGGAATAGGAGATCAGGGAGAGAGAATGCTAACTTGGTATTTCAGGAGTCTATCTGAGTCAACTTTCACACCCAAAATGTTAAAAATGGACCATTTGACTTATAAAGAAAATGTTAAAACCCTCTGGGGAAAATGGTGGCCTGAAACAATTGGCACATTGCAAATAATGCAACTTTTAATGCTGAAGGAAAGAAGCTGTTCTTTCGAGTCTGAAGACTTGATTCTATTCTTACATATGACAAACTCTAACAATGGATGACCTTAAAGTTTTGATATTTTACCTATGGTTCTCATTTAAAACAGAAAAAAATCATTACCGGATAATAAGTCAGACTGTTTTCTTATCTGCCTTGATCAAGAAAAGTTAGATGTTGTCAGTGTCTTTGAAAGTTCTGCTAGGAAGCAAGATATTCCCAGCAGTTTACTTGAGCAAATGGCTTCCGTTTAGCCTAACGGTTTCTTAGGTTTCACTTTTAAATCCTGTGTTAAACAGAGCAAGTCACTGTCATTCAAACTTTTCCCAAGCTGTATGGGGCTCTATTGCTGTTGTTTAACGAAATTCAGAGGCTAGTGTAATTAGACCGCAGGGAAGGTAGGTCAGGCAGTGCTGTTAACTTGGCTGGCAAAGTTGATGGGTCAAAAATGTTTTATGTTTTTCTTCTTTTTTCGCACTAAATAAACTCGGTGTAAAAATGTTTTGCTTATAGTGCTCTTCTATTCATTTAACATAAACATTTGTGTATTTTAATTCTGTCTGTTCTAAAATTCTAATTTCTTCTATAAATTAATCAAATATGAAATCTAAGCCAGCAAAGTATGTTAGAGGAACAGTGAGTCAAGTTTTATAAAAATTAGGCAGGTATGGAACAGAGCTTTAAAACTGTATGATATTTGGAGGGAATGGAGTAAGAAACAGAAACCAGTTTTCTGAAGGGTATTTATTGTTATTATTATTAAATAAACACATTATTGCGTGTTCTGTGAGCAGTTCTTTCTTGATAGGAATACTGACAATACCTGTTATATTATTATGAAATTAAACTTATCTCTTTTCAAAAATAAATTCACACACCGTGACCCCAAAGTGTGAAGGATCACAAGATGTGTGACAAAGAATGCATTCAGCAAGGACTGGTAAAGTGCTGGAAACCCCAAGGGACGTGAGTTATATTTCATGGAACTGAGTCTAGGATTTGGAAATTATTTTGCAATTATTTATTGTTGGTCTCGAGAGTGTACGTTTCATGTATTTCTTCCTTTTTACCCAGAATGTAATTTTGCTTGGTGGTGACCATGTGAGAAAAATAGCACTGTGGGAAGCGTTCTTGTGCAGTTTTCACTGTAATCCGATCAATACAATAAACAGTTTGAAAGCTATTCATCATACAAAAATAAACAACTATTAGGTAGCTGTTGGTCCAATGCTCATAAACATGAACAATTTACACAAGAAAGAAAGTATACTAACAGGAAAAAAAAGCCATAGACAAATAACAAATTATCTCCTAAGAAAATGTTTTATTTCGGATCCGCCCCCCACCCCCAACACACATTATATTAAAGCATCAGGAAAAATGGCAGTGAACCAATCATCGTGAATGACTAAAATACAAATTAAAACCTGGGTTAATCATGGGGAAAAATCAGGTAAAAATTAAAGCAGGATTATACTTGGGTTTTCACTAGCAGGGTATTCTAGGATGGAATTATGTATCAGTCACCAATAAGTAGCTCTGGCATGTTCACCCCGTGTTTGCCACCTGAATGTTGTTTGCACCAGACTCACATTTATCATTTTCATGCTTTGATATCAGAAACTGGGAAGTCATACTTGACTCTTATTTTTTTCTTGCTCTATCTCATTCAAGCATCACTTCTAATTTGGCCTCCCTACTATTTCTTACACGTGTTTCTGCTTTTCCGTATCTCCTATCACTTGACTGGTTTACGTTCCATTATATTTTACTTCAATGGCCTCCTTTGATTCTATCTAGCATCTTATCTCCCCTAATTCATTTTGAAACAGCCAAACATCTCCCCAGTAAGATACAAATGTGCGGCCGGGCGCGGTGGCTCACGCCTGTAATCCCAGCACTTTGGGAGGCCGAGGCGGTCGGATCATGAGGTCAGGAGATCCAGACCATCCTGGCTAACACGGTGAAACCCCGTATCTACTAAAAATACAAAAAAAAATTAGCCGGGCGTGGTTGCGGGCGCCTGTAGTCCCAGCTACTCGGGAGGCTGAGGCAGGAGAATGGCTTGAACCCAGGAGGCGGAGCTTGCAGTGAGCCGAGATCACGCCACTGCACTCCAGCCTGGGCGACAGAGCGAGACTCTGTCTCAAAAATAATATTAATTTAAAAAATTAAAAAAATACAAATGTGCAAATGTCAGAGTACCCTTGTTTATGACACTGAAACGACACATGTATAACACTTCCACGATCTGGCCCATGTCATTATCTCTTGCTACTCTATCTCAGACATTAATTTACCAACTTAAAAATACTTGGGCACATATGTGCCAGGCGTTGTGCCATACATTATAGCATCTTCAGAATTTAGCATAGTGTTTTCAACATAAGAAGAACTCAATAAATATTCTACCCTCTAAATATTTCTTGAAGGGACTGTTTCCATTCCATGCACGCTAATACCACCCAGCCCAAGTCAGGGTCTTGTTCGGATACTCACCAGCTTCCTAATTCTAACACCTAACTCTAATCTAATCTCTACTTCCTATGGCCAGAGGGATTAAAATTAAAATTCTGGTCATGTTATTTCCAAACCTAAAATTTTGCAAAGGGTCCCCAATGAATCTATGACAAATTGTAAAATCCTAACCTGATTCATAAGTCCTTACATGTACCTTCCTTCAGGCTTACTCTTAGTCTCTCTTTCTCCCTCTCTACATTCCATTGCTTCTCTTTCTCTTTTCTTTGTTAAATCCTACTTATCCATCAGGTCTCAATTTAAACACCAATTTCTTTGTGTGACAGTCCCTGGCCCTCTTGACTAGGTTAAATTATTTTTCTCTGCATTACCATGGCATCACTTCGTGGAGCTCATCACACTTGTAATTACTTGCTTAATGTCTGTAACTTCCTCAGAGACACTTTCCCTAATCCCCTTGATAAGGGGAAGTATAGGTATCAAGCACTCTCAGAGGTCACTGTATTTCTCTTTAGCATACATCACAGCTCAATAATTGTTTTGTTGAGTTGAATTTCAGATACATCTCCAGTCCTCAGGGAACTTTGAGGCTTGGCTGTACCAGTACCTCTGTTACTCCTAGAAAATTCTTTCTCATTGTTTAAGTCTCAGCTCTCCTGTCAGCAACCCCAGGAGCCTTTGCTCATCGAACTTCACATCACTCCCAAGCTGAATTCGATCTCTCTCCTCCATACTCACATCCTACCTTATGTACATTTCTGTCATTGCACTTGCCAGAATCTACTTCAGTTATCTGTTTATGGGTCTGTCTTCCTGGAAAGTAGTTTCCTTGAGATAAGGGATGATATCTTATGTTTTGCATTCCATACATAATAAATATTTCTTGAATGAATGCATGAGTGAGTACATGTAAAATAGGAATTAGATGACCTCTTGCTGCCAAGTAATATGCATCCTGTAACAGGAATGAGGGCCATCCCAGCAGCAGTGCTGTGTGGACTGATGGACAGGGCCTTCATGGACTCACACCCTAGGCTTTGACATTTTGTGGATATAACCCTGACTAGACTGAAATTGTTTTTGAGTCCCTTATAAAATGAGTTACCAAAAGAGCATTTAAACTGAATGATAAAATAGAAATAAAATTATATTCATTTCAATCATAAATCTGTACAATGAGAATTGTATTCCCTAGATATATACATAAATACATACCAATATGGATATAGAAACAGATATACATATAGGTATAGGTATAGTGGTGGTAGAATAATAACCCCCAAAGATGTTCACATTCTAGTCTTTTGTGCCTTATATGGCAAAAAGGACCTGCAAGTATGATTGCAGTGAGGATTGTTTTGCAGATATGATTGTAGTGAGGATTGTTTTGCAGATATGATTGTAGTGAGGATTGTTTTGCAGATATGATTATGGTAAGGTTCATGAGATGGGTAGGTTTTCCTGGGTCTTCTAGGTGGGCCCAATATAATCACAAGGGGCCCTGTGAGCAAGAGGCAAGAATGTCAGAGTCGGGGAGAGATCTGAAGATGCAACACTGCTAGCTTTCAAAATGGAGGAAGGGACCAGGAGCAAAGGAAGGCAAGTGCTTCTATGAACTTCAGAACACAAGGGAATAGATTTTCCCTGAGAACCTCCAGAAAGAACACAACTTTGCTTATAACTTCATCTTGGCCCAGTGAGACTTCTGACCTATAGAACTGTAAGATGATAAAGTTGTTTTGTTTTGAGCTGGTAAGTTTGTTGTAATTTGTTACACCAGCAACAGCAAGCATATACGTACATGTATATGTCAATGCATATGTATTTGTATATGTGTATATGGTGCATATTTGCTAGTACTCCAATACCATTGCCTTTACATTGCTTAAGAACCTAGAGGCAGGTGCCAGGCACAGTGGCTCATACCCGTAATCCCAGTACTTTAGGAGGCAGAGGCAGAAGGATCGCTTGAGCCAAGGAGTTCAAGACCAGCCTAGGCAGTACAGTGTGAGACTCCATCTCTACAAAAAATAAAAAATTAACCAGGTGTAGTTGTGTGTACCTTTAGTCCCGGCTACTCAGGAGGCTGAGGTGGGAGGATCACTTGAACCCAGGATGTCAAGCCTGCAGTTAGCCATGGTTGTGTCACGGCACTCTAGTTTGGGTGACAGAGTGAGACCTTGTCTCAAAAAAATAAAAAGGTCTAGAGTAAGAGACAGACAACAGTACACGTATCATCATATACTTAGACCTGTGGTAGGTGCTAAGAAAAACCATAGTGACTAATGAGAATATTGAACATCCACCATGCTTTCCTTGTCAAGAGAATTAGGAATTACATTTGCATGCACACACACTTTTCCCACTAGTCCAAAGTTACAGACACAGAGCTGGTCATCTGTTTATATTTCATGAGGTTGATTTTGTATCATTTATATACATTCAATAAATAATTGTTTGAAGAGAAGTAAGAGCACAGGAATTTTTGAATATGGCACTTTACTTGCAAATATATTTTACTTATGTTCACATTGCCAAGGCAGAACTAGAGAGTTTTCAATCATGTTTCTAAAAGAAACTACTTCTGGGCGCAATGGCAATTTCAGCACTTTGAGAGGCCGAGACGGGTGGATCACATGAGGCCAGGAGTTCCAGACCTGCCTGGCCAACATAGTGAAACCCTGTCTCTACTAAAAATACAAAAAAATTGGTTGGGCATGGTGGCATGTGCCTGTGGTCCCAGCTGCTTGGGAGGCTAAGGCATAAGAATCGCTTGAACCCAGGAGGTGGAGGTTGCAGTGAGCTGAGATCACAACACTGCACTCCAGCCTGGGAGACAGAGGGAGAATCTGACTCAAAAAATAAATAAATAAATAAATAAATAAATAAATAAATAAATAGTAAAGAAAAGAAACTAATAGAGATTGTAAAAATAAACATTTGAGCCTAGAAGAATCTTAAAAGAGTTTATCAATTTGGAATATTTCAATATCTATTATGAGACATCCCCAAGTCCCCATATATTGCTCTGACAGAATATTATGCTAATTAGCACAGTTAATCTCCTTTCCATCCAAGACATTTTATTTTTAATTAGTTAAAAATATTTGTGGTTATTTCTCATAGAAGAATTAAAAATAAACTCCTTTATATATTTTAAGGTAACATTGTTTCAAAAACAATAATAGTTACATAGGTAAGTATTTCTTCATTATATCTAAAATATCATGATTGCTTTTGTTGTCAGAAATAAAACCATCCCCCTTGCTGACAACCAGTCACATTTCTTCCAGGGAAAGACTACCCACAATCCTGCAGAATTACACAGTGTGTATTAAATATAACACAGATAATTAACTCAGAGAACTGACAGTCATTTGTTGGCATACTCAAATAAAAACTGTAGCATACCCCTCACAATCCCAACATTCTGCACTATTTTATCATGTGTTGCGAGTTCTTGTTGTTTTTATTGGCATAATTAATTACTTGTATAACTGGAAATGTGCAGAAAACATACATGAACCATTCATCAGAACTTGCATCACACATTACTTTTTAATACACTCATTCAGGAGATATGTAGTGAAGACCACAGAAGACAGATACTAGAAGAGTTTTTTGTTTTTTCACAGTTTGCTCAAAAAAGAAACTAGAGCATTTGAAATGATGGTCTTTTAAAATATGTTAACATTATAGGTCAGAAAGTCTGAGGCTAATCTTTTATCTCCTGCAAGGGTTTTGTGATTAAAGGAGAAATAACTACTTGATATTTTTTTCTGGTCTTATAAGATTGGGTTTATATTCCCAAATAATATCGAGGAAGAAACAGCCTTTAAAGGATTTAATCTAGAGAAGTAAATCAAAGAACTGAAGTTCAACTTAAATGGTCGATTGAATTTGAGATATCTAAGTCTAATCTTAATTCTGGTGTAGATCTCTTAAGGACAAGACCACATAAGTATTCTTTTTTTTTTTTTTTTTTTTTTTTTTTTTTTTTGAGACGGAGTCTCGCTCTGTCGCCCAGGTCGGACTGCGGACTGCAGTGGCGCAATCTCGGCTCACTGCAAGCTCCGCTTCCCGGGTTCACGCCATTCTCCTGCCTCAGCCTCCCGAGTAGCTGGGACTACAGGCGCCCGCCACCGCGCCCGGCTAATTTTTTGTATTTTTAGTAGAGACGGGGTTTCACCTTGTTAGCCAGGATGGTCTCGATCTCCTGACCTCATGATCCACCCGCCTCGGCCTCCCAAAGTGCTGGGATTACAGGCGTGAGCCACCGCGCCCGGCCAAGTATTCTTAAATGTTATACAATATCTATGTTTAATGACTATATTCACTAGAATTGTAAAGATTCAAGATATTCTCATAATATTTAAAACAAATTTTTAAAAATATAACTTTCTATAGTGGCAGAATATATTATCCAAAGATGTTATATTCTATTAAATTATTTCCTAAATATTAATAGATGGTACGCAAAAATGTATTCTGTGTCAAATATGCCTGGAAAATCTTGATAGAAAGTATTGATTTTTTTTTCACTGCAGGACTTATTAGAGTCTTGAAATGTTAATGAGTATAGTGAATTTCCAAGAAAAGAAAAGATATAACATGCAGTGCTTCATCAGCTAGGATACTCAGTCCTAGTTCTCTTAACTCTATAATCCTGCCTTCTGCAACAGGTAAAGGGTTCTAAGTTGAAATGATGCTGCTTCCAAGTACAGCCAAATTCTCTAAAACAATCTGAGAGTTACATTCTCATGTCTTACCAGGAATTCTAGGTACAGAGAATACTTGTTGGAATCCGAGTTATGGATCCTAACTGAAATTAACTTCAGTTATTTATGGACCTATAGAGCATTCATTCATCCTATGTGGGATTGACTCCTCATTTTTGGGGGTGTCCTTCTGTTTTAATTACCCCTTATGTGCCCCATCAGGGAGGGAGGAGTTCCTGTCATATGGTTATGGGGAGGGCCAAATACACGACAGCCAACACTGGTTGGACAAACTCAACAATTGTGCATGAGCTCACAGCCTGTGTGGGAGGGCACTCCATGCCATGCAGGACCACATGGGGGCTGAGCTTGAGAGCAGAGGGAACAGCAAGGGACTGGGGGAGGCAGATTTTGCAGTATCAAGAAGATGAGGTGCCCCTTGGTTCCCACAGGAGTATGCGATTGGCTTGTTTGAATAATTTTGCAGGCTGGCAAAGAACTGAAACCCACTACTCAGGGATAAGCAGGAGCTGTGCCTGGGCCCCTTGGTAAGAAGGGTTGCTTGGCTAGGCCCTTATCTGCAGAGCACAGTCAGAAAGGAAACTTGCAGTTAGGCTATTCAAGGCCCACCTGGCAACACACGTCAAGGCAACACATAACACTGAATCTTGATCTGGGCCTTCCACCACATCCCCTTTCATCCACACCCAGTGCAGGTGGTTGGATAAGGCTTATCCAACCCCTAGAACCAGACGAGGACGGGTGGCCTTGGTGTAAATGTCTCAAAGCCCCCACCCACAGAGATTAGTTCAGGAATAAATTTGTCAGCCAATTCATGCCAATTAAAGCCAAACTGAGAATTGTGTAAGGGTACTATAGGAAAGAGATATGCTATTTTCTGATGAAGTAACTGCTCTCAGTGAGAGTGATGTGAGCCTGGTATTCTGAAGGACCTGATGCAGAGCCTGAAAATGAAGCCACCATGTGAAAAGCAGGGCCTAGAAATGGACACGGAAATAGAACAAGGTCAGCTGACCTTGCTAAATCTGTATCCAGTCATCCCTGAAACCTCTCTACATCTGGACTTTCCAGGCATGTAAAACATTCCTTTTCCATTTCTGATTAAGCTGATTTGAGTTGAATTTTGTCACCTACCATTTTAGTAGTTCTTACTGATATGTGAACTAAACTGAGTTAATGCCTGCACACCTATAATGAATGGTTTTGCATGAGGACCACTTCACCACGTTACTTCTGGCAATATTTTAGAGAAACTCTGCAGTTTCCTCACTCATAACCTGAACCAAATTATGGTTCCCTTTCCACGTCACCTCATTAGATATCTCTTTAAATAATGTTATTGCTATACAAGCTAAAGCAGCATTACCACTACTACAAAATAAACAATCTTTGATGGCCACCCGCACAAAAAAAATAAGAACATAATGAGAAAGAAATGAAGGATAACTACCGTGGCATGAGTCCCTTTTAGAAGATAGTAGTCGATTTGATCAATTCATAGTCAATCCACAAATCTCTATCATAACTTAAATAAATATCATAAAATCTTTTAAAACACCCTCAGCTCAATACTATGAAATGAGAAATGATTTTTCAAACTCTGAGCAGGCAGGTGGCACTTTTTGTTCATAAAGAAGAAGCACATGTGGTACAGGGAAGGACAAATAAAATGTGATGACTATTGCTCAACAAATAACTTGGAAACACAAGTAAATCAAATGTTAGAACTTGTATTTCCAACTTTGAATGTTTTCTTAAAGAAAACATGAGCAGAATTATCAACAACATCTACACAGTCTTTGGTATATTCACCCAGATAAATCCTGCAACTCACAGCCACTCCGCAGTGACTTGAAGCAGCAGAACTACTCTTAACATTTACACTTGCTTGATGAGAAGATGTTGAAATACTCACAAGTACACTTACTAAATAAAAGAAATGGCAGTGCTCACCGGCTACCTCCAAATGTTGACAAGGGACACAGAGGTACATGTGGCAGATGCTTTCAAAATGCTAAGTTGTACATGAAAGAAAATGAAGCCAGATTTCTAGTGTTTCTTTATGCATCTTGATCTACATTGGCTTATCTATCAGAAATACAGTTTATAAATATAAAAGAAAAAATATGCTGTCAGAAAGCAATTAATAGAGATTAATCTGAATTTAGAAAGTAACAGTATCAGATGACAAGGAACCTTAAGGCCTGACTTAGTCATTCCTTAATATTTTACTCTGGTGATTATGAGCACTGAATCAGTAACTTATGAAATATATTAATCTGCTAATTTTGTCATTTCCTTGATGAATGTGAGAGAATTTCAAAGGGAGATTATGAAGGCACTCACATATACTTTGTCAATGTACCAGAAGGTTTTCAATAAATGCAGTGTGTAGCCAGGTGCAGTGGCTTATGCCTGTAATCCCAGCACTTTGGGAGGCCAAGGCAGGAGGATCGCTTGAGCTCAGGAGTTTGAGACCAGCCTGGGCAACATAGTGAGACCTTGTCTCTTCTAAAAATTAAAAAAAAAATTGTTTAAGATAGCCAGGCATTGTGATATGAACCTGTAGTCCTAGCTACTCACAGGCTGTGGTGGAAGGATTATTTGTGCCTGAAGGTCAAGGCTGCAGTAAGCTGTGATGGTGCCACTGCAGTCTAGCCTGGGTAAAAGACCAAGGCCCTGCCTCAAAAGAAAATATAAATAAATAAAAATAAAAATAAAAAATAAAAATAAAATATATATACATATATATACACACAGCACATATAACTTTTAAAATACATTTTAAGTATTAGAAGCCTAATTCATTAATAGCACTATAGAGAGAGGAGTGAAATTTTTCAAGTACTGTTTATAGGTGCAAGCTATGTAATTAATGTAATCTAAAAGCTATAAAATGGGAGGATGAATGGGAACTATTCAAAATGTACCCTTGTTTGGCCTGTAACTTCATTTCTCTCCCTTCATGCATTTGAGCTCACAGAAGGTGGAGGTTATACAGGCTTGGAGTGAAGAACTGTGATGAGGAAATCCCTACTGATTCCCTTTAACACTCATTTACAACCAAAAGTCTCTGAATAGTTATTTTTTTTTCTTCACAGAATGAGAGTTTCATAATACATAAAAGCCCTTTTTTCTTTCCTTTTTTTTTTAATTGAGTAAAAGTGCTAGCCCATGATGTTAGCCAGTAATTCAGTTGGTATGTTTGAAAAAAATCCTCTGACTTCACAAACTTGTAAGCCGGTATTTATAAGATAATATGTAAAGTGAAAATGTGCCTGTTGTATGAAAGCTAACTGACTTGTCTCAAGTATAGAGCTGATTGGAAGGTACTGTTTATTGGTTGAATTGCTATATTATATTAAAACCTATACTGTATAAGAGTCACCATTTAATAGTAACACCACATTCTTTCAATTTTCTAGAAACAATTCAACTTTATATTTTTGTTACAAATAAGATGTTTGCACTCAATTTTTATATCAGTATTGCTGTTGGATTAACTATTACATTTTTCTCAAGTAAGGCTATTGTAAACCTGGGATCAGATCCAGCAGTCTTTCTGTGTTTAAATCTGGAACAACATTACTGTGATACAAATGAATGGCTTCCACCTAGATTAATTATGTTTGAGCTGCAAATGAATGCATATGCTGTATCTATGAATTTGCAAATACAAAGCAGGGGCTCCCTCTGCATAGCCATCTGTGCATTGCTTTTGTCTCTGGGATTTTTTAATATAGATAATAAAGCCTAATCCTCTTTAAAATCAGGAGAAGATAATTGGAATATGAGGCTAACCACATGTAATGCAATGATATTATTTCCTAACTACTCATAACTTTGAAATAATAGTAGTAATAGCAGTAATAAATGTGTTTTTTATGAAACAGTCTACTATTAGGCCACAATTTAAAAGTTATAAAAATATTAAATATTATAATTGCAAGTGAAAAATTATAGCAAAGTCCCTAAACTGAGGACACATTGAAAATATCACAAACTAAGCAATCTTTTTTTTTGAAACAAGGTGCTGCTTGACCTCATGGGCTCAAGCAATCCTACCTCAGCCTCCCGAGTAGCTAGGATTAAAGGCACAAGCCACTGTCCATGGCTAATTTTTGTGTGTGTATGATTGTTTTGTAGAGACAGAGTCTTGCTATGTTGCCTAGACTGATCTCAAACTCCTGGCATCAAGCAAACCTCCTTCCTTGGCCTCCCAAAGTATCAGGAATACATGTTTGGGCCACCATGCCTGGCCATTTGTGCAATCTTCTTGTTACATTTGGGCCACTGAAGAGATAAAATGCAAAAAGAATTCTGAATGTGTGTCCTAAGAATGAGAAGAGTATATATTAATTACGTCAGATATCTACTGTCAGCACCAAATAGCTGACTTCTGCACATGAATCAACCAATAGCCTAGCTCTGCATGTGCTCATCCTCAACTCCAATGACAGGTACTTTGTCTTCATTTCCACAGCCCATCCCAGGATTCTGCCTCCAAGCTGCTGCATCAAATCTCTCCTGAGTTTCTAGCCCACCTCCTTGCCCTGTGGATTTCAAACTCAAGACTGCAGTATCAGTTCCCAACTTAGTTTCCAGCCTGCTGGTCCACCGTACAGATTTCAAACTTCTAATACTCCACAATCACAGAAGCCAGGTCCTTAAGGTGTGTGTGTGTGTGTGTGTGTGTGTGTGTGTGTTAGTCTCATCAGGCTGCCAATACAAATACCATAGATTGGGTGGCTTAAATAATTGAAATTTATTTTCACATAGATTTGGAGACTGGAAAGTCCAATATCAAAGCTCTGGAAGAGGTCAATTCTTGGTGAGGGTTCTCTTCCTGGTTTGCACATGGCACCTTCTCACTGTCTCATCACAAGGAGGAGAGAGAGCAGCCTCTCTGGTGTTCCGTCTTGGAAGAGCTCTTAATCCCATCAAGAGGACTCCACCTTCACGACCTCATCTAAACCTAATTACCTACCAAAGGACCCAACTACAAATACCACCACATAGAAGGTTAGGGCGTCAACATCTGAATCAAGGGAAGTGGGCACAATCTAGTCCATAGCACAGCATCTCTCTCCCCGCCTCTCTCTCTAGATGAATAGGCAGATAGACAGATACATCAATATCCTATTGTTTCTGTTTCTCTGGAGAACCCTGAACCCTACATCTCTTGCATTTTATCATCTCTGAAATCCAAATTCCATAATGGCATCCTCTGACCAAATCAGTCCTTCAAAGTCATTCACATTTTTTTTTTTTTTTTGAGATGGAGTCTTGCTCTGTAGCCCAGGCTGGAGTGCAGTGGCGCCATCTCAGCTCACTGCAACCTTCACCTCCCGAGTTCAAGCAATTCTCCTGACTCAACCTCCCAAGGAGCTGAGCTAACAGGCGTGTGCCACCACGCCCGGCTAATTTTTTGTATTTTTAGTAGAGATGGGGTTTCACTGTGTTAGCCAAGGTGGTCTTGATCTCCTGACCTCGTGATCCACCCGCCTCGGCCTCCCAAAGTGCTGTGATTACAGGCGTGAGCCACCGCGCCCGGCCTCATTCACTTTCTTACTGCCATTCCAGCCGCTCTTCATCTTCAGCGAGACCTCCAATCCCTAGGCCACTTTACTTTGTGCAAAATGATCAACTGCCATCCAGCTTCAGTCCACCTTCAGCTGGGTACTCAATGCTGCCATCGTCACTTTCTCAGAAGTTACTCCAGATTTTCACCTCACTCTTCAAATCACTAAAGTCATCAATGGCTTTCATTTTGCCCAACCAATCAGTACTTTTCTGTTCTCATTTTAAGATTTTTTTGCCTTTTTACTCTATTGATTACCCTGTGTCCCTTCACATTACATTTGCAATAAATATATTTTAAACAGTATGTGAAGATTACTTTTACTACAATATGTGTGCTACAAGAATGCCATGGCACTCCATGGCCACTTATCTTACTTGGCACTCCAGTGACTACCACAGTTTCTGGTCAGTAGCAGATGGTTCATAAAATCTTGTTGAATGAATAAGCCCTCTCATGAAGAAACATTCTATGTAGATTGACAATGACAGTCAAATGACAGGGTGAAAGAAAGGGATTTTTATTAATGTACAAAGTGGAGGAAATACTGAGGCCAAAGTATTTACTTAAGGGTAATTCTGCCTCCTTTTATCTTCAATAAGTGGCAGCAAAGAGTTCATTCAGCCTTTACGAAAGATGAAGTGGAGATGCCAAACACTCCGTTCCATCCTACAAATTGAGCAAAGGATCCATAAGCTTTCGTGTAGAATGAATCTTGTAATAAAAGTAACCATCTCATATTTTTAAAAATCCATTCTCAGCATGCGTGATGTCTAGAGACACAGCCCGCTTAGTGGGAGGCTTGACAGGAAACAGCAGATCTCAATTGTAGTTCTGATTCTGGCTAATTTGCTGTGCTTTCTAAGAGAAGTTCGTTAACTTTCTTAGAATTCAGTTTCATTACTTGTGAAAACATTGGATTTGATTATTTCGAAGGTCTCTTTGAGCTCTAAATTTCTATGCTAGTCTGATGAGATTTAAATTTTTAAAAACCTTACTTGTTACTCATTCTTTAAAAATGTAAAAATTACCATACAGCACTTTTTCTTGCCAAAAAAAGTTTCTTTGTCAGCATTTCAAGATGCTTAGACATAAAGCTTTATACATCCTAATGCAAAAAACTGCTAATTTTTCAGTCACTTAAATCTTTCTAGTCTTCATAAAGACTAGGCTGTATTATTTATTATTTTAGTGGGACTAGTGATGAATAATGTAAACTAAGTCTTTAGAGTTGGGATGCATTTTACCTAAGTTTTTCTTCTTAAATTGGATGTTACAGGGATTTATGCTAGATTATTATATGAAACTAAAACAATGCAAATACAGGTATATAACATCTATTAGCACCTTGTATTTATAAAAAACTTACTGGCCGGGCATAGTGACTCATGCCTGTAATCCCAGCACTTTGGGAGGCCGAGGCGGGCAGATCACAAGATCAGGAGATCAAGACCATCCTGGCTAACACGGTGAAATCCCGTCTCTACTAAAAATACAAAAATTAGTTGGGTGTGGTGGCACGCACCTGTAGTCCCAGCTACTCAGGAGGCTGAGGCAGGAGAATCGCTTGAACCCAGGAGGCAGAGGTTGCAGTGAGCCGAGATCATGCCACTGCACTCCAGCCTGGGTGACAGAGCAAGACTCCATCTCAAAAAAAAAAAAAAAACAAAAACAAAAACAAAAAAAAACTCATTTTGAGAATAATGTCCATTCACTCTACAATTTTAATCTTCTAAATTGAGGATTAACATTACAACCACAATTAATACATGGTGCATTTCAGCACTGCATTTCCTTTCAGATCTAAAAGTTGCACACTATAAAAAACAATCCCAATACAAAAAAGAATTCTAAACCTTCATAGACAGAAAGTTATTATAAGCAATATTTAATAGTTATATTTTACAAGTATGTTGAAATTAAAAGTCAGAACAGAATATCAAATGTCACATTTCATAATCTTGATTCAACTCTCTTAGTCCCTTTTCCCCCATTTGTCAAATAAAGGGCTTAGATTCATTGATTTGAGAAAAAATATTTTATAACTCCATGAGGAGAGGAGGGTAATTAATAAATGACATGGAATTTAAGCTAGACCTGAAATGCATAGGGTTGTCACAGGAGAAGAAAGAGAGGCAGGACTCCCAGGCAGAAAGTCCAGCTCACAAGTAAAAAGACTAGCCACCAATTGGAGAAGTTACTGGCAATTCATGTAACTAACAAATGAATTAGATACAATAATATATAAAGAATTCCTACTAATTAATAAGAAAATAGGCAAAAAAAGAAATTTTAAAAGGATATAAATAATTCAGTGATGAAGCCAAATGCTCAATAAATGTATGAAAAGATAATTTCATTTTTAAGTAGGGAAATGAAAAAGAATGCAATAGTGAAAAACATATCCATCGGATTAATAAAACTTAAAAATATTTTATAATATCATTGACGAGGTTGTGGAAAAATAGAAAACTTGCACACTTTGATGAAAAGATAAATCTATTAAAAATACCCTGGAGGGAAATAGAGCAATGTCCCAGTGAAGCTGTAGATACGCACAACATTTAAACTTCCAGGTGCATACTCTCCTAGAGAAACGGAGCACACGTGCATAAGCAGACAGATGGTGGGATATTAAAATATGGTGTTTGTAATGTGAAACATTGGACACAGGCCTAACAGCTCATCAGAAAAAAAAGAATGGATAATGAACTGTGGTATACTCCATCAACAGCTTAATACACGGCACTTAAAAGGAATGAATCAGGGATCTACGCATTAACATGGTGAAAACTCAAAAATAGAATACTGAGCAAATAAATGCAAATTAAATAATAATACACATATTCTCATCATATTTTTAAAAACACTGAAAATATACAAAATGTTACATTATATTTATGGATAAATTATACAGTAATAGTTCAAATGTATATGTGAAATTAATAAATGCTCTAATGATATGAATGTATCAGGATATGAATGGAGGGAAGGAAGGTAACCAGGGAAGGGTAGCCAAGGTACAATACTTTCTGTAATATTTTATGACTTTAGGCCGAGCATGGTGGCTCATACCTGTAATACCAGCACTTTGGGAGGCTGAGGCAGGTGGCTCACTTTGAGCCCAGGAATTTGAGACCAGCCTGGGAAACGTAGTGAAACCCTGTCTCTACAAAAAAATACAAAACATTAGCGTGGCGTGGTGGTGTGCACCTGTAGTCCCAGCTACTCAGGAGGCTGAAGTGGGAGGATCACTCGAGCCTGGGACATCAAGGCTGCAGTGAGCCATGATCACAGCACTGCACTCCAGCAGGGTGACAGAGTGAGACATTCTCTCAAAAACAAAAGGAGTTGTTACGGTAAACACTACATGGTTTTCCTCCTACACGCCTGTAAAATGTCACCTTTGATTAATAAGCAAGGATACAAGGGAGTAACACTTCGCTGCATTTAAACCAATCAGTAAAAGAAGAGATAAAGTCATTTCCATTTTGCTGCGTTCAGAAAATAATTTTCCTACCAAAAATAAGACTCTTGTCTAAAACAATACTAACCTGGACAAAATGTGGCTGGTGGCTCCATGAATCTAATAGCAAAGATTAGAGATTCCTTTGAAATTGATAAATTATCAAATTTATGTATGATGCTTCCACATTTATGTTTAGGTAAAAAATGGAAAGACTTTTTTAAGAGAAAACCAAGGGTTAAAATTGAGTTATTCTATAGAAACATGTTATTTTAAAACATAACTTGTAATCATTTAAATAGCTGAATCCCAACAATTTTAATTTACAAAATTATTTATCTTGTAAGTAACTATGATTATTTTCCCTAGACTTCCAACTGCACTTTCAACTAGATGTTCAGATATTAGCTAGTGCCAACGTTTCGTATTTATAAAATCGCATGCACTCTGTTGCCATTTAGCGTAGTGAATACCCATTTGTAAACAAAGTGGTGATACATTATGATAGCCAAAGGGCAAAGCTTTACCTGAACAGAGATTCATCATCTTTTAATGCAGCACAGCTTGCTACTTGCAATATCATCAAGCACTCTGAAAGGTTCTTGTCAGAGATTGATGACCTAAACAGTCACTGAAACTTAATAACAGCGTTAACAACTGCAGGTCGATCTCACACACCACAAAATAGTGCTTGTGTTTTTCTCCATGCTTATTTTTAGCCAAGTTATATCAACATTTTGACCAGAGAAAATGTTGGACCAAGTTACAATTTTTTATTATTCCGTATTAGTAATCATAGACGGCATAGAGGTTGCTGTATTAGCAGTACCACAGCAAAAATAATTCACTTGCAAAGCAACTACAAAACATTATGCAACAATTCATTAATGGGTTTATCCAGGTAGCTTTACATTGACTCTGTGACACACGGAAAGCACTAAATGGAAATCTAGAGAGAAAATAATATGATGCTGGCCAGTATGTTTTAATGGTAATTATGTCCAAAAAGTTTATGAAATATTTTATTCATGCCACTGCTAACAGATACCTATGAGATAACTGTATCAAAAAAGATGATTTTCTGGTTGTCTTTTTCTTTTTCCAGAAAATGTTTTGTTTCCTATTATCAATTTGATAGTTTGATGAAAGCATATTTTGCTGGAAGGTACCTCTACTCGAACTAAAAAAAAAAGTCCATGTATATTTTATGTCGCTGATTTCAATAATTTCACTGAGAAGTATTAGAAGTAATGGTGTGACTCCTACGAACCAAGCATTATTAGTTAAAGACACAACTTCTGCAATGCTCCAAAAGCAACTGAACTGTAAACACCATGGATGATTCACAATCAGTTCATAACTTACTATTTTTATCCTTTTTCAGAGCTCTGTGCATGTACATAAAATTCAAGAGCACAACTGAATAAAATACAAATCACTGAGTGACTATTTAAAATTTAAATTTTGTTGTGAGCATTATCAACAAAGGCGGGCCATTAAAAAGGTTATTTCTTTACCGGTGAATTAATGATACAAGGACAACCAGTGTAAACTATTCTGCAGACAGGCCAATAATGAAAACATAGCTAAAGCAGTAAAGCTTGCCAACTACTGATGAGACTCAGGAGAAATTTCTTAACAGATGTTTCCCTGAGCAAATATATACTTTGCCTACTCTGATTATGATGGCCTTGAGAATTCGTGATTTGATTCAACACTCAGCTACTCTTCAGCAGCCTCATAAAAATATGATTCGTACAAAGGATATATTCTATATTTTCCCTTCCTAAGAACCAATATCTAACATATTTATAGTTCTCAGTCCCATATGGTGAAGCAGTGGTCCAACAGCACTGTTTATAACAGTATAATTAAGGTTGTGTCAGCATTTTATTATGAAAGGAAGGAGGCGAAGCCTTTTTGGATTTTTTTCTGTTTTCATTTTATAAGCTTCCCTTAGTTGAGTGCCCACTGACTGCAATAATCTGCTTTGACCTTTCATTTGCTTCCTGCTAAGATTTTTTTTGTTTTGTTTTTGTTTTTGTTTTTATTTTTGTTTTGAGACGGAGTCTCGCTCTGTAGCCCAGGCTGGAGAGCAGTGGTGCGATCCGGGCTACTGCAACCTCCGCCTCCCAGGTTCAAGCGATTCTCCCACCTCAGCCTCTGGAGTAGCTGGGACTACGGGCGCCCGCCACTATGCCCGGCTAATTTTTGTATTTTTAGTAAAGACGGGGTTTCACCATGTTGGCCAGTCTGGTCTCCATCTCCTGAGCTCAGGTGATTGGCCCAACTCGGCCTCCCAAAGTGCTAGGATTACAGGCGTGAGCCACCGCACCTGGCCGAAAGAGACAAAAAAAAAAAAAAAAAAGCAAAGCAAAACAAAAAAACAGGAAATTGTTCCTGATAGATACTTTAACCTTGCAGGTTCATGTCTAATCATTATTATATTCTGCAGATTTCTTTCTTTCTTTCTTCTTTTTTTTTTTTTTTTTTTTTTTTTTTTTTTGAGGCGAAGTCTTACTCTGTTTTCCAGGCTAGAGTGCAGAGTGCAGTGGCGCAGTCTCGGCTCCCTGCAACCTCCGCCTCCCAAGTTCAAGTGATTCTCCTGCCTCAGCCTCCCAAATAGCTAGGATTACAGGTATGCACCATGATGCCCGGCTAATTTTTTGTATTTTTAGTAGAGACGGGGTCTCACCATGTTGGCCAGCCTGGTCTCGAACACCTGACCTCAAGCGATCTGCCTGCCTCAGTCTCCCAAAGGGCTGGGATTACAGGCATGCGCCACTGTAGCCGGCCAAGACTTCTTTCTAGAAGGAACATGAGCAGGAAAATATTGGGGAGGTTTGTGATAGCAATAAATGTATACAGAGAAGAGTGAGGGGGTCACAATTGTTGAGTCTCATTATAATGCCTATCTTGGGCATCTCTGCATTTTTACTAATATCTATTTGTGTGTATTAAAGCCCTAGTAGTTTTAATCCTTTCTTTCTAAAAATCTTCCATTGTCTAATTTTGTATGCAATGAGAAATATTAAAATATGCACTTACTAGTTGTGGGACTTTGGGCAATTTGTTTAATTGCGCCTCAACCTCAAATTCCCTGAGTATTGAATGTAGATAGTAAGAATATCTACTTCATCAGACTGCACGGAAATTAATCATGCATGTGTTCATGCTCAGTGCCTGGCATAGGATTTTCACCCATATCCTCTCCATCCTTACCTACTATGGCTCCATTTTAGTTACCACCAAGGTCTCCCCATTCTGCAGCTGCCTGGCTTAAAGTGCGGGTATCGAACTCTCTACCCAAAGCCAATCCTTTTTAAACATTCTGAACTGTTCTTTTTTCTTTGTATTCTAACACAAGCTACAAATTAACCACATCATGGTTAATTTGATGAATACATTATCCTCTAAGATTAATAAATTATCCTCTAGGCTCTATGAAGGGGAAAGACCAAGTCTATTTTACTGACACGGTGCCTCATGCCTGGCATAGAGGTATGTGTTTCATAAAATATTAGTCTTTAGCTATCAAATAGTTACGACATTATGCACAGTTACACAACTACTTAAATGAGAATAATTCATCTTTGAAACTAAATTCAATTTCTGATAAGGCTTGTAAGTGAAAAAAACAAACTGGTTCTGATTTTTTTTATCTTAACAGCTTTTACATGAGTCATATTAGAACACTCCACTTTCTTTTCCTTTTTTTTTTTTAATGCAGAGACAGTGTCTCTCTATGTTGCCCAGGCTGGTCTTGAACTCCTAAGCTCAAGCAATCCTGCTGCCTCAGCCTCCCAAAGTGCTGGGATTGCAGGTGTGAGCCGCCGTGCCCAGCCAATACTCACACTAAAACTGAGAGACATGTACTGTTACTATCAAGATGTACTAATCAAGTTGCCTAAACACAGTGAATGGCAGAAAACCTAAAATCCGAGAAACCTTGAGCCAAAGAAGAATTCAGCACACCTCTCTACACTGCCTTGTCATAGCTTGGATGTGTTACTAAATGCCTTTTATTGCTAAACCAAAATTGTCCCCACCCCTGCTCACTCCTAATTTATATCTGCAGGATCTCCAACACTACAGTGGCATCTCTTTTCCAGCTCTTTTTAAAAGAATAATTGCGTTTGCATAATTAAAAAGAAGAGGTATCTGGCTGACTAATATTTTCCACTTATATTTTGAATATTATGCATTTTTAGGTCACCTAAAAATATGAACCAACAATTTCTTGTACAATTTACTGAGAGTCCAGTGATGATTTGGCTGTACCCAAAATTTATCAATGGCAAATAACCAACGGAACAACCTTTCACCAGAATGTTGCAATCACTAGCACATATTCTAGGCTTTATTAATCAGGTATTTTTTTTCATTTGTATTCTCAAATTTGACAGGCAACAGATTCAATAACATAACCTCTAGAAAACTAGCATTAGTACATTGTTATCCCAGAATCTAAATATTTCATTGTGTCCTGATAGACAAGAACATTCAGGTCTTTCAAGTCAAGGATTTCCCTCTTACCAAGAGATAATTCACATGTGCCATCCTCCCTCACCAATTGTAACATTCTCAGAGGTGGAAAGCTGCCAGAGTCATTAACCGGCTCTGCATTATGCCATTTCTCTTGCTGTCTAACCTGTCACCTCCATGCCTTCTGCAGTCTTTCCTCTCCTTCAGACTCGCTCTCAGACATACGTATCAGTAACTGGTGCCTCGCCTTCCTCCCGCCGCCTAACAGGCTGCTATTCTGCCATCGCCCTCCTGGGAGCGCTGCTGGACCGTGAGCCCGCTCTGGATGTTTCCCGCTGAGTTCCTGCCAATCTCCAACCAGCCCAGGTTGGAGCTGTTAGAGCAAGAGTGTCTGCTTTTAACCAGTGCCATAGGCCATGGATTTTACTTCTGATTCTAAACGACAGCTTGTTTATATAAGATACAAACGTTGGGCACCCTAAAGGTAGCTAAGTTCTTTTTTCTAGATGGTAGTTTTGCAAAGAACATACATTATCAATGCAAACCTATTAGTCTTAGCTCTTCGTTATACAGGACAAAGTAAGCCTCCTTTTTGACTAAATTTTATTAAAACGTTGTTGCTTTTTTGCCTTTTAATTCATAATATTTTAAATACACATGAAATAGTAAAGAGTTTATTAATTCTATCATATAATTATGTATTAATAAAAGTTTACATCTGCATTTCACTGCATGAGAAGTCCTCATAGTAAATATTGTCCTAAATATCTAAATACATGTTTTTTAACATTTACATAGCCAATGAGCATTGTGTAGCTTTAAAAAGGTTCCTTTTGATAACTTCCATCAGCGATACTGTGAAGCACTTAATAGTGTCTCTGTCACGTCTTTTCCTTTTCTTCCTAGTAACACACAGTTTCTAAATTTGCTTCTTTTACATATCATATTTATTTACAGCAAAACATTTTCATTTTAAATACTTTTAAATGTAAATATGGTTTCTGTTGTCCACATGGTATCTGTGATACAAATGAGCTAGTTGAAGTAATCAAGAAAACATCTGTTAAAAGAATAAATATTCTTTTATAAATGTGCTATGTATTATCATGACTATCTATTGCTATGGAAGTGCAAAAAGCAGACTAACATTTCCAAAACATAAATAGGATAATGTCACATCCTTGCTAAAATCTTCCAGTGACTTCCTATTGAAATTAAAAGTGTGTAAAATTTTGCATGGTTTACATTGTGGACGTGATATGCCCCTCTGACCCCACTCTCCAGCCTCTTCTTGCTGTGTCCTGCGTTCCTTTTCCCTGCCCTGCACCCAACTCCTAAGCTCTCACTGCGATGCACTTCCTCCAGTTCCTTCAACAGTATAAGGCTGCGTGCACCTGCTCTGCCTCGGCCTTGCACAGTTTCCTTTATCTAGAATGCCTTCCCCGCCCTTTCTTGGCCAACCACTCCCCTCCTTTCAGGTCTCAGCTTAAATGTCATTTCATCAGAGTCCCATTCTGACTTTCCCTCCACTGCCGTCTCTCATAACACCCTCTGCTGCTCTGTCACAGCACCTGTCACATTTGTGGGATTTGGTAGGCATTTGTGTGAGTAGATGTCTCTCATTTCCACTAAAGTTGAAGTGGGGACCATAGCTTACTGTAAAAATTTGGCTTGTAGACAATGGCTAATTAGGCTCATAATGGCCCTCTGCTAACTTTTTGGCTCTATTTTTCTCATATGTAAAGTGTGATGATGGTTCAGTGAGTATATGTACATATTGTTTTTATATACACATTTTTATATATGACATATATACACATTTTTATATATGACATATATACACATAGTGTATATCTTTGGAAAAATTACGTTTAGTAATGATACTGTGAAACACTTCATGGTGCCTATCACATATCTTGTCACATACTGTGTGTATATAATATGTATATGAGAATATATATAAATATACATGCATCATTTATAAAAGGACCATAGTAATTATTACGCAAGTGCTTACTTACATGGTATTTTGTTCATTACCAAATGTCCAATGGCTACCACATAGTAACCTTCAAAAAGTATCATTATCTGAATTCGTGAGTGAAAATATTTTCCTTGTCCTTATAGGAAACTAGATACCAAACATTTCCAGTCCACTGGGACAAACATCTTAATTTTCTTGAGAGTTGTGGAATAAGAATAGCAGTGAGAACAAGTGGAATGGGGAATGCAGAGGACAGACCTTTGAAATCCGTTTCTGTTCTCCCTTGCCATTCTCTTCTAAACTTCAGGGTTCAAGGCAAATCTGGTATATAATCAGGTTATGATCTATGATGGCTATTTAATGCACTTATTTATCAAATATCTTTTGACTACCCACTATGTTCTAAGCATGATTCTGTCAGAGATATAAAAGAGAATGAAACCCACAAAAATTCCTGCCTTTGCAGAACACGCCTTCAGTAACAGTGGAAATTGAATGAGACACCTTTAGCTTATTCCCATCACTTTGTGGATTTCTAAAGTAAATGTGATGGAATATCTTGAAACCCCTCCCTGGAAAATTTCAGACCTATTTAGTCAAGGCTCCTAAAGGACTCTGGAACTTCAGAGCTGAGGTCTGGAAGTACAGTCATAGAGGATCTAACTGAATTAATGAAGCATTTCCCAAAGCGTACACTGTAGTGATGGGTGTTACCTCAAAATGCACAGTCCATGGACAAGTATGAAGAACAATGGTTTAAAAAAGAAGCTTTTTGATAATTATTATTACAGGTTTTCTTGCTTTGTTGTGATTCACTTTATGTTAACTCTGGGACTTTCTCACTAATATATCTATTTAAATACCAGTTCAGTCTTTTCCTACTGTGTGCACTTGGGCAAATTACTAAACCTTCCTCTGTTTCAGTTTCCCCATCTATAAAATGGGAATTATAACAGTTTTTCCTCATAAAATTATTCAGGATTGTATGAGTCCATACATGTAAATTGTTTAGTACAGAACTTGGCACATGGTAAGTACTTAATAAATGTTAATTTTATTATTATTATTTGTTTATTCATATTTATTTATTTATTTGTTGGAGACAGGATCTCTTGCTCTGTAGCCTAAGCTGGAGTGCAGTGGTGCAATCGTAGGTCACTGCAGTCTTGAGCCCCTGAGCTCAAGCAATCCTCCCGCCTCAGCCTCCTGAGTATCTGGGACTACAGGTGCATGCTGTCATATCCAGCTAATTTTTAAATTTTTTGTAGAAACAAGGTCTCACTCTGCTATCCGTGCTTAAACTCCTGGCCTCAAGTGATCCTCCTGTCTTGGCCTCCCAAAGTTCTGGGATTACAGGTTTAAGCCACAGTCCCTGGCCAACATTTGTTAGATGTGTCCTGATTACACTGATAAAGACTTTATTACAGAACTTGATTTCTATAGAATATCCTTGAGAGATATTGAACTTCATCAGGACATTAAACTTTCTGAAAAAGCCAATGAGGTCCATTCTGGCAACTTCAAAAAGGAAGCCTAGGTCAAGAGATTCAGTCAAATCAGCCTTTGTAAGGAAGGCAAGTGGGAGAGAATCAGTCACCCACACTACAGCAGAGTGTGAGGGCCACTATAGTAACAGGAAAATCCTGCTCTAATCCAGACAAACACAATGACATTATAGTAAAATGTACTTGCACATATTATGTGGCAAATGTCGGCACAGGCTGTCTACATTTAAGTCTAAGGGATCTAATATTACCCATAAGATCTCTTATGGGTAATATTCCAAAAGTTGTGAATATAAAAATATAAATGCAGATAGAATCTTTACAGTGAATGTCATTAACCCATAACGTGGTTTCTATATATAATTAATGAATTTAAAGTGAATACTCCACATCTATATGACATTTAAAGCAATTATTCTCATCTCCTTCCCAAGGAACTCATTTAAATTCCTTACTCCCAAATCTCCGTCCTATGAACTTTAACTTACAAATGAGCCACCAAGTATAACATAAAAATTTTGCAGGTTGCTATGGCTTGAATGTTTGTTCCCTCCAAAACTCATGTTAAAATTCAATTGCTATTGTAAGAGTGTTATGATGTAGGACCTTCAAGAAGTGATTAGGCCATGAAGCCTCCACTCTTAGAGGTGGGATCAGTGCCTTTATAAAAGAAAGAATATGGCCCCCTCTTACTCTCTTGCCCTCTCTTGCCTTTCTGCCACCTGCCATGACATGACACAGCAAGAAGGCCCTTGCCAGAAGCCAGTTCCTCAATCTTGGACTTCCCAGTCTCCAGGATCATAAGCCAATGATGATTTTATTAATTATAAATTACCCAATCTCAGGTATTCTGTTATAGCAGCACAAATGGACTAAAACACAGACAGAAAAGATGTAGATAAAGTTTTATGTCTTTCATTTTCTTATTTTCTGTACCAAATCATTATAATAGCCAGTGTAGATGAGAAAAAAGAATCAAAGGTGTAAATGAGTTTGAGAATAGAAGTCAGATAAGGAATCCGGAATCCAGAACCACAAACATTAGGAATCAAAACAAGAGAAGTAAGAATACAAAAGCAATAGAGATGAAGGCTTGGTTATGTGTTTTTATAGGGTTTGGAAAAGACAGCACAGATTGATAGCTTGTGCCTGCTTTAACTTGTCATACACCCTGTCTTTCCCTATGTGGTCTGGGGTATATAAGTCCCCCTGTAAACTTGTGCTTAGGCTCTGCCAACACTACGACATCTCAGACCAACCTTAGGGATTCATAACCAAAGATGAACTACATCCTATCTGAATAAGGAAGAACATTACAGGGCTGTGGCTGGAAATATTCAAACCTCTCTATGATCAGTTATTGACAGTGATTTCTTTCTCCTGCTCTTCTATACTCTTTACACGTATTAGAAGCTTATGAGTAGATCTTTGGGATATTTGTGAGTCTTGTCAAATCATTGCGCTAACTTTGCTGAAGCATTTTTCTCCATTGCTAATTTCAAAAGCAAAATCAGGCGATTGAAAGAAATAAAGGCGATTTGAATAGGAAGAGAGGAAGTCAAACTTTCCCAGTTTGCAGATGATATGATCCTATATCTAGAAAACTCCATTGTCTCAGCCCAAAAGCTTCTTAAGCTGATAAGCAACTTCGGCAAAGTCTCAGGATACAAACTCGATGTGCAAATGTTTAGCTCTTTTGGTTCTCAAGTTCTTTTGTCCCAGAAATGCAAATTATAGTTATGTACCCCTTAGATCTAAATTCTACTGCAACAAAAACCAGATACCTCTTCTGGTTCATTATAACAATATTTTGTATCTGTCATATTCTGTAACTGTAGTTGGGGTCAGATGGTTGTTAGTTTTGTGATATCATTGGAAGTACTACCTATTTTCAATAAATCAGACAGTATGAGAAATAACATTTAAAACTTTGCACCATATTCTATTAAGGTTATCACTTCTGAAGATTAATATATATTGTTCAGAGAGATTTGGGAATGGAGTGAATCTCCGAGATGCTCCATCAGATGTGAAGATGTATTCTCCCTGTGAAGCCATTGTTATTCATGACCCCACACATGCTTACAAAAGCAGTTAGAGGACTTCACCTTGAAAAGGTGTTCTTAAGTGCCAACTGTTCTTACACAAAAGGCCAGACAAGAGTTGAAAACTCGACTCTAATATGTAGCCACTTTATTTTCCTTATTGCCTAGATGGAAGAGATTCTTCTCTCATTAATGCTTGAGGAATAAATATTTTTAGGCAAGAATTAAAGGGGCTAAAGTATTAAATAATAAAAAACTTGCAAGCATAAGTTAAAATATAAAATTTAACAAAATAATTTACCACACAATGAAAACCTCTAAATAAGATATCAGAAAGGTATTTTTTAAAAACAGCTTCTTCTCTTATCTTAGCCTTTCCCCTTTAATTGACTTCTTTTTCAAGTAATCAGTAAGTCCTTGCTTGGAAGAGATAAACAAGTATAAATAAAACAAACACAATGCAAGTTAGTTTATGTATATACACTTTTGAATCAGATAGCATTGCCAGCCAATTGAGCTTTCTCCTGTGGTTTCTGTGGGGTCGATATTTTTCATGCTGTGTATGTGCATTTATCTTCCAGTTGATCTTCCATAATAAAATGAATCCCCCAAAGCTTCAAAGCCAATTAGCTTAGAGTTATATTTTTCATTTTTTCCTTATGAACTTCTTCTTCATTGAAAATACAGTACTGATAAAAACAACAAAATACAAAAAAGGGAAAGAGATATGCTTACACCAGAATCTATATTAACAAATCTGTCATATCAGCCATTCTGTTGCTTAGCAGTCATGAGTAGGTCACGTGGCCAGCATCCTCAGTTTGGCCCAGTTTTCTCAAAGAGAAGACATGATGCTTTCTTACTCGGAGTGAACTGGGTCTTCCATACCATCCTGTTAAAAAAGTCAGCTAGGTCTTGCTATGTCTAAAATACAGATATATTAATAAGTCATATACAATTATTGATTAATTGACGATAATATAAGGCTTTATTAGAAAAGAAAAATGCATTACCATAATGTGTACAACTCAATATCAAAATCACTTTGGACATGAACTAGCTGCCATTTATTTTCATGATTTAAGAATATTAAACAAAAGAGGACAATAAGTATCATAAACTTCATTCTGGGGGAATCAGAATCATCCTCTTTATGAGTTTTATGAGGTATGATATATAAATACACATTATGAGAATTGAGCCAAATGTTTACTGCTTACAACTCTCATTAACAACACATCTGTCCATAGGTTTCCTTGTTCCTGATCTAAACGTGGCAGTTCTCACTGTTGGGCCCTGTTAAATATTGTCGACTAGTTTGTTCAACCTAGATTCCAACGCATCTCTAACTGAGATCTGGGGAAACTAAACAACATTTATCTATTGCTCTAGGGTCCTTGATACACATCAGATTCCTCAGATTAAATGCATTTGAGTGAGATGTGGAAAGTGAAAGTCAAGCCAAAACCATTTTCTTGTCTTTTTTCGATGTTTTTTCTAAAAAGAATATGGAAATTTGAAGATTTTCTGCTTCAATCATTGAATGTCTTTTTCTTTGCTTCTTTTGCTTTCACGGGAAGTTCTGTCAGAGGCAGCAGTGGCATCAGCCTCGGATTCCTCATCCTGCGTCACAGACACTCTCAAGCGCAGCAGCTGTCTCAGTAGAGCAGGTCCCCTGTGGATCTTGATTGAAGAAGTCATTTCTGGTGGCGCAACTACAATCTATCCTTCCAGTATTCCTTAATGGAAGCCTAGAATTTTCTGTGTGTTTTTTGTTTGTCTTTTATATTTTCTCTTTTTTAAATATTCTTTTTTTCCCTTTTTTTTTTTTTTTTGAGACGGAACCTCGCTCTGTTACCCAGGCTGGAGTGCAGTGGCACAATCTCAGCTCACTGCAACCTCCATCTCCCAGGTTCAAGCATTTCTCCTGCCTCAGCACCCCCAGTAGCTGGGATTACAGGCACGTGCCACCATGCCCAGCTAGTTTTTGTATTTTTAGTAGAGACAGGATTTTGCCATGTTGGCCAGGCCAGTCTCGAACTCCTGACCTCAGATGATCCACCCACCTCAGCTTCCCAAAGTGTTGGGATTACAGGCATGAGCCACTGCACCCTGCCTTTTTATACTTGCATTTTAAGTTCAGGGGTACATGTGCAGGTTTGTTACATAGGTAAACATGTGTCACGGGGGTTTTTGAACAGATTATTTCATTACCCAGGTTTATTCTATGTATTTATTATTATTGTTATTATTTTAGATGGAGTCTTACTCTGTTGCCCAGGCTGGAGTGCAGTGGCTTGATGTGGGCTCACTACAACCTCTGCCTCCCAGGTTCAAGTGATTCTCCTGTCTCAGCCTCCCGAGTAGCTGGGATTACAGGCACCCACCACCATGCCTGGCTAATTTGTGTATTTTTAATAGAGACAGGGTTTCACCATGTTGGCCAGGCTGGTCACGAACATCACTCAGGTATTAAGTCTAATACTCGTTAGTTATTCTTCCTGATCCTCTCCCTCTTCCCACCCTGCATCCTCTGAAAGGCCCCAGTTTGTGTTGCTCCCCTCTAAGTGTCCATGTGTTCTCATAAACTAGCTCCCACTTACAAGTGAGAACATGCAGTGTTTGGTTTTGTGCTCCTGCATTATTTTGCTAAGATTAATGGCCTCCAGCTCCATCCATGTCCCTGCAAAGGACATGATCTTGTTCTTTTTATGGCTGCATAGTATTCCATGGTGTATGTGTACCACATTTTCTTTATCCAGTCTACCACTGATGGACATTTAGGTTGACTCTGTCTCTGCTATTATGAATAGTGCTGCAGTGAACATATGCTTGCATGTGTCTTGGTAATAGAACGATCGATTTATATTCCTTTGGGTATCTACCCAGAAATGGGATTGCTGAGTCAAATGGTATTTCTGTCTTTAGGTCTTTGAGGAATTGCCACACGTCTTCCACTATGGTTGAACTAATTTACATACCCACCAACAGTGTTTAAACATTCCTTTTTCTCCACAAACTTGCCAGCTTCTGTTACTTTTTGACTTTTTAATAACAGTCATTCTGACCCATTCCGAGCCATTCTGACTGGTGTGAGATAGTATCTCATTGTGGTTTTGATTCGCATTTCTCTAATGATCAGTGATGCTGAGCTTTTTCTCATATGATTGTTGGCCACATGTATGTCTTCTTTTGAAAAGTGTCTTTTCATGTCCTTTGCCCACTTTTTAACGCGGTTGTTTTAATGGGGTTGTTCGTTTAAGTTCCTTATAGAGCTGAACATCAGATCTTTGTTGGATGCATAGTTGGCAAAATTTTCTCCTCTTCTGTAGGTTGTCTATTTATTCTGTTGATAGTTTCTTTTGCTGTGCAGAAGCTCTTTAGTTTAATTAGATACTATTGGTCAATTTTTGCTTTTGTTGCAATCGATTTTGGCATCTTTGTCATGAAATCTTTGCCCATGCCTCTCTCCTGAATGGTACTGCCTAGGTTGCCTTTTAGGGTTTTTATAGTTTGGGGTTTACGTTTAATTCTTTAATCCATCACTAGTTAGTTTTTGTATACAGTGTAAAGAAGGGGTCCAGTTTCAGTCTTCTGCATATGGCTAGCCAGTTATTGAACCACCACTTATGAATAGGGAATCCATTCCCCTTTTCTTGTTTTTGTCAGGTTTCTCAAAGAACAGATAGTTGTACGTGTGGGGCCTTATTTCTGGGTTCTCTATTCTGTTTTACTAGTCTATGTGTCTGTTCTTGTACCAGTACCATGCTGTTTTGATTACTGTGGCCCTGCAGTATAGTTTGAAGTTAAATAGCATAATGCCTCCAGCTTTGCTCTTTTTGCTTAGGATTGCCTTGGCTATTTTAGCTCTTTTTTGATTCTATATGAATTTTAAAATAGTGTTTTCTAGTTCTGTGAAGAATGTCAATGGTAATTTAATGTGAATAGCATTGAATCTATAAATTGCTTTGGGCAGTATGGGCACTTTAATGATATTGATTTTTCCTATCCATGAGCATGGAATATTTCTCCATTTGTTTGTGTCATCTCTGATTACTTTGAGCAGTGGTTTGTACTTCCCCTTTTAGAGATCTTTCATCTCCCTAGTTAGCTGTATTCCTAGGTATTTTATTCTTTTCATGGCTATTGTGAAAGAGTTGGTTCCTGAATTGGCTCTTGGCTTAACTGTTGTTGGTGTATAGGAGTGCTAGCAATTTTTGCACATCGAGTTTGTATCCTGAGACTTTGCCGAAGTTGCTTATCAGCATAAGAAGCTTTTGGGCTGAGACAATGGAGTTTTCTAGATATAGGATCATATCATCTGCAAACAGGGAAAGTTTGACTTCCTCTCTTCCTATTCAAATCCCCTTTATTTCTTTCAATCGCCTGATTGCGCTGGCCATAACTTCCAATACTAGGTTGAATCAAGTGGTGAGAGAAGGCAATCTTGTCCTGTGCCAGATTACAAGGGGAATGCTTCCAGTTTCTGCCCATTCAGTATGATATTGGCTGTGGGTTTGTCATATATGGCTCTTATTATTTTGAGGTACGTTCCTTCAATGCCTAGTTTATTGAGAGTTTTTAACATGAAGGGATGTTAAATTTTATCACAAGTCTTTTCTGCATCTATTGAGATAATCTTGTTGTTTTTGTCTTTAGTTCTGTTTATGTAATGAATCACATCTATTGATTTGTTTGTTGATTGTGTGTTGAACCAATCTTGCATCCCAGGGATGAAGGCTACTTGATTGTGGTGGATAAGCTTTTTGATGTGTTGCTAGATTCAGTTTGCCAGTATTTTGTTGAGGATTTTTGTATTAATATTCATCTAGGATATTGGCCTGAAGTTTTCTTTTCTTTTTTTGTATCTCTGTCAGGTATTGGGTTTGACAGTAGACCCTGTTTTTACATTGAGTTCTGACTGATACAGTAGGATTAGAAGCAGTTGTACTTGAGAGATGGGAATTTGGGAGTGATTGTGAGACCTGTTTTGTGAAAAAAGGATGATCCCTATGTCATTCAAAAATGGAAAATGTGTGGCCCATGACACAGAGCCACTCATAGGATCACCTTCAGTCACTTGAAATAAAGTGCCTACTGAAGGGAAGGTTTTGAAATGAAATGACCATTGTGATACAGCATCCAGGAGAGTAAAAAGAATACAGAACTCTGGCTATTTCTCATTATATTGGGCAATTTTTAAATAAAAAAAGACAGGCTCTGGGCTTTCAATTCTTAGTTCAACACACAGTTACAAGGTTGGGAAACATCTATCATGATCTCCTGCTGTCACATAACCAACATAGCCAGAAATCAGACACAGAGTTTGATGTCCATAATTTGCTGTATCACAACAAAAACTGAATGCAAAGCCTTTCCATGCCTCTTACATCAAAGCTGGAGTATTTCCCAACAGAAAGTGGAATCCTGATGAGGAACATTTTGGTGGATTCTGTTGAACCTGAACACTCTGCATCCCTGAAGACCAGTGAATATCTCTTCACCCACAGAAACGGTTCTTTCTCTCCTTTGTGATGGAACAAGCCCTGGTTTGTTTGGAGACCCTGGCCACAGCTGCACCTCATAGACACTACACCTATGACAAGAGTTAGATCCCAGCTTGTCCTAGGGAAACGAACAGAATCTGACATGGAAAGAGTTATGTTTCATATCAAATAGATCCATGATTTTGCTAATATATATATATATATATGGATATACATATATGTATACGTATACATATATACATATGTATATCCATATATATACATATATAATGTTAGCTGGAAGCTGAAGGATATGTGTGAGAATGGGTTCTAACAAGGATAGACAAGGGAAAAAGAAATATAGATCAGACAAAATGTATCAATATAGGTATACCTACCAGAGATTATAGACTCAATGTGCCAGCTGAAGCTTCTCACTGTGGTATAAAATGTTGACTTGGTTAGTTGCCTGGAACCTGGACTAAATGGTGTTCTGCACAAAACGAAGGTGACATGCCTAACCTTATTTAGTATAATACAGAAAAGGGAATTTTAAGACTTAGATAAAAATGGAATGAGTTTATTTTATGTACTAAATTACTCAATCTATAGAAATTTATCCTGAGGTGCCTCAGAGGACCCTTCATTTACCTAGGCAATTTAAAAATAAATTGGTAAACAAAATAATTAAAGACAGAAATATGGACCAGGCCTAGTGGCTCATGCCTGTAATCCCAACAATTGAAGAGGCCATGCAGGTGGATCATTTGAGACAAGGAGTTCAAGACCAGCCTGGGCGACACAGTGAGACACTAATAAGATATTAGCTGGGTGTGGGGTTTGCACTTGTAGTCCTAGCTATTTGGGAGGCTGAGATGGAAGGATCGCTTGACCTGGGCTTTTGAGGATGCGGTGAGCTGAGATCGCACCACTGCACTACAGACTGGGTGACAGAGTGACACCGTGCCTCAAAAAAAGAAAAAATAAAATAGAAGACAGAAATATGTAATAAACCACTAGGGGGAAAATAGAAAACTATGAGTTTATACCAAAATATATATCTCTATGTGTACTTATATGCAAAATACTTATACCTAGATATACAAAATACATAAATAAATAAAGTAAATAAATAAGAAGATAGGGGCTTTTGTTTTAGAAGAACACCAACTGCTGAATGATAAACATCAGAGGGATGGTGGAGTTGGAAAAAGGTCATCATTTTTGCAGTCATTACAGTAAAGATTGAGACAGGCAGAAATCATCAACTGATGCTAAAACTAGGAGGATAAATGTTTAAAAGAGGCAAAATATTTGCGTGATCTTAAATTGTTTTACTACAGATTATTAATTGCAATGTAAAAAGCAGTAACTATATGGTATACAAATCAAATGCCTTGACCAGATGATAAGGATGCAAATAGACATTGTGTGACTCTCGATTTGATACCCTGAGAAGGACATCAAATCACAATATCCCTTATGTAGTATCCCAGTTGGGAAGACATGACTGAAATCTAAACATGGGTAAACATCAAACTCAAAATGAGGAACATGCAGTTTTATTTTTTGAAAATGTGGGAGAGGACTATATTCTGCATATAAAGGAGGCAAAGAAAGGCTTTAGACATCTTTCAAATTAAATGAATCTAAAAAGACATAATTAAGTGCAGTACCTACCCCTAGACTACATTTTATAATGGAAGACAAATTCAGTGAAGGACATAACTGGGTTGCTTGATAAAATAGAATGTAGATGATAGATTAAAATACGAGTTAGTATTACATTTACTGAAGGTGATAACCACACAGTTGTTACACAAGGATACATTTTTTCTTAAGAAATAAGTACTTAGTGAGGAAGTACCAGGAGGTATGCATCTTATGCTCAGATGCTGAGGCAGAGACAGGGTCTCTATGATAAAGCAAATGGAGCAACATGTTAAGAAGTGAATCTGGGTAAAGGCTGTACCATTGTTCTTTGTATACGCCTATTTTTGCAACTTTGCTATAAGTTTGAAATTATTTTCAGATAAATTAAAAATATATGTTAATACAAATATACATATAACACCTTGAAAGGTACCATACTGGATATCCTGAGTAGGTCAGCAAGGAAGGTGGAAAAGGCTGTCCTTGACATAGGCTTAATGACTTCAGTGAAGACAACTGGGTCCCAGAGTGGAGAAGACTAAATGGCAGCACTTAACTGCTAGAAACAAGATACTCATGATTACAGAAATAGGCAGCAGAGACAGAAAGGTCATCAGAATAATTTTTCCCATAGGGATCTTTGGTAGTTACTAATTAACTATGGGGTCTCTTGGACGAAAATAGTTAGGCAGGCTACTAGAGTCCTATTAGATCTGAATTTAGAGACTCTAGTATTGTAAGCAGAAGTCTGATTTTGCCATCATAAAAGAGTAAAAGACTCTGCCTTCTAATTCTTAGACATAAACTACTTCTGAACGCCAAAAGTCCCTCAAATACAGAGTAAAACAGATTCCTTAAGGAAACACTTTTTGATATTGCCAAATCTTTTCTCTGGTCTCCCTGCAAAGGACGCAGAGCCCCTTACCATGGGCCTGAAAAAGGAAATGCCCAGGCCTTTCAGGGATTACTGAGCTTGGACTAATGCATGGGGTCGTAAGGTCCCCAGTATATTGCATATCTGTCTTCTCTGCCCAAGTTTAGAGTCATTTGAGATATAGACAATAGACATTAAAGAACATTTTGCATATCAATTAATATAATTGGAGAATTGTTGTCGGATATGGTCAAGTAGGTTAGGGAACTCATCATTCCAGGTTCCCAACCCCAGAGATACCTGGGCGGCAGCATAACCTCCCCTCAAGCACATATGTTATTACATTACAGTGGTCTAATTAACAGCCCGATTGGAGTCTATTACTTCAGTTGTCTAAAGGTTTTGAGACAGCCAGGTGGGAACGGCTCCCTGGCAAAACTCCATCTGGCCTGAGCACGGGTGAAGCCACAGAAGTTCACGCCATTTGCAGTGGAACGGAGCCTGGCCCTTTCTCTTTGGAACCTGGGATTCAAACTGCGAGGTAGGAAGCTCACCAGCAGGGACTCTGGCTTTGCAGAGGGTCCCTGTTTTCCCTTTTATCCCTTTTCATCCAATAAAACCCTGCCTTACTCACCCTTCAATTTTCTGCAGACCTAAATTTCCATGACCATGTGGCAAGGACCCTGTCTTTAGCTGAACTAAGGAAAAGTCCTGCAACATTTTGAGACTAAATTCAAGTGACTATTTTATGACCTGCTTGGCCACTTGGCCTTTTAACTATGAATTGCTGAGTAAATAAATTGTCCAGACATGGCATGATAGCCATTCGAATGGCTCACTGAATTTTTTTTTAAAAAGCTACAGAATTGATATTAAAGCAACAAATGGGCAATATTTACCTGTGGAAGGCTGCAAATTCTGTTTCATTTTTGGGCCAGGGAATACGTGAGGAGCTATGAATCATGTTAAAGATATAAAGGGATTACTGATAAGGCCTAAATTTTTTTCAACCTAACAGCTGTGCAGAAAAATTTTCATAATGCTTGCATTTAATTACATAAAGAGTGGTACAGTCTCTTTCACTTTATCTCAGTAATGAAGGCTTGATTCTGAAGATAATCCAGGGTCTTTCCCTGTCAAGGCCAGCATGTGGGTAACAGTGAATTCAATTCCCACTCTTCACTATCCTTAGACGATAAAACAAGAATAATTTTTCACATGCATTATAAAGATGAAAAATAGTACCGTAGGGCGTATTTTCTTTAATGTACTCTAAAAATATAGAGAGGTAGCATGATAGACAGATGTATAAAAGAAAAAAAAATTAGCCTCTGAGCCATTTCTAGAGTTCACTGTAACACCATTCAACAAAAATTAAAGAATATGAAAGAGTCCTTTCCTTAAAAAAAAGAAACAGTAGTTTGTTAAATTTTCTAGTACTGAAGCTTCTTTGTGTGGGATTTAGCCACAGCCTCTGATGGCTTGCAAGATTGCTAGTTTTATGGAAATAATTAGGAAGCCCAGCTCTGCCTTGTAAACTAGGAGTCTTGAGGTTAATTAAAGTAAAATGAATGCTGCATATATAAGAACCACCAGTAAAGCTTGACAGTCAGGTATGTAGAATTCTGTCATCTGCTGAGAATACAGACAAAGAAAGCCAGCATCGTAAATTAACTGGGAATATGTTTAGACTTTTTATAATAATCTTCAATCAACCTTGACATCAGACACATGTCGATGGCATATAGTTGTACACTACAGTGATTTTATTCACAGTATATAGACATTTCCAAAATATTTCTATGGATTCCTAATATATGGTGAATATTTTTCTCTATTTTTTTAAAAGAGAGATAGATGTAAAACTTTTTGCACAGGCTCATTGATTTCATTAAAGATGTCAAAGGTCAGCTAATTTAGTTGGCCACCTCTAACGAAAATTATATTTCATAAATGGCTTATTTCCAAAAATCATTCAAAAAGATGGTAGTGCTACCCCCAAAACAGTGCAAACATCCTATCTCTGGGAAGGAACAAGAATCAGGAGACTTGGGTTTAGAGCCAGAATCTGCCTCTTCAAAGGAGAGTGAACTGAGCAAGTCTCCTAAACTTTCTGAGCCCGTTTTTAAAATATGAAATAGATACAAAAAGCAGTAGCTTGTTGACTTCGTGAAGTTTTTATGAGGATAAAATAAGAAATACAAATGCATTTTCTACTGTAAAGCACTATGTACATGTTAGAAATTTATTAAAGAAAACATATTCCCTTTTTTTAAAAATAAGTAAGTTTTCTATTAATTTGTTATATGGAAGCAGCTTTGTTGGAGGCAAGGAGTTGTCTCTTTACAAATGCCGGAAGTTATAGCCCTCTGCCAGACAGTTCAAAGTTCACAATAATGAACAGACAGAATAACACGTGAGATTTCATAGACAAACTAACCTAAAGTAGAAAGTTACGTAAGTCAGAGATGGATGAGTGTATGAAATGTCCATAGAAAGTGCTATTTGTGCCATATATAGATAGGTAAGACATGGGCACAACTGAAAAAATATAATCTCAATCATAGTTATTTGAAAGATTTCAGAAAATATTTAATCAAATTAAATGAATATTAGTTTGCAGCAGAGTTTTAATAGTTAACATAGCTAACCTAGAGTAAATAGAAGTCTAAAGAATATTAATTCTGCATTTAAGTGCCCTGGGAAGTTTCCTATATGGCAGTGAAAACGCAATATACCATTCTGGGATGTCAAAATGCAGAAATAAGGTAAAATAATATTACACTAGCATTGTGTATCTATCCATTCTGAAATAAGCATTGAGGGAGGAATGTGAGGGTTTAAGAGTATGAACTTTACAGCATGGATTTGTAACATCACTATTGACAGATCACAAGCATTGTTTTCCTTAATTCCTAGTCTAGTATATTCTAACCAATGTCTACTTAAGTGAAGCACATACATTCTATGTTTATACTGTGAAAACACATACAATTTAAAAGCTGTTGGAACCCTCAAAACTCTTTAGGCCTTGAGAGAAATGTGACTGTGATGTGAATCACATAGAATGTAGTTACAACTTCTGCTTCTTAGATTGTAGAATAACTCTCTCATTGCTCTTGCGTTGTAAATGACTAGGAGAAACCAGAGACCACATCTCTTCCCCTTCTAATCACTGACTTTTGTTATAGATTAACTGCCTCCTTTACTGTCCTGTACCTCATTCAGACCAGATCATGCAAAAGACCTCATGACTGTCACATGTTCAATGTGGAAATTAAATATACCTTTCCTGAAAGAAAAAGACCAGCTCAACCAATCAGATCTTTGTAACCATGCATTAAGCCATATATACAAAGATGCTGAAATTCTGTTAAGCTTCCCTAAATGTTATCTATATAGATGACCTCCAAAATTCCACATTTTGGAAAGCTGATTTCCGTTTTTTGGAATCCTTGCTTCCCAGATGGCCATCCTCAAGCTTAGTGCTTGAATAAACTCTACAATTAATAAAGTTTTCTGAATCTCATTATTTATGGTTGTCAATACTGAACACACAAATGCATAAGCACATCCACACACACTTCTTAATCAGATAAGAGAATTAATTTGATTTTTCACGGTTGAATTCACTCTGCTCTCCAAGTGGTTGCCTTTCTCATATAAATTTGAACCAAAATGGCTATGTCCAAGATAGTGTAGTACCAGGTTACATTAATCCCTGTCTGGATAATACTATAACCAATTAGGACTCCAAGTAATTTGAGAGTTTCTCATTAAAAAAAACTTCAATAATTTCATTGAGCTCATTATAATAGATCTAAAAACTGAATGAATCAGTATATTTTAGCAGAAAGCATCAGCGTACAGAATTAACAATAGCCTGAAGCATAAAGACATGATTTTTTTTATCATATTACAAATGTAATGACCCAATGGGTTCACCTTGCCCACTGCCTAGACAGAGCCAATTTATCAAGACAGGGGAATTGCAATAAAGAAAGAGTAATTCATGCAGAGCCAGCTGTGCAGGAAACTGGAGTCTTATTATTACTCAAATCAGTCTCCCCGAGGGTTCGGGGGATCAGGGTTTTTAAGGACAACTTAGTGGGCGGGGGGAAGCCAATGAGACAGGTGTGCTGATTGGTCAAGTCAGAGATGCTTCTTGTGCTTAGTCAGTTCCTAGGTGGGGGCCACAAGATCAGATGAGCCAGTTTATCAATTTTGGTGGTGCCAGCTGATCCATCAGTTGCAAGGTCTGCAAAATATCTCAAGCATTGATCTTACAAGCAGGTTAAGGAGGGTCAGAATCTTGTAGCCTCCAGCTGCATGACTCTTAAACCATAATTTCTAATCTTGTGGCTAATATGTTCAACCTACAATGGCAGTCTAGTCCCCAGGCAAGAAGGGGATTTGCCTTGGTAAAGGCCTGTTATCATCTTTGTTTTAAACTATAAACTAAGTTCTTCCAGAAGTTAGTTCAGCCTATGCCCAGGAAAGAATAAGGATAGCTTGGAGATTAGAAGCAAGATGCAGTTGGTTAGGTCAAATCTCTTTCACTGTCTTAGTTACAATTTCGCAATGGTGGTTTGACAAGCAGGCTAGAGATAGGTGGTTATGATATAGAAGGGCTGGGCTCCCAGCTAAACCCCAACCTTAAGCCTGGAACCGCAGCCCTAAGTGAAAATAGCTGAATCCATTTTTCCGCAAAAATGTTTTTTTGTTTGTTTTTTTTTTTTTTGGTCTGCCTTACCCCTATCCTGTGCCCATAAAAAGTCTTCAGCTGGCAGAGCAACACAAGCAGCTGAGCATCAGGGATACAAGTGGCTGAGCAACGAGCATGGAAGTAGCTGAGAAACAAGCAGAGAAGCAACTGAGCTTCAGAGACTGCAGATAGATGCAACTAACTTCAGATGGTGCAGCTTCAGGGAAAGATCACCTTCTTCCCACACCATCCCCTTTCCAACTCTCTATTCTGCTGAGAGCCACTTCCATCACCCAATAAAATCCTCTGCATACACTACCCTTCAACCCATTCATGTGACCTGATTCTTCCTGGACACTGGATGAGAACCTGGGTGCTGAGAGGGCAGGGGCTGGGACACTGCTGTGGGGTCTGCACAGAGCCTTCTCCTGCCAGAGAGGAGCAACCAGCCGGTTCCAGTATTCATTTGCTTTGGTCCCACACTCACTTGCTTGCATGCTCCCTCTTGCAAGGAGTGGCCAGCAGCAGACTGAGTGAAATGAGCCATCCAGTTCCCACCCATGAAGGGGATCAAGGTCAAGGAAACAATCTCATCTCAGTTGTAGAGTCAATTCAACAGCACAACAGTGGCAGAATGTTAGCCCAACATCACTTTGAATCATTTTGGCTTTCTTTCTTGGTCAAAAGAGGACTGCCAAAGAGGCAAAACACAACTTCACATAACTAAATCCCAAGCAAGAAAGAACTGTTGAAAGAAAATCCTTAGACAAATATAATTTAACAGAGTTTAACTGAGCAAAGAACAAGTCATGAATTGGGCATCCTCCTGAGCCAGAGTAGACTCAGAGAGTCCAGCACAAGCATGTGGTGACATAAGACTTATGGACAGAATGAAAGTGACCTACAGAAAATGGAAGTGAGGTACAGAAACAGCCAGGTGGGTTATAGCTCAGCATTTGCCTTATTTAAAAATGGTTTAAACAGTTGGCCCCCTATGATTGGCCAAAACTCAGTGATTGGCACAAGAGTAGATTTGAGACCATTTACACTTCTATTTAGGTTATAGTTCACTATGTACATAGAAAGCTTTAGGCTCAATTTAAAATATGTAAAGAGGCAACTTTAGGCTAAACTTCACTTAACAGAATGGAGTGGAAGCAAACACATATATTCCTTTATATATGTTTGCCTTTAAAAGAGGAGTAAAATCCTTCTCAGAAATCTACCTGGTCATTTCCCCTTAGGTTTCATCTTCCAGAACTGAGTGACATGCCTACTCTAGACAAATCACTAGGAAAGACAAATGAGATTGCCAAAACTGGCTTTGACCTGCCATGTTTCATCCATAGAAGTTCTATTGTCAACCAAACATAATGGGGATTCTGTTAACAAGAGAGAAAGGGAATGACTTTGAACAGGCAATTAGCAGAGTCTACCTCCAGGGATAGCCTCACTCCAAGACTGGTCTGAGCTCTGACTGAAGTGTATGTAAAAACAAGAGTATATTTAAGAATAAAGATGGGTCAGCAAACATTTTTCTGTAAAGGGCCAGATAGCAAATATTTTAGGCTTTTCAGGCTATGTAATCTCTGTTACATATTCTTCTTTGTTATTTTTACGGCATGTTAAAAAAAATGCGCAAAACACTCTTAGCTTTCCTGGCATATAAAAACTGGTCATGGACCAGATTTGACCCTACTGTGCCAGCACCTAGACAGACACATGATATAATCATTGCCTTTCATGCAGTTAGTTAACAAAAATATATGGAGTGTCTAATATGGTCAGTCACCAAACTAAGTGTTGGGGATGCAGACCTGACCAACGTAGAGTGTATTCCCTGAGAAAGCTCATAATGTAGTGGTATCTCCTGCCTCCCCACCCAAGAAAAGCCAAAATGTAAGCCTACCTTTCATTTTTATGCAGTAAATATCCTAAACAGTTTTTCTGCAAGTGTGGTATATAATTTTACAGATATAGATTTTTAAATAGTACAAAGTTATTTACAAAGTTATTAAGCTGAGAAAATCACAAGTTTCTAAAAAATTACACATATTTGAGGCATGTATGTCCTACCTACAAGGAATATATATGAAGGATACAAAGTAGCCAAAACAGTATAAAAATACCCTACGATATTGATGTAATTTCTAGCCCTGGTACTATTTCCTCTGTCAAAAAAACACACAACAAATATATATATGTGTATATATATATTATATTATATGTATTATGTATAAATATAATATATTATATGTATAAATATGCTATTTATACATATATGTATATATAATACATAATATATGTATTATATCTTATAAAATACGTATCCTGAAACCTAATATCATGAGTTTTAAAACAGTAGTTGTCAAAAGAAAAAAATTTGTATACTAAACATAATAGAACCCAAGATTGTCTGCTGTAAGTAAATTTCATCCAATTCTTAATGTAAGAGATTAACATTTTATTATAGGAATTTCAGCAATTTTAGAGGGATTTTGTAAAATCAGTATGGAAAATAGACATTCTTTAGGAAAAAAAAAAGCATTTAATCAGAATCAATCTGACTGTGTCAGTGTTTGAGGAGTATTTGAGCCTGATTTAAAAAGTCTTTACCAGTCTTACCTAGAATACCTCCTTGTACTTAAGAGATATTCTCAATCCACTGCCTTGAGGCCATCAGAGGATCATTCAGTTGCTTGTTCTTTTCTTCTTTTTCATGTTGACTAAAGAGGCACACTAAGCAGTCCTTCTAAGCAAAACAAAACAAAACAACAAAAAATAATCACCAACGCATTTCTGAAAAAGAATCAAACTGTCCTTTGGAAAACTGAAATTGCACTTGGGAACTGCGTGTTTCTGTCTTTAAATGTAGTCAACAAAATTGTTGCTCTCTTAGAAATGGTTTGTTTGTGATAAGTGAGCTTTCTTTCTGTAGATGAAGTCCCCAGAGTAAGTTTCTGTCACCAACATTTCCCTTTCTTGGACTTGAGAAATTACAGTCTGCAGATAACATACTTGCCTAAGCAGCAGAAAAATGTTCCTGACTTCATGGAACTTCTGAACAGCTTTGGGAAATAGTATTCCATGAAACTCCCTGGGGAATGCCCCAGAATGTCTATGGGGACCCTAATCCTCTGCAGATGCACATTAAAATTTGCAGCAGGTTTCTCAACGGGCCTTTCTGGTGTTTTTGTGCTGAGGAAGTTTAAGTCTGTCTTTGGTTCTAAATATCAAAAAAGTGCTAAAGTATGAAGTATTTATCATAAAATCTTCTGAACAAACATGATTTGATAGATCGGCTCTAAAAACATGTACAACTTTAATAGAAGCAGCAGGCCGGAGTCATTGAAAAGATTAGGGCTCTCCAGTCAAAAGATCTGGTTTAAATCTAACTGCTGTTGCTTATCATCTCTGTGACCTTGTACAATAATCCTTAATTCATCTTTCTTTCCTCATCTGTCTAATAGAAATAATGTGAGCATCAAATATGATAGTACTTTCATTCATTCTGTGATTAAGTGAATATTTGTTGAATCAGGCATTATGTGTCAGGCTCTAAACTGAAAAGGAGCAGAGACCCCCTCTTAGGGGCCTGCACCTCTCCACACCCAAGCATGGAACTAAAGGGAAATCTTGAGTTCTTTCAAGGGAAATTCCAGGTGCCTAGCCAGCCCTGAGAAATAAATAAGTAACTTGAAAAGCAAGAAAGTAATAGTAGCCCAAAACAACAGCCAAGAAAGCTTCAATCATGGGATGTTTGATTCTCCTGCAGAAACTAAAGATAACAACATAGGTCTCTGAGTTGTTTTTCAGAAACCCAGACCCCCACCAAACGAACTTGCTGGCATGTAGACCTCAGATAACGAGGAACTGAAGTCTGAACTCTGACCACTGTTCTTTGTTTTACATTTCATTCTGAGGCGCCAGGAGGGAGTCACATCCAGGAGCCAAGCTAACATTCAAATCTGCTGACCCCAAATTTTTACACAAGGTTTATCTTACTTATCTAATTGCAAATTAGAAAATCTTTGAATCTATTTATGACACGTAAGCCCTCTCTCCCTTAAAGTTATCTGTCTTCTTAAGGCCAAAACCAATGCAAATGTATCGACATACCATGTTGCCTATAACTTCTGCTTTCCTGAAATTTACCCCTGCCTTTAAAAACTCTCACCTGCAATCCATCAACAAGGCTGTGACTTAAGCGTGAACTGTCTGGTCCTCATTGCTTGCTGCCCTACAGATAAACACCTTCCTTTCTACTGATGCAAACTGTGGTGTGGATATCTGGTCTTACTGTGCTGGACAAGAGGACCCCAGTTTGGTTCTGTAACAGGACTAGCTGCTGGGATACACAATAGGAAGACAGCCATAGTCCAGTCTTATGAAAATAGAAGTGCCTGGAAACTGTAATCTATACATGCTTGTTACCGTGATAAGAAAAATGATGTAATGGGCTGGGCACAGTGCTCACACCTATAACCCCAGCACTTTGGGAGACCGAGGCGGGTGAATCACGAGGTCAGGAGTTCAAGACCAGCCTGGCTAAGATGGTGAAACCCTGTCTCTACTAAAAATACAAAAATTAGCCAGGTGTGGTGGCACATGCCTGTAGTCCCAACTTCTTGGGAGGCTGAGGCAGGAGAATTGCTTGAACCTGGGAGGAGATTGCAGTGAGCCAGATCACGCCACTGCACTCCAGCCTGGAGACAGAGCGAGACTCCATCTCAAAAAAAAAAAAAAAAAAAAAAGAGAAGCCTGATGTAATGATGTAATGTATTTGAGGTGCATAGCAATAACCAATTCCATTTCTAGTAATAAATACAAATAAAAATCACAACTTGACATTGAAGCGATTAAAAGAAAAGTGCATATCCACACCAGTTTAGAGTTTTTCTTTAATATATGAGGTCTCTCATATAAAGTAAAATTCCAAGAGGTAATAGAGAAATCAACGTGGCTTCTCCTGCCAGACTGATCATTCCTTCCCAGTTTTGGTTACTGACTATATCACTGAAAAGTCAGTTAAGACACTGCTCTTACTAGCGGTGAAATTTGGATATGGCTTAAAAAGCTGCAATTCAATAAAGCATTAAATTAGATTGCTGATGAAGTATATTCAAGGAAACAATTTACCAATATTTATTAATCATATGTCAAATTAAAAAATATGTTTCTACCAAAAAATTTAAGGACATCTTTCATCTACTAAAGAAAGAGTGAAGATATTTTTAAACTAATTTTAATGCATAGATTATTTTTCAAAAAACATAGGTAAATACTACAGAATCCATTATCAAAACTAAACTTCATACTTTAAAAACTACCATAGAATTTCAGAATTGAATTTGACCTTAAAGGTCACTTTTTAGAAAGCATAATAGAATTGAATTTAGAAAAGAAAAAAAGAAAGGGAAATAAAAGAAGAAAAAAGTAAAATTTTTGCATAAATACTCCTAGCTTTTTAGCTTTCTTTCTTTTTTTTTTTTTCTTTTTGAGACAGGGCCTCTTTCTGTCATCCAGGCTAGAGTACAGTGGTATGATCATGGCTCACTGCAGCCTCAACCTCCTGGGCTCAATAGATTCTCCCACCTCAGACTCCTGAAAAGCTGGGACTACAGGTGCACACCACTATGCCTGAATAATTTTAAAATATTTTGTAGAGACAGGGTCCCACTGTGCTGTCAAGGCAGATTTTGAACTCCTGGCCTCAAGTGATCCTCCTGCCTCAGCTTCCCAAAGTGCTGAGATTACAGGCATGAGCCACTGTGCCTGGCCACACGTAGCTGTTTAATGGCAAACTAGGGTTCTGAACATGATCACGTTAATCCAAGTCATTTCTTCTATAAATGGCTTCTTTTGGTTTATAAATAAATAACATAAAAAAGAATATGAAAAACATGACTGCAATGAAATAACCTACTGAAAAGCTTTGAAATTAGTAAGGAATACCAATAAAAATACTTTTTTGTTTCCGTTATAACAGAAACAAAACATTTGTTAACAACTTCATTTGTTAGTTGATTCAATACTTTTATTTTTAATAACTACTAGTATTAATCTCTGTACATACCAAAATAAATAAGGCACATCACTGATCTTTTAGGATCACCCAACGTGGAAAGAGATAAGCACAAAATCAGACAGTATAAAAAAGGATAATAAGGACTTCATTGCCTTTAGAAACCATTACGAAGTCAGAGGAATAGCAAAACCCATGAATCATGCTCTGTATGCTACCAGTGTATACTGTGGAGAAAGGAAGAGCTGGGATTAGCTGGGCAGCCCCTGCATAGAGCTGGTGAAACTGGATTAGTTTAGCATGGGCAGTAGGTGAAGAGGAATGGAGTAGATTCAAGGATGATAATACGAATTTCCTTGTCATAACATGGAAATAATGCCTATCTCATTAGGGGGTTATAAAGAATAAAAAAGGGGCCAGGAGCAGTGGCTCACACCTGTAATCCCAGCACTTTGGGAAGCCAAGGCAGGCAGCTCACTTGAGGCCAGGAGTTCAGACCAGCCTGGATGGCATGGTAAAACCCTGTCTCTACTAAAAATACAAAAATTAGCAGTTGTGGTGGCACAGGCCTGTAGTCCTAGCTACTCAGGAGGCTGAGGCACAAAAATCGCTTGAACCCGGGAGGTGGAGGTTTCAGTGAGCTGAGGTCACACCACTGCATTCCAACCTAGGCAACAGAGTGAGGCTCTGTCTCAAAATAAATAAATAAATAAATAAAAATTGAAAAGGAAGTGATACAGACAGGAGTCAGGGAAATACTAGGTAGAAAAGGTCCACTCTCAAACCTGGACCTATGGCCCTAAATGAGAACATGCATTCCTATTTTCCCACCCAAATATTGCCTTTTCCAAAACCACCCTGGCCCATCATGATCCCCATCCTGTACCATAAAAACCCCAAGCTCCACTGGCAGAGGAGCAGAGCAAAGTGGCAACGAAGGAGAGAAGAGAAGAAGCAACTGGATGTTGGAGAAAAGCAGCTTTACTTCAGAGGAATAGCTTGATGGAAGGACTTTGGAGAAGAGTTCAACTGGGGACTGCCAAACTCCAGGGGAAGACTATCTTCCCAATCCATCCCCCTTCCAGCTCCCCTTCCCACTGAGAGCCACTTCCACTGCTCAATTAAAATCCTCCGTATACACCACCCTTCAATTTGTTCGCGTGACCTGATTCTTCCTTGACACGCAACAAGAAATTGGGTACTAAGAGGGCAAGGTATAAAAGGATGTCACTCCGACCCTTCGCTGAGCTGCTTAACACTTAGCTGTCTGTGGTTGGCAAATGCTAAAACAGCACTGATTGTAACACATGCCCTCTGGGGTTCCAGGAGTCACAGACACCCCCTCTCAGACAGCAGAGCTAAAAGACCATTGTAACACACATGGACGCTGCCACAGGGCCCGCAGAGAGCCTGCTAATGCCAGACAGGAGTGACCAGTCAGTTCCAGCGTTCATTTGCCCTGGTTCCCGCACCTGCTCACCTCCATGCTCCCCCTCCTATAAGGGGTTCAGAGCTGCGGGCTGAGTAGATGAGCCACCCCTTCATGAGTCCTGTGAAGGGGTCAAAGGAACTATCCCATCTCAGAAGCATAACAATGGCAGCATTCATAAAATACTTACAGTAATTCTAATACATGGAGAACTCCCAAAAACAAGAATTCAGATAGATGGCATCAATGGCTGGCACACATCCTCCACAGCAGGCTTACCCAAGCTCAACTCATCAGTTTTACAATAAAAACACCAACCCCTTTTTACATGGCTAAATTGTTGGATCCATTTAGAGCATTATAGTAGAATTTTAAAATACTATTTACTAATCGTTTGTATTATTTCATGCATACTCCTTATTTAATCTTTATTCTATAAGGGGAGAACTCTTGTCCTGTCTTAGAGGGTTTAGAGAGGTTGAGTAATCCGCCCCAAATTACACAATTCAAGAGTGAGTGTGGCCAGAATTCAAACTAAGGAGTCTGACTCCAAAGGCCATATCAGTCTAATTCAGTGATTGACAAACAAAAGCCCACAGTCAAATCTTGCCCACTACTTATTTCCATGCCACTAATTTTCTAATTTTTTTTTTTAGATGAAGTTTTGCTCTTGTTGCCCATGCTAAAGTGCAATGGCGCGATCTTGGCTCACCACAACCTCTGCCTCCCAGGTTCAAGCGATTCTCCTGCCTCAGCCTCCTGAGTAGCTGGGGATTACAGGCATGCACCACCACACCCAGCTAATTTTGTATTTTTAGTAGGACGGGGTTTCTCCACGTTGGTCAGGCTGGTCTCAAATTCCTGACCTCAGGTGATCCGCCCGCCTTGGCCTCCCAAACTGCTGAGATTACAGGCGTGAACCACGGCCCCCAGCCTCAGCCACTCTTATTAAGCACTGAATAACTAAAATTAGTGTTTTTTAATAAAACAAAAGACTGCATCTATGCAAAACTTACATTGCAACAAAATCATTTCTATGACAACTAACACTGTTTCAAACCCAGTAAAGTAAAGCTCCTTTATACACGTTACATACTGTTGTTTTTTGTTTTCTGGTTTTTGTTTTTGTTTTTTGATACCAAGTCTTGCTCTGTTGCCCAGGCTGGAGTGCAGTGGTACGATCTTGGCTCACTGCAATCTCCATCTCCCAGGTTCAAGCAATTCTCATGCCTCAGACCCTTGAGTAGCTGGGATTACAGGCACACGCCGCTGTGCCCAGCTAATTTTTGTATTTTTAGTAAAGAAAAGGTTTCACTCTGCTGACCAGGCTGGTCTTGAACTCCTGACCTCAAGTGATCTGCACACTTCAGCTTCCCAAAGTCCTGGAATTACAGGTGTGAGCCACTGTGCCCAAGCTGTACACGTCACATACTGTTAAAGACAAAACAAAACACAAGATCTCCATTCCCACAAAAAATTTGCAATGAATATGTTTTTCAAGTTCAAACTATAGTTCCAGCTGCATTTTTCAGATCTTAATTAAAGGAAAAACAAGACAAAACAAAAATCCTCCATATTTCAGAATTCACTTAACTGTGCAATTGAGGAGCTTTCACTTAGCTTTCCTGCGGGAGTTGCTGGTATGCAATAGAATGGTACACCAAAATCAAATATCAAGAGGAAAATCTAATAGAATTCTGTTTGCCTTTGAGCTAGTGAATGTGCTCAGTTAAAATCATATGCTCACATATTGATATCAGTATTTGGCAAAACCTATCTGTGTGAGAAGATATTTTCACAGATAAAATACATGAAATTTCATTATGGATCAACATTAACAGATGAGTTTACAATTGATTTTGATGATAGCAAGAACTAATTTTGAACGCCAGTTAAGCAAAATATTATCCCCCCATTCTTATCATTCATAGACTTGTATGTTTAAATTTTTTAAGCATTTGTTTGTTTGTTTGTTTACTTATTTCTTTACTGACACAGGGTCTCACCCTGTCACTCAGGCTGGAGTGCAGTTGCACAATCATAGCTAATTGCAGCCTGGATCTCCCAGGCTTAAGCAGTCCTCCTGCCTCAGCCTCCAAATAGCTAGGACTACAGGCATGCACCACCATGCTGGGCTAATTTTTTTTTTATTTTTTACTTTTTGTAAAGTCAGGGTCTTGCTATTTTGTCCAGCCGACCTTAAACTCCTGGCCTTAAGTGATACTTCTGCCTTGGCCTCCCAAAGTGCTGGGATTACAGGTGTGAGCCGCTGTACCAGCCTGTATTTTCTTTTAATGAACTTGTCATTATTATATTTTGAATTTCAACAATAAAAAATTTGTAGACATTTGTTTTCTCTCTTCTTATATAAATAGCTACATAATATCCTCAATTTTGCCTCATGGCCTACAAAACTTTAAATGTTTACTGTCTGACCCTTTATAATAAAATGGTTGCTAACCTCTATTTTAATTCCAACAAATGTTCATTTAATGTCATTTGTCTTCCAAAGTTATCTGCTAAATATTTGTACCTTCACAGTAATTTCCAATGTCACTCCACTTGTCTCCAAAATATTTTGGTAAAAATTGAAGAGTATGAAAAAATTGTTTTTCTGAACTTCCTATTATTCTCTAAAACTCTAATATGGTCTGGCTTTGTGTTTCCCCCAAATGTCATCTTGACTTGTAATCTGAATTGTAATCCCCACATGTTGGGGAAGGGACCTTGTGGGAGGTGATTAGATTATGGGGACGTCTCCCCCGTGCTGTTCTTGTGATAGTGTGTGAGTTCTCACAAGATCAGACAGTTTTCTAAGGGGCTTTTCCCCACTTCACTCCTCATTTCTCTCACTTGCCACCATGTAAGATGTGCCTATGTCACCTTCCACTGTGATTATTAGTTTCCTGAGGCCTCCATAGCCATGTGGAAATGACTCAGTTAAACCTCTTTTCTTTATAAATTACCCAGTCTTGGGTATGCCTTCGTAGCAGCATGAAAACAGACTAATACGAACCCCTTCACCTCTTGCTGGCTCATTTCCTTCCATCCTGTGCCCCACGCCCCCTTTACAGATCCCCAGTGTTTTCATGATACCTACTCATTGTGAATTGTCCTCTCTCCCTAAGCCTTTCATTGGAATCAAAATTTTCCCTCCTCTTCCTGACTCTATCACAAATATCATTTCAGTACTTACCTGTCCTCAAGTTAACACCATTCAGTGTAGGCAGGGGTTTGGATCCCCAAAAGTGAGAGTCCTGGCTGATCCTGACAGATCTATTAATTGAAAGAAGTTTCCAGATGGCAGAGTGAACCCATGGATGTTGACCATATTCTTTTCAACTTAAGAAACAACTATTGGTGAGCAAGTGGACCATGGGCTGCTGGCTCCTGAGGTTTGAGGAGGGGAGTCCTTGAATGGAGGCAACGTGTAAGGCAAAGATTATGAAAAGGATCAACAACACACATTCCAACATCTATTGCCAAGGCAAGCCATTCAAAGGCAGTAATGGCGTCCCTAGGAGCACGCAGGGTACGGAGGTGACTTCTCTCAGAATGACTTCTGAAGTGGTCCCACTCAGGCTAGCTTCTGAGCATCTTTCTCCCTTCCAGTCACTTCCTAACATGAGGGCAAGGATTTCCAAAGTTTTGGCCAAATAGATCAATTGTGTTTGTTTACTTATTTCTATGTATAAACTATCTTCTCAGCAAGCCCCCCATTATGTATGAGCTACATACATGTTGACTAATAAAAAGAGCTGGTGATATAATGTAGTTTTCAACTATATGCTTTATTAATTACAGTCTCATGACCAGAATCAGTGGCAAAAAGGATGAGATTGCTTTACCCCAGAATACTTTAAACACACATGCTCATATTCTTTTCTTTTCTTTTTTTTTTTGAGATGGAGTCTCGCTCTGTCGCCAGGCTGGAGTGCAATGGCCAATATGGGCTCACTGCAACCTCCGCCTCTCGGGTTCAAACGATTCTCCTGCCTCAGCCTCCTGAGCAGCTGGGACTACAGGCACACACCACCATGCCCAGCTAATTATTGTATTTTTAGTAGAGGTGGGATTTCACTATGTTGGCCAGGATGGTCTTGATCTCTTGACTTCGTGATCCACCTGCCTCAGCCTCCCAAAGTGCTGGGATTACAGGCATGAGCCACCATGCCCAGTACATGCTCATATTTATATAATTATATTCAACCTAAGCCCCTCGTTTTTCTTTGTCCTTTTTTGACTCCACGGATTTCCTCACCCAGGCCGGCCCACAGTACTGCCTTTTTCTGTGCCCAAACTAGGCTTGTATGTCTGACTCCTTGTCCTACCTATTATTCTGATATAGGTAGGCTGAATGAGTGAGGCTACCTTCTTCAGTATCTACTCAACTCTTTATTGATGATAATTCCAATGCTTGATGGTTTTCTTTCAGATGGGTAAAAACCATATCACGATTCTGTGATTTAAAAATATACAAAGAACTTGATGTTCACTGTCCATGTATTTTATAGACAGTTATTGCTGTTTTACTATTTCTTTACATATTTCATTCTGTGTTTTCTTTCCTTGTCTTTTAAAGTGAGTCTGCTTTCCTTCACTTGATCTATTTATTTCAAAAGCACTTTTAGATGTTTTTCTACTTAATTTTAGTCTCCATCAGATTAAATTACACAGCCGACCATTTTTTTTCTACTAGCCATATAATTGTAGGGAAGTACATGTGCCAAAATATTACATTACTAAATATTTGTTATTACCTAAGTCAATGCCCGAATGTCAAGATGGTATGAGGCCAATGAGAAAAGCTTAGAAAACCTACAAATGTGAGGTGGATTTCATGTTACCCAGAAGGAAATGTGTATTAAAGGCCAGAGAGTATGGGATAAGAAGGAGAATAGATTAATGCAATGTATTTGGGCTTTAGTTGTTAACATAAAACATAAATACTTCCAATGACTGAGACTAGTTAAAAGAAAGATCAGCTTCTGTACAATAGATTCTATAAAGAAAAAGAACATACACAAATGATATTCTAGATTCCCTTGTAAAATTCTAATAAAGTTGAAAATGATTTTGGATGTAATTGTTAGAAATAAGGAAAACTGTGGCACCTATGAAATAGAAGTCACAATTATATTCAACAGCAATCACAATTTGAAAATTTTCAGGTTCTTAGTGAATTGTTATTTAAGTGAGTGGGAACATCAAGCTTTAAGAAGTAGAGACTGAGAAAATAAGCATGTTACCAAAAAAAAAAGCCATCTGCAATTGTGAAATACAGAAGGAAGATTGAAGATTCTAAAACAAACTCAGGAAATGTGCAGTTAGTAGCACTCAGAAATAATGCAAGAGGAGAATAAGGCTGATGTGAATGAGTATGAAAATTATGAAAGCGCTTGAACAAAAGTAAGAAAGCATGTATCAAATAAAGCACCACACCAGAAATTGCTACTAAAACAAAGAGCTAAGAGCAAGAATAAACTATTAGAAAAACTATCATTATGATGGAGAACTAACTTATAAAGTGAGTAAGCACAACAAAGTTGTAAACATGTTCAGGGCAAATAAACCATGTTGAACAAGAATATAGCGTAATTTTAGTTCTGCTGTATTAAAAGAACTAAAGTACATAATATACTTCAAAAGTACATAATATACTTTGAAGAAAATAAAATACCTTCTTCGTGAATTCTGCTAGGCTTTTTAAGTCCCTTCATTTACCTTGTGAAAGGACCTATTCTTGTTCATGCACAGTAACAGCTGATGGCAATAAAAGGTATGAGTTCTTTAGAATACTTTACGTTTAGCCAGGTTCACACATGAGGGTTGGGCTTTATGATCTTTTGGTGAAATACCAGAACATTTATTAAAGGATAGTATACTGTAGTTGAAAGATAATTAGATTAGGACCCAGGCTCAAGTTCAGTTTTAATGTTTTATCAGCTGTGTGGCTTTGGACAACTCACTTTTTTTTTTCTTTTTCTTTTTTTGAGAGTGGCCTCATGCTGTCACCCAGGCTGGAGTGCAGTGTTGCAATCATAGCTTACTGTAATGTCAAACTCCCGGGCTCAAGCTATTCTCCCACCTCAGCCTGCTGAGTAGCTAGAACTACAGAGCGCATGGGACTGTGCCCAGCTTCTTTCCTTTTCCTTTTTTTTTTTTTTTTTTGTAGAGACAGGGTCTGGCTATGTTGCCCAGCAATTCTCCCACCTAGGGCCTCCCAAAGTGCTGGAATTATAAGCATAAACCACCATGCCCAGCCTGGGCAAATAATCTAATCTCTTTTAGCATCAGCTGCTTCATCTACAAAGTGTTTGTACTAATTATTCCTCCAGACAGATACCTTAAGCTTTAAATATAAAGCAATTTTGTACTATTCCCAGGACTGATGCATAGTGACTCTCTCTTTTTCCTTCAAATCTTGATGGTTCTGGCAAAGCTTGAACTCAGCAACGTCATCGCTGAGCTATATAATAAAGAAAAGAATACCTACAAATAGGCGTGTTGAGTAAATCCATTAACGATGAAAACACATAGCCAAAAAGTGGTATACCACTTTTTCATCAGATTCCTTAAGGAGATGTTCACAGTGTAAAAGGCTTTAACTTTAGGTAGCTGACAGCAGTGGACAGTATTGCTTGCAATCAGAGATAAGCTCAGTGTGAACAAAACATCTAATGATTCGGAAGCAGAAATAGAGCAGTAAACATTATGCAGAGTATAGTGCCATGCCCCCTGTGAGCACTCAAAAAAAATAATCCATGGTGATTATGACAATGATGAACAGAACCAGGTCCCGCAATCAGTGTCTAGGGCCATTAACAAAAAGTCATGCACTTAGGAGGGGGAGGCTGCTGCCTTTGCGGCATTTACTGAGTATATTTCCACTCACTGGGTTACAGGGCAGTGATGAGAGAAATGTAGGGCTTTGAGAAGACAGGAAATGGCCTGTTTTGCGACCCAAGTAAAATGTCAACAGCCTGTCATAAAACGATTTTCAATTTCTGGCCTGCAACCTTATTTACATTTTTTTTCTTAAAGATAATTTTTTTTTCTTAGAGATACTAAATAATTTTAGGAAAAAATGTCTTCTGCAAGTTACTTTTATCAGAAAGCCAGAGCATAGTTTATTTAAGGACATAGTTTGAAAGTTGCTTTAACTATCTGAGGGAAGGCCAGGAAAGGCTCTATTTTCAAATAAGGACCTGACCAGAAGAAAGTGGGAAAAAGGCTGAATAAAGAAATCAATGGAACTAAAAGAATCAAGAGGTGCTTCTTTGCATTTTGTAATTTTTCTACAGTGAGCATATGGCAGAAACTTGTCACTTGTCACTATCTCTTCTCCCCTTCTTCCTGGATAATAGAACTCCAATTTTGTTGGAGGTTATTATCAACGTTCCAAGCTTAATGTGTAATATGTAAATATATTCACTTTCACAAATCCCTTTGCAGCTAAGGGAAGCTATGTTGCCAGTTTTGGCTAATAAGATACAGACAGACATGCCTAGCGCCAGCATCCTTCTCAAGATAAGACAGAGTCTTGTGGGAAAGGGTTACATACCTATCCCTTTCTTTCTGCCTGGAATGGGAATAGAAGGCCTGGAGAGGTGGCAGCCATCTTGCAAACATGAGCACTGTCTTAATCCATTAGGACTGCTATAACAAAATATGCCAGACTGAGCAATTTATAAACCACAGAAATGTATTGCTCACAATTCTGGAGGCTGGGAACTCTGAGATCAACCACCAGCAGACTCCATGTGTGGTGAGGACCCATTCCTCATCAATGGCACCTTCTACGAGTTCTCACATGGCAGAAGGGCAAACAGCCTCCCTCAGACCTCTTTTATAATGGCAGCAAGCCCATTTATAAGGGCAGAGCCCTCATGAGCTAATCATCTCCCAAAGGCCTCACCTGTTAATGCTATCACATTGGAGATTAAATTCAAACATAAAAATGTTGGGGGGTACACAAACATTCAAACCATAACAAGCACAAAGGCAGCAACACCCTGAGGAGGGCAGAGTAGAGAAATAAAAGGAGTTCGAATCCTTGATAATTTTGCAGAACTTCAGTGATAACAGCCCTGGACTACCTATCTCTACCCCAAAGTGCTCATGAGAAAAATTAACACTTTCTGTGTTTAAGCTACTATTCATCAGGATTTTTATAGCTCAAAGCCAAACATAATATTATGTCCAGTAAAGGCCTATTTCATTTTTGTGCTTTGCTTTATTGTGCTTCAAAGATAATGCATTATTCTTCTTTTTCTTCTTTTTTTGGAGACCAGGTCTGACTCTGTCACTCAGGCTGGATTGCAGTGGTACAATCATAGTTTACTGAAGCCTCAAACTCCTGGGCTAAGGTGATCCTCCTGACTCAGCCTCTGGACTAGCTGAAACTACAGACATGCACCACCATGCCTGGATAAATATTGCATTATTTTACAAATTGAAGGTTGGTAGCAACCCTGCGTTAAAGCAAATCTATAAATGCCATTTTTCCAACAGCATGTGCTCAATTTATGTCACATTTTGGTACTTCTAACAATATTTCAAACTTTCTTGTGATTATTATATCTGTTATGGTGATCGGTGACCAGTGATCTTCGAAGTCACTATTGTAATTGTTTCAGGGCTCCACAAATTGTGCACATATAAGACAATAAACTTAATAAATGTTGTGTGTGTTCTGACTGCTCCACCCACTGGCCATTCCACCGTCTCTCTCCCTCTCCTTGGGCTTTCCAATTCCTTAAGAAAAAACAATATCGAAATTAGGCAAATAAATAACCCTGCAACGGCCTCTAAGTGTTCAAGTGAAAGAGTCACATGCCTCTCATCTTAAATCAAAAGCTAGAAATGATTAAGCTTAGTGAGAAAGGCATGTTGAAAACAGCAATAGGCCAAAAGCTAGGCCTCTTGCACCAAATAGTTAGATATGTGAATGCAAATGAAAAGTTCTTGAAGGAAATTAAAAATACTACTCTAGTGAACACACAAATGATAAGAAAGCAAAACAGCTTTATTGCTGATTCGGAGAAAGTTTTGAGTGGTCTGAATAGATCAAACCAGCCGCAATATTCCCTTAAATCAAAGTCTAAACCTGAGCAAGACCCTAAGTCAACTTTGTGAAGGCTGAGAAAGGTAAAGAAACTGCAGAAGAAAAGTTGGAAGCTAGTGGAGGTTGTTGGTTCATGAGAGCTGAGAAAAGAGGTCACCTCCATAACATAACAGTGCAAGGTGAAGCAGCAAGTGCTGATGGAGAAGCTACTGCAGGTTATCCAGAAGATCTAGCTAAAATAATCGGTGAAAGTGACTACACTAAACAACCTATTTTCAATGTAAATGAAACAGCCTTCTATTAGAAAAAGATGCTATCTAGGACTTTCATAGCTAGAGAGAAGTTAAGGCCTGGCTTCAAAGTTTCAAGTGTCAGGCTGTCTGTCTTGGAAAAAGAAAATGTAGATGACAGCACATCTGTTTACAGCATGATTTACTCAGTATTTTCAGCCAACTGTTTTTTTTGTTTTGTTTTGTTTTCGAGATGGAATCTCACTCTGTTGTCCAGGCTGGAGTGCAGTGGTGCAATCTCCGCTCACTGCAACCTCCACCTCCCGGGTACAAGTGATACTCCTGCCTCAGCCTCCCGAGTAGCTGGGACTACAGGCATGTGCCACTACGCCTGGCTAACTTTTTGTATTTTTAGTAGAGAGAGGTTTTCACCGTGTTGACCAGGCTGGTCTTGAACTCCTGACCTCAGGTGATCCACCCTCCTCAGCCTCCCAAAGTGCTGGGATGACAGGCATGAGCCACCGCACCTGGCCTCAGCCCACTTTTGAGACCCACTGTTGAGAAAAAAGAAAAAGATTCCTACTGCTTTTGAACGATATACCTGGTCACCTAAGAGCTCTGATGGAGATGTACTAGGAAGTGAATGTTGTTTTCATGCCTGCTAATGCAGCATTCATTCTGTAGCCCACGGATCAGGAAATAAATTTAACTTTGAAGTCCTACTATTTAAGAAAAATATTTTATAAGGCTACAGCTGCAATAGACAGTAATTCCTCTGATGGATCTGAGAGGAGACAATTGAAAACCTTCTAGAAAGGATTCACCATTTTAGATACATTAAGAATTTGCATGTTTCATGGGAGTTGGTCAAAATATCAGCATAACAGCAGTTTGGAAGAAGTTGACTCCAACCCTCATGGATGACTTTGAGGAGTTCCAGACTTCAATGTAGAAATTAACTGCAGATATGGTGGAAATAGCAAGAGAGAACTAGAATTAGAAATGGAGCTTGAAGGTGTGACTGAATTGATGCAATCTCATAATAAAACTTGAATAGATGAGAAGTTACTTTTTATGAATCAGCAAAGAAAGTTTTTGCTTTGTGGTTTTTGGGGTTTTTTTAGACAGATTCTCTCTGCCACCCAGGCTGGAGCGCAGCGGCGGGATCTTGGCTTACTGCAGCCTCCACCTCCTGGGTTCAAGTAATTGATTCTCCTATCTCAGTTTCCTGGGTAGCTGGGACTACAGGCGTCTGCCACCACACCTGTCTAATTTAGTATTTTTAGTAGAGATGGGTCTTCAGCATGTTGGCCTGGCTGGTCTCGAACTCCTGACCTCAAGTGATCCACCCGCCTCAGCCTCCCAAAGTGCTGGGATTATAGGCATAAGCGACTGTGCCAGGCCAGAAAGTGGTTTCTTGAGATAAAAATAACACCTGGTGAAGATGCTGTACACACTGTTCAAATAACAGGATTTAGAATATTAGCATAACTTTATTCTAAGTTATTTAGAATAACTTAGTTGGTAAAGCGGCAGTGGGGTTTGAAAGGATGGCCTCCAGTTTTTAAAGAAATTCTGCTGTAGGTGAAATGCTGTCAGCTTTGCATGCTACACAGAAATCTTTTGTGAGAGTCCACTGATGTGACAAAGTTTATTTTTGTCCTATTTTAAGAAATTGCCACAACCACCCCAACTTTCAGCAACTCCACCCTGATCAATCAGTGGCTATCAATACTGGGGCGAGATCCTCCAAGAGCAACAAACAGATTACAACTTGTTGAAGGGTCAGATGATTGTTAGAGTTCTTTAGCAATAAAGTATTTGAAAATTAAGGTATGTACATTTTTTAAAAAACAGGATGTGATTACACATTTAATAGACGACAGTATAGTGTAAACATAACATTTATATGCCCTGGAAAACCAAAAAATTCTTGTGCCTTGCTTCATTACTATATTGGCTTATTTCAGTGGTCCAGAAACGATCCTGCAATATCTCTGAGGTATGCCTGTATAAATACAAGAGGCTTGGACCTAATTTAGGATAAGCCCTAACGGGAGCTTTTACTTTGTCAAAATTATGGTAAAAAGAGTCTGCCTAGGAGGAAAACAACAAAGTAAAGTTCAAGGACCCCAAGAATCCACCCTTCCTCATTCTACAGGTGACTCAATCTGAGGCCAAAATCTACTCACAACATATAGTGTTGCCCACTCAGGCAGATTGCCTTCAAGACCCTTGGTCTTTTAGAGTCAAAATAATTCTACCTGAACCTAACAGGTGAAAGACAATCTGAGACACCAGAGTTAGAAAATAAAGAGGCATCTGTATCAAGTGTCCAGTGGAATTAAGACTCAGTTCCTCCCTGTGGTGGAGTGCTGAGACTCAAGTTCTGCAATTCCAGTCCTAACTTGATTAAGCCTCAACCCTGCCTTATCTGCTCATCTTGCCTTGAATCTCTTCCTGGAAAAGTCTGCATTGACAGCTGGCAATCACCACTAGCCTCGATTCTGCCAGTTTCTTGGCCTGTCTAACTATCTGCCTGCTCAACCACTTAACCACTTAAACCTGGCTGTCCCTGTGTGGCTTCAAGCTCCTGTTAAGTAGGCCCAGTGTTCTCCTATCCACAGCCTTAATGTCTCTCTATCTTATCCAGCTGAATGAGAAGAAATTACAGGGGGGTCAAGGCAACACAATGCCTTCGCTGATCAATATGGAAAAGGACAAATTAAGAGCCTTTTAAAATTTAGGCAGACTTTCTGTAAACTGTGTAAAATTATCACAAGGCTTAATGCTGAAGAGCCTCAAGTAGCATTTGCAGAGTGTGTTTCTTGAAATAAATTTCAGTGATGGAATAGATTTGGGAAGCAATGTTCCATACTTTCCCCCTTGGAAGTCCACAATGAGCACTAGTGGATGAAGGTCCTTAGAAGTCCACATAGAGGAAACTACTTTATTTTTTAAAACTTTAACCCAATGCTTCATAAAAATACTTTTTTTGTATTATTTTCAAATATTCCGTGGAACACAATTTGAAAAGTGCATGAGGACAAAATTTTAAAATAATCGATGGGAAGATATCTTTTGGTTTCAAGCTGGAGTCCAGTAGACTTAACTCTACAGTATATTCAATAAATAATGTCTGAACTGGATTAAAGTAACTAGTAATAAAAATCCTGAATTTGACAAGAGACATTTGTTTCCCTAAACTTTAGACATTAAGGTTTAAGTAAAAAATATGTATTTGATTCTAGTTAGCTAAATATCACTTTTTATTGTCAATATTCAGAAGAATTCATGGTTAGAAAATCTGAATTTTAGAAGAAAAAAACACAGATTGTTAGTTTGATGTCTATGACCAATGTTCCTCTGTAACCTGGTGACACTGTTCTAATAGTAGCAAAAGTAGCTAGGAAGAAAATGTCAGCTTTTTAAAGACCAAAGCTACACATTAAATTGAAAAAAAAAAGGAATGTTATTGTACTAGTATTATTTATCAGCATATACACATGCACATAAACACATATATATGCACATACATATACATATTCATGTATACACATATCTCGATATTTGCTAGACATTTGCATACACATATAAACACTTGGGATTATTTATTTGATTTATTCTCATCATCAGGAGAGTTTTTAAATGGATGTGAAAAGAAAGCTATAGAATGAGAAGTACAAATCTGAAATACTAAATAAAACTGTCAGGAAGTTTAAGATTCATGGATTATGTATGAATCATAGGGTGGGGAAGAATTGATATTTTCAGGCCAAATGCTAATGAAAGGTGTTCTAGTACATAAAACAATTTAAAGCTATATTTATCAAACCTCTTTAATTCATGTTTATAGACATGAATTAAACTCTTCTTAGAGTTGGAGATGAGAGGACCTGAAAAATCCTTTGTCCAAACCTTCTGATTTCATGAATGATGAACCTGAGACCACAAAACACAGATGGCTTGTCCTTAGGTGAGAATGCATCGATAGCTAAGCTAAAACCAAAACCATGTTTCCTAATTGTCAGTCAGGTTTCTTTATCACCAGATAGATACAAGTTGGTGGATTTTTCAAGCTCAGAACCGCTCTCCTGTCATGCAATACATCTCATGTATTGGCATCCATCCGGGCCTTTTGTGTCACCCCTGTGGGACTGGAGAACAAGGTGAATAGACACAAATATGTTGATAAGGTTGAGTCTCATTGTCTTCTGCCAGACTGTATGAAACAGTAACATGCTAGATAACAGTTTATAACTAGGGTAAAATCAAATCCTAAGCCTGACACAGACCTCATAGAAAAACATTGGAAATTATTACCTCCTTTTTTATTTTACGTGAAACTATATGTAAGATTTGCATTCTTTCTTACTTTTTTTTTTTTTTGAAGTTGCAAGATTTAATAGAGTGAAACCAGAGCTCCAATACAAAGAGAGGGGACCCAAAGAGGGTGGCCGTTGCCAGCTCGAATGCTTGGTTTTATATCCCGATCATTGTCCCTCCCGCTGTGCTCTCAGGCAATAGATGTTTGGCTATTTCTTTACCTCCTGTTTTTGCCTAATTAGCATTTTAGTGAGCTCTCTTTACTACCTGACTGGTCGGGTGTGAGCTAAGTTGCAAGCCCCATGTTTAAAGGTGGATGTGGTCACCTTCCCAGCTAGGCTTAGGGATTCTTAGTTGGCCTAGGAAATCCAGCTTTCTTTCTTAAATGTTTGACAGAATTAGCTTTCTTTCTTAAATGTTTGATAGAATTCATAAAGCCATTTAAGACTCAAGCTTTGGCCAGTTGTGGTGGCTGACACCTGTAATCTCAGCCCTTTGGGAGGCTGAGGCAGGAGGATTGCTTGAGCCCCAGAGTTCAAGACCAGCCTGGCAACAGAGTGAGATTTCATCTCTTAAAAAAATTAGCCAGATGCGGTGGCATACTCCTGTAGTCCCAACTACTTGGGAGGTTGGGGTGGGAGGATGACTTCACTTTGGCCCAGGAGGTTGAAGCTGCAATGAGCTGAGATCATGCTATTGCAGTTCAGCACAAGCAACAGAGCAAGACCCTATCTCAAAAAAAAAAAGACTCAGGTTTTATTTGTGGAAAGACTGTAAGGATAAATTCAACTCAGTTATTATGGGGCTATTTAGATTTTCTATTGCATCAGTTTTGATAACTGGTGTTTTTCAAGGAGTTTGTCTATTTTATCTTAAATTGTCATACATATTGGCAAAAAGTTCATAATATTCCACTATTATCCTTTTAATATACATATTATTTGAACAAAAATTCCTATTTTTTCAGAAAGTTGTAGTTTTTATTTTCTTTTTGACTTTTTTGAACTTACCAATCTAGCTGTAGTTTTATCAGTTTTATTCATCTTTTCAGAGAACCAGCTTTTGGCTTTGTCAATTTTCTCCCTTGCTTGTTTTATATTTCTTATTTCCACCCTTATCTTTATTGTTTTTGTGTCTTTTTATATATTTGGGTTTAAATGCTTGCCTTTTTCTACCTTCTTAAGAAAGTAGAAATTTAGAGTGATCTTAAATCATTTTGCTTATTCAATTTTAGAATTTTTCTTTTAAGTCCTGCTTTAGCAATATCCCTCAAATTTTCATAGGCTGTATTTTTGTTATAATTACACACAAATTAAGTTTTTATTTAATTGTAATTGTTTTCTTTGACCCATCTGATATTTAAAAGGCAGTTCTTTACTTTTCAAATGTCTTGGCTTTTCTAAATAGCTTGTGTTATTAATTTCTAATTTAAGTCTGTTATCAGTTAACATAGTTTATAATATCAAGACGTTTGTATGTTTTATTTTCCAACATATGGTTTATCCTGGAGGTTGTACGATATGCCTTGATAAAAGGTGTTCATATTTCCATTGGACTGGTCTGTATCTGTCATTAGTTCCACCAGCTTTTACTTTAGGTATTTTTGTATTAACGTAGTACGTCTTTAGGTTTAACTTTCAGGGCAGCCGTATGAAGAATGATGTCATACTTACTTTTGATTTCTTACCCAGTGTTGCCAGTCTAACACACCTTCTTAGCCTTTCTGCATACATAAATAATTAAGGTTTTGTTCTGGTTCTGAAGCACTGTGAAAGAATAAACTCTTCATCAACAAGCTCTCAGGATGTCATTATTTCCTGAGAACGTAAACTCTGTGCACTAAAGCTATTTTGCACAAAATCTACTTCTAATTAAGCAAGATAAGGAGAGAAGGTATTGTGTAAAAAATAACTAACAATCAGGATGTCACAGGCGTCTGCCAAAAATCAGAATGGATGCTGTTAAATATCTTGAAGTAATATGTGGTGGAACATGTTGATTGGCCACTCAATAACCATTCCCTCTTTTGTGTTTACTAAAAGAATCCTATTTCTGTTTTTTTTAAAAGGACCCTCATTTTATTTTTATTAGCGATGCAACAAAAACCAAAACAAAAACCCACACCTATTTCTCCGGCTCTGTTTCAGCAAAGGCTACCCATATATGGTTTGGTCAATGAAATTAGCTGAACTCTGCCAGGAATTCCTGTGCTGATTTGTCTCCCTGACATGGGCACCTGCCCTCCCACCTCATAACTTTCTTATTCTTCCTGACTGGAATAGAGAAAGGAGATTAGTGATGAAGAATAACACCTGGCAACCAGGAAGTCATCATGAGGAGGACGGAGCAAAAGATGAATTACGTCTAGGATGTTGACGACCTCATGAAGCCACTATACCAATCTCACTGACCTATATCCAGACTTTGTATGTGAGAAAAAGAAACCCCTACATGGTTAAGCCAACAAAGTTATGTCTCTGTTATAGTCAGCAGAACATAATCTCTAACTAATACCAAAAAAGAAAGGAAATTCATGACTCTATCAGAAGCCAAATTCAAACTTCTGCGTGAGTTACATTTGTCCGTTTTCCCCTCTTCTAGAATAGCTTCTCTGAAGAATACTTTTTAAAGGTTACTATGTTATCATGCAAAGAATTCAGTGCGGACTCTCCCCCATTATGCAGCATTTTGGTAATCAGAAATCATCTGAGTAGTGTTTCCCTTTCTTTGAAATAGCACTACTTTTTCTAAAATGAGACATTAAGTCCAGGCTATCCTGAAGAACATTGTTGACTGCCCTTTTGTAAAACAATTCAACTTCTTACATAGTTTGAAAGACATTCCCAAGGCGAAATTTCTACAAAATTATTTTCATATCTGGAATCTCTGCAAATATGTTTTCTGTAACTGCCTTGGCCTTTTCTGTCTGAGCTAAAGTTATGCTTAACACTTTTCTTAAGGAGAGTTTTAAATTTGCAGCGCTAATCCCTTTCACATTAGCACGCAACCTCAGCATCAAGTTCTAACATGCATGTGCTGAGGAATTAATCAAAACCTTTTATAATCAAGCTGTCACATAAATGTCTACTGATGCAAACTTCCACATGTAAGATAGACAGTAATTCCAGCATTTAGGATATGGCTCTGGATGCCCTAGTGCAGCATTAATAAATAAAAGAATGGGCTATTTTTCAGCTTTGCTAATCTAAATTAGAATATTTTGCAAAGGTGAGTGATTATCCCTGAAGGACTATAAAACGTGTCTGTGTACGTGCACACACACACACACACACACACACACACACACACCCCTCCCTTAGCATTTTCCAATTGCTTCATGAATGAAACCAGTGGAACAGAAAAAAAACTAAGTGTCAGTATTTAGCAAGTAAGCAAAAAGTCTTGAATTTTAAACGCTGCATAGGTTTAGAACAGATAAACCGTTCAAGTCTAATAGATAAAAAATTCAAAATAGAACCTATTGTGGCTTAATCAGTAGTTCAAAGTCGTTACAGGCCAATAATAATTAGATCAAAAATGCCAAGGAATCGTTGTTGAGGCTTAATGGTTAAACTATGAACCCCATCTGCATAAGATGAACAATTTCTAAATATCGTTCTTACCTTTTTTAAAAAATGGATTCCAAGACATCTACACATTTTATACATCTGAGTTTTTCTGCTGATTTTGGTGGTTGACTAAAACTTTGGGCCAGAAGTGAGTGATCTTTTATTTGGCTGCTGAAACTGACTTTCTGTTCCATAGGAATATAAATCCATTTTAGTGCATTATAACTACTGTGTTCTCATTAAGACATTATACAATAGACTGGATTCAGTCACCCCCTGAAAGTTGTACTTGTGCTGTTACATAGGTAGGGACAAATATACATATAGCTGACAAGTTATCTCCCAAGTGTGTAAATATGATTGAGAAGGCTAGAGTGTGCCCAACTGTCTTAAACAAGCTCACGATATTTATATCTGACCTTTAGTTAATGATATAACCTGCTTCTATATGGTCTGTCAAGCTCAGGATTGAGTATTTTGCTTAAACTTTGCACACCTTTGATTACTTCATGCTAGCAAAGTCCATCTGTTGCTGTCATTGCACAGCTATCAATTTCAGTGTTACCTTGCTTCAACTCATGCCTTAAAACAATCAAGCTGACTTGGAACGTCCACAGAGTAGATAATGTGGCATAAAGACATCATTCAAGCATTTCTGTTTTTTAAAACTCCAGGTCCATTCTTAGGCACAAGACTTTTTCTGTTCCCGCTTCTGCTTTGTGGCAGCCAGGACTTAACTTAGTGTCTGTTCTACCTCTCAGCTGCCACCTCCTGCTCTGTCCCTTGCTTCCATTTCTCCAAATGGCTTGCTGTCCCTAAAAACAGGCACGCAGGTTGTTTATTCTTAAGAGTTTTCCAGCTATTCATGATGTGAACTGGCGATCACTAAAAATAGCAACAATGAATCTGCATGCAAAATGATTTCAAAACTCTTGGTCCTTGGTCTAAAATAATAGTCTCTGCCTGTGATGAAATCTAGTAATATTTCTGTTCTCAGTTTTTGTTTCTTGAGAGGAATTCCTTACTAAACACTTCCTCCACATTCAGACTCTATCAATGCAGATAATAGTGGCCCCTTTGCCTCAAGTAGAAATTCTGATTATTAAAGAATAATTAGGCCAGGCACAGTGGCTCATAATCCCAGCACTTTGAGAGGCTGAGAGAGGATTGCCTGAGCCCAGAAGTTTGAGATCAGCCTCAAAAACACAGTGAGACCCCATCCACAGTTTTTTTTCAATTAGCCAGGCATTGTGGCATGTAGCATCAGCTACTCAGGAGGCTGATCATAGTTCAATGCAGCTTCAAACTCTCTGGCTCAAGCAATCCTCCCACCTCAGGACTGAGGTGAGGTGAGCCTGAGAGTTTGAGACTGTATTGAACTACAATTGTGTCGCTGCACTCCAGCCTGGGTGACAGAGCAAGGCCCTGTCTCAAAATAAAAATAAAAACAATTTTTTAATTTCTTAAAATTTTTTTGAAAAGAATGATTAGCTTGATATTTCTTCTCCCTGGAACAAATGCAGTCCTCATTAGCAATCTAATTTTTACAGTAATCGCCTTCTGGAATCTCATCCTTGTTTGTCTTTCAATTTGCCCATCAAAACATAGCTTATGTTGACATAGTTATTTTGATTTTTTGCATTAATAATCTGACAGGAATTTGGGGGGAAACTGTCTTCCAAAATGGTTGGCAATCAAAACAACATCAAATGAGGCCAATATACAAAAGTGCTAATGTTCTTAATCCCTTCCAAAACACCCAAATACTATGAATTTAAAAATTCTGCTGTGAAGCTTTAAAGTTCACTATCTTATGATGAATTACAGAAAATATTTAACTGACTAAACCAGCTTCCTCTGGAGAATACCATAACACAGGCTTGGCATCCCTCCTTTTCACCCTTGCTAATTGAATACCTGATAATTAGTTGAAGTGGGGCCTTTTTAAGTTTGATAAATGAAACTTTAAAAAGCAGATAATCTACATCTTAAAAAAGCTCTTCCAGAAAAAGAAAAGAGGCCTGCAATGCTGGCTCACGCCTGTAATCCCAGCACCCTGGGAGGCCAAGGCAGGCGGATCACCTGAGGTCAGGAGTTTGAGACCAGCCTGGCCAACATGGTGAAACCTCGTCTCTATTAAAAATACAAAAAATTAGCCGGGCATGGTGGCAGGTGCCTGTAATCCCAGCTACTCAGGAGGCTGAGGCAGGAGAATCACTTGAATCCAGGAGGTGGAGGTTGCAGTGAACTGAGATTGCGCCATTGCACTCCGGCCTGGGCAACAAGAGTGAAACTTCATCTCAAAAAAAAAAAAAAAAACCAGAAAAAAAAAAAGAGATTGTACCTGTCACTTTATATAACTAGTACCCTGATATTAAAATTGGATAAGGACGATATAAAAGAAAAAGAAAAATAGTTCACTTCTAAACAGATGGGAAAATACTAAATAAAATATTAGCCAAATAAATTCAAAATGTATTAAGAATAATACAGTGTGAATAGATAGGGTTTATTCTAGGAATGCTAGAAACATTTCCTGATCAAAGCTCTATCATGTAATTCATTATAGTAGTAGGCTAAAGGAGAACAATTAATTATCTCAGTAGACGTAGATAAAGCATTTAATACAATTTTACTCTTATTTAATACAAAACAAAAGAAAAACTAGGAAAACTGGGAGCAAATGAGACGTCCTTTACTTGGCTTATGATCTGTTTCTATCCACAGAATACTTTTGGCACCAAATGTGTGGGGTTTGTTCCCACACATTGTGTGATTCTCCAGACACCAACTGGGAGTTCAACAATTCAATTCCATTTTGACACTAACTACCTAGAGTTAGAGCAGATCCCACAGTTTAAGGGCTCAGTCCCTCAAGACTGCCCCCAACTCCAGAAGCCAGTTGCAAGTCCCAGGCCTCCTGTACTTTCTGATGGCTATACGTTAAGCATTCCCATGACCTCCTCCTAACGTTTGATAGCTTTCTAGAAGGGCTCACAGAACTCAGGAAGGCAGGTAACTCACATTTACTGGTTTATTATAAAGGGCACAGCTCAGAGTAAGGTACTTGGGGAGGGGTGCAGAGAGGCTTCACACACTCTCCTGACACCACTCCCTCAGGGCCTGGATGTGTTCACCAGTCCAGAAGCTCATCAAATCTCTGTTGTTCAAGAGTTTTCATGGAGCCTAATCTCATTTCCATGACCCTTTCCAAAGGTCAGTGGGTGAGGCCAAAGGTTCTAGCCCTCTAACCCTCACCTTAGTCTTTCTGGTGACCAGCCCCAACCCGAGGCTACTTGGGGACTCATCCTAAGTCACTTAGAACAATTTATAGTAAACAAAAAGTATTTGATTTTTTAAGAAAAAGAAAAAAAAGTTTGTGCTTACCGAAGAAATTTTGAACTCAACAAGACAAAGATACCGTATATCTCAACTACAGTTCAACATACTACTGAAGGCCCTGGCCAACAAAGCAAGACAAAGAAAATAATTACTGACCTTAAGAATTGGACGGCTGGGCACTGTGGCTTATGCCTATAATTCCAGCACTCTGGAGGCCAAAGCGGGTGGAACACCTGAGGTCAGGCGTTCAAGACCAGCCTGGCCAACATGGTGAAATGCTGTCTTTACTAAAAATACAAAAATTAGCCCACTGTGGTGGTGCGCGCCTGTAATTCCAGCTACTAGGGAGGCTGAGGCAGGAGAATCACTTGAACCTGGGAGGAGGAGGTTGCAGTGAGCCGAGATGGCGCCATTGCACTCCAGCCTGGGTGACAGAGTGAGACCCTGCTTCAAAAAAAAAGGAATTGGAAAGGAAAAGATGAGACTGCCATTGTTTGTAGACGCTAAGATGATCTCTACATAGAAAATCCAAAAGAAAGACCAAATTAGTGTATCTAATAAAAGAGTTAAGTAAAATTTCTAGATACAAGATAAACTTTAAAAATTAATAGTATTTTTCCACACCACTAGTCTCAAAATATTAGTTCCTCTAAAAATTAATACATAAAACTTTTAGGCTTGGCATGGTGGCTCATACCTATAATTCTAGTGCTTTGTGAGACTGAGGCAGGAAGATCATGTGAAGCCAGGAGTTTGAGACCAGCCTGGGCAACATCTCAAGATCCTGTCTCTACAAAAATAATAATAATAATAAATAAAATAAAATAAAAATAAAACTTTGAAAAATATATAATCCTTATTTTTAAAAAGCAAGCCAGCCTGGGCATGGTAGCTCATGCTTGTAATCCCAGCACTTTGGGAAGCCAAGTTGAGTGGATCACTTGAGGTCAGGAGTTCAAGACCAGCCTGGCCAACATGGTAAAACTCTGTCTCTATAAAAATACAAAAATTAGCTGGATGTGGTGGCGAGTGCCTGTAATCCCAGCTATTCCAAGGCTAAGGAAGGAGAATCACTTGAATCTGGGAGGCAGAGGTTGCAGTGAGCTGAGATTGCACCACTGCACTCCAGCCTGGGTGACAGAGTAAGACTCTGTCTCAAAAAGAAAAAAAAATTAAAAAGCAAGCCAACTCATTTTATGAGCCTATTATGACCCTGATATTTATTTATTTATTTATTAGCTACAATTATCTACTTCACATGCAATATAATGCAGAGGCTAAGAGTAAAACTACCTTTGCAAAAATTATAACAGTGAGAAAAATCTAATCTAACTGACTCCATCTTGCTTCTAACCTCAGAAGCTAATTGCTCTCACTCATTTCTGGGTGTAGGCCAAGGTAACTATGGAAGAAATGTAGTTTACAGTTTAACTTTGAAGCAAGGATGATAATAGTCCCTCCCAAAACTGACCCCCTCTGGGGACAGAAACTGCCTTTGGAAGAACACTGAAAGGCTACAGGGTTAGGGTTATGGGAGGGACCTGAATTCTGCAAAGATGTGGGCATATTTAAATAAAAAGCAGTTATTGCTCCCTAGCTTGCTTTTCTATAATTCCTTACTGTTCAGGAGTCATGTAGCTAGATGTCACTAGGTTTGTAACTTCTCCAATTGTTCCTATAGATAACATTACTATAGATTGGTTTTTGAGATATTTTTCAGACTTTTACATTCAGTCAGACCAAGTGATGCCACCTGGACCCATGATTCATACCAAGAAACTGACTCAGCACAAGAAGACAATTTGGATGCTCTGATGATTTCATCCCCAACCAATCAGCAGCACCCATTCCCTAGCCCCTTGCCTACCAAATTATCCTTAAAAACCCTAGGCTCCAAGTTGTTGGTGAGGCAAATATGAGAAACATCTCCCATCCTTCTGCTCAACTGCCTTGCAGTAATTAAACTCTTTCTCTGCTGTAACACTGCTGTCTCAATACATTGGCTTTATCTGCACAGCGGGCAAGAAGAAACCATTGGGGGTGTAACAAGGACAAGATTGCCTAGACTCAAATCTTGGTTGTGTCATTATCTGTATGAATTTAGGCAAGTTACGTATCCCTTCTCAGCCTCAGCTTTCTCATCTGTAAAATGAGAACAATAATAATACTTATCACTTTGGGATGCTGCAAGGATTAAGTGAATCATACTTGAAAAGCACTTAAATATTCATAGTACAAAGTCAGTGCCTCATAAATATTATATATTATTATAAGTATAGAGCTAGGTTATTAATCCATTAGGAACTACTTGCCTTAAAATTAAAATATTTTTAAAAATAAAAAAAATTTAAATATACAGAAATGCTAATATGTTTTTCTCTTCCCCAATTGAGTGTTCACATTTCACACTGCAATCAAGTGCCTTACACAATAAAAAAAATTAAAAATACAATAGAAAATAATATGCCACTGAATATATCAATCTATGAAATAACTAGGAATTAAGCCAATAAAGAAAGCACCACCTTCACAGAGAGACTTATAAAATTAATAAACTTAATCCAATGAGACCTTAATAAAAGAAGACACATTAACATTGTAAAGCTATTAATTTTTTCTTAAACTTACCTATAAATTTAATGTATTTATAATTAAAATCTCAGATGAATTTCAGGAGGAATATGAAACTGATTCTAAATATAACCTGGAAGTTTAAACACTCATAGAAAGCTAATATAATTTTGAAAAGAAAGACTAAAAGTGGGAACTCACTTTCCAAGATATGAAGACATATTATAATACCACCGTAATAAAAATAGTATTGACGTGGGGCAAGAACAGATAGACCAACAAAACTAAAGAGGAAGAACAGACATATATAACTGTGAATTCTGCATATAACGATGGCATCATAGATAAAAGACCTAAATGTAAACATAAAAGTTTTAATCAAAGTTTTTTAGGTTTCCTGCATAAGAAACCATTCCAAAGTCTCAGTGGCTTCCAAAAATAAACTTTTTTTTTTTTTGAGATGGAGTCTTATTTATTTATTTATTTATTTATTTATTTATTTATTTATTTGAGTCAGAGTCTCAAGTCTCACTCTGTTGCCCAGGGTGGAGTGCAGTGGCTCGATCTCGGCTCACTGCAACCTCTGCCTCCTGGGTTCAAGTGATTCTCCTGCCTCAGGCTCCTGAGTAGCTGGAATTACAGGTACCCACCACCACGCCCAGCTAATTTTTGTATTTTTAGTAGAGACAGTGTTTCACCAGATTAGCCAGGCTGGTCTCGAATTCCTGACCTCAAGTGATCCACCCTCCTGGGCTTCCCAAAGTTCTGGGATTACAGGCATGAGCCACCATGCCTGGCCTAAAAATAAACATTTTATTTCTCACTCACAAATTTATGATCAGATAAAAGAACTCACATTCAATTGACTAAGGTAGTCAAATGGCCTGACAACGGTGTGGTGAAGTCTTATCCTCTAGAGAAAGACACATCAATGATAGCATTAATAAAACTGCTGTGAGGAAGCAAGTGAATACTGGAAACAATGATCAATTTAGCATAATAAAACTATAAAGTTTATTAAAACTGTGCATGAGGACATTTTTATGACATTGGTATAACCTTGGATTTGGGGGAAAGAACAAATCACGGTATAAAATGTTGATAAATCTGAATAAATCAAAAGTAAAAATGTATGTTCAGATAGAAAAAAATAGCTAATATATGATGGAGGAGGAAAATAAATTAGCATTATACAAGAGGTTATTTTCTAGAGTACGACAAAAACCCATATGATTCAGTAGCTTATATACTTGAAGAGAGCGGGTATTATTATTACTATTATTTTCTGTATTGATGGCTATTTTAGCTCCAGTGCTACGATAAGTGCCTGGCAATATTGTTACTCCTCACTGTTAAACCTCCTTACTGTGTATCCTGTTTCAGGATTTGCTTCTGATCTATTCCTCTCTAAACCAGATATATTAGTTTCCTATTGCTGCTGTAACAAATTATCACAAATTCAGTGGGTTACAACACAACAGATTTTTTCTCTTACTGTCCTGGAGGTCAAAAACTCAACATCAGCCTCACTGGCCTGGAGTCAAAGAATCAGTAGGGCTAGTTCCCTCTGGAGTCAACGGGGGGAGAATCGGTTTCCTTGCCCTTTCTGGCTTGCCGAGGTCATCAGTGTTCCCTGGACGATGGCCTCTTCACCCTTCTTCAAAGGCATCAGCATAGCATCACCACCCGCCTTCACTAACTCTGCCTCTGTCTTCGGTCAGCTTTTCTGTCTTTGACCCTCCTGCCTGCCTTTTATGAGGACGCTTGTGATTACGTTGAGCCCACCAGGACAATGCAGGATAATCCCCCACCTCAAAATCTGTAATTGAATCACACATGCAGAGTCCTTGTGTCATGCGAGGAAACATATTTATAGGTTCCAGAAATTAGGACTTGAACACTTTTTGGAGGCCCCTATTCTGTCTACCACCCCAGGGTTTCTCAAACTTGGCACAATTGACGTGTTTGCCTGGATCATTCCTTGTTACGGTGGCTTGTCCTCTGCGTTGTAAGATATTTAGCAGCGTCCTGCTGTGTGCTCCTTAGAGCACATCCCCTTCCCCTAGTTGTGACCAAATGTCACCTGAGGGGCAATATTGCCTCTGGCTGAGACCCATTGCTTTATCCTGTTCTAGTGATCTTTTTAAAAAGCAAATCCAGTCATGTCACTTTCCTGCATAGAATTGTGTGTTGCCTATTATTTTCAAAACAATATTCACATTTCTTAATATATCATAATAGATTACTCACAGTCGGGCTTTGCTCATTTCTCTTGGTTATTTCTCTGTCTTGCTGATTTTTCTGACTGCCCTCTCTTTCCATCTTCTTGTCCTCCATATATTCTTGCATTTCCCCTGAATGTGAGGTTCCCTCACACCTCCTGGCTTTGTAAATATCTCTTCCTCCATCCACCTAGAAAACACCTTCTATTCTTCATCTGATGAACTTTTACTTACTTCTCTTTAGGAGCCAGCTTAGATGTCTGAGAATCTAGGTCACTTTCTCATGTACACTCTGAGCACGTTACCTCAATTAGAGAGCTAGTGTTTATTTCCTCTTTTCCCTGCACTAGTCTGTGAGTTGTTTAGATCTCTGACCATTATCTGTCTTGAAGGGTTTAACCCTCTTCCTGGAACATATTAGTTGTACAATAATCGTTTTTGGAATGATGGAGTAAATGGTGGATTTCATGCCTCAACTTGAATACACTCTCTGGTGGCTGAAACTGAGGAAGAATGTTGCTCCAAAATATTAACGGGTGATAACTTGCTTTTCTATTTTAAAATAGAAAAATTAATTCTCCCATTCTCTTGCATGGAAAGAACCACTCAAACGGAAATTATTTTGTATTTAGTCACTATTTAGTTATTATTTTTTCCAAAATTAAGGCTCATGCTCAGAAGCTATTTTTCTTAATATGTTTGAGTTTTTAAAAATTGGAAAAAATATCTCTTCCACCAAGAATTTGGCAAAAGAAAGCTAGAATTAAACACCGCAATAATAAATTTCACAACACTATGAAAAGGCTAGGTATGTCAGAGCTCTTTCCTGTATCAGGAAGGCATGGTTGATTTTGCAATTTAGGTTTTTACTTTGCAGGCAGAAAACTGTCACCTGGGCACTTCCAGCCTTCACTATGTAACAAAAAAACTGATTTGCAAAGTCCCAACATTTGGCGTACGCTCCAAACAATAAAAGTGTCAAAATGGTTTCTGTTGCTGTGCATTTTATTATTCTTCTGATAGTTGAATGTTAAAGTTTCTCTTAATGTTTAGAAACTGGAGACTCTTTAGTAAATACCACCGAAAACACCTGCATATAATGCTTGCTAATGAGGTTTCCTCACTTCAAAGCTCAAATTAAGAGGGTGCTGAGAGAGGATGGATGCTCTCTCTGTACCTTTTAAATATATTCAGGTAATTTATGTAAAGCACCAAAATTAAAGACATTTCCCCCATGCTATACTTTTATCACTCCAGTTAAAAATCTGCCCACAGACACTGTAAGAATGATATAAACAAAGTTTTGCTATCTAAAATATGTCAAAACATAATATGCTAAAATAAGACTTTTGGATTGTGGTTAGTTCCCATATAAGGCTGACTAAAATGTTTTCTTTTCCTTTAAAACACTTTTCTTAAGGTTGTTACTAAACATATTTGGTTGAGTGCCAGTGTCACATAATTGATGCTGCTGAAAATATTTGGTTAAGACTACAGCTTGCCTGGTTGAATCCTAACTCTGCAACCTTGAGAAAGTGGCTTCACCGCTCTATGCCTCAGAGCTTTGATTTGTAAAATGAGGGTAACAATAATAGTTCCAACCTCAGAAGGCTACTGTGAGGACTAAGAGCCAATATTTGGGCCATGTGGCATGACTCATGCCTATAATCCCAGGACTTTGGCAGGCCAAGGCGGGAGGATCACTTGAGGCCAGGAGTTCAAGACCAGCCTGGGCAATATAGCAAGACCCTATCTCTAAAATATATATATATTTTAAATTAGCAAGGCATGGTGGCGAGTGCCTTTAGTCCCAGCAGTTCAGGAAGCTGAGGCAGGAGGATCACTTGAGCCCAGGAGTTCAAGGCTGCAGTGAAATATGATTGCGTCACTGCACTTCAGCCTAGGTGGCAAAGTGAGACCCTGTCTCTAAAAGAATAAAAATAAATTAAAAAGAGTCAATATTTGCAAAACACTCCAAACCTTTCCTGGTACATGAAAGCACAAAGTAAGCATCTGGGATTATTATTAGAGAAAATAGAGGAATTTTGTACTAAGGACTCTTCAAAGTGTTAAGAACTCAGCATTGTGCAGGGAACTCTACCCACCTACTATCAGCAACTGTGAGTTCCATCTATTCCTTAATAACAGTAAGCAAATAAGGGACCCAAACCACAGCTCTTCATAGCCTAAAATGCAGCCCTGGATTTTGGTTAGTAAATGTATTAAATACTTCTGTACTAAATCTGGGTTTCAAATTCAGTAAGAAGTTTTGTGAATTTGTGGGTTTGGGATCCCTACACTTGCTGAAAAATTTCATTGGCTGCATATTATCCCAGGAAAATGAGTTCTATTTTCCTTGATTTGTGTTCTTGACAACATAGTACCTAGGAATTTTTGCAGTGTCATCTACCATTACTTACCTACCTGACACTTCTGCTTTAATCACTGTGCCCAAAGTACATCACGTATTTTTCCATATTCCCCTTGCTTAGAATTCCCTTAATTGACTTTTCTACTTCCCTAGGGCCCCCACTTCTGATGGGAACCCTCTTAGCTTCCATCTCTTCTCTGATCATATTTGTTAGATTACATTGCTTCTGAGTGATCGGTTCCTTCAATGAATTCTCCTAGTATCTGTATCATTTTTTGTACATAGCATGAGATCTCTTTTCCTTTTATTACATTTTTTTAATGCCTGTATCTCTAACCATATTGTAATGTCTTTGTGTACAAAGACTCCTCTATGTCACGATGTACCTCAGGGCCTGGCTCTGTGCCCTGGACAAAGCAAGCATGAAGTACATTTTTTTATTAATAAAATCATTGGAAGTAAAATTTATATTATTTTTAGCTCCCATCCATCTCCTTTTGGCAAACTGTTACCCCTTTCAATGCTTTTTCCACTAGTATTATGTATTTATGTGCTGTATATTGCCTATTTGAGGTCTTGAAGAAAGCTATCTTTCCCAGTGTTTTGGAAATTTTTATTTCATCAACACTTACCTGTGTTGTTAGTGAAAAAGTACTGATCCAGGAGCAAAAAAATGTAGGTTATCTTAATAACGACTAACCCGAAATGAAACTGCTTCTTCATCTGTAAAATACTAAAGCTAATATCCTCCCTGACTACTATACAGGTTATCGTGAAGACAAATACATACAAAATACAGTCATGTGTTGTGTGACAATAGTTTGATAAACAATGGACCGCATACACTACGGTGGTCCCATAAGATTGTAATGGAGCTATTGCCTAGTGATGTCATCGTAGCTATCCTAACATCATAGTGTAATGCATTACTCATGTTTGTGGTGATAAACAAACCTACTGCACTGCTGTCCTATAAATAATTATGTACAGTACATAATATTTGATAATAATTGGCTGGTATAAACAAACTTACTGCACTGCTGTCATATAAACAATTATGTACAGTACATAATATTCTATAATAATTGACTATGTTCCTGCTTTTTATATACAATATACTGTGCATTTTATGATTATTTTAGAGTTTACCCCTTGTCCTTATTAAAAAAAGAAAAAAAGGTTAACCATGAAACAGTCTCAGGCAAGCCCTTCAGGAGGTATTCCGGAAGGCATTGCTGTAAGAGATGACAGCTCCATGCATGTCGTTGCCCCTGAAGACCTTCCAGGGGACAAGATGTGGAGGTGGAAGACAGTGATATTGATGATCCTGACCCTGTGTAGGCCTAGGCTAATGTGTGTGTTTGTGTCTTCATTTTTTCAAAAAGTTTAAAAGTAAAAAAAAATAAATTTTAAAATAGAAGTTATAGAATAACGATATAAAGAAAATAGTTTTGTACAGCTGTACAATGTGGTTATGTTTTAAGCTAAGTGTTATTACAAAAGAGTCAAAAAGTTTAAAAAGTTTATAAAGTAAAAAAGTTACAGTAAGCTAAGGTTAATTTATTACTGAAGAAAGAAAAATACTTTTTATAAATGTAGTGTAGCCTAAGTGTACTGTGTTTATAAAGTCTCCAGTTGTGTATAGCAATATCCTAGGCCTTCCCACTCACCCACCACTCACTCACTGACTCACCCAGAGCAACTTCCAGTCCTCTAAGCTCCATTCATAAAAAGTGTCCTATGGAGGTGTACCATTTTAAAATCTTTTATACTGTATTTTTACTGTACCTTTTCTATGTTTAGATATGTTAAGAAACACAAATATGGCCGGGCACGGTGGCTCAAGCCTGTAATCCCAGCACTTTGAGAGGCCGAGGCGGGTGGATCATGAGGTCAGTAGATTGAGACCATCCTGGCTAACACGGTGAAAACCCATCTCTACTAATAATACAAAAAAATTAGCCAGGCGTGGTGGCGGGCGCCTGTAGTCCCAGCTACTTGGGTGGCTGAGGCAGGAGAATGGCGTGAACCTGGGAGGTGGAGGTTGCAGTGAGCTGAGATCACACCACTGCACTCCAGCCTGGGCAACAGAGCAAGACTCCGTCTCAAAAAAAAAAAAAAAAAGAAACACAAATACTTACCATTGTGTTATAATTGCTTACAGTATTCAATACAGTAACATGCTGTACAGGTTTAGTAGCCTAGGAGTAATAGTCTATACCACATAGCCTAGCTGTGCAGTAGGCTGTCCCATCTATGTTTGTAAAAGTGCACTCCATGATGTTCACACAATGTCAAAACTGCCTAATGACAAATTTCTCAGAATGCATCCCATCACTGAGTGACGCATGACTGTAATGTACACAAATGACTGCACATACGGTTGGTCTAATGCCCTCGGGAATACATCAAGATTACTGGCTTGTTGCTCTAATTACTGACATGTCACAGGTTAACGTAATGTATTACTAATTTTCCATAACATTTATTTTAGAAGAGACCCTTGAAAACATCAAATCTCAATTCAAAAGAATGATATTAAAGGCCCCTGGGAACAGATAGTCCAATTTTTCAACCTTAAGTTAATAATAATAATTCAATTAAACAAATATTTGTTGAATATCTATTATATACAAAAAAAGCATCCTGGCTGCTATGGAAAGTATAAAGATGAGATCTCTTCTGTCTTTAAGGAATGAGGGTCTAGTCTAGAAGACCAAAATGTACAAAATGTACACAAATTACTTTACCACAAGGTAAGTTTGGTAAGTTCTTTGGAAGAACTAACTTCAGAAGATATGAGGTTAATTCTGACTGTATCAATAAGGGTTTTAGAGGATATCCATACAACTGGGGCTTAAAAGTTGGGAGAACTTGGCCAGGCACGGTGGCTCACACCTGTAACCCCAGCACTTTGGGCGGCTGAGGTGGGCGGATCATGAGGTCAAGAGATCGAGATCATGAAGGCCAACATGGTGAAACCGTCTCTACTAAAAATACAAAAATTAGCTGGGCATGGTGGTGCGTGCCTGTAGTCCCAGCTACTCGGGAGGCTGAGGCAGGAGAATTGCTTGAACCCGGGAGGCAGAGGTTGCAGTGCATGTTGGTGCATGCCTGTAGTCCCAGCTACTCGGGAGGCTGAGGCAGGAGAACTGCCTGAACCTAGGAGATGGAGGTTGCAGTGAGCCGAGATTGCACCACTGCACTCCAGCCTGGGTGACAGAGTGAGACTCCATGTCAAAAAAAAAAAAAAAAAAAAAAAAAAATTGGGAGAACTTCAGTAAACTGGGAAAAAGAGGAGGTATTAAAAACGTGAGAATAGGCCGGGCACGGTGGTTCATGCCTGTAATCCCACCCAGCACTTTGGGAGGTTGAGGTGGGCGGATCACCTAAGGTCAAAAGTTTGAGACAAGCCTAGCCAACATGGCAAAACCTGGTCTCTACTAAAAATACAAAAATTAGCTGGGGGTGGTGTTGGGTGCCTGTAATCCCAGCTACTCGGGAGGCTGAGGCAGGAGAATTGCTTGAACCCAGGAGGTGGGGGTTACAGTGAGCTGAGATCACGCCACTGCACTCCAGCCTGGGAGACAGAGCTAGACTCTGTCTTGGAAAAAAGAAAAGGTGAGAATAATAGCATGAGCCAAAAAACAAAAGGTACAAAATATATTCTGGGAATAAGTACAATTTATCTTAATTTCGTAGAGTATTCATAGTTTTCAAAGTGCTTTCACATAAGCTATGTTGTGTATGGAAATTAGAGCAATCATATGCAGGTGTATAGAAAAAGTATTATTTATTGTCCATATGAAGAAAGTGAGTTTTGGAAAAGATAAATGACATATATATATATGGTTATCAAATAGCACAATTTAATAGATTTAGCAAATTTACTGAAATTAGTAAATTGGACTTAAGAAGAAATTGTGAAGGTTCCTCTGGTAAGAGTGCACAAGAGAAAATTCAAGGAGGATAGCAGTTAGCAGGATCCTGACATAGTCCAGCTGAAATGTAGCAAGGGTCTGCACTAGGGTAGGCTTGCTTGCAATGTTGTGGGCTCTTTTTACAGACAATGTAGATACACAGCGTATGCGAGTTTGCTTTTGATTGGACGTAAGAAGCAAGATCAAAGAGATATACCAAAGGACTCAGAGGCTAGTCACATATAAACAAAATCTGGGCCAGGTGCAGTGGCTCATGCCTGTAATCCCAGCACTTTGGGAGGCAAGGCGGGTGGATCCCTTGAAGTCAGGAGTTCAAAACCAGTCTGGCCAACATGGTGAAACCCCGTCTTTACTAAAAATACAAAAATTAGCCAGGCGTGGTGGTAGGTGCCTGTAATCCCAGCTACATCGGAGGCTGAGGCAAGAGAATTGCTTGAACCCAGGAGGTGGAGGTTGCAGTGAGCCAAGGTCAGGCCACTGCACTCCAGCCAACAAAACAAAACAAAATCTGACTCCGCCTTTCAGTCACGCCAGTGAAATCTCTTAATGCCTTCAGTGTCAGTCCCCAACTCTTACTAATTAAAGATCGTATTTGACCCAAATGTGCACAGTACACAACACCTTAAAGAGAAATGAGGTGAATCAGATAAATGAACAGGTTGATATTTTTTAAATTTGTCCACAAGCTCTTTGATATCCCTCCTTTCAAATCACAGCTTAATTCCCCTCCCCTTGTGAATGCACTGTATTTAATGACTGGCTTCTAATGAATGGAATAAGAAGTAAGTTACCATAGTAAACTAAGTAATAAAGGGTGACTAAGTAATAAAGGGCATTGCAGCTTTCTCCTTGACTTCTCTCTTGGATCACACTCTCAGCTGCCATGTCATTAGAAGAGCCGAGCTGCACTATAGAGACACAAGAGGTGAGAAACTGAGGCCTCCTGCCAACAGCCATGCAAGTGACTCATCTCGGAAGTGGATCTTTTAGCTACAAAAAGCCTTTGGGGCACTTTAGCCTTGGCTAATATTTTAACTGTAACCTCTTGAGAAATGCTGAGCCAGGATGACTCTGGCTAGCTAGACTATTGCCAAATTCCTGACCCACAGAAACTTTGAAATAACAAATGGGATAATTGATGAGGTAACAATAAATAACTAGTACAACGCTGAAAGAGGAGAAGGTATATAGGACTTTTCTCCATCAAAGGACAGAGATTATTGAATTGAACAAGGGAGTAAAGTACAAATAGTCCTGAAATTGATCCAGCCAACTTTTGATCACTAATCTCTCCCTGCAAAGGAAAGATTTAATACTTTTCAAAATTTCAATCAAGTCTTCAGTATATTCAAATTCAACTCTCTAGTATACAGATGCTCCTCAACTTACGATGGGGTTATGTCCTGATAAACCCGTTGTAAACTGAAAATACAGTAAGTCGAAAATGCCTTTAATATATCTAACCTACCAAACATCATAGCTTCACGAGGCCCTCCTTAAATGTGTTCAGAACACTTACATTAGCCTACAGTTGGGAAAAATCACCTAACACAAAGCATATTTTATAATAAAGTGTTGAATAATTTATTGACTACTGTACTGAAAATGAAAAACAGAATGGCTATATGAGTACTCAAAGTACAGTTTCTACTGTGTGTCACTTTTGCACCATCATACAGTCAAAACACTGTTACGCTGGGGCATCCTAAGTCAGCAACCACCTGTGTATATGCTCTTGTGGTTTAACGGCAGCACAGTGCTATGCTTATGAAATCACTTAGAAATTGACATTCTGTTTTAATGTGTAGTATTTCAGTTTTCAAAAAAGAATACACTTTATAATTTACAAAACTATATGGAGTCATAAACTTCATAGATTTATATGTATGCATGCATCTTTGGTTAGGGTTGTGGGTAAATTTGAAAAGCTACGCATTACCCTCAAATTTATATAAACCTCTACGTTTAACAAAGCAATTTCATATAGCTTTCATCTTGGGGCGTCCCCTTACAAAATGGATGCATGCACTTAGGTAGGGCTCACTTAACTATCTAATAATGGAGTTTTTAAATATAGACACTAGAATATATTCTGCTGTTTGTTCCAAAAACCCTCTTCTTCGTTTCTCTTATCCCACCCACGTCCGAATATAGCATGCCAAAAACAGAGCCAAAAACAAGATTGTCTGTGACATATCTGTCCTGTCACAGACAAGGACAGATTAAGAGGACCAGATCAGAAAATGTGTGTATACTAAGTAGCTCAAAGACAAGGGCAAAACTTTAACGCAAAGAAAATACATTCAGAGCTTTCCAAGTCCCAATTTCTTCTGCTTTTACAGTTCAGCCTAGTTAGTTGTCCTCCACGCCCCCCGCCCCACGCGCGTTTGCGTTTTCTTAATAAACCCACAGCAAGACCTAGGGCGGGGGTGAACCACAGCGCATGCGCCGTAGGGAGCGACCTCAACAGCTAGGGTGCTGTTTGGGCGGGGCCTGGGCGGGGCCAGACGCGCGCGAGATTTGAATTTCCTCTGCGTGCGGTCAGTGCCCGCGCAGCGTTGAGTTGCACAGCGGTATTCTCACCAGGCCCTGCAATCGGTGGGCCACAGTGCCGGCCACAGAGATGGTGGAAGGACCAGGCTGTACTCTGAATGGAGAGAAGATTCGCGCGCGGGTGCTCCCGGGCCAGGCGGTGACCGGCGTGCGGGGAAGCGCTCTGCGGAGTCTGCAGGGCCGCGCCTTGCGGCTCGCAGCCTCCACGGTTGTGGTCTCCCCGCAGGTGAGCTACTCCTGTAACAGGCCATGCAGTCAGCAGGGGGGAAATGGAATAAAGACCCCATCAGGGTTCCAGGATTTAAAGTGTCATCTCTTTGCTCTGGCCCAGGTTTCCTGGGGTCCCACCTTTCACAGAGTTTATCGTCACTTTACTGTAGGGAGAAGTCGGTCCTAGCGCGCCTGCGCAGGAGAGGAGGGCTAGCGTTCTGGGCTCACGCTGCCGGAGCAAGATGCCCTAGGGGAATCCAGTGAAGGTGTTTTATCCGAGTCACCTTACTTAACTTCTTTATGATACACACATGGTTTCCCATGTCTACAGCTGCATTTTTTACTATTGATATTATCAAATCTCTGCTACCTCTGATATGTTTTCTTCGTCCCATTTTAAGCTTTTAGCATAAAATTCTACTTTCTTGCTTGGCTAATCTGCAATTGGTAAGTATATCACAACTAGTATATAATTCTAAAACTACACGTAGAAAATTTAGCACTAACTTCTCACTCAACTTCATATTGCCATCTAATTAAGGGGCAATGAAACCCAGTTCTGGTTCCCTTAAGTGAATTTATTTCTTTTTAAAGTAAACTAGCACAGCTTCTTGCCACTCAGGCATTCATTGCAGACGATGTGGTATTCATTTGGCCAGAACTTGTACTAAAAATATTCTGATTAAGGCATCATGTTTTAAAAGCCCTCTAGATGTATGGATGATTGTATTTCATGCCTACATGCAATATTGCACTGTATTTCAATTTCTTCTGCAAAGCTTCTTATAGCCTTTGGTCCTGGAAGAAAAAGTTGCCTGCTATGAAATTAGCATATGCTTACAACTTGAAAGAAATGAGGTTCTAAGTCTAAGAAAATATATTTTCAAACTTGGGAAAAAATAAGTTTTACATCTCCTTCCAATTGCCCTTTTGTTTATTTTGACTTGATATGCCAGTAAGTACTCTGTACCTATTTTTTTTTATTATTGTTATAGTGTTTCTAAAATCGTTTCAGGGTACCACAGAGATGGATTTTAGATGGTTTCTTAAGAATATTAATATTTATGAAAATTACTCATTCAATAAAATTTTGAATACTCAAGACACCTGGGGAGCAAAAACAAATACTTCCTCTTTTGGAGCCTATACTTCAGTTGGGAAGACACAAAGACATTCATTAAATAATCACCTAAAGAAATATAAATTAATAAGTTCTGTGAAGGAGAGATACACGATTCTTTAAGGACTTGTAGGAAGACCTGGGAAGGCTTCCCCAGGGAAGTAGCAAAGCTGAGGTGTGGGCCGGGTGCAGTGGCTCATGCCTGTAATCCCAGCACTTTGGGATGCTGAGGTGGGCAGATCGCCTGAGGTTGGGAGTTCAACACCAGCCTGACCAATATGGAGAAATTCCATCCCTACAAAAATAAAAAATTAGTCAGGCATGCTGGTGCATGCCTGTAATCCCAGCTACTCAGGAGGCTGAGGCAGGAGAATCGCTTGAATCCAGGAGGTGGAGGTTGCAGTGAGCTGAGGTCGCGTTATTGCACCCCAGCCTGGGCAACAAGAGCGAAACTCTGTCTCAAAAAAAAAAAAAAAAAAAAAGCTGAGGTGTGCAGGGTGAGTAGAAGCCATGCAGCTCAGGGATTGGAACAGGAAAAAGACTGAAAGAAAGCCAGAGTAGACACTGCCCTCTCATTTAGGAGTCGACTGCAGAAATCCAGGTGACAAATTTGGGGTCAAGTGCTGGTGGTGGAGATGAAGACAAGAGAATCACTATGATGGGAGGGCTAAGCAATGGATATGACATGAATATACTTAGGGATATCATCATTTACATCATTCAACCACAACGTATTTTGTGTTAGGTTTTATGCTAGCTCCTGCGGATACGAAGATGAGTAGGATATGCTTTCTGCTGTGAGAGTCCAACCTAATGTTTTAAATAAATATCACCTCATTGGTATTTAGGAAAAATAGCTTAAACATTTCCTTTTAAGTTTTGTTGTGATTATCTCTGATGGTATGGCATGAGATGCTTTTACATTTCATTCAGTCATGAAAAAGGATAACCCTATGATAAAGGATTAACCTGATTCTACAGATGAGGCATATGAGGCTCAGAGTGACTTTAAGTAAATTTGCCCAAGATCACATGTCTAGTAAGGGGCTAAACCAGGGTTTGATTTTTCTTTAAAACTCCAAAGCCTACCCTCTTAACCATGCCATAGCTCCTCTCAGCCATAAAAGATTCAGTAGGATCTTTATTGCTTTTTTAGCATACAACGGTAAGAACACCATAATGCTCAGTATATAGTAGTGGTTATTTATTAAATAGAAAAGTGCAATCTTGGATTTTTGGCTGTGTCTACCACCATTTTTAGTTTTGTTCGGTTGAGTCAATTCTCTTATATCTATTCTGATAATTCTCTTCTAACAGCTTCTATGGCCATGTTTGGATTGCACAAAAGAGTGCAGCCTGATAATATAATACAAATGCGTCAGTAATGGTTAGGCAATTATTAACATCACTTGGCAGCAATATTCAATAAGTTATACCCCACACATAAAAAGCCTGGCATTTAAAGGTATTATTTTTGATACCTTGATAGAAAGAGGCATTAAAAATTGGAATAGGTCTTTGTGGTTAGTATCAGGAATCTGGTTCTATGGACACTGGATTTTAAAATCAATATGGAAGGAATACATTCTTTGAGGCTGTTGGTAAATTTCTAAATAATTTACTATGGCTTCATTTTCTGGGACTTTGATCTGAAAAAAAAAACATAATTATAACCTTTTGTAAACATGAAGAGTCTTTTGCATTTTAGAGGGATCCATAGTAAATTTCATTAAAACATGGTAGGTTGTCACAAACCTCTGGCAAGATCATTACTGTAGCAGATGATCCCATGTCTCCTAGGCATTTATGCCAAAGAGTTAAAGCTATTTAAATGTTTCTGCTACTGGCTTGAAATGATTAGTTTTCACAAGGCAGCATTTAAAAATAATTTAATAACTGCATACTGCATTCTTTACAGTGCAGTAAACATGGAAAAAGTTACTAATGAGAGCTAAAGAAATATTTAATGGGCATTCAAAATAAAATATTTAAACCTCAGATAATCATACCAAAAAACAAACCAAAAAACACTACTTCAGTAGTTATTGCCATAATGGACTGTTACTGTGTCATATAGCATTCCTCTTTGTTACAGTATAAAGTTTATAGAGAACACACTTGAATGCATGTCTGCCTGTGACAACTGATCCTCATTTTGAGAAAACCTAGCCATAGAAGATCCCAGCATCTGCTAGTCATGGATGTACTATATTATTTTTCTGAGTCGTGATCCACTGTCTTGTCAGCATAAAATTGTGCAACAGTATAAGCAAATTGCATAAAACTCTGCTGGAGATTGTGGAAACTTATGGTAAGAAACAATATTGGAATATAAATGAACATATCTGGTTAATGAGCTTTGAAGAGTCAATCCTTTGATTTTAATTGTTGGGTGGATACAATATTTTAGTGAAATCATATTTAATCTGCATGTGTTTTCAATCTCACAAAACAGGATATGAAACAGTTTATAAGCATTCATTTTATTTGAAACATGGTCTGATTATTTCCATCACTCCTTAAAATTTGATACATGTATTTAATATGCCAGCTATTTATCGTTATATATGCTTCACAGTGTCAGGAACTGAGGAGACATTTAATAAAAGTTGAATGGATGGAGAAGAACAAGGTTTTGAATAGTGCAAAGTGATTAAAGATTTAGAAATAAATTCCATTTGGACTCTTTCATTATGAGAATGTGTATATTTTGTTGTGCATGTTATATGGAAATTCCTACTACCAGAATATAAACCAGGTAGTAAATTTTCCTTCTTCAAAGTGGGGGAAAAAAATCGTGGCTCATTTTATTGCCATTATTTAAAGAAATGAGCTAATCTACAGAGATTCATTTTCCAGCAAAATGAGGCTCATTTCTTTAAGCATCTGAAGGGGATTTCTAAATAATTTAGAGAACATGCATTATATACTTCCTTACCTTCTTAAATGGATACTAATAATGATTTATCCTTAATGACTCAAGATCATCATTATTGGTATCCAGAATCCTATGGAATCATGAAACAAGGGATAACAAAGAACAGAAACATTCTTACAAAGGAGGAAAAAGGGGAGGTGATTTTCCATGGCCATTGTAGCTTTTTATCCAAGATGAACATATTCGGCATGCTGCAGAGAAGAGAGCATCTGATCATCTTGATTTTGAATTCCCATTTTTTTGTTACTTCCTCGTCTGGAGATGCTTATTGTTGCATCTTAGCTTATTTGGTCAGGATTAAATTAAGCAGCATGTAAAATTCTTAGCTTAGTACCTAGCAAAATAAACATCCTGGGAATTGTTCCTTTTTCTTCTGGATCAGAGCTTTCTCACCAGACCCATTTATCTGAGGAACACCCTATTTTTATGAAGGGTTTGTAATCATTTGGTGCCTTCAGATAAGGTACAAAGTCTTTAGTCTGAGTAAGTGCTTGAAGGTCCTGCACTTAGAAAATTGTAGAATATGTTTTTGATGAATGGGCCTGAGGACCTCTATTTTGTTGTTTAGAAATCACTTTAAAATTATATTCTTTGATGACTTCGATTGGTATTTAAGAGATCTCTGATTAAAAAGTGTTGTTGTAGGCCGGGCGCGGTGGCTCACACCTGTAATTCCAGCACTTTGGGAGGCTGAGGCGGGCAGATCACGAGGTCAGGAGATTGAGACCATTCTGGCTAACACAGTGAAACCCCGTATCTACTAAAAATACAAAAAATTAGCTTGGTGGACGCCTGTAGTCCCAGCTACTCGGGAGGCTGAGGCAGGAGAATGGCGTGAACCCAGGAGGTGGAGCTTGCAGTGAGCCGAGATCGCGCCACTGCACTCGAGCCTGGGCAACAGAGCGAGACTCCGTCTCAAAAAAAAAAAAAAAAAAAAATGTGTTGTTGTACTGGGGGGAAAAGTGTGTGAGGAAAAGAGGAGAGAGTATGAAAGTAAATATGGTATTTTCTTCTCTATAGGGAAAATACTTAACTGCACTAGGGTTGAAACATTTATCTATGGAAAAGTCTTATTCTGCTCTAAAAAGTTTGTCTTTCTTGTCCATCCATGGATAGGCAGGATAAATGGTAATCAGCACAATAAATCATGTGCTGTCTCTGAAAATACATGTTGTTTTGAAGATTTCATATTATTAAGCCACTTGAAAATGGGAAGGTGAACCCTTCTCAATCATACCTAAACTTGTGTCAAAGGAGATTTTCGTCTTTATTTCAGAAAAAACTAAAAAGGATGAAATGTTCAAATAATACAGTAATGGATTATAAGGGTCAACATGGGAAAGTCAAGTGTATATTGGACAATTACGTATAGTCATAGCAAAGATAACAGGCTTATGGAAATTAGTTTTTGAATTTGGGCAGCAAAAGCTTGTAGAGAGCAGTGATAACCCTAGATTCTATGGTAGGACAAGTGAATATCTTATAAATCTTAGGTTTATTGCAAAAACCTTGCCCAGTTTGTACACAATAGCTCTTAAAACAAGTAGAACAAACCATTACCAGTATACCAGAATTTTACCTTAAGATGGATTTTTAAAAGAACAGTGAAAGATATATCCAGGTGCTTGCAATGGCCAATTGTAAGTTGAAAATTTTATTTTATCCCAAGTATATTATCCAGAGCTGATTATTTTAGAAATGATAGAGTACCAGGAATCCGCTGACTTGGGTAAACCATCTGCATGATAGACAACTGAATAAAAAAATCTTGATGTGTCATTTCAAAACCAAAATTAAGCACAGTAGTACCACCTGTCCACAGAAGGTGCATTTAAAGACACCCAGCGAATGCCAGAAACCATGCATAGTATCGAACCCTATATATGCTATCTTTTTTCCTATACATACAACCTATGTTAGTTTAATTTATAAATTAGGTACAGTAGGAGATTAATAGCAATAACTAATAATAGAACAGTTATGACATACTGTAATAAAAGTTAATGTGGTATCTCTCTCTCTCAAAATATCTTATGGTACTGTACCGTGAGTAACTGAAACTACAGAAAGTGAAACCTTGGATAGGGGAGAACTACTGTATTGGATTAGATCTTTTTAGAGCAACAATTTAAATGCTAAGTAAACTTGTCAAATAAAAACCAGGCATTCTAGGACTGGTTGCTAAACACAGAGGAACTCCTCCCTAAACCTTCCCATATGGTTCATTTAATTTTATGGGAAATTCTGGTAAGTAGAGTATTTTACTTCCATTATAGCTTCTAGTAGTCATGAGGATTTGGTCCTCCTATGTTTAAATCTCACTCCATTGCAGGTAATTAGAAAATAAGATATTGGGATGTTAATGAATTTTAAAAGGAGATTAAGTAGATGGTAGAGTAGAAGATTTTGCCAAGATATCTTGGGAAGAGTCAAGCAGGATGGGGATGGTGGGAGGGGAAGAAGTGAATGTATATTTTAAAGCCACACTTGGTTTTCAGAGCTAAAGGAGGAGGCATCTATTTAATCCCACAAATGTGCACTGAACCTCAGGCATTGTGTAAAGCCATCAAGGATATTAGCTAAACTTGTTACTGTCCCCAGAGAGCTTATAGACAGGGGAGAAATGCAAGTCACAGACAAGTAATAATTCAGTATAGTAAGTACTATGACAGTGGTTTAGAAAATACTATGCGAAATTTGGCAGGTAGAAAGCCTCAAGATTATCCTACTGTCCAGGTGGGGAAACCCTAGGCCCAGAGAGAATTACAGACTATATATGTGAGCAAGGAAGAGGTTTTACTAACATTGCATTTTAATACCCAAATACCATCGGGTATTAAAAAAGGAATTCTTAAACATATTCAAGCCAAGGTCATATAGCATCTGTACCTAGAAGAGTTTCTGCTGCACTGAAGTCATTTGATATTTTTAGGTTAATGTTTTTCTATAAGTTAATATCTACCTTGAATTCCTTCACTTGCTCTTCTGTCAACATGTATGTTACAATATTAACATTCATCAGGCGATAAACATCTTTTTTCAACATTGGTAATTTCAGAGTTTTCATTTTTTAAAGATCATATTGTATGTTGTTTTTAATTGCAGAGAATAGGGTGAAACACCAGTAGAGCAAATAAGACGTGTATTACACCTTTAAGACTTTAGTTGGAGGTTCTCTTTGAAGCTCTGTCAGCTAGGACAACATATTTCAATTTCCATTGACAGCCATGTGAAGATATATAATGGTCTCATGCATTTTAAGTATATTGGGGGCTTTGTATTTTTGACTCCTTTTCCTTTCACAACAGAGTTTATTTACAAGGGAACGTATTACCTTTTTTCTTGTTAATAAGTGGCGCAGTAAACATAAGGTTTGAAGAACTAGCCACCAAAACTTTGTTTTGCTAAATGGCCACATCATTTTCCACGGTTAGAACTTTCTTTTCTTTTTTTTTTTTTTTTTTTTTTTTGAGATGGAGTCTTGCTCTGTCACCCAGGCTGCAGTGCTGTTGAGAGATCAGCTCACTGCAGCCTCCACCTCCTGGGTTCAAGCGATTCTCCTGCCTCAGCCTCCCAAATAGCTGGGATTACAGGCATGCACCACTAGACCTGGTTAATTTTTGTGTTTTTAGTAGAGTTTTCATCATGTTGGTCAGTCTGGTCTCAAACTCCTGACCTCAGGTGATCCGCCTGCCTCGGCCTCCCAAAGTGCTGGAATTACAGGCACCGTGCCTGGCCACCATGGTTAGAACTTGCTAAAATCTCTGATAGATGACAGTAGGTTTGCAGATATAGATGTCTGCTCCAGGATAACCTTTGATGCCTTGAGGCATAAATCCTGGAAATAATAAAAACTTCTTTCAAAAAAACCTATCCCTCAGCATTGGTTATGAGGGACGTTTCAGCCGTTCTTTTCATAAACTGTACATGGAACTATATTCCCCACAGTGTAGGTTCTATAGAATCTTGAGGCAGGATCTTATAGGCTCATTTACCACATAGGAATTCCCTGGGGGAAAATCTCTGGTAGAAATCAGGATGGCTAGTTTTGAGTCTCTTCCTAATGAATATTATTAGGAGTCCTAAGCATTTTAATATTGGGGTAAAAAGAAGTTGAGGTTTCCATTAAGAACCCTTACTTTTGTCAGTTTTTTCCTGTTTGTTTTTTCAATTGATCTCACCTGAAATGTATGTCATATGGTGGTTTGAGGTTAAATGATACAAAAAATTTTACACATTATTTCTGTAAGTATTTTGGTTTGCCAGTTACAACAAAACTCAATGGGGCAGTGCTGCTGAATTAGATTTGGGCGTTTTGATAATGGGGCAGTTGTCTTCATGGAGTAGAAAACTTCCCCAGGAAATTGGCAAAGTTTTCAGAACTGATAGAGTAAAATCAGAAAATCTATCTACTACTCTTCCTCTTGTTCTCTGGGCCATGGCATACAAGGGCCTTTGCTCTGTCATTCCTTTTGCCTGGATCATGGCTCACTTATTTAAAACTTGCCCAAATTTCAATTCCTTGATGAAATTATGACTGCTCCTTTAAAATTGCAACCCGTTGCACCCTCCCCCAATCTTGCTCTCTCCTTTTCATCTCCATTTCTTTTCCGAATGTTCTAACATACTGTGTTATTGTGTTTATTGCCTACTCTTTTTCTACTCTTTTTCCTTACTAGAACATAAACTCCACGAGGGCAGCTGGTTTTAGTTGTTTTATTTATGGATGCATCCCAAGCATCTAGAACAAGGCCTGACACATAGTGGAAGGTCAGTAAACTTTTCTAAAATGAGTTTATCCAGGTAAACAGCCATTTTTAATGGGGAGGAGGATCATCTTTCCAGATGTCACGTGCCACTTTTGTTGTAGACAAAGCCAGGTGAATAACATGAACTGTTACAGGTGTTGGCTTTTGGAGTTTTTAACTAAATGGTGTAAGTTCTTGTCAAAGCTGTTAACTTGGTGATGTGAGCAGACTTCACATGAGACATTTGGGACTCGTGTACTGTCTTATTAGGTGTTGTGACAGCACTGTCTATTTCAAGGTTACTTCTCTGTCTCTTTGCTAGTAGCCATTATAAAACCTGGTAAAGTCAGAACTAAGCAGAAGAAAGAAGGTCCAGGTAGGGAGAAGACAAGTAGTGAGTGCAGGCCAGTCAGATGGTTTCCCATCTTGGAAGAAGGGAAGAGAGCCAGTCAGGTGCACTGAGAAGCAGTGATATGGTAGCTGACATAGGATTTCATAATTGGCCAATCGGACATTAGATAGATGTTGAGTTTCAGCTTTAACTTTTTTTAATTTCTTATTTTTAATTACAGTAGGCTTTTGGGGGAACAAGTGGTGTTTGGTTACAAGGATAAGTTCTTTAGTGGTGATTTCTGAGATTTTGGTGCCCCCATCACCTGGGCAATGCACACTATACCCAATGTGTAGTCTTTTATCCCTCACGCCCCTCTGTCCCTCCCCGCAAGTCCCCAAAGTGTAATGTGTCATTCTTATGCCTTTACATCAGATGTAACTTATAAAACCTAAAGGGGTAAAGGAGATTAAAGCACAGGAGTGGCAGTAGTAGCAAATTCTTTCCTACCGAAGAAGCAGGGAACGCTACTATATATGAGAGAGAGAGAAGGGTGTGTGTGTGTGTAAAATGGGATAATATTCATCACCTGGCCTCTGCTGGGAGCTCTAAGAAAAGCTAGAAAATTTCACAGGGTATGGCTAAAACAAGTTGCTAGTAAAGAATGTTGGAAAAAGATAAGAGATTGTTGACATTGGAGTGGTGGGGAAACAAGGCTCTCACCATTGACTTATAAATGTGGGTTTAAAATGTTAGTAAGAACTTAAATCTGAGATCCTGAAAATGTACAACCTAATCTATATTGAGACAAAGATCTATATCTGCTTTGTATATCATCATCTTAAAAGTGTCCTGGCAAGTTTATAGGAACTTTTTACATACTAATTGGTTGTCATGGAAACCTACCTTAAAACCCACTATTGTAATCTATACTTGGCCTGAAGTGTATTTAAGTGACTTAAAGTCTCCTGTTAAGGAGAAAAGCATCAAGATTCTTGGTGTTTGTCAATTCAGGGCTCTAAAAGATTGACTTATATAAAAAGAAGGCAAATGTGTTTTTTCCTCACTGAGTACTCAAGCCTGCCTTCCCAGTGCTTGATAATTATTGATAGGTACTAGAGTTCATCCCAGAAAGGGCAACCAAAGACTGAGCTTTGAGGACATGGTGGCATATACCTACAGTCTCCAACAGGTTCTTTTTTTGTGATTTGTGCAGAACAGGAAGTGACTGCTGTCTTTTTTTTTTTTTTTTTTTTTTTTTTTTTGAAACGGAGTCTCGCTGTGTCTCCCAGGCTGGTGTGCAGTGGCGTGATCTCGGCTCACTGCAAGCTCCACCTCCAGGGTTCACGCCATTCTCCTGACTCAGCCTCCCGAGTAGCTGGGGCTACAGGCGCCCGCCACCATGCCCGGCTAATTTTTTTTGTATTTTTAGTAGAGACAGGGTTTCACGGTGGTCTCGATCTCCTGACCTCGTGATCCGCCCGCCTCGACCTCCCAAAGTGCTGAGATTACAGGCGTGAGCCACCGCGCCGGGCCTGCTGTCATTTTTAATTACTCCTGTGCATTTAATTTATCTGTCATTCTAAGCCAGTGATTGATTCTCCAGTTCTTAAACAAAGGAGGGATATATAAAGCCAGTCGCCTGAACTTCAGGCAGTTGGAAAATTCTGGCATTGACTGTAGCTATTTCAACCTTGAATGGGTTTAGTGGAAGAATAGTGTCTGTCTCTTTTTTTTTTTTTTCTTTATCTCCCTGTTATCTCTCTTTGAGCTAAGTACTGTGATTGTATCTTAACAAAGACCAATTTAGTGAAATAAAGAATAGAGTGGACATGTCATCTTAAGCATTTAGAATGACAAATGTCTGTAAAATCAAAAGTTTGAGAATCACTGAACAATATCATTTCACTCTAAATTGAGGAAAAATTGTGACTTGTTTCTAGACTCTGTATCTAAAGCTGTTTTATAATTATATCTTGACATTTCCCCACTCCCACTGCCCACCAAGGTTTCGTTCAGAATCTTCTGAGGATCCTTAGGCCCATTTGAGAAAAACACAAAAGAAGTTAGAGGTAAATGAGGATATTACCTTAGACTGAGTTAATGCGTAGATGTAATTCTGTGTACCCTATTTTATCTTATATAATAATTACGCATGTCTTAAGTTTTACATTTTTATTACATTTTGAGTTTAAATTAAATAATGTTTATAAAACATATATAAATAATAAAAAATAATGACATAAGAAACACCAGTATACATAATGCTCAGTTTAAGAAAAAGGGCATTACTAAAATCTAAACCAAACGCCCTTTCTTTTCTTCTCCCACAGAAGAACCTACATTTTATATTTTTGTTTTCTGTTTAATTCATGTTTATAATTTCCTCGAATATCTTATAGGATTCTGCCTATATGTTGTCATTCTAACAATATATTGTTTGGTTTTGCAAGGCTGATGGGGGAAAGGGAATATGAGTTTATTTTTTCTTTATTCTTAACATTGTGCTTGGAATAGGACAGGTCTCAAATTAGATTCCCCTACTCAGGGGGCCGCAGGTTTTTATCTCTGATCTCCTGCACCCTCACAAGATGTGAAAATTGAAGCTCTCATTCCTTAGTTTCATGTGAAAATTGAAGCTCTCATTCCTTAGTTTCAATCAATGCCCTTAGGATAGATGCTGGCTTCACAGCTCTCCCTACTACCTCTCAGGGTTCTCTCCCGCTTTTAGTTTTTGACCTTTTATTATTTCATACTAGCTTAAAAGTTCATCGGTGAAGTTAAAAATATTTTGTTTTCATATTTTATCATCTGTCATTTGTAGCTGTTTTTATCTGACCACTCTTTCAGGGAACTTGGCTATATACTTCTGGAAATGGAAGAACCTATATTCCAGTTTTTAGTTTTAGAACATTCGTGTTGTATTCCTATGCTTTCTTTTCATATGCACAGAGCTATATGGTCCTGGAAGAAACTTTATTTTGCTTGTCTACCAATTACTTTTTTTCACTTAATTTTTTTGGCCTCTCTCTCTTTAAATGACTGCATAGTGATTTGACAAAATGTATGTAAACAGCCGATTACATTACATGACTTGTTGGAGATTATTCTTCTCATTGGAATGCACCTGGGCGTGAAGTAATATAAACACATTTAAGAATTAAATAATGCTTTTGCTTAGAGTTTGTGTGTGTGTGTGCTTATGTGTGTACATGTATTTTCCACTAGGCTGCTGCACTGAATAATGATTCCAGCCAGAATGTCTTGAGCCTGTTTAATGGATATGTTTACAGTGGCGTGGAAACTTTGGGGAAGGAGCTCTTTATGTACTTTGGACCAAAAGCTTTACGGTAAGATAAGCCTGTACGATACATCTTATCTCTCTATATTTAAAGATGCGTAGAAGGCTAGATGGAGTTTGCCGGGTGTCACATTTAATCATATAGGAAGTACTGTGTTTTTAAGAGAGCTCCAATATGAGAGGTTGTGATTCTATCATGGAAATCAATAAACAGCAGAAGAATAAATTCTGATGTCATCATCACTTGGAAGACAGTCATTTTACAGGGCTTCCCAAGATGTATTAGAGCAACACATCTGTTTTGCTAGTCCCCAAGCTTCCTATACCACAAGTCTCTCCTTGTTTTTACCGAATGCTTATTGTATTCAGTGACATCGGTTACTTTATATTTGTGACAGGCCCTAGTTTGGTTTAAATGTATCACTTGATCTTTAAATATTTTTCTGGCTTCCTGCTTTCTCTGAAGCCTTGAATGGAATTTGGAAATTTACTTAGAGAGTGTAAAAACTTTCCAGAGAAATAACAGGTTCTCCATTGTTTCACAGTTCCCATGGAAATTCATGGCTAATATACTGGCAGAGAAGGACTAGCAACCTATTTCCTTTGTTGACTTAATGATAAAAAAGTCAAAATATATGTAATTGTGATGCATGATCACATGTTTAATTTTTGCAGGAAAATGAAAGCGGCCTTTGAGTTAATATGTCTACCCAATCTCATTCTGTCTTTTCTGAGTTTAGCCTAAGCTTTTGCCAACTGTAAAAATTGATACTGCTTCCTCAAATCGTTTTTAGTGCTGTTTAAAGATACTGACCACAGTTATCACCTTTTTCTTAAAAGAAAAGACCTGTTCCTGGACCCCATGCTAACCAAAGGTGAATAATTGTCACAAAGAGATGATACTATATGATTGTTCTTTATTGCATCTCATCTACCACATATTTAGAGTAATCCAGGGTTTATGTAATTGCTTTTCCTTTGAGGTGTTCTCTTTTCATTGTCAGCAGCTGCTGTCCTTGGACAACATTGTCACTTCATGGTTTTGCTTAGTCTGGAATTGATAACATCAGCATATGCCTAGTTGTTCATGCAGTAATGATATATTGCAGGTTACACTGCTGCTGTAGTAGACTGATGTGATGGAAAACTCATAGCTCTGGATAGAGTAGTACACAATGGGATCTATGCACGATAGTTGAAAACATTGATATGTTATTGATTCTCTGGTGTTAGGTACAGATTTATTTCTGTAAGATGAGAGGGGGTTTTTATCAAGTGCTCTCCACCAGACTGATAAGGGGGAAGTCATTTCTCAGCACACGGCTGTCAGTAAGTGTTCCATGAAGTTCTAAACAAGGACAATCACTTCTTCAAACTCATTGAACTAGTGCCCTCCCTGGAGAGTACCTATGTCAGTATATGGGTGGGAAAAATGCAGTGGCTTGCTTCCTTTCAGTTTCCTGCAGCCATAACAACTATTGGATGTAACAATTCAAGGTCAATGGCAGATCTGCTGTTGGAATCTGAACCTAAAATCATTTGCCCCTCTTTTCACAATGTAACAGAAGTTCAAAAAATGTACTTCCAACCTGTGCTTCTTAGAGGAATGGATAACTCTCTCAAAGAAATGTGATCTTTTTGTGAGGCTGCAGGTCTGTGCACCTGCAATAGAAATGTAGTCTTCATTTTTGACTTCTGCCTCCCACCCACCTGGCTCATCTGCATTTGATAGAGCATATAGCAGGAAACACTTTCAAAGGTTGCTCACAGTTTTCCCTTGATACCCAACTTTTCACAAGCAAAATTGCCCGCAGAGTTTAGTCATAAAGTGTGTGCATCTCATAGGTTGGGCCATGAATCTCCTGGGATTCATTGGTTGAATCTCCTGGGATTCATTTGTTAATGAAAGTAGAATACGAGCATAGCCTCTAAAAGAATCTGCCCTGTAAAAATCCACACATCAGAAAGATACAAATTAGAGAGTGATTACTTCTCTACCTACTAAGTGATATATTCAAGTGCTCCTGATAGTGCCAAGGAATACTAAAAATTATTTGATACACATTTATTTTAGGAGCACTATTGTGTTATGTGTGATTAATACCTGTACAACTTCTGAACACTTTCCACTAACTCTTCAACTAAAACAACACAAACGTCACTTGAAGTTTTTGCTACAAATGTAACAAGTACTCAGTAGAGAAAACTGAAAAATAATGAAAATAAGTGTAAAGTAATACATTCTCAATCCCACTACCAGGTGTAATCTTTATTAACTTTGGATGCATACAATGCCACATTGCCAGTATAGTGTGTGCGAATGTTTATATGCATGTTCACCCAGCTGCACTCACACTGAAGCTATCATTTTAATCAAAATGGACATAGCTGTTGCATTTTGGACTAAAATTTAAAAAACAGATAGATAGATAGATAGATAGATAGATAGATAGATAAGTAAATATATTTTTCCAAGACCATTTTCTGTTTCCAGTTTGTGATTTACATGACTCTGGCTTTTGAAGTTATATGTGCTCAGAGACCAGAAACTATATCTGAGATATTTTGGAGGCTTTGCCATTTTAGAAATGCCTTATACATGATTGATTTTATAATTTATTGGGGTTTAAGTATGAACCTCAAACCAGTTATGCAAGAGATAATATAATGATTCTTTTTAGTTTGCTGAAATGTCTTTATTGAATCCATCATATATTACTTATAAAAGAGTTTTACAGCTTCAACATAGTTTCTGTACTATCATATAACATGTTAGGAGAAATAGAAGTGTACTTTTACTCTGTATAATACTTTAAGATTCATTCATACTGTTTGAAGTATCAGTGGTACTTTCTTTTCTTTTACTAAGTAGTCTCCCATTGTATGAACATACCATATTTTGTTAATTCATTCATCAGATGATGGACATTTGGATTGTTTCAAGTTTTTAATATTGTGAATAAAATTGCTATGAATATTCACATACATATGACATATATATGTGGACATACATTTTCATTTCTCTTGGATAAATTACCAAATGACTTAGAAATTCTAAGTCATTTGGTAAGCATATGTTTGACTTTAAGAGGAATTGCCAAACTGTTCTTAAAAGTGGTGGTACCATTTTACATTCTCACCAGCAGAGTATGAGAATTTCAGTTACTCAGCATCTTTGCCAGCACCTGGTATTGTCAGTTGTGTTAATTTCAGCTATTCTAATAGGTGTACAGTGTATCTCACTATGATTTTAATTTTCTTCTCCCTACTAACTAATGATATCTGATGCAATATGCATATTTCCTGTTTGTGTATTTTATAGGGTGATGTGTCTATTAATGTTTTCCTTTTTTATTGGATATATTTTTGTATTATTGAGTTATAGTATTCTGTATATATTCTAGATGTCAGTCATTTATCAGATAACATGTTTTGCAAGTATTTTCTCCCAATCTATGGCTTTTCTCTTCATTTTCTTAACCATATCTCTTCAAGATTAAAAACTTTTAAGTTTGATGAAACCTAATTTATCAAATTTTTTTTTCATGGTTCATTCATACGTTTTGTGACCAGTCTAAGAAACATCTGCCTAATGCAAATTAATCAACATTTCCTTGTTTGTTTTCTTCTGGAAGTTTTATTGAGTTAGCTCTTCTGTTTAGGATTATGATCTATTTTGAGTTCTTTTTTGTATATGGTACAAGGCAGGAGCTGGACTTTGTCTTTTTGCGTGTGTATTTTCCAGCACCATTGTTGACGAGATTATCCTTTCTCCATTGAATTTCTTTGCAACTTTGTTGAAAATTAGTTGACCATATATGTATGGGTCTATTTCTGAACTCTGCATTCAGAAGAATATCAGATAAAGTGATATTCTTTTATCATTTTTTGTGTCTGTCCTTTCACCAATAATACACTGTCTTAATTAAAGTAGCTTTAAAGTCAGTTTAAATTAAGTAGTGTCAGTCGTCTGACTTTATTCTTTTTTTTTTTCAAAATTGTTTTTGTTGTTTTAGTTATCTTTCTACATTTTAGACTTAGCTTGTTGATTTCTACAGAGTTCTTTCTGGCATTTTGATTGGCCTTGTGTTGGATCTATAGATCAATTAGGTGATAATTCACATGCTAACATTATTGTCTTCCACTCCATGAACACAGTATATATTAATATGTATTTAGATCTTCCTTCATTTCTTTATCAGTATTTTGTAATTTTCAGCTTCAGACATATTTTATATTTGTAACTAAGTGGGTTTTTTTGGAGCTATTGTAAAGGGTACTTTTTTAAAATTTGAATTTCTAATTGTTCATTTGCAGTGTATGGAAATACAATTTTTGTGTGTATATTGACCTTGTATCCTGCAACCTTGCTGATATGATCTGGCTCTGTGTTCCCACCCAGATTTCATCTTGAATTGTAATTCCCATGTGTCGAGGTGTGGGGGGGCATGTAATCCCCTTGTGTCAAGGGAAAGAGGCGACTGGATCATGGGGGCTGTTTCCCCCATGCTGTTCTTGTGATAGTGAGTGAGTTCTCACTAGATCTCTTGGTTTTATAAGGGGCTCTTCCCCCTTCTCTTTCTCTTCTCTCTCCTGCTGCCATCTGAAGAAGGTCCTTGCTTCCTTTTCACCTTCCACCATGATTGTAAGTTTCCTGAGACCTCCCAAACCATGTGGAACTGCGAGTCAATTAAGCCTCTTTCCTTTATAAATTATCCAGTCTCAGGGAAGTTCTTTACAGCAGTGTAAAAACAGACTAATACACTTGCTAAACTCGTTATAGTTCTAGTCGCTTTTTCTTGTATACTTTTAGTATTTTCTATGTAGATAATCATATCATCTGTGAATTAAAGCAGTTTTATTTTTTCCTTTCTGATCTATATGACTTTTTTAAAAAAAATTTACTTCAAGTTCTAGGATACATGTGCAGAACATGCAGGTTTGTTACATAGGTGTACATGTGCCATGGTGGTTTGCTGCACCTATCAACCTGTCATCTAGGTTTTAAGCCTCGCATGCATTAAGTGTTTGTCCTAATGCTCTCCCTCTCCTTGTCCCCCACACCCTATATGCCTTTTATTTCTTTTTCTTGTTTTATTGCACTGGCCAGGACCCCCAGCATGATGTTGAGTAGTAGTGGTGAGAGCAAATAAGTTTGCCTTGTTGTCTGTGATATTAGCTTTATTTTCTTTTATTAAATCAAAAAATTTCCCTTTTATTTCTAATTTGTTGAATTTTTCAAGTATTTTTTCTGCATCTATTGAGATCATCATATTGCCTTTCTTACTTCATTTGTTTATGTGTGGAATTCTATATTGATTGATTTTTAAATTTTGAATGAGCCTTGCATTCCTGGAATATACTCCACTTTGTCATGATGGATTGTCCTTTCTATATGTTTCTGGATTCGATTAGTTAATATTTTATTGAGGACTTTTGCTTGTGTCTTCATAAGAGATATTGCACTATGGTGTTATTTTTCTGTTACTGCCTTTGTCTAATTTTGGTATTAGGGTAATGATGGCCTCCAACTGAGTTTCATCTGATATTCCAGAAACATTTGTGTAGATTTGTTATTGGTATAACATCAACTGGTCTGATGTATTTGGAGTTCCAGAAAGGAAAGAGAAAAAAACAAAACAGAAGACATTTTTAAAAGAAGTAATGGCCAAGAATTGTGCAGGATTAACAAAGCTATGGAACAAGGTGACATAATCTAACATTCTTGTAACTGTCATCCTAGAAGAAAGAAAGAACAGAACAGAAGACATCTTTGGATTTAAATGGCCAAGAATTTTCTTAACAAACCACAGATCCAAGAAGCTAAAAGAGCCTCAAACCAAACCAAATGTCCCTCACACGTACCTAGCCAATGTGCTAAAAACCAAAGATGAAGAGAAAGTGCTGGAAGCAGAGAAAAAGAAACATTGCATATTAATACAAAGGAACAAAGCTAAGAAATACATTTACAGAAATTATGTAAGACAGAAGACAACAGAGCAACGTTTGCTGAAAGAAAAACCTCTCAACTCAGAATTCTAAACCCATCTAATATATCTATTAAAAATGAAGGTATAATAAAGACTTTTTCGAAAAAAAGAAGCTAAGAGAATGTAGTAGCAGGAGACCTGCAGTGCAAGAAAAGTTAAAGTCTGTCCAGCATAAGGGATATAATAACAGACAGAAATCTGAACTACAGAAAGAAAAAACTGGGAATGGGAAACTTGGAAGTAAATATAAAAGATGTTTTTCTGTTATGTTCTATATCTAAAGCAAGCATAATAACAATTTATTGTGGACTTTATAACATATGTCAGAGTAAAATGCATTGCAACAATAGTACAAATGAGATAGGAAAATGATGGTACACTAATGTTGTTGCAATATACGTTTTGCATATCATTTGAAGATATGCATATCATTTGAAGATATCACTGAGATAACTTGTATCTCAGTAATATACGTTTTGCATATCATTTGAAGATTTGCATATCGTTTGAATATATCACTGAGATAACTTGTATCACAGTGTAAGATGTGTATTATAAAACCTAGAGCAACTACTTAAAAAAATTCAAAAAGTGGTAAAAGTAATAAGCTGCTATGGAGATAAAATAGAAGTTTTAAAAATGCTCAATCCAAAAGAATGCATTAAAAGATGAACAAAGAACAGATGGAACAAATAGAAAACAATAGTAATACAGTATATTTAAATCAAAGCATAAAAATAATCACATTAAATATAAATAATCTAACCATCCCAATTATTTGGCAGAAATTAATTGAATAAAAACACAAGACCCAACTATAATGTGCCTATAAGAAAACCACTTAAAATATAATGATGCAGGTTAAAATAAAAGGATGGAAACAGAAATACTATGGAAACACTTATCAAAAGAAAGCTGGAGTAGCTAGAATAAAATCAAAGTAGATTTCAGATCAAGGAATATTACTGAGGGTAAAGAAGGACATTAAAAAAAGATTAAGGGGTTAATTCATCAAGAAAATGTAGTAATCCTAATAGAAATTCAAAAGATGTAAAGCAAGAACTGCTAGAATGGAAAGGGCAAAGAGAAACTAATATTGTTGAATAATTCAACACTCTCTTGTCAGTAACTGATAGAACAAGTGGGCAAAAATCAGCAAGGATAAAAGACCTGAGCAACACTATCAACCACCTTGACCTAATTGACAAGTAGAGAACATTCCACCCAACAACACATGCTTTTCAAGTGCATGTGGAACACTTAGCAAGATTGACCAGATTATGGACAGCAAAATGAGTCTTAACAAATTTAAAAGTATTGATATCATGGAAGAATCCTCTCTGACTACAACAGAATTAAACTAGAAATTATTGAGATACCTAGAAAAATCTTTTTTTTTTTTCTTTTTCAAATGGAGTCTTGCTCTGTCACCCAGACTGGAGTACAGTGGAGGGATCTCTGCTCATTGCAGCCTCTACCTCCCGGGTTCAAGTGATTCTCCTGCCTCAGCTTCTTGAGTAGCTGGGATTACAGACGCCTGCTACCATGCCTGGCTAATTTTTATATTTTTAGTGGAGACGGCGTTTCACCACGTTGCCCAGGCTGGTCTCAAACTCCTGACCTCAGGTCATCTACCCGCCTTGGCCTCCCAAAGTGCTGGGATTACAGGCGTGAGCCACTGCGCCCAGCTGAAAAATTTAAAGTATTTGGAAATCAATGTGCTTCTAAACTCACCTGTCAAATAAATCACAAAGGAACTTAGAACATATTTTGAACTGAATGAAAATGAAAACGCCAGATCAAAATTTGTAGGAGACAGCTAAAGCAATGCTTGAGGAAATGTTCTGGCATTAAATGTTTTTTATAAATGAATAAAATTCTCTAAGATTTAAGCTTCCATATAAAAAACTAGAAGAATAAGAGCTAATTAAACCCAAAACAGACAGAAGGACGGAAATAATGAAGATAAGAACAGAAATCAATGGAATTTAAAAATGAAAGCAATAGAGAAAAAAAATCAATGAAGCAAATAATTGGTCCTTTGAAAAGCATAATAAAAATGAATGACACCAAAAATTGGTTCTTTGAAAAATGTAATAAAAATGATAAACTTTTAGCTCAATGCAGTCCAATATAAACATGGGAGACATATATATAATTTAAAATCTTCCAATAGCTGCATTAACCAAAGCAAAAAGAAATCAATTTTAATAATGTATTTTATTAACCTATACAAAATATTTCAACATATAAACAATATAAGCAATTATTGATAAGCTATGTAACTTTTTTTATACTAAGTCTTCAAAATCTACTGTGTATTTTATAATTAGAGTACACATTAATTTGAACTAATAACATTTCCAGTGCTCACTTGCCACATGTGGGTAGTGGCTGCCATATTGGACAATACAGCTCACATATAAACACTATGAGGAATGACAAAGGGAACATTACTGCAGATCCTCAAGTTGTTATTTGAATAGAAATAGGACACTATATATTACCTAACAAATTTATGTCGATGAATTCAACAACTAAAATAAATGGACAGATTCCTTGAAAGACACAAATTATCAAAACATACTCTAGAACTAAAGTAAAAATATGAGTTATTTTCTATGTTTTAAATAAGTTGAGTTGATAGTTTAAAACTTCTCAAGAAAGAAAACCCCAGGCATATTTAAGGAACATGCTCTGTTTTATCTTTTTCATCCTTTTTTCTCTTTCTTAGGTTTGGATAATTTCTATTAATCTATATTCAGGTTCACTTATTCTTTCCTCTGCTCTGTGCGGTCTGCTGGTCTGCTCATTGAAGAAATGTCTTCTCCCTGCTATCATGTATTTTGGTTTCTCTGCTGAAATATCACACCTGTTCATGTGCCTTTATACTAGATCCTTACATATGTTAAATCATTAACATATTAATAACTAATATATAATATAAAATTTGATTAAGAATCAATATTTTAAGTTTAAAATTAATTTAACATTACTTTTAAATCACCTGTCTCATAGATATGACATCTGGTGCATCTTTGGGTCTGGCTCTGTTGACTGCTTTATCTCTTGATATATTTATCTCTTGATACTTTTTTAATCTTTGTGTGTATATATGTGTCTTATCATTTTTTTGAATCCTAGACATTGTCTATAGAAGACAAAAAGCTAAATCCCAGACACCATGTATAGACATATAAGAGCTAAATAATATTTAAGCTCAGAAACAGTCATGCCTCTTCTGTCAGTCATTAGTGTCAGGGATTGAGTGAGTCTAGTAAAGTAGTTGACCTTCGTTTGAGTTTTGCTTTGTTTGGGTTGGCTTCAGTGCACCAACAACTTCAAAACTCCAGCTGCTACTGCTACTTTATGCCTTGTGTGTGGTCTGGTTTGGCAGTGGATGGTTTCTCTGTGTTGCTGCTCGACTCTCAGCTTTCAGCACATCTTGCATATTCATGTCACAGAGAAAGTCTCTCCATGTTCTTACCTCTCCACCATGTAGACTGCTGTCGCTTGTGACTCAGTGGGAGGCTTATGATGGGGATAGTGGGGATATTTACTTCTGGATTAGCCTGGAACTTGGGCAGGCCTTTGTGTATGTAGAACCCAAGGTCGCAGTTTTCTTAGGGTTGCTGTCCCTTGCCCTCCTATGGCAGCCAAACTCTGCCTTGCACCTGTGGGTGTACTTGGGTCAGAGAGCTTCCTACCTCTTTTCTGGTGGAAGCAGATTTCTCTTTGTATCATCACAGTATTTTGTGCCAAAGCCGATTTTCTGTTTCAACTCTAGGGACAGATGGCTTTTGCTTCTACCTCACCTTCAACAGGCCAGGGTACCTTTGCTTGGGCTGGGTGGCCGAAGGGTTTCCGCTGCTGTCCTGTGGCAGACTGCTTATGGTTGTTATTCAGTATAAGACATATTGTTTGGGCAGAGGAAGTTTCCTGTTCCTCCCTCAAGGACAGATATGACCTTTGTTTCTACCTCTCCCTTGGCCCCAGCAGCTTAAAGACTTTTTAAGACTTGGACTTCATCTCAAAGAAGTGTTCAAGAAGCAGACAGAGTTTCATGAAGACAGGTGTCATGCCACCAAGAGCAGCTCTTTCAGGTCTCTTGCTGTCACTCACATCTTTCACATGGGCCCACGAGTGTGTATTCTCCTTGTGTCTGGGGCTCCGGGGATTCTAAACTGTTACACCAGCCCACATTCAGTATGTAAAAGTTTGTTGAAAATTTTGCAGTTTTCTGCTTTCCCATTTTTATAGTAGCCTTCTCTTCCTCTTGTGCTCTGCCACAGGTGAAACAATTTGTGTATTCTGACTTTACTTTCCATGGCGGGGCTTGTCACATTTTGGAATTTAGCTTACCTGGTTGCGTTGCAATCTCATGTCTCTGATGGGCTTAAGAAAATGTATGATTTTGTAGATAACGTGATTTTTTTTCTCCTTGTTGGAGCGGTAGCTATGTTCACTTTCAGCCTTCTGCATCCTAAGTAGTAGCAGAACTCCTATTTTTTATTTTTAGCATTGTTAAAACCATATCTTTTTACATTCTTTTTTTTTTAATTCCCAGCATAGGTTTTACAACTATTATATTCTACATTTTCCACTCTTTATTACCCTTAGGACACTTCTGACCACTTGAAAATTTTTATAGGCAGTTGCCTTATTTGCAAAATGTAGTTGTCATTAATGTGAAACTGTGACAGTACTGCTTTGTTTATGCTATTTGTGCTTGCTTAAGGATGTTCAGATTATTCTGACAGTGATAGCTTGGAGAATACGGCTGATTCTTAAAACAGGATCAGGGCTTATTTACTAGTTTCTTTAGGAAGATATTTCTAATGAGAGGAATTTTCTTACTGTTAATTGAATTTTTAGTTTGGGCACATTTTCATATTAGAACTTGGTTGCAAGTGACAGAGGCCCAACTCAAGCAGGTTCAATAATTATTTATTATCTTTTGTTGACTTTGGCACCAAAAACTTCTTTAAAATTTAAAAAAGTGTATGAAGTATCTTACAAAACCTGAAGAGAATACAGGCAGGCTTCAAGGAGAACTAAAGCAAGCAAAGACTAAAAGCTGTTAGGATTCCTCTTCATTTCTTCACTCTGCTCCTCACTGAAATCTTCTATAGTCTTCCTCTTTGCAGGGAGACCTTCCTTTGCTTTGCTGGTGCTCACATCGGGAATCATTCCCATAGACAGCTCTCATATGAGATCTCTTAATGCTAGCAGGATCTCCTTGGGTCCTACGTCTTTAAATTCATCAGAAAAATTGACGAACCCAGCTTGGATACTGATGGATCTAGCTTGGGACAGGTGTCCATTTCTGAATCAACTGTATCAAAGGCACAGGATCTGAGAAAACGACAGAGACCTGTTCAGGTTAAGCCTGAACAGGTTAATGCCCACCCTTGGACCAGGCAACTGTGGTTGGCAGGTAGACTTCTATTATGCAGAGTGAATTGTCTTGGGTAACCTTTTGGGTTGGTAGAAGGAGCTTGAGATAGAAATAAGGATCTGATAAAAGTTTCCTAAACTAATTAATTATGAGGAATCCTGAAAAGCAAATGAAACCCTAAAAATGTCTTTTCTTTATGTAATATGGGCCTATGTCCTGGTTTAAAAAAAAAAAAAATCAGTATCAATTGTTGTCGCAGTATAGATGTTTACTGTGCCTCAAATATTTTCATGATACTGATACATTTTTTATAGTTTAAGATCAAAGGTACTTAGTAATAAACCCACGAGATGTGTTGGTTTATTGGGGCTCAATTATAATATCTATTTAATAAAACAAAATAAATAAAAATTTAAAAAAACATTTTATGCACTTTTTTCCTAAAAATGAATTGATTTATAAGTCAGAGCCATACTTATTTGATCTAAGGTTCTTGCTGGGGCTACTCCTGCATTTGAATTGGGTCTTAACCTTTGAGATTTTTTATGTGGATGTGGTTTCATTATAGAAAGTGATTTAGAATCCACTTTATGAGCCATGCAGCTGAAAAGATTTTAGATATGATGGCTTCTGGGCATGACAGTTGTACACCTTTCACTGGGGTTGAACTTCCATAAGTTAAATTATGGAGTACTTACAGGCACACATTTTTCCTGTCAAGAACTATGGGGCATGTAAAATGCATTTATGATTGATAGTAGGGCACACAGAGTTTAAAACCCACATTTTTAAAGTTAGACTGGTTAACCTTGTACAATACTATAACATGGTGCTCCGCAATTAGAAGCACAGAGCAGTAGCATTCGCTGCCAAAAGAGCCATATTTATGAACTCAACAAAGCTATGAGGAGAAGGATTTGAAAGGCGGATCACAGTATTTCATCTTGAGAATCATTTTTGATCTTCATCATCAGAGGTCTTACAGAACTACTTTTTTTAAAAACTGGACATGCTAATCAATCCTATAAAATCTGAAAGGTTACGAATTTTTCATCGCTGCCTTGTGGCTTTCAAGTTAACCGTAAATATTTATAAATCTCCTCTTCCCAATACATATAGAGGTAAAAGAAAACGAAAAGAATTGAGGACAATAGCATTTTGACTTGTTCTCTCTTTTTTTTTGATACGTAAGATTTTGCAAAAATAAAAAAAATTGTTTCATTGCCTAGTGCAAAACAAGGGGGGAAAAGAGCATCTTAAACCATAGATATTATTTTGCAATAGGTAATTATTTCCAATCCATTGTGGTTAGAAATAAGGAATTTGAATATTAGTGGCTTTGTAGAATTTATGAAAACACAAACTATAGGCAACTTAAACTTAGCCTTATCTCATCCCAAGCCTTTGAATCTGAGAAAATGCCAAGAGATGCTAGACTGTTCCATGAATAAAAGATACTTCATCTGACAAGAAAAGAGGAGCAGGGGTGTATTTTTTTGGGCTTATTGTTGGTACCATATTATTTCTTTGAGAAGTTATTTTACTTTTGAGTTGAAAAACTGATTGTCATGTCTTCTATCTTTATAAGGATACAAAGTCATGAGAGAAAAATATATAATAATCTTACCACTGGTTTCTGCCCTTTAAAAGTGTCTATCCTGACTAACATTTGTTTGCTTATAATCCAAAAAAAAAATGATAGTACAGGAAAAAAGCTTGATAAATGATATACTTTCTGCCACTCAAAAATGGTTTGATTTTGTTTCAGGATTCATTTCGGAATGAAAGGCTTCATCATGATTAATCCACTTGAGTATAAATATAAAAATGGAGCTTCTCCTGTTTTGGAAGTGCAGCTCACCAAAGATTTGATTTGTTTCTTTGACTCATCAGTAGAACTCAGGTAAAAAAAATTAAATAAAAGTACTTACGCTGCAATACTGCAGAGCTTGGTTTGGGATGTCACACGTGTAACTAAAGAAACAAATAAATAAAGAGTTTGTAATTGATGAAACCTCATTTTAAAGAAGCCTTCAGATAATATAATTTGTAAGGTCTTTGTTGTTTGCATATGTAACTCTTATACCCTGATTAACATAAAGTGCTTATAGCAAAGCTCATTTTAAAAGACACTTTGTGAAATTATAACCAGACTTATGATTAATGTGTTTTATATTCCTTTCTATAGAAACTCAATGGAAAGCCAACAGAGAATAAGAATGATGAAAGAATTAGATGTATGTTCACCTGAATTTAGTTTCTTGAGAGCAGAAAGTGAAGTTAAAAAACAGAAAGGCCGGATGCTAGGTGATGTGCTAATGGATCAGAACGTATTGCCTGGAGTAGGGAACATCATCAAAAATGAAGCTCTCTTTGACAGTGGTCTCCACCCAGCTGTTAAAGTAAGTTTTAAGTATTTTTTTAATTATCTGTTGATTTTTCGGTACTGTGAAGGAACCAACGTGGAAGCCTTAACTCTGCATTTCAGTAACACAGTCTCATCAGACTTCAGGTGTCCCGCTTCCCATTTCTACCCAGGTCAATTTCTCAGTGCAGCCGGCTCCTACCACCGCACTTGCACTTACAGTTGCCTTGTGCACACCCTCCCACTCCACATTTCACTCTATCAGTCTTCCTTAACTTGCCCTGCTTTTTGTTCTCTCCATACCAGGTATCCCTTTCAAACATAACATATTTACTTATTATACTGATTGTTTAAAAGCTGTCTCCTTCTGCTAGAACACAGTCTCAAAAGGAAACAAGGCTTTTGTTCACTGAAGTATCCCAACATCTAGAACGTGACCTGTGGTGTATGGTAGGCATTAGATATTAATATTTGTGGAATATGTGAATGAACTAACTCACAACTTATTTTCTCTCTCTGGCATATTAAGTACATGTTCTGCACACGCTTGTGTATTCCTGATTACAGCTGTTGGTGACATTAGAAGCTGCTGTTGTGGAAGGATAGCAATGGAAGGCAGGCAGCAGGGACCAAGGAATAAGTGATCAGTGAGGAAATGAAAGCAAAATGTAGAGCCCTTGTTCACATAGGCCGGAGTGAAGGGAAAATATTGGCTTGCTAGAGGGGATTCCAGGGCAAGACATGAGTTGGTTATTTTATTTTTTTTCTTGTTCTACAACTGCAGAGACTTGAACTTATTTATATGTTGCAAAAAAAAAAAAGTGGTTAAAGGGCAGAGGTTAAAATTGTAGAAAAGGGAATGGTGATGAATATAGCAATGTTCTAAGAGGGTAAGAGAGGTGAGAACCCTAACCCAGGTAGAATACATACATTTTAGTTTCTAGGGAAGACCTCTACATTAGGGCTTTTATCAAGACCTGTTGCCACTAACTAAATTAATTTTTAGCTCTTTTAGCTGAATTATTTTTTACATAATTGACTCTATTAACTAAATTATCTTTTACATAAACCCAGGTTATTTTTTTACTTTGTGTAGATACTTACTAGATAGTTTTAGTAATACCCAAATCAGTAGGAATGAAGCTTTAAAAGAAGCCAGTTAATGATAGGTCTAGATTAGATTCTGCTTTTTGATACTTGGAACACGTGAGTTCAGTATGGAAATAATGAAACAGAACTTTAACAAGAGTGAGCTTTTTAAAAATCACTTAGACCTCTACGAAAGTTGTTTTTGAAAAAAAGAGAACCCAGGGTATTGTTGTTATCTGTGATGCACTGAGAATTTACTTTTTATCTCTGCATCCAGCCATCCATCCATCTAGGAAATGATCATTTACCCATAATGCCTGGGGGTTTAAAAATTAATGACATTGGCCAGGCACGGTGGTTCATGCCTGTAATCCCAGCACTTTGGGAGGCTGACGCGGGCAGATCACGAGGTCAAGAGGTGAGACCATCCTGGCCAACGTGGTGAAACCATCCTGGCCAACATGGTGAAACCCTGTCTCTACTAAAAACACAAAAATGAGGTGGGCGTAGTGGCACATGCCTGTAGTCCCAGCTACTGGAGAGGCTGAGGCAGGACAATCGCTTAAGCCCGGGAGGCGGAGGTTGCAGTGAGCAGAGATCACGCCACTGCACTGCAGTCTGGCAACAGAGCGAGACTCTGTCTCTCTCTCTCACACACACACACACACACACACACATTTCTGAAATTTAGCTCTTAGCTTCTTAAAAGCACGTGCACAATTACTGAAAAAGTACAGTTTAACTTTTCAAGATGTGACTTAATATAGTATGTAAGATTTGGAAAGTAATAAATATTTTGGATGTATGTAAGTTTTAAAGTTTAAGTGAACAATTGAATATGTATAATACTTTCAGGATGACTATGTTGATTAGATTTTCACTTCTATAGTCACTGATAAGTGATTTTCTTTGTACATGTATGTGTCTGTTTATATGCAGCTTCCCTCAGTATACACAGGGGATCAGTTGCAGTACTCCTGCCTATACCAAGTCCATACATACTGAAGTCCTGCAGTTGGCCCTAGGGACACTGCTACACAAAAAGTCAGCCCTACACACATGCAGGCTTCACATCTCACAAATACTATATTTTTCATTCATGTTTGATTGAAAAAAATCTACATGTACGTGGACCTGCTCAGTTCAAACCTGTGTCGTTGAAGGGTCAGCTGTACATATAGATATTCACACACAGGCAACAAGCATGAGGCATCAGAGGGTTTCTTTTGGGATTACCATTGACGGCACATGTGCCAAATAATAATTCTGCAAGGGTAACACTGAGATTTATGTTAGGCTGTGTCAGAAAAAAATTCTTCAGTAAGGTCTGTGTCTGAGCTCTTCCATGTGTTAATAAGTACTTTGATATTAATGCATGTATAGAAATGCATATCTTTTCTAAAGCTCGATAGTGACCTTGGTGGTCATCTACTCCTGTGCCTATTTTCCCTTCCCTTCTTTCTGTTTTATATTGTTCTTGGTAATTTTTTTTTTTGAGTCCAGCAAGACTTCTCAAGGTGTCTGATAGACAATGCTGAGACTTTGAAGATGTCTAATACAGAATAAATATTCAATAAATGCTTGAATTTACAATTAAAATGTATAAATAGGAATCATATTTTGTCAGTAATATTATCAGTTCAAAATATAACTACTGTTAATGGTACTAAATAGATCCGTAAGAAATAGAGCTCTAGAAGATATTCATATACGATTGACTCTTGAACAACACAGGAATTGGGGTGCTAACCCCTCCCATTGAAAATCTATATACAATTTTTGACTCTTCAAAAACGTAACTACTAATAGCCTACTGTTGATCAGAAGCCTTACTGATAACATAGTTCACACATATTCTGTATGTTTTATGTGTTACATATGTATTATTACAATAAAGTAAGCTTGAGAAAAGAAATTGTTATTAAGAATATGGTAAGAGCCAGGTGTGATGGTCTGCGCCTGTAATCCCAGCTACCTGGGAGGCTGAGGCGGAAGGATGGCTGAGCCCAGGAGTTTGAAGCTGCAGTGAGCTATGATGATGCTGCTGCACTCCAGCCTGGGCAATAGAGTGAGACCCTGTCTCTAAAAAAACAGAAGAATATCATAAGGATTATATTTACTACTCATTAAGTGGAAGTCGGTCATCATAAAGTTATTGCTCCTCATCATCATTACATTGAATAGATTGAGGAGGAAGAGGAGGGGTTGGTCTTGCTGTCTCAGGGATGGCAGAGGCAGAAAAAAATCTGCGTATAAGTGGACCCTCCCAGTTCAAACCCATGTTGTTCAAAGGTCAGCTGTATTCAAAATCTATTTACAGTTCTCTTTCACAGAATTGGCAAGGCGTATTATTTCTTACAGTAATGAGCAAGTCATGAAACTAGGCTCTGCTGTTTTTTCCACTTCAAGGTTTGTCAATTAACAGATGAACAGATCCATCACCTCATGAAAATGATACGTGATTTCAGCATTCTCTTTTACAGGGTAAGAGCAAAATTTTTCAACTGTGTAAAATGTAAAATGTCAGTGGTTTCCTTTTGGAGTGCACCAAAAAATGTGAAAGCTGTATATAGCCATCTAGTGGAAAGAGCATGGAGGTACATTAAGGGAGAGTGACATTATGTGGGTGTAATTAACATCTTGAAATTCTAGGTCATAGGTCAGTTCAAACTCGTCTAACTATAACCATATTCAATTATCTTTATACCAAGTTAGGAGCAGCCATGTTGGCATTTCACAGACTCTTTTTCTATTTTTGGATACATAAAATATAGAAAGTCTAGAGAGGCTGACCTACAGTAACACTTTCAGATAACCTTAGTTCCATCAGGCTTTGCCACTGACTATAGACCTTGGTTCAATCAAGCTTTGCCACTTACTACTATCTGTGTGGTTTAGATTCTTTGGATAACTTTATTTAAGTTTAGTTTCTTCATCTGTAAAATGGGATAATAATGTTTCTCTGTCTACCACAGTTTTGAGAAGGAAGGACTTGCTGACTTGTAAATGTGGAAAGTTATATACTATATGCATATATAGAATTCAATAAACACATCTTTTAAACAAAGTAATGCAAATATGTATTTTCTTTCTTCACAGTCCATTTTCTGTATCCAAAATTTTCATTTTTACTATGTTCAGAAAGTCAGGTATTGTAGTATTCTTTATTAATTGGCCTAAAATGTGAATGAACCTCTTGCTCTGCAGATCGGTCTTGAGTAACTATGGCTATTTTTAAATTGCATTTGCTTACTTCTTCCTCCAGAAAAAGATGACCATAGAAAACTGCCCATTTCCACCCAGATTAAATTGGGTCTTTCAATACTTTCCTTAAATTAATATAAATTGTGTAATTTTCAGCTCATACGTGGTGAGCCATATTTCTGGGCTTTTAAATTTTCACAGTGCTGATGGAAACTCAAGATATTTTCTTTGTAGGAGCCTTAAATATTTGTGAGTGGAATAAAACTGACCAAATATATCAAAATATCTTTTGAAGTAGAATTTATACCAAAATGGAATATATTCTCTGCTAGGATGGTATTTGAATGTTTATTTTCTTTCTTTCTTTTTTTATTAATGAATCTCTAAGGTTAAAAAGGAAAAAAAAATCCTTTTTCAGGTCAACAAAGAAAATGCTCTTATTAAATTTTGTCCCCTAGAATTAAGTTTTTTGGTTGTTGAAACTGAGTGAGCAGTTTCAGTCTTCTAAAAATAATCAGATTTCAAGCTAATCTAGCCTTTTTCTTTTAACTATATAATTATGGTTAATTTAAAAAGCCTTAAAAGTGTAAAAGACATTTTTAAATATAGAACTTTTACATGTCATTTAGATAAGAGGATAAAGCTATGCAAAGAGCAATTTTGAATACTAATGTCATTAAATAATGACTTATTTCACACAAATTTTATTTGACAAATATTACCAAATCTTGTCAATACCTTTTTCTCTGATGAAAGAAAAGATTATATTGACATATGTACAAACATATGTAAATTTTTAGCAGATGATTTTCAGAGGTGACTTTCGAGAATGTGTCTTTGGCTCCTTGGCAGCACTGTTTTGTGGATAACAGAATTTTTTGGTTTTTTTTTTTTTTAGTGCCGTAAAGCAGGACTTGCTCTCTCTAAACACTATAAGGTTTACAAGCGTCCTAATTGTGGTCAGTGCCACTGCAGAATAACTGTGTGCCGCTTTGGGGACAATAACAGAATGACATATTTCTGTCCTCACTGTCAAAAAGAAAATCCTCAACATGTTGACATATGGTAAGATATTGAATTTAAAGGGATACCATTTGCCCTAACCATCTAACTAAAAGGCTAATAATCTGAGAATATAACTGAATAACTGTCAGGCTATTCAGAAGAGAACGTGACTCAAAAGTATTTTAGTCCTTGAAAGGAAATAGTAAATAATGTCACCAAAGAACCTGAGGGAGCCAAAGATGATTTATGGACCAGTTCTGAATTTAGGTGGAAAATCTCTGGCTCAGGGAATAATATCTAGCCTTTACCTTTAACCTAGTTTGTAAAGTGAGTACCAGGAGATGTCAATAATTGGAAAAAAATGCAACTACCTTCAAAAGTCTCTGCTTCACTTAGAAATAATATTATAAAACAAAAGCAAGATCTTTTTACAGATTGTATGTCTAGTTGGTGAAATAATAGACCACTTACTAAACCCACGTGTAGTAGTTCTGCCAGTTGCTGAGTATGTCTCTTCCAATGATACATTCCAGAACTGGAGAAATAACCGCAGGATAGGTTTGAGGACTTACTGTGAGAAGTATTTGGGCTAAAACTCCATTGATCACCTGACCAGACTGGTGGTGGATCACAGTGATATTTTTGTCTCCTGGAATTAGTGTCAGTTCAGAGCCAGTGTCCAATAATCCTTGAAAAGTCTGATTATTTTCTTTTCCCCAATGTACAGTTACCTTGGTAACAGGCCATAGGACCTTTTGGGGGAAATCTAAGAGAAAGATTATGCAGTAGAAAGCAGCTGCATAGCAGTATATGTGATTATAAGATTATGTAGTATAAAGCAGCTGCATAGCAGTATATGTGATTATAAGATTATGTAGTATAAAGCAGCTGCATAGCAGTATATGTGATTATAAGCCAGTAGTACCAGTATGACATGAAGCACAAAAAATGCTGCATGGGTTCAGGGATATTAGAGGTTTCTATGTGCAGGAAGGTTGGGAAGATCTCAAAGAAAGCGTCATTTGAGTGGAGCTCCTTGTTCCACTCTTTCCCCCCTTCTCCCTACTGTACTTGACTAGACTTAAAAAAAGTATCATTTGAAATTTACCTTAAAAAATAGAATTTTGATTAAACGATAAAGCAAACAGTATTTAATTGGAAAAAAGGAGCATGGCCACAAACCTTGACTCATTAATAAACATGGCATGGTGGAGGGATGATGAGAATACTGGCCAACCCCAACAGAGGCTCCACGTTGTGGAATAATAAAAGCTAGTTTTACAGGGAGAGTGGGATCAAATGGTGGGGGTCATTAGTAGTTTGGAGAATGGTTAAGGTCTTTCCTAAATTAGCACATTAAGGACTTTTAGTTGATTGTAGCATAGTTAACATGGAAAACGAAGAGACTGAAAATGCATGTAAAGAAGCTGGTGCAGAGTAATGGGCAAGCGATGGTTACCAGCCTGGGGTCAAGACACTGGACGTGGTACCCTAGTAAAACTTTTTAAAAGTCAACAAGGACTGTGGCAGATTTGATAGGTAGGATGATGCAAAAGGTTTCAGGACCAAATAATAAAAATTTTCACATTGTGGGTCTGGGAAAATTGGGATGCAGCAGTGAAGATGCAGTATGTGTTAGATATGTGAAAGAACCCTGGAATATCCAGGAAGACATGTCTTAGGGGCTGCGATCCAGGATGAGAGAGGCTGTCGGCACAGTGCTGTTGATTGAAGCATTCCAACTTCTCAGTTCAGTAAGAATGAGAAAGGAAATGAGCCAAGGTCTGAGCTTCAGCAAATACCTATAACTACAAAGTGGGCAGGAAAGAAAAAGCAAAGGAAACAAAACCATAGGATTGGACATAGGAAGAGACTCAGGGCACCACTCGGCTGTGGGAAACCCGGGAGGTGGGAAGTGCGGTCATGTCTGTAGAGCTGGGGGCAGGGGAGGGAGCTGGTGTGCAGAGGAAGTCCCAGCTTAAGTCTTCATAAATATGTCCAGAACTGCGTGCTTTTTCTTTGTGTCCCTGCGTTTCATTTTCTGCATCACTCTTCTTGTTCTCCAATACTTTTCTCTACAGCACTCTATATCTTCTTCCACTCAGCCGCTTCACCCCGTGTTACTATCATAGACATCTGAAATACATTTAGATAATTTTATATATATATATATAATACACACTTAATGGTTTTTAAATTTTTTATGAACATTCATAATTTTTTTTTATGAACAAGAACTTTCATAGTTTTTTATGAACAGGAACTTTTTTATAATATAGGTATACATTTATTTGACCAAGTAACTAGATACTGCGTTGAACACAGTAGCTGGCAGATAGAAGATCTTCAATATATATTTGTCTACTAAATAAATGATTAATGTTCTGTATTGGTTTTCTATGAATTGATATCTTTGAGATTAAAAAATTATAAATATGTTATTTATCACATAAATAGTTGTCAATGTCAAAGGTTTTTTTGAAACTAGATTTCAAAGACCCCACAGTTCCCCAAAAGAGACCTATGAGTTAGGGAAGGCTGTGCTGAAAATGTTCTGGGCCTTGTAATCCCTCTTCCCTCCCGACCTGATTCTGTTTTCTACACTGGCAGTCAGCTTAAGACTTTGTTTGGAAAATCAACTATACACTGTGAAATAAATGTTTACATATTTTAAAAAGCTTGAAAACCAAGATGATTTGCCCTGTTCTTAGATTTTTCTGTGAATAAGTACATCCCATTTATTTTCTGGATGAGTATTTGATCCTTTTTTATGTTGATTAAATTTTCTCATTTTAATGTAAAGTCATTTCAAGTTAAGCTGAAGAAGTCTGAAAAGGCCACTACCAATTATCTAAATCCTCCTGTTTCTTCTGTCTCTGAAAGCTTACTGAACTCATGAAGTCCTCCCCCAATTTTCCAGTTTCTACTGATCATATCACACTTTTAATACTGATGCTATTTATTGTTGGTTCTTTTTTCTTTTTATTTGAGTTGGAGTCTCGGAGTCTCACTCTGATCACCCAGGCTGGAGTACAGTGGTGTGATCTCGGCTCACTGCAACTTTCGCCTCCCGGGTTCAAGTGATTCTCCTACTTCAGCCTCCCGAGTAGCTGGGATTACAGGTACCCACCACCACGCCCAGCTAATTTTTGTATTTTTAGTAGAGACGGGGTTTCACCATGTGGGCCAGGCTGGTCTCAAACTCCTGAGCTCAAGTGATCTGCCTGCCTTGGCCTCCCAAAGTGCTGGGATTACAGGTGTGAGCCACCGTGTCCGGCTTATTGTTGGTTCTTAATTATTTGCTAGCTAATATAATTTATGTATGTGAGTATTATTTCCTTTAAAGAAAACAGAGGAGGTAGTCTTTACCTTTCATTAGGGACTTTAAATTTTTTTCGTTGTTATTTACTTTATTTATTAGGGTCTGCTATACACCAGGTACTTGGAATACAAAGACAAAATAGAACACAGCCTCTCAAAGTGCTCAAGGGCTAATGTGGGAAGTAAATGGTAAATAGATAAAGCACCGTGATGGAAGTGTTGTAAAGGGACATGTTTATCCTACTGGCAATGGAAGTATGGAAGAAGAAACACTTAAGTCTACCTGGGAAGGACAAGGAAGTCTTTCTGAAAGAGGCAGTCTTTGAGCTTAGTATAGAAAGAAATAGGAATTCATCAAAGACAAGAGGTAGGAAAAGGATTTTCTGAAAGACGAAACAACACATGGGAAAGTATACAGGGAGAACATTTGGAATGCTGCACACAGGATATTTTGTTCCTTCAGGAGCACATATTCAGGTCTCTAAAAACCATCTAGTTTGGAAATGTGGCTGTAGTTGGTTGCCAGTCAATGAGAATTTAGTGCTGTCTGCAAACCAACTCTTTTTTTTTTTTATTATTATTATACTTTAAGTTTTAGGGTACATGTGCACAATGTGCAGGTTTGTTACATATGTATACATGAGATGTTACATATGTGTACGTAGAGATGGCGTTTCCCATGTTGGCCAGGATGGTCTCGATCTCTTGGCCTCGTGATCCACCCGCCTCGGCCTCCCAAAGTGCTGGGATTACAGGCATGAGCCACCACGCCTGGCTTTTTTTTTTTTTTTTTTTTTTTTTCTTGAGACAGAGTCTCAATCTATCACCCAGGCCGGAGTGCAGTGGCACGATCTCAGCTCACTACAACTTCCACTTCCTAGGTTCAAATGATTCTCCTACCTCGGCCTCCCAGGTAGCTGGAATCACAGGTGCATGCTACCACACCTGGCTAATTTTTTGTATTTTCAGTAGAGATGGGGTTTCACTATGTTGGCCAGGCTGGTCTGGAACTCCTTACCTCAGGTGATCCATCCACCTCGACCTCCCAAAGTGACAGGATTACAGGCATGAACCACCACACCAGCCAAGTTTTTTCTTAAATAGATCTCCTCCCACTGGAATATAGTTATCTACAAATATTCAATAAATATAGGCTTAATGAACAAATTTTGCCCCTACATATCTATTACAACTGCTCTCTTGAAAATCACCTATTTCCCAGAGGTCTTAAATAGGCTTCTTCAAGCCTCACCCTCTCTAATTCAGTTGAATTATTTTTAAATTTTTAAAATTTTAATCTTTTTAAAGACAGGAGTGCAGTGGAGTGATTATAGCTCACTGTGATCTCGAACTCCTGGGCTCAGGTGACCCTCCTGCCTCAGCCTCCCAAGTAGCTGGGACAACAGGCATGCACCATCATGCTTGCCTAATTTTTTATTTTTATTTTTAGAGATGGAATCTTGTTATGTTGCCCAGGCTGGTTTTGAACTCCTGGCCTCCAGCAATCCTCCTGCCTCAGCTGTCCAGAGTGTTGGAACTACAGGCATAAGCCACCGTGCCAGCCGACTCAGTTGAATTTAATTCTCTCCATCACTTCCCATCTTTGTTCCTATAGCTCTGTTTCTTCTGCCTCTCTTTCATGGGCTCCTTTTCTTTTGATCATCAAAGTTAAGGCAACAGCAAGGCTCTCTATTGGACCTTTCTGCCTCTCCTCCCTCCGTGCATTCCCAGTGATGGCGAATACTACCAGATTCAGCTATCATCTCAGACCATTTCTGGTAAAGATCTTTAGGTTATGTGTCAAACTATAGTTCTTGGGCCAGGTATGGTGGCTCACATCTGTAATCCCAGTACTTTAAAAGGCTGAGAGGGAGGTTCACGAGGTCAAGAGATTGAGACCAGCCTGGCCAATGTGGGAAACCCCATCTCTACGAAAAATACAAAAATTAGCTGGGTGTGGTGGCGTGCACCTGTAGTAGTCCCAGCTACTTGGGAGACTGAGGCAGGATAATTGCTTCAACGCGGGAGGTGGAGGTTGCAGTGAGCCGAGATCGCGCCAATGCACTTCACCCTAGGTAACAGAGCGAGACTCCGTCTCAAAAAAAAAAAAAAAGAAAAAGAAAAAACCTATCTATACATACATGTATAAGACATGAGGCGATGATAAGTGGTGATTAGTGTTCTCAAGAACATGAGCCACAGTAGCGGATAGTGACGGAGACGGCTCATTTTTGATAGGGTAGCAGATAAGTCCGTGGGGAGGACTTTGTTGAAAAGATTTGATGACTTGTAGCAATCTGAGGGTGGGGGAAATATTTCAAAGAAGGTAGCCCAGAAAAGCATAAAGCCTCTGAGTTGTTGAAGGAAGAGAAAGAAGGCATGTATGACTGAACCAAGCAGAGGGAATGAGAGACAGAGGCAGCCCCTCTGCTTGGGAGGGACCAAGGAGCATGCAGAGTCGGCTTGGCCAAGGCAAGTTTCTGAGTAGACTGGGGAGCCTTTGGAGGGTTTTGAACGGGCGTGAAATAACTGACTTAATGTTTGAAAAGATTAATCACTCTGGCGACTGTTGCCAATACTTTTGAGCTGGGAAGCCACTGGGAGAGTTTGAGCAGGAGGGCAGCATGAAGTGACTTGGGTTTTCTGAGGATGATTTGGGCTGCTGTGTGGAATAGAGACGGTCATGGAACCAGAGTGAAGCGGCAGCATCGGGGGCTCTCAACAGTAGTGCAGGTGGTAAATGCTGGTGACGGGGAAGAGAGAGAAGGTGGTGGGAAAAAAAGGTTGAATTTAGGATAATTTTGGAAGTTGAGTTAGGGTTAAGGCCAGAAATTTATATAATTTGGGGGCCCTTATTTATGAAAAACAATAAAAAATTATGACTACAACGTTAGGTCCTAATGTGAATATGTAGAATAAGAAATCACAACAAATTATATTTTTTAAACACCACAAACATCAGAAAAATGAGATATTATTAGTTCACTGCCTGACACAGCTGTGTAATTGTGTTCCTTTATGTTTTTGGCTGCAAACTCCTTGATTGCCTTTTCATATGACCACCAACAATATCATTACATCTTTTATTACGGCTAGATGAGAAAACTTTTAGCTTCACAATTGGCTGTTGATAGTGACACATCTCCAACTTCCTCTATCTTTTCTTTAAGCAGTACTTCTCTGTAAGGAAACCCTAAGAGCAGTGCCTCTCAAACTTTAGTGTGTACCAGCATTTTCTGAAGGGCTTGTGAAAACACAGATTGCCGGGCCCCACCCCTAGAGCTGGGGATTCAGTGGGTCTGAGGAGGGGCCTGAGAATCTGCATGTCTAACACGTTCCCACATGACGCCCATGCTGCTGGCCTGAGGACTTGACTTTGAGAACCCCAGCCCTTTGATCTTCCTCAGGTGCCTCAGGTTCCCCCCCTCTACCAGGTTGTTTCTGAGTTAGGGTGGGTAGTATAGGGGTAGAGTGGCCTGGCAGCCTGGATCATGGTGGCCTGTGAGCTCGGAACGATGCAGTATCTTTTGTTCAGGTCCTTCTCCTCAAGCCTCAGGGCAGAGTCCGCCTGCTCCTTGAGGTCACCAGGGCAATAGTTTCCCTGGGCACTGAACAGATGTGAGGTGATGCTGGCAGCACCCAGGCGCCAGGATTACCGCTGCCTGCAATCCTCTGAGTCCCCAGCATGTGGTCGAGTTATGGCTCCCATTCTCCATGCTGCCCACCCCAGTGTGCAGAGGACACGTCAAGCCATGGAAAGTTAAACTTCTTTTGCTTCATGTAAATTTGCATCTGCAGCAGATCCCACGGGATTTGCTGATGGACTGGAAGTGGGATGTGAGAAAAGGAAGTGTTAAGGATGACTTCTAGGTCTGGGCCTGATGAATTGAGCGATACTGATGCCATTTCCTGACATGAGATAGAATAGTAGAATTGCAGATTGGTGGCTCATGAATTTTTTTTTTTTTTTTTTTTTTTTTTTGACACGGAGTCTCGCTCTGTCACCCAGGCTGGAGTGCAGTGGCGTGATCTGGGCTCACTTCAAGCTCCGCCTCCCGGGTTCACGCCATTCTCCTGCCTCAGCCTCCCGAGTAGCTGGGACTACAGGCACCCGTCACCACACCTGGCTAATTTTTTTTTTTTTTTTTTTTTGTATTTTTAGTAGAGACGGGGTTTCACCGTGTTAGCCAGGATGGTCTCGATCTCCTGACCTTGTGATCCACACGTCTCGGCCTCCCAAAGTGCTGGGATTACAGGCGTGAGCCACCGCGCCCGGCCTCGTGGGTCATGAATTTTGTCTGTATTCATTTCCGCTGGCTGCCATCATAAATTATCATGACCTTGGTAGCTTAAAGCAACAGAAATGCATTCACTCAAACGCTGGATGCTAAAAGCTCAACATCAGTTTCATTGAACCAAAATTAAGGTGTGGGTAGGACTGTGCTCCCTCTGGAGGAACTGGGGGGAATCATATTCCTTTCCTCTTCTCGCTTCCGGTGCTGCCAGCGTTCTTTCATGTGTGGCTACATCACTGCAACCTCTGCCTTTGTGGTCTCCTTGCCTTCTCTTTGGTGTGTATCAAATCTCCCCCTCCCTCTCTCTTATAAAGACACTTGTGATTGGGTTAAGGGACCATCAGCTAATCCAAAATAATCTCTCTACGCCAAGATCCTTAATTACATCTGCAAACCCTCCTTCTTTATAAAGTAACATTTATAGATTCCTGGAATTGTGCCCTATGTCTTTGGGAGGCCATTATTCATCCTACTACAAAACATTAAGTTTGGGATTCTTCTTACACATCCAAGTGGAGATTGGGAAGAATTTATTAATGAGTGATTAAGAAATAGAGCAGTAAAGAAAGGAAAGAATGTTTCCAAAGCCTCCATATGTAACAATAAAATTCTCCTTATGATCAGGGAAACTTTTAGGACAGAAGAAAATGAAAATAGGGAAAAGTTGGAGCACATGGAAAATCTAAAAGTCATTTAAATTGTGTTTGTTTAATTATAGATAAATGCATCATGCTGCCTTTCAAAGTAAGTTAGTAGAGGACAGAGATTAGGTCAAATAAACAAATTCTGTAGAAGATCTGATATTCCATAGGGATAATAAATACTGAGTGGCATTAAAAGTCAAGGGAAGTAAAGATAAAAGAATCCTAATGAGATGTATCTTACTTTCAGATTTTCTTATTCTATTTATTATTTTACCAGACACTCCTGAATTTTAAAACTAGTGTAATTATATGTAAGGAACAAAATGTCACAGGAGACAAGGTTACCTTTGAAAGTCAAAGAACTCATGTTCTGAAATGTAAGATACATAGCCTTTACCTGCAAGAGCTTTGTTCAGTATTAATGTTTGGGATCATGAAGGGAATCCGTGATACTGCCATGGTTGCTTAACTGTGTGACATGCTCTATATCCAGACCTATAGCTAGCTGTGCATTAGAGAGTAGGACTATGTCACAGCCGTATAAAGGCATTTTGTGTAAAAATACATGGTCAATGAAGGACTTCAGATGGAGAATCATGATTTATATTTGTGGCCAAAAATCAGGGTTTTATTGTTTGCTTGCTAATCTATTAATTGGCTATCCACCATGAAACAGTCTTACATGAAGGGAAACAACACAAAGAGATATCTTTTTTCATCATTATGAATTAATGAATTTACATAGTGCTCAGCAGATACTGTAGAGAAATTCTAGAGTTTCCTGAGTTTTCTGTGCACATGAAGTAAATATAAAACTTTCACATCTTTCAATCCTCTAATTTCTGCATAGGTGTATTTTCCCATAATTTAATTGAATAAAGGTATTTTCATTTTGTTTGGGAAAAAAGTACCAATTACTTAAAACATTATTTGAGAAATACTTCCTAATGTGATATCAAATATTTTTAGTTGGTTTAAAAAAAAGCTACTCGATTATTTGACTCTAAATAACTTTTATTTGATGTTTCTCACTTTAACAACAATTAGTTGTTAAAGGGGGGTCCAGGTGAAAACATTTTACTCTGGCCAGGTGCAGTGGCTCATGCCTTAATCCCAGCGCTTTGGGAGGCTGAGGCAGGAAGATTACTTGAGGCCAGGAGTTCAAGACAGCCTAGGCAACACAGCATTCCATCTCTACTAAAAATTTAAAAATTAGCCAAGCAGACCAATGTGCACCTGTAGTCCTAGCTACTCAGGAGATTCAGGTGGGAGGATTGTTTGAGTCCAGGAGTTCGAGGCTGCAGTGAACTATAATGGTGCCACTACGCTGCAACCTGGATGACAGAGCAAGACCCCATCTCTACAAAAAAAAAAAAAAAAAAAAAAAAAAAAAAAAGACTCTAAGATACAGTACTAACTTCCAAGCAATAATAAAGAGATAGCATTGGGGTATTAATGGTTCTATAATCATTTCTAAAATATCCAGACAAGAACAAGGCAATAATAACAATGATTAATTTTAAAAATTATCTTATAGCAAGCTACCGACTAGAAATACTATAATCAGTTGGACATCTAGCAGGGTGGATCATGTTATGGACTCCGTGGCTCGGAAGTCGGAAGAGCACTGGACCTGTGTGGTGTGTACTTTAATCAATAAGCCCTCTTCTAAGGCATGTGATGCTTGCTTGACCTCAAGGCCTATTGGTAAGACTGAATTTTGATTTTGAGTTTGTTACATTTCTAAGAGGGTTAATTATACAAAGTCAGGAATATATCTTGCTCCATCTTGATATTCCATAACTAAATAAAATTTCTTTCTCAAAGGTTTAAAGGAATTGCCAGTTTTCACATGTAAACCATGCTAATATTCTGTTGAGTATTTTTTTTGAACAGGGAGGGAAAGCATGTTTGTGCTATAACAGTATGTGCCTTTGTATCTCAAAAAAATGGAGATGATCACATCTGTTCTCTACTGTTTCTAATGAATTATTCAATAAAGCTTTGTTTTATGCAGATTTCAGCAACTTTCGAGTTTGTTATTCAGTCCAAGTGTTGCATAAATTGAAAGGGAGGATTTCTGTAAGAATCTCTTTGCAGGTGGAATAGAAAAATGCTGAATTTTTTCTCTTCTTTATCCCTTCTACCCCGTGCTATTAAAATCTGTATCCAGACAATTGTACTGATTTCATTGAAACCCTTCAAAATAACTCTTTATAGCTCACGATTTCATGCATTTAGGGCATGTAAAACCTCAGAGGAAACCTGTGATTAAGAGCCATCTCATTGCAGCGGCTTCTATTGTGTTCTCAAAGTGTTATTTCTTTCTTCAATTAGAGATGAGAAAGTTCATTCCTGACTTACGCACCCCTGCATTGTGTCAACTGTCATATTGTGTTTTGTTTCCTGGGCCAGAAAGGCAGACATCACCCCTTGCACAGCTTTGCTGTGCTGCATCTCCTGTTTCCATCCCTCCCTCTTCAGTGTCCTTCAGCAGAGGCGGAGCCCATGGAAAAACACAATCTTAGGTTGCCACATTGATTTCAACATTCTGAAATGCATTTATATGTCTCATTAACTATTTTCTTGTTAATGTTTCTGAGTCAGAAAGACATCTTAATGATAATATAGAATGTATTATAGTACAGATTCCAAAATCCTAGGATACTCTGTTGTGAAACATTGTATTTAATAGATGTTAAGTCTGGCCAGTCGCGGTGGCTCACACTTGTAATCCCAGCACTGTGGGAGGCTGAGGCAGGTGGATCATGAGGTCAGGAGATCGAGACCATCCTGGCTAACATGGTGAAACCCCATCTCTACTAAAAATACAAAAAATTAGCCAGGCGTGCTGGCGGGTGCCCGTAATCCCAGCTACTCGGGAGTTTGAGGCAGGAGAATGGCGTGAACCCGGGAGGCGGAGGTTGCAGTGAGCCGAGATCGCGCCACTGCACTCCAGCCTGGGCAACAGAACAAGACTCCGTTTCAAAAAAAAAAAAAGAAGATGTTAAGTCTTTGTAATTCATCTTTACTTATTTTAAATAAGCCTTTCACTTTGTCTTGTCATTCCTAGTAGTCTAGAAACAGGTCTCTAACTGCTGACCTAAAGCTTTATGGGATATCATCTCTCAACTACCACTTTTTAATGCTTTGCCTAATATTAGCAAAACTGATAACTGAGTGACCTTTAAATGCTTAAACATCATAAAAAGCAAATATAAATCTTTGTTAAACCCATGTCTGGGTTTCTGTAAGTCGAAATTTTGCATTTTACATAATATTTCATTTCCTAGCCAGAAGATGATTAATTCTGACTTGTCTGAGCTAACTTTGTGTTATTAGTTCTATATATTAGTTCACTGTAATAAAGTGAAGTAAATTTTTTAATCAAATAAAAAGATGTTTCACATAATCAGTATGTTATATTTATGGGACTATTGCAGAATTACTTCTCTCTCCTTCCAGATTCAGTGCTCAAGAGTGAAGAAAATTCTACTGTCTTTAGCCACTTAATGAAGTACCCGTGTAATACTTTTGGAAAACCTCATACAGAAGTCAAGATCAACAGAAAAACTGCATTTGGAACTACAACTCTTGTCTTGACTGATTTTAGCAATAAATCCAGTACTTTGGAAAGAAAAACAAAGCAAAACCAGATACTAGATGAGGAGTTTCAAAACTCTCCTCCTGCTAGTGTTTGTTTGAATGATATACAGCACCCCTCCAAGAAGACAACAAACGATATAACTCAACCATCCAGCAAAGTAAACATATCACCTACAATCAGTTCAGAATCTAAATTATTTAGTCCAGCACATAAAAAACCGAAAACAGCCCAATACTCATCACCAGAGCTTAAAAGCTGCAACCCTGGATATTCTAACAGGTATGATGCTTTTAACCTTGGTCTTTAAGATAATTGCTTTTTTTTTTTTTTTTTTAAGACGAGGTCTCACTCTGTCACCTAGGCTACAGTGCAGTGGTGTGATCTCAGCTCACTGCAACCTCTGCCTCCCGCGTTCAAGCGATTCTCCTGCCTCAGCCTCCCAAGTAGCTGAGATTACAGGCACATGCCATCAGGCCCGACTAATTTTTGTATTTTCAGTAGAGACGGGGTTTCACCATGTTGGCCAGGCTGGTCTCAATCTCCTGATCTCAAGTTATCTGCCCACCTCCGCCTCTCAAGGTGCTGGGATTTACAGGCTTGAGCCACCATGCCCGGCTGGTTGCATTAAGTTTTAAGAAGACAGAAATTGTCCCTTGGTAAGGAAGTTGAATTACTTTTGGTAACATGAATCAAACCCTAAAAGACTATTATAGTAGTCTGTCTCCCTTCCCTTCTCTAGATTATAATGTTAGAGAAGGGAAGGAAATGAAAAACGTAATTTCCTACATGTATGAAAAGTTGGGTTTTTTTTTTTTCTGACAATAACCATACACATGATCAATACAGAATATTTGGAAAATATTGTAAAGTATAAAGAAAAATATTTGTCACCCATAATCATACTGCTTATCAATAACCAGTTAGCATTTTTTAATATTTCCTTCCAATGAAAGATAGTCTTCCAAAAGGGGAACTATTTTTTATAAAAGTTTAGTAAGTATACTGTGTTCTAAAAGGAGGGGTCTGAGGTGCCTGTAGTGACCTTTCTGTTAAAGAACGTGGATGGATCTCAAACAGTCATGCGAGATGGTGTTTATTTTTATTTTTATTTTTTTCTTTGAGGTGGCGTTTTGCTCTTGTCGCCCAGCTGGAGTGCAATGGCACAATCTTGCCTCACTGCAACAACATTCGGCTAATTTTTTTTGTATTTTTAGTAGAGATGGGGTTTCGCCATGTTGGCCAGGCTGGTCTCGAACTCCTGACCTCAGGTGATCTGCCCACCTCAGCCTTCCAAAGTGCTGGGATTACAGGCGTGAGCCACTACGCCTGGCGTTGTTCTTTAACTAAAAGTCCTAAAAAGCATACTTGCTACTTTGTATCTGAAATTCAAAAGTTGTAATTCTAACTAAGAAATACTACCAGAGCAGATATATTTTATAGGACTTCCAGCTACATGTCCAGGAGAACACCCTCATTTTTGTCACCTGTGATACAGAAATTTTAATACATAACGTCATCCTCTCTTTTCCTTAATGATTATCGGCAGCTCCTGAAACAATTTTCTGTTGACCCTCCTTCCCCCTTTATCTGGCCCTCCCAGTCCCTTTATCTGGAATTCCTAACTATGGCAACCCGATGTTATATCTCCAACACAGGACACATTTCTCCACCATTTTCTTTTCTCAGCTGCTTTCTTTTTTCCTTCAGAAAGCAGCTGACTTACATCCAGCATTTTTAAATAAGTGGAGAATTTATAACATATAAATGGAGGGTCGTCCTCCCATGTATGTCTTTTCTTGCCAATGGGAGACAGGCAGAGAAGGAGTTACAGTCATCCCTCGGTATCCTCAAGGGATTTGTTCCAGGACCCCCAGGATACCAAAATCTGCAGATGCTCAAGTCCCTGATATGAAATGGCATAGTCCTTGCATATAACCTATGCACACCTTTTCATATATTTAACTCATCTCTGCATTACTTCTTATAATACTGAATTCAATATAAAGGCTGTGTAAATAATTGTTATACTGTATATTTTGTGTAATTTTTTTATTGTTTCATTATTTTTTGTTTCCAAATATTTTCGATCCAAGGTTGGTTGAATTCATGGATTGGGAACCTACGGCTATGGAGGGATGTACTTTGGTTGGGACCTAGAGTAATCTCAGGTGGAATTCTGAGATTCACTGGCTTTTCCTCTTATTAGCTGTGCCTTTACTGATGGGTAGATGCCTTCTCTCAGCGGTGGGGTGAGGGACCATTTGGTGTAAACTCCTAGAGCAACCTGTAGGAATCCTTAAGCTTATTTCATAACAAATTCTGAGACAGTCTCTGCTCAATAGATGTGTTTACTCCAAGTTTCCTATTCCAGCTCTAAATTTACCATCAGTTAATCCTGATGATTTATCCTTGACTGGTTTTTTTAATGTCTTGTTCATAATCATTTATGATAACTGGTTTAACTTTTGTTCATATACTCACATTTGAAGTAAGCTAAGGGGGCTAAACTTTTAACTGACTGGATAAATCCACCACGTTTTCACTTTAACCCTAATTAGTGCCTCATGATAGAAGTTCATTAAGGAGTTAATTAAGAATGTTTGAGTTGGGAGGCTGTCCTGGAACAGAAAATCATTTCCAAACAGTCTTTTCTGTTCCGTGGCTTAAGTGGAAAGTAGAAGTGATCATCTTAAAATATTGTGGCATTTGTTGTACCTAGATGAAATATCTTGGCATATTTTTATTTCCTTAATGCTTTGTAGAAAATCTCAGACATTTTAACTAATGAATTAGGGATTTAAAAAAACATTAATGTAACCTTAAATTTAAATGATTTCTTCATAAGCCATTAGTAATAGGATCATATGATTAATCACAGTGCACAGCATTACTTAGGAATGCTGCAGCCTGTGTATGTATTGAATATAAGAACACCAGGACTGAGACTCCACAATCAATCAAGATCAACTAGCAGAATAAATGTCAAGTGATGAAATAAATTCACCCAGCAGCCCTTCTGCACCCAGCTACTTTACAAGGAATAAATTGCAAATTACTGTCATTTATTTCATTTTTCTCCTTGTCTGGCAGCTATAGTGTTCATCTTGTGGACAAGATGCCTAGCAGAAGCTCACAACATAATACTATTAAAGCAGGTGGTCCATTCATAATTTATAGCCAGTTTATTTTTTCTTTAATATTATATGATAATTACTTTGACTTTTGTTCTCTTAATTACTGTTCTCATTACCACACAATCCATGCAGTGTTGATGAGGCATATTTTCTGATTGGTCTTGAGATAGATGTGTATTCCATCCAGCTATTGGCTTATAAATTAGATGATTGAACCCATTTTTAAACAGTTAAGAATAATTACTAGAAACAGTTTAAGTTGTCGATCCAATTACTGTAAACACAGAGCAAAACACAGTGATGCAGTTTCAAAGAATGCATGTGTTTTAGGCTGAAATTTTTCCTGCGTTGATGCAAAGGCTCACATAGGAGGGTGAAATGACAATAACAAAATCATTAATATTTTCTCACATTTGCTGCCGTCAGGGATGTTGAAGATCTGTCTTTAATCACCAGTGCAAGTACTGACACCATGTCCTTGTCTCTTGGTTGCTTCTTGGAGTTTTCAGTCTCAGGATTTCAGAACCACCTGGGGCCGTCCAGAATGAGTCATTTCACTTTTGTTTGTTTTAATCCTCGAAATAATCCTGTATGACAAAATCTACATTCAGTGAGACCGATTAATCCAAAAAATTCAGACAGTATTTTTATTATAATGAATCGCCCTATCTATAAAATGAGTTAAACCAAGCTTGTCCAACCATAGGCTTGTGGGCTGGACGGCTTTGAATGCAGCCCAACACAAATTTGTGAACTTTCTTAAAACGTGAGTTTTTTGTGTGATTTTTTTTTTAAGTTCATCAGCTGTCACCAGGGTTACTGTATTTTATGTGTGGCCCAAGACAATTCTTCTTCTTCCACTGTGGCCCAGGGAAGCCAAGATTGGACACCCCTAAGTTAAACTGTGATAAATTGACCATGAAAAAATAATATTCACTTTAAAATTACAGATCTGTGCTTAGTAATGTCTTCCTTCTTGATGATAGTTTTTGTCTGGTCTCTGTTCAGTTTTATTTATTAATAAGTATTGAGAATCTATTATGCCTCGGGCATTGTTCTTGATTCTAATGACATGTACATGAGCAGACTATAGCCAGCAGGGCCAAATCCATCCCACCACCTGTTTGTGTAAAGCTTTATTTACATTTGTTTAGATATTATCTATGGCTGCTTTTTGTGATAACAAACTTAGACCGTAAGACCAGCAAGCCTAAAATACGTTATCTGAAAAGGTTTGCCAGCCCCGATCTGTTGTATTAATAGATCACTTATAACCCAGAATTAATATTCAAAATCATGGTCATGATCACGAAAATGAACAATTCTGTATGCTACATTTAAGTAAGAAATCTGCTATATTTTAGAAAGTTTTTATAAAACAAAGAGGAACTAAGATGTCCTCAGTTAATCAGAACATTTAATTATCCTGGATAATGTTGTCTATCATAAAATTAAGATTAGCTGTGCATATTTAGAGCCAGTGTGATACAGGTGGCATTAGTATCTTGGTTACGTTACTTCAGTGCTTCATAACTTAATGTGCATATGAATCACCTGGGAATCCTGCTAACATGCAGATTCTGATTCTGCAGGCAATCAGGAGTAGGGGTGGATATGTCTGTGTTTTCTAACAAGCTCCGGGTGATGCTGCTGCTTCTGGTCAGTGGACCACACTCTGAGTACCAAGAATAAGATCACACGTGGCTATGTTTTTGTTGTTGTTTTTTGTTTTTTGTTTTTTTTGAGAAGGAGTCTTGTTCTGTTGCCAGGCTGGAGTGCAATGGCGCGATCTCAGCTCACTGCAACATCTGCCTCCCGGGTTCAAGGGATTCTTCTGACTCAGCCTCCCGAGTACCTGGGATTAGAGGCACCCGCCACCACGCCCAGCTAATTTTCTATTTTTAGTCGAGACGGGGTTTCACCATGTTGGCCAGGCTGGTCTTGAACTCTCGACCTCAGGTGATCCGCCCGGCTCAGCCTCCCAAAGTGCTGGGATTACAGGCGTGAGCCACCATGCCCAGCCTGTGGCTATGTTTTTAATTTAATTTTTAAGGGAAGAAATGGAGTGGAAGGCAGAAGTGAAGGCAGAGAGATGACATTTGGGCCTCTCCTTTCTACTTTAATCCTACCTTCTACCTTGGCCCTTCTCCCCAGAAAAATTTTAATACAGAATCTAAACCTCTCCCTGGATATGTGGAACCCTGGAGCTCTCTAGGTTGAAACAAGTAGGTTAGAAAATGTTCAACCGTTATCCAAAACAGCCGCCTCTAAAATAATATATAAAACTGTTTTTGTGTCCACACAATTTTTAATAAGAATGCATCATTTCATTAATTTTGTTAATATTCTTAATCTTTTCTCCTTTAATTTTAAGAGAGCATTGTTTATGAACCACTTGCTTTAATTGTGAAATCTCTTGACTTCTCTACAACTGTCCAGATATCTGGCTTCCCTTGAAGTTAAAGTTTTGGAGGAGATTGGTGAAATGGAGTTTTGGAGGGGGTTGGTGAACTGAAAGGTTGTGGAAAAGAAAAGTCCTCTGCCTCTCAGCTTTCCTATTTCTGATCTGGTATTACCCATGACTTGAAAATACAGCCACCACCCCTCTACCCTGGAAAAGTTACCATCAAAATAGTTGCTGGTGAAGTATTTAATGGTGACGATTGATTTAGCAATGCCTGCAGCTGCTCTTATTTTACAAATGGCTATTGAAGAAACCTTCAAAAACTGCCCTCAGAATGTTTGAGTTCATCCCAGCAAACATTTTCAAAGCAGTATATTTAAGCATCCTTTATATAAATGAATTTCAGTCCATTTAATCACAAATAAGAGATTGCATTCTCTGAACATTTCAATTAGATATGATGCATTGAGGCATCATAGAAACAAGTGTGTAAAAAATGCAGTTTAGGAAGCAAGGAAAAAGGGAAATCACCTTTGATTTTTAAGTTTTTTTTTAACAATTATTTAAGAATGATATTTTTGTTCTTTAGATATTTACCGAAAAGATGAGAATGGATTAACTGTTTTATCATTAAAGAGTTAAAAAAAAATAGGAATATTAAGAGGGGGACTTCTGGTTTTAATGAATGTGAACACTTTCTCTTCAACCAGTTTATTAAAAAACTAATTCTCTTAAAGGCATTATTAAAATATGCACAACACAGAAAATTTAAATAAGCTTCTTTTCAAGAAGAAAATTCTGTTTATACAGCTACAGTACAAGGCCAGCTTCTAGCCTGTGTACACTGGGTATGAGGGCAACCTCCAAATACTCTTGATCCTAATTATGGGGGAGAATAAAGCTTCCCTGCTAGCTTTACAAAATTCACATTTTTGCTCTCTGCCAGGCAGCCTGTTTCTTGCAGGAATATGATTGCGACTATTATAGTAGCCTTGATCAAAGAAAAGCATAGAAAATTGTCTTTAAAGTGGACAGCAGAGAGAGTGATTTCTATGGCCTTGTCAGAGCCATTGATGAGAGTTTGCTACCGATGAGAAAATAATTAGAGAAGATTGTGACTAGCTACTTTGGGGCCAGTGGGAATGGAGAACCTGGACTTGAGAATATTTTAGAGGAAAAAGAAGTGGCTACAGTGTGATATTGGGTAAGAAAAGAACTGAATATCACAAATGAAAAATAAAATTTGATTTACTGGATACACAGTCCAGCTGCTTTTGTTCTTTAGAAAGTTAAATTACGTGTTTTAGGTACATAGGTAACTTTGGAAATAAATTAGAATTACCTGGGAAAACAAAGAATAAAGACAGCCTTTTGCATAATGACCTAATGTTAACGAGGTCCACTTTTTGATAGAATTTCTTGGTACAAGTGAAATTCTGACATGTGGGGGTAAAGTGGTGTGAATGGTCCCTTAGCACTCCTATGCTGTACTTATTTTGTAACCTGTCATTACAGTGAACTTCAAATTAATATGACAGATGGCCCTCGTACCTTAAATCCTGACAGCCCTCGCTGCAGTAAACACAACCGCCTCTGCATTCTCCGAGTTGTGGGGAAGGATGGGGAAAACAAGGGCAGGCAGTTTTATGCCTGTCCTCTACCTAGAGAAGCACAATGTGGATTTTTTGAAGTATGTGTAAGATTTATCTAGCTTACTAAAATGTAATTAAATGCTTTGGTTATTAATGTATAACAAATAGCAATACTTTCCTAGTTTTACCTTTTACCTTTAAATTTGAAATAGCCATATTGGCATTCAGTCTAAAGCTTGAATGTTGACTAACTTAAAATTCAGATGTTCAGCCACAAGAAATTTAATAAAATAATAGCTATTACATTGTTAGAGTATATCATATTTATAATCATAAGTCTAGAAGTGTTGCACTTAGCTTGTAAAGTTAGAAAGACACTGAGTGACTAGTAGGTACTAGTAGTACATATGTGGCTAATAATCCAAGGTAAGAATTTGTTCTTCCTAACTTCAGCGCTACATCAAAACCTTTGGTTTATGCATTGGATAAAGGTTTATAAGAAAAGCAATTTACATGCCTGGGATTTACAATAACCTTATCAAATCCTACTTAACCACACTTGACCCAAAAAAGTGATGGCACCATAGCAATTTAGCTATAGGCGATTCCTCCTGCCTTTCCAGTCTGTGGATGTATCCCTAAAGATGAACCTAAGATAGGAGATAAGAACCTCAGGTCCGTTTAGTCAGTCTCACTTCCGGTATTCCTCGGTGTGAGCATCTCATCAGGCTGAGTGTGATTCTAATGTTCAGAGATACATATTTTTTCTAGTTACTCTTCATCTGGAATAGAACTGAAAAAAGAAAATATTGATATGTTTCAGTGCTGGCGCAAAGATTTTCTGGTGGACTTTTTGAAAGATCAAATATCTGTCTTCAATGTGATACCTTCTTAAGGAATTTCCCGGGGAAAACTGGATAGTGATTTTAGACCTCAATCTCTAAACACAGTGTAACTCTACCCTACAAAATTCACAGATTTCCTCCTCAAGAAGCTTTTATAGATGTAATGGGAAAATATTATTAGCAATATTCATGGTATTGCTAAAAATATAATAGCCTTTTTCATATCTCTCTTGAGGTCAAAATTAGTAAGAATAATATAATAGAATCTGTCTAATTCAGTCTGCGTAAGTATTTGATTCTTTCTTTTCCTAAGGAAGTTTAATATTAAAATCATGACAAATCTTTGATCTTACAGGGTTTTTTTTGTTGTTGTTTGATTTTTTTAGAGACAGGGTCTCCCTATGTTGCCCAGGCTGGTTTCAAACTCTTGTGCTCAAGCTATCCTCCCACCTCAGCCTCCCAAAGTGCCGGGATTAAAGGCATGAGCCACCGCACCTCACCTGATCTTACAGGTTTAACTGAAACAGACCTATAGCAGGGATATTGGTGATTACAGCAAGATTTTGATAGTTTTCAATTATTCTTAACAAAGTGAAGAAACTTCTGTAAATATACCTTTAGATAAAGGGAAGCTCAGAATTATGGCCATTTTCTGCGTGATTCAAACAAATTTGTAAGAGAGATGCTTCTTTTAGGATATAAGCTTTTTTAAAGGCGACGACTAATTACTGGTCTATTTTACAATGTCAAATTAATGATAACAGCAGTGAAGACTATATGGCACTAATCACATGTGCCTAGGGTTAGCCTGTACATCATGATAACTTTTGTATAAACTTGTAAATTTACCTTTTTTTCCTGCAGTGGGCAGATTTGTCCTTCCCATTCTGCAACCATGGCAAGCGTTCCACCATGAAAACAGTATTGAAGATTGGACCTAACAATGGAAAGAATTTTTTTGTGTGTCCTCTTGGGAAGGAAAAACAATGCAATTTTTTCCAGTGGGCAGAAAATGGGCCAGGAATAAAAATTATTCCTGGATGCTAATATCTGTAGATTCTCTGGCATTTAGTCTCTTCAAACTGTGTATAATGTTTGGTCCTCCTCTGTTTCATAGAAAAGTCATAGAATATCTATGATACATTGAAAAGTTACTGCAATATTTGAGAACTGTTCTTTTTTTTTCTTGTGTGTGCCATCTTTCCATTGTTGGCTACGTCTTTTCTTTTGCCTTGATGAACGTTCTATGTATTTCATCGGATATACAGCATATTCCATTTAGGATGTGTATTTAATGCATTTAGTAATGACGATAAAGTGTTTTTAGTATGCTTTTAGTCTCTTGTAACTGGGGAGAAGCAGTGTTTTTTTTTTAGGAAAGGATTATGCGACACAATAAAATAAGATATTCTGTCTGTAGTGAATACATTTCTCATGTACTAACACTATTTATAATATATGATTAAAGATATTTCTTGTTTTATTAAATAATAAGAAATAAGATCTCCTTTATGAACAAGTCTATTTTTAAAATTCTGTTCAACCAACATTAAGTTCCTGTTAGAGGCTGGGGCTATGCCAAACCTTGTATGACTTCAAATTTGTGTTCTCATGTAAAGTGATGTGGATGCAGACTATAAAAGTAACATTTAAGAAAAGAAGAACTTGCGTGTAGGCGTTTAAAAGAGAGGTTGATTTATATTTTTCTAACGCCCTCTCCCCGCTGCTTGTATTTAAATTTTAGCACAGATCACTATGATTGTTCCTCCTCGATAAAAAGTCACTCTTAAGGTGTTTCTGTATGCTTGTAAAAAAAAGTCCTTTCAGAGCTGGTTGAATCTGTTTTTTTTAAAGGACAGCACAAAGGTGGCTTGAACCACTTTCCCGTTCTACCACTAATTTTTCCATGCAGAGCTATAGAAGTTAACAGCATATGAAATTACTGGCAAGAACAAAACATGTTTTATAGTTTTATAAGTATTTTGTTTTGACTCTACACTGAAAAGACAGGACCAACCTAGGATGAGTGATCTTCACCCAAATTGCTCAACAGGGCAGTGACTCTACAGAACAGACCAGGAACTGGACTGGACAGTTGACAATCTTAGCTGCACTGATGTGAAGTACATAGAGAGTACATTAGGAAGGAAACTGCAAGCTAATTGTGCAATAAAGAGGAAAAAAGGTCCACTGCAAAAAGGACTTCCAGGAAGTCTGGTCTCCAAAAATGTGCATGTTAATTACACGGAAATGTAAGTAAATGAAACTATAGGTTATATGATAAACTTACATCCTTATCCTAATAAGAAATGTACAGGATCTATATGAGGAAACTTTTTTTTTTGAGACAGGGTCTCACTCTGTCCCCCAGGCTGCAGTGCAGTAGCATGATCTTGGCTCACTGCAGCCTCAACCTGTCGGACTCAAGCGATCCCCTAGCCTCAGCCTCCCAAGTAGCTGGGAATACAGGTGTGTGCCAGCACGCCGGGCTAATTTTTGTATTTTTTGTAGAGACAGGGTTTGCCATACCGCCCAGGCTGGTTTCTTCTGGGCTCAAGAGATCCTCCCACTTTGGCCTTCCAAAGTGTTGGGATTACAGGCATGAGCCACCATGCCCGGCCTGAAGAAACTTTCATCTGAGAGTCCCAGAGAACCAGATGTATTCTGGTTCAAACAAGAACAAAAACAAGTTCCTGTTTGGAAGGAAAGATTGTTTAAAAGACAGCGTTCTTTCAGACTTAATTCTATTATGATAAAATTTCTCATAAAAAATCTCAGTGGGGGTTTCTGCCTCCTTGTGTCCTGGTGAGCTCCAGCTGAACCCAACCTCCCCACAGATAACTCTAGATTCCGGACAAAATCAAAAGCACCGCTGGAGAGTGAACTAAAGCAGGCAGATTCTTGAGGGCTGTGAAATTTAGAAGAAAGAATAGGCTGGAGGTGATTTCCCATTTTTTACAGCTTTTGTCCTGAGGGCAGAACAAAAACAGAATCAAGTAGGCCAACCAAAACTTCAGTAGAAAACCTGAAGTATTTCTCATCTACAGAATCAGCAGGCAATTTTGGCAGCCACAGCCACTGGGAAGTAAGGGGGAAATCTCAGAAAGGACATGGAGAGGGGAGCCCCACATTCTGTGAAACTCTGCTGATGTCATTGACCACTGAACCATATATGCATGGGACAAACTGAACACGGAGCAACCTAAGATAAAAGAGCTGAGCTGGCCGGGCACGGTGGCTCACACCTGTAATCCCAGCACTGTGGGAGGCCGAGGCAGGCAGATCACGAAGTCAAGAGTTGGAGACCATCCTGGCCAACATGGTGAAACCCTGTCTCTACTAAAAATACAAAAATTAGCTGGGCGTGGTGGCTCACACCTGTAGTCCCAGCTACTGTGGAGGCTGAGGCAGTAGAATCGCTTGAACCTGGAAGGTGGAGGTTGCAGTGAGCTGAGATCTCGCCATTGCACTCCAGCCTGGTGACAGAGTGAGACTCTGTCTCAAAAAAAAAAAAAAATGCTGAGCCAAGATATTATCTGCCATGCAAGAAAGAGATTTTGCAATTTGAATCTAACCAAATTAATCTGCTGCTGAGATAAATACATCAACACTCTTTAGAAGACTACAGCAGGTCCTTGAATAAGACTTCATTCAACATCATTTTGTTATAACTATGAGAAAAAAATCACTTTCAGCCAAGGCCACTATCTGTGTGGAGTTGGCATGCTCTCCACATGTCTGCGTGAGTTTTCCTCTGGACACTGGGTTCCTACCACATCCAAGGATGTGTGCTTTAGGTAAACTGGCACATGTTCATGGTCCCAGTGTGAGCATGTGAGTGTGAGTTGCCCTGTCATGTGAGGGCATCCTGGCCAGGGAGAGTTCCCACCTGGTGCCCTGAGCTGCCAGGATGGGTTCCAACCACCTGCAACCCAGAACTGGAATAAGTGGGTTGGAAAATGAATGAATGTGAATTATAGGACAATAAAAATTTGCCAAGTATACAATACAATAATCATACAAATGCACAACAACACAATATGAAACATTTGCAAACATTTATTCTGTGAGTTAACTCATCACCACTACAACCACCATCAGTCCCTCCAAAATTTGGGTGACTAAGAAAAAGAAAAAAAATTTACTCTGACTGCAGTGTGGAGGGTGAATGAATTCATTCACCAAAATTTGAGTAACTATTTTGTTTTTATTAATCTTTCTTAAATATATGTACAGCTCACGTTTATTTTAGTGTTTAACATTAGAAGTCTGTTTAGAAGTTTGATGATGTTTTTGTGACCAGAAATATGCTGTAGGAATTTAACTCTGGTTTATATCAATTAGCCTTTGTGAAAATTGGTTCTGTCTTAGATTATTTTGCTTAAAGTCACAGTTTCCATGAACCTATCGATGATGTGAAGTGAGAAATTACTGCATGCCAAATCCAGAGTCTTCACCATATAATACCTATACTATTCAGGATACAGTCCAAAACTACACAGCATATGAACAATCAGAATGATGTGACCCAGTTTTAGAGGAAAGACAACCAAGACCCACCCTAAGATGGCCCAGATGTTGAATAGTAAACACAGATTTTAAAGCAGCTATTATAACTATGTTCATTGAAGTGAATGCTAGAGGGAAATAAAGCCAGGTGGAAATCCAAATATTCAAGAGGCAATACAGAAAATATGAAATTGCAAATATCTAAAGGAATATAAAATTTTTTTCCTTTTAGTTTCTTTAAAACATATGGGACTTTTAAAGCAGGAAATTAGCTTGTGAAATTTACAATGCAGGTAGATATATGTGACAACTATATCATCAAGGATGGAGAGATTGAAGGATCTATTATATGAGTTTTCTACATTTTATGTGAAGTGTTACCATATTAATTCTAATTGTACAAAGTTAATGATGTATTTTAATTATCTATTACCAAATTTGGGAAGTTTGCAACCATTATCTCTTCCAATACTTTTTATTTTGAGATGGAGTCTCGCTCTTGTCGCCCAGGCTGTAGTGCAGTGGCACAATCTCGGCTCACTGCAACCTCCGCTTCCTGGGTTCAACCGATTCTCTTGCCTCAGCCTCCTGAGTAGCTGGGATTACAAGCACCTGCCACCACGCCTGGCTAATTTTTGTACTTTTAGTAGAGACAGGCTGTCGTCATGTTGGCCAGGCTGGTCTCAAACTCCTGACCTCAGGTGATCTGCCTGCCTCGGCCTCCCAAAGTGCTGGGATTACAGGCGTGAGCCACCGCGCCAGGCCTCCAATACTTTTTCAATCCCATACTCTTCCTATTCTTCTGAGACTCCAGTGATACAAACGTTAGATTATTAGATTGTTATTGAGATCCCCAAGGAACATAGCCCAGATCCCTGAGACTCTCTTCCTTTTTTCCAGTCTATTTTTCTCTCTCTTTTGGACCAATTGAGTAAATTGTATTGATCTGTCTTCAAGGTCACTGAATCTTTTCCGTCATCTCCACTCTACTATTGAGATCATTCAGTGAGGTTTTATTTCAGTTATTATATTTTCCATTTCTATTACTTCCACTTGGTTTTTTAAAAATATAATTTCTGGGGTTTTTTTGCTAAGATGTTCTAGTTTTTTCCCCTTTGGTTTTGGGAGCATGTATAATTGATTTCTTGAAGCATTTTTGTGACATCTGCTTTAAAATTGAGATAATCCCCAAATCTGACGAATCTCAGTATTGCCCTCAGTTGAGCATCTAGTCTCATTCAGATGGCTGTTTTCCTGGTTTTCAGCTTGACAGGTGATTTTTTTCTCATCATACCTCGGATGTTTCAGTTATGTTAGGAGAGCTTAGATCCTATTTTAATCTTCTATCTTAGCATGCCATCAGCCTCTTGAGGTTTAGTGTGTAGGTTCTGGCCTGCACTGTAGGCTTTGGTTTCAATGACAGTGTCATTTACAGAGCCCTTGCGATGCAGTTCTGTTCTTTCTTCTGATGCTGCTGTGGCTCCTTATCAATCCCCACTGGTGCAGTCTGTGGGCACAGGTGATCCCCTGGGTTGCCTGCTGTTTCTGGAGTTGGGGAGAGCAGATGTCTCTGTGCCTGTGTTTCCTTATACCACTAGGTGGAGGGAAGCGGTTGCTATTGTCCCACATCAACCACATTGACTCCCACAGCAGCAGAACCTGGACAGAGCTGTCAGATTTCAGAGCCTGCATCTGTTAGTCCTTATGCTTAACTTGCGAGATGCTATGTGGTCTGCTGGTATTCATCTCTTTGGAGTTTATCTGCCCATTTCCTGGTATTTCAAACCAGCATCACAAGAATATAAAATATTTTAATGATGGGAGAAAAAACTGAGAGTCAGATAGACTGTGGGGAAGACAGTGATTTCGAGAGCCACTGTTTATTGAACCTTTCTTTGCAACAGCCGCTGTGCTGAATACTTGCCACAGATCACTTCACTTAATTCTCTTGACCACTCTGTGTAATAGACTTTGTTGCTGTTGTTGTGGTGTTGTCGCTATTTCTGATTTTTCAGTTAAGGAGACTTGGACTTCTGTAGGTTAAGTAGGAAGTGTGTCTGTGTCACACAAGCCATGGTTTGAATGAACTTTGTGAAGCACTGATGCCCACACCCTGAATAAGCTATTCTCCTTCTCATTTATTAAGGAAAAGTAGCTGTACCCAGAATTGCATGTCTTTAATATGTACAAATATCTAAGAGTCATCTATGTAGGAAAAATAAAGGGAAAAAATACACAAATGAAAATAATTGTGGTATGATGAGATTATGGTCATTTTTCTTTTCTAACATTTATGTTAAATTTACAATGTTAAAATTCCCATAAGTTCATTTTAAATTCTCATTATACATTTTAGTTCCATTATTTTATTTTTAAAAATCCACCGTTTTCATGTACTTTTCTAAAGGTACTTATCATTGTATATTATAGTTCATCAGTATTGGCAAATTGGGCAAGGAAACGAAAAAGCAAGTGTTCTCATGGGGTTCCTAAAAGATGAAACTTCTTTTTGTGGATGTCTTTACAGCACTGATATCTTTTCTGGAGTATACTATGGTCCGCATCATGTTGTATTTGTCCTTTCTGCATTTCTTAATGTTCACTTGCTTAAGAAATTATATATGACTCTTCCTTATTCTTCACAGAATCTTACCAAGTATTGTACTTTGCATACAGTAGAAATTTGGTAAATATTTGTTAAACTTTGTAGATGGAGGTTTAATATAATGTCAGTCTATTGAACATTTTTAACGTTGTTACCACTATTCAAACATGAAGGCAGTGAAATGTCATTGAAAAGTGTTACTGGAAAATTCCTGTATCTAAAAGCTGTTAAATCTTTCCAGTAGTTTAAATGAAAGTCCCTTTTTTTGGTATTTTCTAGAACTTTGCTTACAGATATACAGGCCAAAATTAATCGAATCAAAGGACATGCATTCAGTAAAAGGGAAAGAAGACACAGAAATAATGCTGCCTTACATCTACACTGTATTTAGGGACATATAGAGATGAGTAAATATAATTATATCTTACAATGCCCATGACTTTGTACCTCTTCGTCTTTTAGAAAACAAAGCCAACTGATTTAAATAAATGTTTAATTCAATTAATCTCTGTTGAACACCTACTATGTGAAAGATTCAGGGACAGGTATTTTTAAAGCGATCTTGCAGATACATAAATGAGGAAGAAATGATAAGGGAAAATAAGCACTTTAAGCAAAGTGCTAAAGGTTGCAGAGAGGGAAATTTCACATATGAGTCAGGAGCTAGGAGAGCTTCAGGAAAGAGGTAGGAAAGAGTTGACATGTCACCTTGATGAGGATTTGCATACGTAGAAGGGCATTTTAGGCAGCAGGCATAGCATATACAAAGATCTCTAAGAGCAGCAGCACTAGAAGGTGTCAGCAACAGAAATATTCCTGTTTGGCTAGATCATAGGGTATGTGAAGGAAAATGGGGAGATAAATGCGTAAAAGAAGAATCAATTCCCATTTCATGGCTATAAATGGATCCTGGGATGGGCCAGTTCTGAGTTCTGAGAATACAAAAATAAATAAATCACTCTCTCCTTAAGGAGCCCATGGGCAGATAAGCAAGCCAATGCACACTGAGATACATGCTAAACTGATGACGCAGAGGAACCCAAACAAATGAAAAAAATGATCAATCCTGCCAGTGGTGTGGGAGATGGTATGCATGGTGGTTAGTCACTCAGATTCTGAATAAAATTGAGTCCTGGAGTCAGACTGCCGGTCCCAAGATCTGCACCAGCCCTGACTGTGACCTTGACCATACGACCTCGATCTCAATGTTTGAAGTTTTGGCTAGTGTGTGCTAGGTCTTAGATGCCTCATCTGTTAGATGGTGACAATAACAGTACAGTTCTTAACAGGGCTCTTGTGAGGATAAAATAAAATATCCACGTGAAGGGTTTAGCATTGGCAGTTAAAGCTCTTGAGTTAATTTTATTATCTTTATCAGTAATAGCCCTGCTACTGTTATGTGTCACAACTATTCTCCTGGAATGTTTCAGAGAGGAAATAACAATGGCGATAACCTTAAAGAAGGACCTGAACTACACCCTACAGCAAGGGGATTAAGGATGGAAGGAACAGTGCAAAAGCTGTTTTTGTTTAGGGAACAGAGTCCAGAAGTTCAAAATAAAAGTATTTGGAAGAGATGCTGGGGTGAGTATTATGGTTCCAATGAGACATCAAAAATTTAGAAATAGGAAACATGAAAGAACTCATAAAAGTCCTTCATACATGACGAATTTTGAGAGCCAAAGCCTCAGATTAACCTAGGCATATATTATCCTATAGATAGAAATCAGGTATCAGAACAATGAATGTTATTACCAAAACTAATCTCTTTCTCTCTCTACTTCTTTGCAGCAGAGATTGTGGCTTCAAGTGCATGGAAACACTGACTATATAGTGTTTCTGGAGGAGCAGATTGTAGGGTCACATGGTTTCACCCCATGATGGATCCAAGTAGTTCCAGAGTCACATTCATTGAAATCTATTCGAGAAGGGGTAAATCCTGTACTCAAAGGAGGGCCTGGGGAACAGCAGAGAATGGAAGAAACCTATTGTTCTACTTTCTATGTATTATTTGAATTGTATTGACTTCTCTAATAAAAGAGTAATGAGGGAGGAAAAAAGAAGTTAAAAAGAGATGAAGAGCTGGGTGCAGTGGCTCATGCCTGTAATCCCAGCATGCTGGGAGGCCGAAGCAGGCAGATCACTTGAGGTCAGGAGTTTGAGATCAGCCTGGCCAACACGGTAAAACCCCATCTCTACTAAAAATACAAAAACTAGTCTGGTGTGGTGGCGAGCACCTGTAGTCCCAGCTATGTGGGAGGCTGAGGTGGGAGGATCACTTGAGCCAGGGAGGTCGAGGCTGCAGTGAGCCATGATCATACCACTGCCCTCCAGCCTGGGCAACAGAGCGAGACCCTGTCTCAAAAGAAAAAATAAGTGATGAAGAAAAAAGTGAAGACAAAAAAAAAAGATCCTCTGACTGCGAATAGAAAGGGAAGGATGAAGAGAACACCTAAAGTATCTATATTTATGTGGGCACTTGGCATCTGTTTTTGGTAATCAGTAACACAAATATATGTAATCAACAAAAGAACAGTCTTATAAATTTTTAAAACTACATACTAGCATTTTGTACTAAATGCTATCATAAAATGCAAAACTGCAAAACAAATTCAAAGTCTCATTACAACAATTCCATATCTACCTTCCATATTAACATATCTATGTCACTCCCAATCGCTAGCATGAGCATCTTGGTTTACCTATTAATAAATACTTGCCTGCTTGTAATATGCATTTATTTTTCTCATTATTATGTTATTACATTCAGCTTGTTTGGCACCATTTTAAAGAATTTATTTTGCTATCAATACCAGAAAACAATTTAGGAAACTGAATAGAGCAGGAAAAATGTTAAATCTATGTACTTGAGTTGGTTATTGACTCCTTAGTTTAATAACTCATTTTTTCAAACCTGAATAATTTAAATGCATTAGAAATGATACAGCATTAAAAAGTGCCTTCTGAAAATGGTAAACACTGGATCTAGGATCTGAGTTTGTAGTTATTACTTATTTAAAATAAACAAGCAAATTCCGTTGAGATACGGTCTCATTTTCAGGAATGGTCTATTAGCAGGCAGCAGTGAGCACAACAATTAGCCATATCAGCACATTAAAGCCTAATGTGTAAACTCAACATAGCAGCAAACACACGTCCTACCATGGCCTATTAAGTAATCAGAAATGATTGCAGATAATTAGCCCAGGAACAGCTGCATAAACTCAACTATTCCATTTTTTGTCAGACGTGGAGACTTCAAGTGGAAGGGAGGTTTATCAGGTATGTCTTGAATTGGGTGGGAGTACCACTGTGAAATGAGAGACAGATTCTAACATTTGACGGCATATTGCCATTTTACATCGTCTTCTGATCATACTCCTAACGTTCACATAAATATTGTTCTTGGGTAAAAATTATGGAAACAAAGATATCACCAGTGATTTAAGAAACTTGTAAAATTGGAAGTCAATATACGATAAAAAGTAGAAGTCGGTTAGTAAATCCCTTTAATGAGCGTGTATCATTCATACTTGTTTGTATTTTCAGTTCAAATTTGATTTTTGCATTCCCATCTATTCTTTCTGAGTGACATTAAATACAGCACCACTGGTAAATATATATTTGCATTTGAATTAATACGTATATTTGGTAAGTATTTCTTTTCTAAATTTAAAAAAATGTAGTCTCCTTTTTTTTCTATTCCTTTTTTACAAAAGAAAACATGCTAGGTAGAAGATGACAACTATCTGTAGATCTGAAAGACTGAGATAAAAAGAAAGAATTATATTTATTCCATGCACGTCCAGAAAAACAGAACTAAGATACATGAGTTTGATTGTTAAAAAGAAGAATAAAATTCCAAAAATTAGAATTTTAAAAAATGAAATGAGGACGCTGTGAGGTGCTTAGCTCCTACCGGGAATGTCATCAGAGAAATTCAGCGACTGACCTCCTGCAGGAGTAGATGTGGTTAAAAGGAACCTCAGGTTCCATCAAAGTTTCCTTCCCACTGTAATATTCTAGGAACTATAACTAAAGAGGTTGAAGTCCTTCAAACACAGCTTTGCTATACACTTGTCCAGAGACCAGCAGCAGATGGGAATGCCACCTCTTAAAGAAGACTGGAATCTATGTTTATCTGTGCCCATTATATCCTTAAGTTTGGACATTTAGCTGACCTTCTCTTTTAACATGGGTCTAATTTATTTGCTGTGTCATTTTCCATACAATTCAGTTGCTTTAAAAGTTCATTTCTCATACCATGAATTAAAATAAAAATTTGACCAATTAAAAAAACCAAAGAAAATGGCTCAGAATAAATGAATATATTATCAATGGTGCTAAACTTTTGCAGGGTAATTCCTGAATACTTGCATTAAAGATTTTGTATCATGAAATTACACTTAGCACATGTTTATTGTTTTTTGACAGTTTTCAGTTTATTTATAGGCCTACCAAGGATAAAATGGATAGATAAAATTAGAAACCATAAATTTCACAGAGAATTAGTTCTACTGTATATATTTTACATTTGTTTTCTCTCTAGTTATCCTCTTTTTTATAAGCGTTCAATCAACAAATGTTGAAGTGCATGATGTCAGCAAGGCACTGTGAAAGCATAAATAAAGAACAGTGCTTCAAGGAGTTTACAGTCTTTGGGGGGAATTAAGCATGCAAAGTAACTATTACAGCCCAATGTGACAAGGACTATAGTCGAGAGAGGTAGGATGCAAAGAGAAAACAGGAAAAAGAACTCCCATTTCAACCTGGAGGACACAAGGAATCTTCACAAAGGAGGTAGCACTGAAGAGATGAGTAGTTGCCACCTTCAAGCAAGTAGAGTTTAGGAGAAGCCTATAAACAGAGAATTTGTAAAGGACTACTTGACATGGAAAGGAACTAGCATATTGTAAATATGAATGATAACTGGAGCTAAAATCAACCCACTCTAATAATGGTCATTATTTTCATGCCGTTCATTCATTGCAAATTATTACCTGTTCTCACCCAACTTACCAAGAGTGGGCTTACTATAACCGCTGTTTCCTAGAGCAACACTTGTTAAGTAAAAGTGCTAATAAAATGTGAACTAGCAGCATCAGCACCAGCTTAGAGCTGCTTAGACTGTCCGGGATTAAGGCCCAGGAATGTTTGCTGTCCAACAAGCTCTCCTGGTAATCCTTGTGCATTCTCAAATTTGAGGACCCCTGTCCTCTGGAGGAAAAAGTATTTGCTTGTGTTTTAGATAACATTTTAATATACTACATTGGAACACACATGTGAGACTTCTTTTTTGAAATGTGTTGTAATACGTGGGTTAATTCATTTAAAATGGAATTGAAATGTGAGGTTGAAAAAAGAACAGTGAGTGCAGTGGGAGTCAGGCAACCTGATTTCTCATTTCAGCTCTGCCACTAAATAATCATTAATAATAATAATAACAATACATATGATTGCTAACAAATATATGAAACTCTGCCAAGATACAGAACTTCTCTTGGATCTCAGAGTCTTCAGCCATAAGACGAGAAGGTTGTATTAGAAGATCTCTAAAATCCCTTTCCAAATCTAAAATACATTTCTCAAAAAGTTTCCGCATTCACCATTTGCATAATTAAATAGTATAATCATCCCCAATCCCTTCAGATTAGCTCCAGTTGTTTTCAGCTTCTTGTGTCTTTTCAAAGCAGTACTGAAAAGACCGCTCTCTGCTGTGTTTCCCTGTCCATCACTCTTAAATCTGCTTTTCTTTCTGCCCTCTCTTTCTTTTAGGTCAGTGGTTAGTTCACTATACAATTGTTTAAAATGAGGTATTCTTACTTTTATACATGTAAATTCCCATGAAAACTGCTTGATTAAAACTCCCCCATAGACTTCTAGAAGAAAACAAAACAAATTGTACTAATCTCAGAGTGTGAAGCATCCTGTCTTGAAGGTCAATTGAACAATTCACAGGGGCTGAAAACTAACAAGAAAAAAAAGTTTCACTGAAGTTAAGATAGAGGAGAGAAGATCAGAGAAGCTAGCAACCCAGGGGAAAAATGTCACACTGCTGTTCGTGCACAAGGCCGCTGAATTTCCTTTTCTCTTCCTTTCTGTTTTTCCCTCCCTCCTTTCCTTTCTTCCCCTACTTCCTTTCTTCCTTCTTTTTTATCTCTTTTGTTGATGCTGATTGTCTATCTGTTGAATTGCTTTCACACCAAATCTTGCTTATGTAAACTATAATCTTCAAAAAGGCAAGATTTAATAACCCCCATAATATTTAGTGAATACCTCCCAAACAAATAATTTCTCAATAAAAGCTTAAGGGAAACACACTTAAAGAACAAATGCATAATGCATTATAATCCTGGCAACAGTCAATTAATTGGCTTTCTTTACAACCTATGAGTGCTTCTTCCCAAAACATTTTATTTGTATTTTCGCAAGGAGGTACATTTTTTCTTTCATCTGTCCACTGCTTCCTCGGCTCCTGCTCGCTTTCTGTTAGGATGTGTGACTGGGGTCGGACATATGCTGGCGCTTTGCTTGTATCTCACACACTGCAGTGTTTTAGCACTTCATATTTTATGTCCTGGCTCTCCAACTCCTAACGCATTCCTGGGTAATGCAGCTTCTGCCTGAGTGCCCTTGAGGCCCACTTAGAGCATGTGCATGGTTGATCTAAAACTTTTCAATAACCCTTCTCTGCCTCAGATAGGAAATTACAAGAGAATGCCCTATTTCAGCATCACATTGCAATCATTCTACCTCCATGCCTTATGGTCTTGCATCCTCAAATTGGTCTTATCTGCTATAGCTGATTGTCCAGTGCTTTCCAATGGGGCTGTAACTACAGCATGTTTCCAGCACCCTCATTTTGTTTCAGGAATGAACATAGATAATTTTGATCCATGGTCAACTCCAGTGGTGAAAATCTTCAAAGCTGTTAGTTATCAGTTCAAAAAAGATCGGAAGTAGTTCATTTCTAAATAGTACATCATTTCTGGAATGTGGATTACTATGTAAGCCTCTCTTGATGCCACTCTTAAAGAAACATGAGCAATAGTCTTTCAAAACGCTCTGTATGCAAATAATTGCTTTGTCACAGATCGTTTTTGAGCTACTTATTGTCACCCACTTTATTCACAATGTTAGCCTAATGTTACTCCCTCAGCTAACTATATTGATTCCCTCATTCTTTCTTTTCCCTTCAATAAGATATGCATAAATCAAACAAAAGAATCCTCAGAAAAGCTTTCTCTAAACCTCAGGTCAGTTCAGGAGCCCCTGTGATTTTTCTCAGTTCAGGTAAATCCTGTATATGTTCTTCCTAGAAATAATCACAATTGTAATGAAATCATGTAAATCTTGTTGATGAATACCTATCTTTCTTTTTTAAATGAATGCACTATAAGGGCATGGATTTTCTCTTCTTCAACACTGAATCCCCTGTGCCTAGGCCAGTGGCTTGAGTGTAATTGGCATTCCATAAATGATTGTTGAGTGAATATGTATCCTATTCCTTTATTAATTTTCCTAGCTGCTCTTTGCCTGTTATTGTATTTCTAAAAATGCAATCCTTGGCATTTTGCTGCTTTGCTGGTAAAGGCATTCTCTCCCTGTAGACAAATGGACACACGAATAAAGCTTTTGAAATCCAAATTACTATGGAAACAGCCCTTGTTTCCACCAGCTTGCTAAGTGGAGCACAGTGGCCACACATCTTACGCTGGAGGGAGCTGAAGTCACATACAAATTCTGGCTTCTCAGGTTCCCCTTTCCTTGTAGACACCCCCCAATCCTTCAGTTAGAACTTTTTTTCTTCAGGTGGGTTACAATGCAATTGATTGTGATTAGAGTACTTAATCTATTCACTATAACTGATTAAGTTACTGCTTGATTGTGTTACAGCTTCATCCATTTACTGTGATTAGATTGTTGCTAGAAATATATGGATACAATCAAGCTTCTGCTATTGTCAAATTCCTCAGGGTGTTCTGAATTTCTCCACAAAATCTTTTTGTCTGTTCCTTGGGGTATGTCATTTCCACAGATAACTAATCTCATCCATTACGTTTTGAATCTTCTTGATTTTATTCTCAGAGGACAACTTTATCTCAAAACTCCTGGGGTGACTTTCCTGCTCTCCCCAGTACTAACCATGCCTGACAAATAACTTACGGGGGGCACCAACTACGCTTTTCTTTGCCTTTCCTACGGTCTATTCCTTCATCTCAGAGAGGTGGTGGCAGAGACTCATTCATTTATAACTCCTAACAAAGAGTAGGAGACCTTTGTGTGAATTTTTCATCAGGGGCCTGGAATGCAAGTTATGCCAACATCTTCGATATATTAGAGGAGCAGATTACAGCCCAAGAACTATAATTTCTTGACACATAACCTAAAGAACTTTACCAGAAATGGAAAAACAGAACTACAAATACCTCCGTATGTTTTAATTTTAAAAAATAACTTTCTAAAATATCGTATCATGAAGAAATTCTCTTTATCTAAATGAGTGGCCATGTTATCTGCACTTTAGAGGTTGAATAAAATTGTCACATACTTTGAGATCCTCAATAACAGCTTTAATAATGTCTACTAAATGTTATTTGAATATGAACCCAGGTATCTGACAATCTCATGTAAGCAGAACACTGTGCAGTAAGTAAAACATGCTTTTGACAAGGTAAAATATAAATCCCCAAATCCCGGCACTCCATTTCTATAACTTATTTTGGGGGTGAACTCCTACCGTCTTAAAGATGAGGATCAGATTCTGCTGATTTGCTCTTTGTACATTCTTTTCATAAAACTGATCGTCTGATATTCAAGACTTTCAGAAAATGAAAGCAGAAATCAGAGGTAAGTTGAGAGTGGCTTATTGGTATCCATGCTGATAAAAACTAGAAAACACAGAAAAATGCAGGAAACTTCAAAAAGCAAAGACCGAGAATCCAACATATAAGAGCTGTCATATCTTGTCCAGATTTACAGTCATCCCTTTCTTATAGCATAAAATACTCATCCATGTTCATAGTAACAGCATCGAGGAATCAATTCAGTAACACACTGGTACCCTATCTGCAGCCTAACGTTTTATATTCGGCTCCTAACATGTTCTGGCACACGCCCTGGAATTCAACTTGCATAATGTCGAATGATGCTGTGAAAATCCGCTTCATAGACACACAATGGAAATTAGGTACTTTACATGGTAATTTTTAATGGAACTATTTCAAGAGAAGGGTAAGAGAAAGTTAAAGGGTATCAAGAATAAAGCAAGTAACCTGGTAACTGAGAGTTAAAAAAAATGGATGAAGAAGCCATCAAAGATTATAGAAAGGTCAGGAATATGGAGCTTTGAAAAATGGAGAGGTAACATAGTATAGCATCAGAATTCTAGATCTTCTGAAACTCGCAGATTAAAGATTTAAGAAGGCTATAAATGAGGTAGAGGTAGGATTTGATACAGAAAATGATTAAGATATAAATAAGAATCTCAGCATAGGCAAGATGCTGGTAGGGGGTATATTAGAAATGCTCAGGAGTGGATGACATGAAGAGGGGGAAATGGCAAGTTCAAGTCAAGGATAACAACTATTTTTGGCCTTGGGAGAAAAATAAAATGAGAAAATCTGAAGGAAAAAAAGAAGCAAAACCAAATCATGATCAGGCATAACTGGAAGGTAAATGACATTCTTTAAAAAATGAAGAACAAATTGACAAAGTTTAGGGAGATAACAGATTCAAACTAGGAACTAAAAAAGGTATCTGCCTTGAAATAGGTTTGAGACCAATATAATCATCATATATTCTCGTGAGAATCCATGGGATTCACTGGGAGATCCAAAATCAGGATTAATTGCACTCATGAAAGAGGCAATGAGGCAAGACTGGGAAATATTTTAAAAATTATAGAAAAACGCACCAAAAAGAGAGCTGTGCTTTGGAAATAAGGGCATGCATAATATAATCCAAACGGTATCTTACTCCTGGAGGCTCACCTCACCATTAAGGTGTCTGAGGCTCAGCTTTTAACAAGTATACTTCTTCTGATCTTCTAATTAGAGTGTGTTCATGAGAAACAGAAGGATACATAAGGACTTAGACAACATGTTAAGAATAGATTGCAATCATTCCTGCCTTACCAATTAGAATTATTTTTCCAGATCTCCTCATTAATTATAAAAATGGAAATTATTGTACTTGGTGCTTTACAATAAATATTCAAGCAACTGGAGCTGTAAAATATAACCTGGCAATTTAAGTGATTTATTACAGCAGCGTAATGCTTGAGACATTTCTATTAGCTGAAAACCTGAAATATTTCTAGTAAAATATTTAACCAAAAGAAGGTCTCTTTAGGCCAAGTAAAACCAGAGCACTTGTAACTGAGAAAGGTGGATTCGTCCTCTTCCTTCTGTCACAAAAATATCATCAAAATTACCTTTTACCATATTCCATTATATAAATAACACAACTTTGTATAATGTTATACATAAAAAGAATAGGAAAAATGAGAACTGAGTGCTAAGTGAATTACTTCCAGTCATTAGAAGAAACATAGATTTAGTAACATTGTGTCATTGTAATTGTTATGTTATGATACTTAGGTTTCTCATTAAATGATACCCATGTGTGGAATATTGTCCTAAGAACAAAAAGTGAACAAAATAAAGTAGTAAAATGAGCATTTTAAAATGACCCTTTTTCACCAAAAAGGTGTTATTAAATTATAGGTAATTTTCAATGCATTAATATTTTTGTGGTTTCTAATTAACTTTCTTTAATGGAAAAGTACTATATCACCAGAAATCACACATCATTTCAAAATTCATTGATAGTTTATACTTATTACTGCAAGATGTAGCTGACCTGGTCATTTTATTTAGTTGAAAAGAAAACAATAAAGCCAAATATAATTTTGCATGAGTCTATAATGAAAGTGTTTTGGAATGTGTAGATTTAATTGTACCCAATCTAACAACATCAGGCACAGTTTTCAACTACAGGGGGAAAAGGCAACAACCCTGTCTCTGTACATGGCCTCCTTCTTATGGGAAAGTCTTGCTAGAGTCTCACAATACAGACTGCATTTTACATTTCTTTTGATATTGACTTAAATAGCTTGTTATTGACAAAGGAAGAAATAGGTCAAAGAAACCGTTATAGTCACATCAAGCCTGTTCAGGGCTGTAAGGTTTCACTAATTGTGCACATTTCTCCGAAGTGAACGGTAGCAAATCCAGCCCTCACCACATGCTCTCTGGCCTGCCTCGTTTTGTATTGAGCCATATTTTAAATTACTTGTCAATATTTATAATTGGAAGGTGTCACTTGAAAAGCCTAGATTTATGGATCCTCTTTAAAAATCAGAGATGGATCCACATTCCCCCATGGGCTCCCTCTTTCTGTAAGGTACTTGATCACTTTCGTCCCAGCCCTAACTATTCCTTGTTGTCCCTCCAACACTGAAAGAACATCGATTGTCCTTAAACAACTTTCTAGCTCACACCCATTTTACTTCTCACATTTATGTCACCTGCCTGGCAGTGCATGTGTGTTTGATGCCCACTCTACGAGCCTGGAGGATTAGCTTTGTCATGCCTTATTCCTCGACCCACGATCATTTCCTAGAGTCTAAGTCTGCATTATCTTCCAGATACCATCTCTCAGTGCTTGGAATAACTTTGAAGATTTTTCTGTCTTTTACGTTGTAAATTTAACCTGCACAGTGAAAAGATGTGGATTTATTTTCATTCAGCTTCCTTACTTAATCCATTCCTTCCGTTAATGTTCTGTTTTATATTTTTAATATCCTTATGTCCTGCATGGGAGGTGAATTCCTTTTAAATTAATATTTTAATTTATTTAGTCTCTATTTAATTTTGCCTAGTCCCAAGGTTATTGCATATATTTAGATTTTGTCTGCTTTTCTTTTCAAAAATGTTATCTGTTTCTTTTCCCTAACCATTGCTATTTTAACATGTGTTTGCTATGTTCCTTCACTGAGACTCCTAAACATACTTATTTTAATGTAATTTTCAGCATACTATTATTTGTCTTTCTTCCAGAGTGAATTAATCTCCTGATGTTTCTGTTTTTATTTTATTGACTGTCTTTCCTAGCTTTGCTTTTCCTTATGATGCAGGAATTTTTCTGAGCCCCTTTGCTGGGCTCGCGGTAGAAGACCACCGCATCTACTCAGCGCACCTAGCCGCGCCTGAGGGCAAGTCTCTGGCGCGAATCCCACAGCCACTGTGACTGCGGTGAGAGGCAGCATGTGAGTGAGCGAGTGCGGGGTCTGGCCAGCTGCTCCCAGCATCAACATAGGAGCAGGCTCCATGTGCGGCCCGCGGCCAAACGAGGTGTCACCCCAAGGGGAATGTGGTGACCCACTCAGGCAGGGATGCCCGTGACCCCGAAGCCCCAGAGGGGGTGTCACAGTGTGCTAATTAGCTCTTTTAGTTCTGCTCCCCACAGCCCAATGGACAGTGGTGTGTTAGCAGCTCAATCAGCCCCTTGCCCTGCTCTAGTCCACGGCTGCGGGACTACCTCGGCCCCGCCACTGCTTCCGGTGCATGGAGCAGCTGCCCTCTGCTGGCAAAGGCAGAGGGCCACAGTGTTGCAGCCTTTCCAGGCACCCATGTTTGCTGGGTCCTGAGCTCTTGTCCCACATTCATGAAGAATGAGGTCATGCTGACAACTGAAGGGTGATCAGGGCAGAGAATTTTATTAAATGACAAAACAGCTCTTAGTGGAGAGGGGACAGGAAGGTAGTCTCTCACCTGAAGTTGGGTCATCTCCCCCAGTATGGCTGAGTCTAGGATTTTTATACTCATAGATGGGGGAGGGGCGGGCCAAAGGTAGTATTGGAAAACGTAACATTCCATTGGTTAAAAAGCATTATTCAGAAAGAACCAATCAGGAAAGGACAGGCAAACAGGAACGGAAGTTCCCACTCTGGGTCACGTTTTTCATCCGGAACCAGCAGTCCAGTCTTTCAGCCTTCAGGCTGTTTTTGACTTGAAGGTGGGATATCACAAGGGACCGGCCCCTATCTGCCTAGGCATTTGACTGCCTCCTGTCACTTATCACTCATATGTTTAAATTTTTATTTTGTTTTAGGTAAGTTTATATATCCTTTTTCTACATTTGGGTTTTTTTTTTTTTTTTTTTTTGGCATTTTCTTTTGCTTTAAGGGTACTCTTTATATATTAGCTTAATTTGCCCATAGTGTGGTCAGGGGCATGGTGTGTTAGCACTTCCCCGAGTGTGTGCAAACCGGGCCAGGCTGTGACAGCACCTGGGCTTGGCCCCAACCGCACTCTAATATCAGAGTGGGCTCCTGGAGTGGGGAGAGGCCAGGCAGTAGGAACAGAGAGGGCTTTCCTGGGCCCGGAGGGTGCAGACTACAGAGATGCCTGGGTCCTGTGCCTGGGAGGGCGGGACTCCTGCCCACTCCATGGCGCATGCAGGCAGCCCCGGCCACACCTCCTTACAGCCTGGGGTTGGGGCTCCAGGTCCTCACTGGGCCCCTCTCTGTCTGCCCTTCCATGCCTGACTGGGCTGCTCCCCTGCAAACAGGTGGCTTAGCCTGGCCCCATCGTGGCAGCCCCCAGGGCAGGAGGCTCTGGGAGGTCTCCCACTTGTCCCTGGCTCCCACCGGCAGTGTGGAACATGGCAATGCCCCAGGCCCAGCTCTGCCTCCTTCCTGCGTCCTCCTCACAGCAGCCAGTGTGATGGCAGTGGCTGCCCTGGACGGTCCGCCGCTGCCATCATCAGCATCTCTGAATCTAAATTGATCAGAAAACACTCTCAATCACATAGTTGGTCTCATTTTAAATTTAATTATTTATTTTATTTTTGTGTAGAGACAGGGAGGGTCTTACTGTGTTTCCCAGGCTGGTCTCAAACTTCTAGCCTTAAGTGAGCCTCCCACCACATCCTCCCAAAACACTGGGATAACAGGCATGAGCCACTGCACCTATAGATAAAACTATAGATTTAAAATATTAAAATAAAACTATGGATTTATTTTAAATATTCTCTTTTGTCCTAGAACATCAAACCTCTAAAAGCCTTCCATATCCTCACTTTCAATTGTCTATATCCTATGTCACTAAAGAAACAGAAGCAATCAGAAGAGAACTTCCATTAGCTTCCTCTGTCACCATCTACCCACCTGCATTGAGCAAGTTAAATCTTATTAGTGTGCCTCCTCCAGAGAAGTACTTCTTCAGTGGCAGTGTTTTAATGATGTAAAGAAGTCTTTATTAATCAGAAAGAAATCTTACAATAAATAATTTGGGAATGCAAATGTCTTTATGATCTCATACAATTTTATTATTCCACCATAAGTACTATTATTTTAGATCTTTGAGATCACTGATAAATTACTTAAACATCATAGTATATTACAAAGTTGAAGTGTCAGTCGCTTCGTGAGCCCCTGATACTGTCTTCAGCATTGCCCTTCTTAGAAAATTGATTCATTGACTGTTTTGACCTCATTGATCTTGATATATCTCCAACATAATTTCAGGGATGCATTATAACTGAGGCTGATTTGAAATTATTTTCTCTTAAATAGCATCACAGAATGAACCTGATATTAGGAAATCTATGACATTAAGTAACATTTTTTAAAAGACTTTTTACATTCATCCCTCAAGAAGTAGAGCGCATGTCCTTTTTCTAGCAGCTGCAAATGACAACCTGCACAAGTTCAACAATCCACAACTATATACATGGCTACTATGCATGAATCTGATGACTGCAAAGGATTGGAAGAAAAGTTATAAATAGGTGGTCAGGGAAATGTCACCTTAGTTCTGAGACTATAGAAAAACTTTTCAGCTGTACCTGGAGAATGTAAAAACTACTGCTTAATAAATGAGTGTTTAGTCAAGGAGAGAGGGTTTTTCGTTTTTCATACTCTACTTGATCTTAACGGGCTCTTTTATTTTTCAAGAGTAGTCTATGATAACTTACTTTGGCATTCTCTCCTTGAGAGCTAAAATTCTGTAACTCTATCAAGCTGGTTGCTTATTGCTCTTCTGTGAATAGCATACTCTGTCCAATCTATTTCAAAGGACAATACTCCAGGCATAACATATGATGCAAATATAATGTGGCGATCTGACTTTCAAGAGGTATTTCCTAAGAAGCACGTTTAAGCAAGAGCAGCATGCCACAATCAGCCCTTGTATGTATTATATGAAACCGACTTAAGTGTTACAGAGTAAAGTAACAAACTTAACTTTCTCAAAAACAGATCATATCCCAAAGATTGAAAATATCTTGTTCTCTACAACTTTTAGCTCATAAGCTCAATTCTCTACCTTTCCCTGAGCATGGTTTGATGCTCCTTAGACCCCAAATGGAGAAGAGAGTCCTTCTTTCATGGTTTCAGCTCCACTTAAGAGATTCATGGTAGGTGGCTTAGTCCTACTGCTACAACAAAAATACCCCAGGCTGTGTAATTTATAAAGACAATACATTTCTTACTCACAGTTCTGGAGACTGAGAAGTCTGAGATCAAGGTTCCAGTAGATTTGGTGTCTGGTGAAAGCCTGATCTCCGCTACCAAGATGGCACCTCGTTACTGCATCCTCACACGGCAGAAGGATAAGGCAGCTCTGTTCAGCCCCTTTTATAAGGGTATTAATCCCATTCATGAGGTTGGAGCCTTATAAAATGACTTGTTTCACAAAAGACCCCACTACTTAATAATATCAGGTTCCAGCATGTGAATTTTGGGGGGATGCCAATATTCAGACCATAGGGACAGGTTTCTCCCACTGTTCCAGATATCAAACCTGGAAATGTACATTGTATAACACACCCAAGACCAAGAGGATAAACAGAACTAAGGAGGTATATTAGGAGATCCTCATTCAGGCGGGGCGTGGTGGCTCATGCCCGTAATCCCAGCACTTCGGGAGGCCAAGGAAGGCGAATCACCTGACATCAAGAGTTTGAGATGAGCCTGGCCAACATGTTTCTACTAAAAATACAAAACTTAGCTGGGCGTGGTGGCACACACCTGTAATCCCAGCTACTCAGGAGGCTGAGGCAGGAGAATTGCTTGAACCTGGGAGGCGGAGGTTGCAGTGAGCCGAGATTGCACCACCGCACTCCAGCCTGGGTGACAGAGTGAGACTCCTTCTCAAAAAATAATAATAATAAATAAATAAATGTTTAAAAAAAAAAGATCCTCATTCAGTGTGTCAAACATAACAATCACCTGATATAACTATAAAGATAGCAGTCAGCCAAGTTATCACAAAGAATTTTTAGGCAATAAACAACAACAGTACCAAGCAAAGCATGATGTGCTTTCTAACATTCCTCCTCAAGACCTAGCCTCTTCCCAACCCCTTAGATATCATCACATATGTGTCAGTAGCAGTCACTCAATGACAGCATCTCAGAGTAAATTCTGACTCCTTGCTGTAAAAATCAGAACAATTTTCCCTACAGCGGTCAAAATGTTTGCATCTTCCTCTCTACATATCAGAATCAAATCTCTGGTTCAGGTCACACTCATCTATCTCATAGCTGAATGACTGTAATTTTCTCCACTGTGAAAATCATCTCTTTGGTCTTTCAGTTCTGCTTGACTATGTCAAAATCTTACTGGCTTCCTTTGGACTTCTGTATTAAATTCCATTTCCGCTCCCTCGGTTTCTTTCTGTTTACTCAACAGCATTACAGCACTCATCTAGCCAGGCTTTGCCACCTGCCCCTTCGGTTTAGAGCAGCAGTTCTCAAATGTTTTGACCTCAGAACTCCTTTACATTTTTAAAAATTAATGAGAACCAAAATGTTGATGTGTGTTCATTCTATCTATCACTATTCATTATATTAAAAATTAAAATGGAGACATTACAAAAATATCTACTTATAAACCCTTCACATGTTGACATAAAATATTTTTATTAAAAAACTATTTTTTCAAAACAAAAACAAAGCAAGAAGAGTTATATTGTTTTATATTTATGCAAATCTCTTTAATGGCTGGCTTAAGAGTGTTGGATTCTTATTTCTGCTTCTGAATTCCATGTGGCAATGTCTTCTTTTGGTTTAAGTTCCTAAAGAAAAATTCCACACATACTTCACACAGCTATGCAACTGGAAAAGAGAAGAATATTTTAATCGCCTTCTCAGATAATGTTGAATTTCCTTCTTTGATATGACACCAAAACTTGACAAGTGATAATTTCTTAAAGCAATATGCAATGTAGAAACTGAAACCACATCAATGAACTTGTTTTTGTGTGCTGCATGAAGTTCCACTGCTCTGTCTTGTGATCAAATAGGGGTCTTTTGTTCATGCATAATATTGTACATCCAGGCATTTGGAAAATATTGACTAATTGATTATGCAGCTCTTACAAATGTTGATGATTTTATTATACAATATAAAAATACTTATAATTACTGATCTCATAAGAAAAGTCTCTAAGTAGTGGGAAGCTGTTAAATCCCATGGTTGTGGATGTATTTCAAAATGTAATTTGTACATGAAAGCTCTAATTTTACTGCTGACAATAATACATACTGACAGCTATTCCCTTGAGGTATCAGGCTTACATCATTTATTTTCAATAAAATCTCTGCCAAATATCCAAGTCTGTATAGTTTGTGTGTTAGCCATTCTTTCAAGTAAAAAGAGTGTTTACGAAAACACTGGCTAATTTTAGCTCACAACTCAATCACACAAGTGTTTTTCCTCAAGACATACTTTAGTATGCAGCAGATACAATTCATGCATAATTCTCATTTTGTCAAAGAACACAAAGTGAAGGGTTGACATTTAATCAAATTAATATTTTTCCTGCTTCATCATCAAGGACATTCTTAAGAGAAACTAATTTTTTTTTTTAACTGCAAGTGTGTAGCTGCAAAAACAAATGATGATAATTAGTACAATTTGGTGTCACCGTCTTGATGTGTGCTGAGGCACCAGCAGTTTTACCCATCATTGTTTTTGCACCAAATGTCAACACAGAGAATCACTGCAGATATCAACACAAGGAAAAGGCAAACAATGCCCTAGCATTACTATGAAAAGAGTTATGACGTCACAGACCATGTGAGAGTGTTTCCGGAACCCCCGGGCCCCGGTGCACCACACTTGGAGAAGTGCTGCCTTGATGCAGGGGATTTCAAACCCTGGTTGCCAATTAAAACAATGTAGAGAGCTTTTATATATACACATACATACACACACATACACACACACAAACATATATGCATACATATCCATATCCATATATTATATATACATACATATATACATATACATTACATATATACACACATTTACATACATATATACATATACATGGACATTACATATACACACACACATATACTTACATATCTTGAGATGCATCTATGTTTCTCAGGCTGGTCTCTAACTCCTGGGTTTAAGCAATTCTCCCACTTTCAGCATCCCAAGTAGCTAGGATTACAGGCGTGAGCCACCACACACAGGTAGCTTTTAAAAAATACATATGCTGGGCCGGGCGCGGTGGCTCACGCCTGTAATCCCAGCACTTTGGGAGGCCGAGGCGGGCGGATCATGAGGTCAGGAGATCGAGACCATCCTGGCTAACACAGTGAAACCCCGTCTCTACTAAAAATACAAAAAAATTAGCTGGGCGTGGTGGTGGCTGCCTGTAGTCCCAGCTACTCGGCAGGCTGAGGAAGGAGAATGGCGTGAACCTGGGAGGCGGAGCTTGCAGTGAGCCAAGATCACGCCGCTGCACTCCAGCCTGGGCGACAAAGCAAGACTCCGTCTCAAAAAAAAAAAAAAAAAAAAAAAATACGTATGCTGGCCAGGTGTGGTGGCTCATGCCTGTAATCCCAGCACTTTGGGAGGCCGAGGCAGGCAGATCACAAGGTTAGGAGTTCGAGACCAGCCTGGCCAAGATGGTGAAACCCTGTCTCTACTAAAAATGCAAAAAATTAGCCAGGCGTGTTGGCGCACTCCTGTAGTCCCAGCTGCCCAGGAGGTGGAGGCAGAAGAATCGCTTGAACCCAGGAGGTGGACGTTGCAGTGAGCCAAAATTATGCCACTGCACTCCAGCCTGGGTGACAGAGTGAGACTCCGTCTCAAAAAAAAAAAAAAAAAAAAAAAAAAAAAAAAAACATATGCTTAGGTCCCAACCAGACCACTGAAATCAGAACCATTGAAAGTGTGGCCCAGGAGTCAGTGTTTTTTTTTTAAAGGTTCCTGGGTGTTTCTACTAAGAACAAGGTTGAGAAACATTGGTCTTGTCTCTATGGTATTTGAACCAGTTTTGAATGCTATGGCCTCTTCTTCCTTGTTTTATTATTCTAACTTTCCCCAAGTTCTTTGATGTGCTAAGCACACTTATCTATGACTCTTCTAACTCATTCAAATCTTACATTCTTTAAGAAATCTTTTCAGACTTTTTTTTTTTTTGAGACAGAGTCTCGCTCTGTCGCCCATGTTGGAGTGCAGTGGTGCGACCTCAGCTCACCGCAACCTCTGCCCCTGGGTTTAAGCAATTCTCCTGCCTCAGCTTCCCGCATAGCTGGGATTACAGGCACGCACCACTGCACCCAGCTAATTTTTGTATTCTTAGTAGAAACAGGGTTTCACCATGTTGGCCAGGCTGGTCTTGAACTCCTGACCTCAGGTGATCCGACTGCCTCAGCCTCCCAAAGTGCTGGGATTACATGTGTGAGCCACCACGCCTGGCCAGTGATGCAATCTTGGCTCACTGCAACCTCCTCCTGGGATCAGGTGATCCTCTCACCTCAGCCCCTGGGTAGCTGGGACTACAGGCACGCACCACCAGGCCCTGCTAATTTTTTTTTTTTTTTTTTTTTTTTTGTATTTTTGTAGAGATAGTATCTCACCATGTTGCCCAGGCTGGTCTCAAGCACCTAGACTCAAGTGATCTGTTCACCTAGGCCTCCCAAAATGCTGGGATTACAGGGGTGAGTCACGGTGCCCGGCCTTAAAATGATTATTAATTAATATATGAACTTGTTGTTGGAAAAGAATATACATTTTTCTTATATTTTCTAATAAGAAGGTACAGAAAATCATATTGCAATTTATTACATTGCTCCTCCCACATAGCACTTTGCTAGATTTTGAATTTTACTTGGTAGGATAGTCTGGCATCATATGGACAAAGAGTTAAACTTGTTTCTATAAATGACAAAATAGCTCTCTCTATATGAGTGACAGAATTTCCTGATGAAAATTAGACCATGAAGCAAAGGTTAATAGTAAGTATAATAAAAATAAGGTTTCCTGGCCAGGAGCAGTGGCTCATGCCTGTAATCCCAGCACTTTGGGAGGCCAAGGTGGGCAGATCATACCAGGTCTAGACATTGAGACCATCCTGGCCAACATGGTGAAACCCCAACTCTACTAAAAATACAAAAATTAACTGGGCATGGTGGCACATGACTGTGGTCCCAGCTACTCGGGAGGCTGAGGCAGGAGAATCGCTTGAACCCGGGAGGCAGAGGTTGCAGTGAGCTGAGATTGCGCCACTGCACTCCAGCCTGGCAACAGAGCGAGACTCCATCTCAAAAAAAGAAAGAGAAAGAAAGGTTTTCTGTTTATAACATCGTTTCCTATGAAAAACCTAAAACACTTATCAAGACAACCTATTATTTTTTGATGCTAACCCTCTCATATCTGAGCAAACTCTTCCCTTAAAGAAATAAAAATGGCCAAGACTCTCGGATGACTAATGACACTAAGAGAGCTGGTGTCAACAATCTGTATCCAGTTCACGGGCCACAGTTCACTAGCCTCCAGCCTGGTTGATAAAACTATGCCCCGTGATAAAACTATTCACAAAATATCATTTGAACACTTTACTATGTGGAATTTAAGATAAGAATTTGGGGATGGGGGAAAAGGTATTTTTCTCCCTTCATAGAGATTGTAGTTCTCAGCTGTTACCAAATTGTCGATATAACACGAAAGAGTGACTGCTCTCTTTCAGAGTCTGAAAGAGAAAGAGAATTCCTCCAGGTCAGAAGAAGAGGATAATGATTTTTTAAGAGTATATCGAGAGATTGATGACATGAAGAAGAATTTCAGGCAGGCAAAGGAAATGGCTGGAAATAAATGTCTCAGGCATAACTGGTTTTCCACAGTTGTCTTTCAGAGCTGCCACAGGGAACAACTTCATAGCCTTATTGAGCATGAAGCAGTTAAAGTTTCCATTAAAATTGGCTAAATTAACTCTCCCGATGCTTTCGGACAAATAGTAAAAGGTCAGGCCTGATGTTTAACTGACTTCATAATATCTGCTTTTCTTTTATTTATTAATATTATTTTCACTTTCCTTTTTATTACCATTGTTTCAAATATGTTATTTAAAGTAACTACACATGAGAATGTTATGAAATAGTGAGGCAATATTAAACCAGTCCAAGCATGGTGCTTCTTTCCATAACCACCTTTATATCTAATTGCAGTCCTCGCCTTCCTGTTTTCTTATTGGACCACTAGGCTGGAATGTCTAAGCTGTGTAAATTCAAGCTCACTAGGCTTTTATCTTTGACAGTGCCTAGTGTCACTTTGGGAATATCTTGGGGAATATGTTACATCTGCACATTTTTTTTTCATTTTATTGTCTTTTCTTCCTTGCAAATTGTTACCTAATGACACATTAACTTGTCAGATTATTTGGTTACTTTCTGTTTCAATCATTTCTATTAATTTAATTTTTCACATCCAGTTTTCATGTTTACCGAGCAATTTTGATGTTCAGTTTGTTTTACTTTCCTTACACTACAAATTTCTTGTTTGAAATCTCCTGCCTTATTTCCAGTTTTTTTTTAAATCCCTTTTCCCTCCCTTTCTTTTCCCTCCTTCCCTCCCTCCCTTCCTCCCTTTCTTCTTTACTGTCTTTCTCTCTTTTTTCTTCCTTACCTGCTTCCTTGCTTTTCTTCCTTACTTCAAAATCATAGGGAAGGCTCACAGATACTCAACAATTATTCAATTGTTACATATTCAAATGGTAAGCATGTAAATGCTTACCATGTCCTAAACACTGTGCCAAGCCCATACATATATATTTTTTTAGTTCTCATAACCATTCTCTGAGGCAGAAATTATCATTCCCCTCATTTTGCAGATATTAAACCTCAGGCTTAGAAAGAACATGTAAACTGACCACGTAAGTCAGTGGCAGAGTCATAGACAGAATTGAGCTACGCTGCCTTTCCCCATAGGGTGAGATTCTCAACCATTCTGCCTGTAACTCTATCTCTGACTATAGCTGCAAAGTGTCCTCTAAAAAAGAAAGGATAACTGTTCTTGATGATATTCACCTCAGAAAAATTAAAGTTTATTCCAAATATCAGAGGCTTCCATTAATAGTATTTTATAAGACTATGATCTATAAATGTGTCCAAAGCCAACCTGAAGTCATTTATGTTTTTTACACTTACTATCTCAAAATGGTAGACTTTTCTAGAAGTTTTATATACATCCTATTAGCTGCTCTTCCTTTTAGACCTTTAAAGTTTCCCTCATTCGTCACCCCTTTCACCTGCATGGCATTTTGCCGGCTCACTGCCACATCTCTTCACTCCCTTCCCTTCCTTCTAACATTTTTGGCTTCTGTCGCATCTCTTCTCCACTTCAACTTTCCAGAGTCCTAATTCAGTTAGTCAATTGTCATTCACTGCCTCTGCTTTCTCTTGATTTCTGTAATTGCACTCCTTATGACCCCTTTCCCGTCCACCATATTCTTCTGAAAGTACAGATCAAATAGATGTCCCAACTTATTTCAGACAGGAAAGCTTTGATTGGGCAAATTATATTGTAAGTACTGTGAGGGCTGGGTTGAAAGAAAAATATGAGACTGAAAGCAGGAAAGCTCTTGCAATAACATGGATAAGAGGCAATGAGGTCTGCTGGGGGGAACCGTGGGCTGTGATGAATGGAATGCAGACAAATATGGGGTAAGATCCACTGCCGCCCACTTGCCAGCTCGGTGGCCCTGGGCAAATCACTGAAGGTCTTTGAGCTTTAGTGCTTTCATTTTCAAGATAAAGGTTGTAATATCTATCTTATTTGTTGCTTCAAGCATCAAAGGAAATACATTTATTTTGGCTTATAGGAGATGCTCCAGAAGTTGCAGTCTTCACAATTTAGATTTGGGGCAATTCGGTTGCAAAGAGAGATAGATAAGGGAAACAAAGACGAGAAGAATAAAAGAATGCCAGTAGGTTCAGTTTGAATTATCTCTGGCTTTCTAAATTCCTAGATTGTTCCTAACCTGCCACAATATATGTGGGTTTTCTTTGTCTTGTTTTCATCTGGAAAAACTTACCATCTTTGAAAAGATATGTTTTTGATAATACTAGCCTATATTACTTGCCAGTTAACTGCTATCTGTGAGTTTCTCTGTATAGGAAGTTGGAGGGGGGTAGTGATGGGAAAAGAAAAAAAGCGGTAGCGGAAGGCAGAAAGGTGGGCAGAAGAAAGATGAGAGTGGAGGGTGGCAGCAAAGGCAAGGTGTTACACAATCTTTCTTTTTGATTCATAGCACACACTTTTCCTGAGTTTGCTCCGGGTTGTTTTCAAAGAGTGTACAGATTTCCTGCTGATTATTGACTCTGCTTTACAATTCCAGCGTTTTGTCATAGTTTGTTTTTTAAAGTTGAGTAACCAAGCACATGTACCTTTGTCTATGCCGCTAATACCTCCTTAGTCACATAACAGCTGTTCCCTGGGTCTCTCCTATAGTGCTGTGACACGTTTGTACCCAGCAAGGAAATCATATCCCTCAGTCATCATTACTTTAGTTCTAATCATTTGCATTTCTATAATCTCTCCTATGATACACATTTGTATTTCAGAATTTCTTGCCCTAGTTAATGTGGGAGAATTAGCTAGAAGGTAAGTTATATAAAAAAATCTGTTTTCTTCCTTGTAATTGTCATCTAGAGGTCTCCCCTACCATTATATCCCTTGAAATTCTGAGTAACTACTGTATATGCTTGTATCTGAGTCTCTTGATCAATCTCAGGGAAAAAAGCATGCTATAGTATTATTATTATTATTATTATTATTGAGATGGAGGCTTGCTCTGTTGCCCAGGCTGGAGTGCAGTGGTGCAATCTCAGCTCACTGCAATCTCCACCTCCTGGGTTCAAGCAATTCCCCTGCCTCAGCCTCCCAAGTAGCTGGGATTACAGGCACCTGCCACCACTCCTGGCTAGTTTTTTGTATTTTTAGTAGGAAAGATGCGGGAAAACACAAAGCTGGGCTAGGGTGGTCTGGATTAAGAGAGAGGCCGTGAGTTGGGGAAATCAAAGGTTTACCACCTTCCAAACCACCACTATTTGCAGCCCTCCTGTTTGTCCTCTGCTAGCCAATGCTTCCCCACTCTCCCATTCTGCCTGTGGGTTGCCCCCTTTAGTCCTGACCTCCATCCCATCTCTCCTCCTTCCACCCATCCCAATCAAATATCTCTAATTTGGTAATTAAGAAGGATGTTCATCTAACTAGAATATTCACACCAGCGAATGGATGAGGCTTAACCCCTTCAGAGATCATTTCCATTTTAAAGCTGTAAAAATGAAGAAAGGGAATATTGGGAAAGAAATGGCCAGATCCTGCATTTTTGGTGACCCCATATCTGCTTTTCTAGAGGGCCAAGAGATGAAAATTATTCTGGCTGCATAATTTATAGCTATATGGATTTGAATTGTTGCTTTCCTCTTGCTTCTCTCTGACTTGACCAAGCACGTAGCTAGGCCTTTGTGCCGCTGTGCACGAGGGAAGCTTCATGCAGAAGGAAGGCGGGGAGTAAGTGTGGTTTGTGGTGAACTCTTTCTCGTGATCTTTGTTTTCAAGAATCCTGAGCTCCTCTAGGGGTCTGTACTAGAGCAGAAGGCAGGGAGACCAGGGCCTTTGAGCACAGTGCTCTAGAAGGAAACTGCTGCAGTGTGAGCTCGGTGGACTGTACTCCAGTTAGAGGGTCTCAGCTTTGTCCCAGGCTGTGAGGGGCACAGGAGTAACAAACCTGAACCTCAGAGGATACGTGGGTCTGAACATGAACACGTGTAAGGCATATAGGTGGGCTGGTCATAGGAGGACTGTCCCCATCTAGGCTACTCTGGGTGAGTCTCTCCCTGCCCAAAGAACGTTGAGGACCCTAAACTAGAAGGGCACTCACCGTGATGGAGATTGAATTCCCCATTAGGCAAGTTAGAAGGGGGCTCAGAGACTAATTTGTCTTCAAGTAAACAACATTTTTTAGTATATGGGGGTTTGTGGATTCAAACTTACACTCTACAAGAATCAACTTTAGAGCCATGTAAAATCTCCTTTCATCACTAGCTTGTAAATGATCACAAAACAAAAAGTAGAGTAAAATTCACAATCCTCTAGGCAGCAGTGCAGGTATTACTATATCTTCACTGTCTCCATGTTCTCTATATCATCATTTTACTCAAAGCTAGGCTTTGAGGAATCAGTCAGGTTTATTTTAAAACTGAAAATACAAATGTTAACAACGTCTTTTAAAAAACCAGAGTGTCTCCCAATAGTCCTAGCTCAGCTATTTCATTTTTACATATTACCTTTCACTGGCATAATTTTACACATTTGCAATTATGTCTTGCAGACTGTTTCTTTTCTTTCTCAAAGCCTATGAGGGTTAATGCTTCAAATAACCTGCTGAACTTGAGAAGAACTGACAGAAGATATCTATTAATTAATTAGCTCCAGAGAATGCTAGAGGAAAAATAAGAGTGGCTTGGTCTGGTCATTGTATGCCACACAAATAAAGGCTAAAGGGAGATTTTAAAGCATATCACTGGTTAATTGCATACTATTCAAATCCTGAACTAATGCTTTTTTCCCTCTACTTTTTTTTCTGCCACATATTTTCTTTCCTGAAACACCTTGGGTTCTCCTAATAACCTGGATTTTTAAATACGCTCAGGCCTATTCTGGCCAAATACCTGAACTTACAAGATTCCTCTTTTGTACTGTCCTGTTGCTCTTCCTGCGTTTGCAGATTGATAGAATAAGCACTGGAGGCTGAGCACGGTGGCTCATGCCTGTAATCCCAGCACTTTGGGAGACCGAGGCGGGTGGATCACTTGAGGTCAGGAGTTCAAGACCTGCCTGGCCAACAAGGCGAAACCCCATCTCTACTAAAAATACAAAAAAATTAGCCAGGCATGGTGCCAAAAGCCTGTAATCCCAGCTACTCCAGAGGCTGAGGTGGGAGAATTGCTGGAACCCAGGAGGCAGAGGTCAAGGAGGCTCACTGCTTCCTTGAACTCAGGAGGCAGTGAGCCAAGATCGCACCGCTGCACTCCATCCTGGGTGACAGAGCCAGACTCCTCAAAAAATAAATAGAGAAGCCACTGGATAAAGCAGGTCTTGATTCTAGTTCTCCTTCTGCCTACTTTTAGGAGCTTGGTAGGCAAGCCATTCAGCCTTTACAAACCTCATTTGTTATCAGCAAAATGTGAATTACAAATAGTGATTCTATCTACCTCCCAAGGTGGTTGTTAGGATCAAAAGAATCAAATCTGGGAAAACACTTGAAAAACTTTAACATGGAACACAAATGTAAGCTATTGCATAAGACCAAATTAAATATCTTACATTTAATTGTACTTTTTCCCATCTATCAGTTATAAGCAGGTCACCTGAATTTAAAAAATAACTGATACAGAGTAATGTGTGTGTGCATACCATTCTGGCCATAGAGCATACTGAGAAGACAATATTATAATTCACTGCCTAGTACCATTAGTTAGAATGTTTTCAATCCAACCAGGTGATCTACTTTCTTCCCAAGCAGCTTTTAAAAAAGGTACCAAACTGCCATTAAGTGAAAAAAATAACCATTTTATAAACTTCACAGACATTTACTCCTTTATCTTTCTTGTCATTTGCACAGAAAATAAAATTTGCACAGAAAGCACTGAGTTCACTTACTTGAGAAGTGAGGTGATTCGGTTTTCTCTTCCCTTTGGAATCACCACTTTCCTTCTGCTGTTATTCTATGTGGGCTTCACTAATCATAGAATGGCAGTTTCTTAATCAAAATTGTTTTATTTTGAACACAAAAGCAAATTAAGCAGATTTTTTAAGAGATGGAATCACACAGAGTTTATCTTACCTCCAAAGGAATGGATTGGGTTTGGTGTTTGAGTTTTATTAGGAAATTTATCATAAACTCAGGTCAGATATATTAATAAGTATTATATTTGGCTCAAATGAAAGCAGAGGGGAAAATGACGTTAGGGATAGTGATGGTTGAGAAATAAAAGCCACAAATTATTTAATACTCCTGAGCAACATCAAACAAAACACCTCCAAGTTAAGGGATCACTTTTTACACAGCAATATTTACTATAACAGTGGTCCCAAAATTATTTTATGTTGAACTTAGGTAGTTGGTAAGACTAATATTCAATTTTCAAGAGACCGAAGTTCCTACCCCTTAGGTAGTTGGTAAGACTGTTATTCAATTTTCAAGAGACGGAAGTTCCTACTCCTGGTTTTATCATTCATTAACCTGTGAGCTAGCCAAAGTGTCATTTAAATGTGCTGATTCCTTTGTCTATAAAATGGGAATGTCTATTATTTTAAGTTATTATAAAGTTCAAATGAGAATACATGTAAAACTCTTTTCAAAAGGGAGCATGTGGAAGCATTATCATTATTCTCGATTTAACCAATAAGAAAAATTGTAATGTTAATCTCTTATAGTACAGATTTTGTGTTTTTTTTTACAAATCAAATTTTCCAAGAAATGTTTAAGGTGTTTTCTTATTTTCCAGAGTAATATTTATTGTTAGATTGAGGGAGTGGGTGGAAAGAATACAAATTCAAGTCAAAGTACATAAAAGCATATGCCTATTTAAAGTTTCATTTTCTTTCCCATTCTTATTGTGATATTACTCAGCATGATGTATTACGGGCTTTAGGGGTGATTTGTATTCATCGTAAAATTTTCTCTCAGTACTATTAGAGCCCATTGTGGGATGCTTAGGACTGTCTGAAAGTCATTTATCATTCAGAATTTATGATAAAACCACTGTTAGGCAGCTTCTAGACACTCTGTCATATTTACCCTTCTGGAAAGCAACATAGTGAAAGAACATTTGGGAAGTGACCTTGATGCTTTCATATTGTGCTATTGTAAATATCATTAATGCTAGAACTTTTAAACATCCATCCTATCAAGAATCAACTGCTAAGATGTCTAAAAAGCTATATTCCTACATTTCATTTCTGACTCTTTTCCTCAAATTGTAAATGAGCTGTTTCTAGCAAGCATGGTCCTTGATGTGGCATTGGAGTCTACTTTTTAGATCACTGACATTTACTAAGGCCTTTCAAGAAATGAAGGCCACATTCTTCAGACTGTATTTCTGGAAATTATGTGCATATTTAGCTGGATTTGTTTTTCTGTGCAAGGAAGAGACTAGAGACTTGCTGTGCAACGTTATTGGGATGCCCCCTTGAATAAGTCTCAAAGGTCTGAGCAGCTGCTCAGAATGGGAAGTTGTGCTTCTTTGCCAAGACAAGTATTTTTCATTTTCTAGAGTCATAGATTACATTGGACAGAGAGAAAATGTTCTGGATTCTTATTGTCCCAGTGATACCACCATACTACCTACCTTGCATGCAAGTTGGTGTTGAACAATGCAGTGAATCTACAGTGCTAGTGTGTATTCTTCCTCCTTATTAGGGCAATCAAGAAAAAACAAAACTACCTTTGTCCAGAATTTAAGACGATGACAACTCTCAGTTTTGAAGGGTAGAAATTATTTAAGTGCTATTTTTTTCTAGCACCAAAGCCACTTCTTCCGTACAAAGTACTTAGATTGTAAAAGTTTCTTGTAAAAAAACACACAAAAAACTTCCATGATTCCAAGGAAGAAAAAATGCAAAAACATTACACAGTCCCCCCAGAGAGTTGGATGCTGTCCCTTTTTCAAGGCTTGTTGCTCCATTTCTTTTCTCCTGACCCTACCCACCAATATAACCAGTCTCTCCTTGCCTAACATGTCCTTAGACTTTACTCAAACTGTTCCCACTACTAGTAATGCCATTACCTGATACTCCAACTGTTGAAGTCCTACCCTTCCTTCAAGGCCCCATTCAAATTCTGCTTTCTAGGTCTTCCCATATGTTCTCCGATCAAAATGATCTGTCTTCAGATATACCTTCATGATAATTTGCTTATACTTCTATTAATGGCTTATCGTCAACCTTATTTTATCATTAGTTATCTACTGTGTTTGAAATAAAAAATGGGCAGCATGTTGGTTGTCAAGAATTGTGGAGCATCTGAGATTTTATCCAAAAGTAAGCTAACATGTTTACCTATCAGATTCATGAATGCTGGCAGAAGACATGAAACTCCTGGGTCAGAGACAAAGGACTTTATTACACAAAGATATAGCAGTAGCTGGAATATCAGCATTTGTCCCAGTTCTCTAAACTCCAGTTCCCAAGGGAGACACAAAGAAGGCCAGGTAACGCCTGCATGTGCAGTGGGTTGCCCTGTGGAGAGGAACCCTGAACTCACGAAGCCCAAATCCTTTATAATAAGAAGTAAACCTTACTAAATTTTGCCTGGAGACATTAATTTATTATTCTAAACCACAAACAAACCTGTCCTTTGCTCCAGAGGCAGCTCCCTTTACTGTCTTCCAAGTCTGTTCACTAAACAAACATCCTTAGAAAGATACCCCAAAACAAAGGTGGTCTGTACCTCTGCACCTCTGTCCGTAAGACATGAAGAAATGTAACAGACCCAGAAAATTGATTCCCAACATTAGTTTCCTCTATACTGCCCACCCTTCCCCTTGATTATAAGCCCCTAGAGGGCAAGAAGAATGTCTTATTATAGTTCTCATGGAATAAATGCTGTTTGTTCAAGAAAGTCCATTACATCTTCTGAGTAAATAGAATGATCTACCAGAGATGTTAATAATTTCCTATGTCAACACACTATTTTTAGAGAAATGTTTCTGCCCCAGCTGTCTGGAGACCAATGAGAATATACATTTTTTTGACAACACAGTCTCCCTGTTCTACATGAGTTTTTCTCTTTGGGGGTAACTAATTCTCAGGCCTTCCATTTCCTATTTCTTCTCACTCCTTGCCACAAACACAGTATTTTTCTACTTTTATTCTTGCCCTCGCCAATACCAAATCCTAGGAAAAGAGTGAGATTCATTTGCACCGGGTATAAAAAGCTTTAGTGTCACCCATCTGAGACTTAATGTCAACTTCCATTAAGTGGGAAAGAAATAAAAATTTTGAGAATGTAGCAATTGCTAGAAACCATAATAAATAAAAATGTTTGACTGCTGTTCTTGAAATTGTTCATTCATAATACATTGATGAACATCTACCCTACCTACACACAAGAGTAAGCTTCAGGAATGAGTATTCATACTACAAGGAAGTTATTTACGATGGAAGTACTCTGAGAGTAGAAATACAGCATTTTTATTATCACTTATATATCTGCTATTTTAAAGCTAACACAAAGCAACACAAAATGGTTTTGAATCAGGGACAAGAAAAAACATTGTCCCTGCTAAGACAATCATGTAGTAGTATATATTCTTTGTCTAAGACAATTCTTACATAGGACAGGCACGGTGGCTCACATCTGTAATCTTAGCACTTTGGGAGGCTGAGGTGGACGGATCATGATGTCAGGAGATCAAGACCATCCTGGCCAACATAGCGAAACCCCATCTCTACTAAAAATACAAAAATCGGCTGGGTGTGGTGGTGCGTGCCTGTAATCCCAGCTACTAAGGAGGCTGAGGCACAAGAATTGCTTGAACCCAGGAGGCAGTGAGCCGAGATCACGCACTGCATTCCAGCCTGGCAACAGAGCGAGACCTCGTCTCAAAAGAAAAGAAAAGAAAAGAAAAGAGAAGAAAATTCTTACATAACTCAAGGTTTTTTTCTTCAAATTAACACCCCTTCTAAACATTGAGAGTGCCAAGAGAGTTTGAAAGGGCCAAAGGGGATGGTGATGATCTTAACAGAAGAAATATGCCTGTATGAGTATGGCATATTTGAGTGGTGTGAGTGGTAGCTGCATGGATTTTATAAAAAGTTCAAATAATGCCTAGGGGATACACTGCATTGTATTTAATGCAGCATTTGCATGGGAGTTGCCAGAACTCTCAGAGGTGCTTTCATAGTGTGTCATTTTTAAACTCTGTAGGTATAAAGATGGTTGTGATAATTATGGGCCAATTTTGCTAGTTAATATTCACTGCAAAGTATCAGACCCCATATATTCCATGCCTGGTGCCACTCCAATATTCAGGATTGCAAGTCAAAGTTACCACCTCAGAGAGAACCTCTCTGATCACCAGTCTAAAGCTGCATCTATACCCCATCAGTCAGCCTGAAATGATCTTAGTGGTTTATTTGCTTATTGATAATTTTCTCCTTTCTCCCTCCAGCACATGAGATTTGGGAGTCTTGCCTATTTCTTTAGAGTTGTATCCCTGGGCCTAGAACAGTGTCTGAGACACGGGGAAAATCAAGAAATAATCAAAGAGAGAATGGATCTATTGTTCTACTCTTTTAGGCCACAGTTTCCATTGGTATGTGCAGTTTTCTTGGCAGTTAGCAACTGTTCTCAGCAGAGTGCTGGCCAAGTTTGCTTTCTCAAAACCCACAGATGATAGGTGAAATCCTCATGGCTTGACGAGGAAGGAAGAAGAATCTTTCATTCTTCTCTCACAGTAACTGTGGTTTCCTCCTTCTAATGCTATTGCTTCTCCTTATTTGAGATTTGGGGTTGTGTTAGGCCATTTTTTGCATTGCTAGAAAGAAATACCTGAGACTGGGTAACTGAAAAAGAAAAGAGGTTTAACTGGCTCATGGTTCTGCAGCCTGTGCAATAAGCGTGGCACCAGCATCTGCTCAGCTCCCAGTGAGGCCTCAAAGAGCTTTTACTCATGGCAGAAGGCAAAGTGGGAGCAGGCATGTCACACTGCAAGAGCAGGAGCAAGAGAGAGAGGAGGGAGATGCCACACTCTTTTAAACAACCAGACCCTGCATGAACTCAGAGCGAGAGCACAGATATCACCAAGGGGATGGGCCAAGCTATTCATGAGGGATCTGCCCCCGTGACCCACTGCCTCCCACCTCCAACACTGGTGATTCCATTTCCTTCTTTTTTTCTTTTCCATTTCATCATGAGATTTGGAGAGAACTAACCATATCAGGGTGTTTTTCTGAGTATAGAGAGAATCATTCCTGGTAACTGTTGGATTTTTCAGCAGTTCATCCAGTCCACAGACCATCTTCCCTTCAGTCCCTCCCACCACATCACACAGCCTCCAGCAATTTGTGGGGAATATTTGTTTACAACCGTGTTATGCATATACACATATGTGTGTAACATAGATTATGCATATTTCACACTGATAAATACAAAGAAAATAATGATAGGGGTGCAGGGAGAATGCACACCTGCTGATTCTCACATTTTAAAAGGAAGTACTGGCCGGGAGCGGTGGCTCACACCTGTAATCCCAGCACTTTGGGAGGTTGAGGCAGGCGGATCACGAGGTCAGGAGATCAAGACCATCCTGGCTAACACGGTGAAACCCTGTCTCTACTGAAAAATACAAAAAATTAGCCGGGCATGGTGGTCGGCGACTGTAGTCCCAGCTACTCGGGAGGCTGAGGCAAGAGAATGGCGTGAATCCGGGAGGCGGAACTTGCAGTGAGCCGAGATAGCGCCACTGCACTCCAGCCTGGGTGACAGAGCAAGACTCTGTCTCAAAATAAATAAATAAATACAAGTACTAATTTTATGAGGGCAATTTCAGGTAATAAAACTCTTCTATTTAGTAATTGGGCTAGGTTCTATAAAATATGAGCCACATCAAATCTCAGATGATTTAGGTCACATTGAGTTTCAGATTAGTCTGCCTTTCTGAACCTAGGCAGACTTCTAATAAATATATTCTGGAAAAAAATGCATATATTTCTCTCACCATCAACCCCAAGAAGGACATATGTGATATTTTTCTAGTATTATTTCTAACACAAGCCATCCTTATATTCACCCTCCTCCCTCTCCTGTTTCTACAATTCTGCTCATTTCACATTTTCTGCAGAAGCAGATTTCCAGAAGGAAAAATCAAAGACCTAACAACTGCTGTTAGCACAGGAGTTGACCTAGGAAAGGGCTCCGCATTTGCAAGTTGGAGGCGTAATCTACCTCGCTGTAGATAACTGTCTGTTTCCTTCTGTGGCCCTAGGGCTTTCCCAATTCATCTCGCTGATCAAACCTGGTTACTCAGAGCCTGGGGTGTGTTTGTGAAGGACAGAGCAGGCTGTATTTAGGGAGAATGCCTGTTAACACATAGAAAAAGTGACTTAGTGTTGGCAAGTCTTTCATTTCCCTATTTATCTACATTATTTCTTTACATGGATGTTTCTAACATCACAGGAAGTACTGTGGCTTTCTTGCTGTGTTTTTGTTTTCCTACTCAACCAATATGGTCACCCTTTCCTGTTCACTAAACCTAAAGCAGGAAGATTCTTATACACTCTCCGCATGCTTCCAGGAAAGACTCTGTTGCTTGTTCCTTTGATTGAGGAGATTGCATTGCAAATAGGAAGATATCTTGAGAATGATTAGGAAAGGCTTTTATTCTGGAAATGCTCAAGTACTGAGGTGAAGAAAGATGAAGACCTGCAGAGCTGATTCACATCCATTTAATTGTTATGTAGCAGGACAAGCCACAGACAAAACCCCTCAGACACCGAGTTAAAGAAGGAAGGGCTTTATTCGGTCAGCCAGGGGCTTCGCCGGCAAGACTCATGTCTCCAAAAACAGAGCTCTCTGAGTGAGCAATTCCTGTCCCTTTTAAGGGCTTACAACTCTAAGGGGGTCTGCGTGAGAGGGTCGTGATCGATTGAGCAAGCAGTGGGTACATGACTGGGGGCTGCATGCACCGGAAATCAGAAGGGAACAGAACAGGACAGGAATTTTCACAATGCTTTTCCATACGATGCCTGTAATCTATAGATAACATAATTGATTAGGTCAAGGGTCGATCTTTAACCAGGCCCAGGGCGCGGCACTGCGCTGTCTTCCTATGGATTTCATTTCTGCCTTTTAGTTTTTACTTCTTCTTTCTTCGGAGGCACAAATTGGGCATAAGACTCTATGAGGGGTGGTCTCCTCCCTTAGTTACAGGCCAAATAAATACCAAGAGGAAGGAAAAACAGAAATTCTCAACTGAGAATGTGGCATTTTCATTGAAACACTAGTAATCAGCTAAATGAGATTTAGGGGCTGATATTTATATTTACAAGAATTTTTCTTTCAATAATAAGAAAAGGCCAGGCACGGTGGCTCAAGCCTATAATCTCAGCACTTTGGGAGGCGGAGGCGGGTGGATCACTTGAGGTCAGGAGTTCGAGACCAGCCTGGCCAACATGGTGAAACCCTGTCTCTACTAAAAATACAAAAATTAGCTGGGCGTGGTGGCGTGCATCTGTAATCCCAGATACTCAGGAGGCTGAGGCAAGAGAATTGCTTGAACCCAGGAGGCGGAGGTTGCAGTGAACCGAGATCTGGCCATTGCACTCCAGCCTGGGTGACAGAGTGAGACTCTGTCTCAAAAATTAATTAATTAATTAATTAAAGAAAAACATATTTAACACAGTGTTGAAAATGATTCAGAACTTCCCATCTGACTGAAAAAATCAACAGATTAAGTACTCTGCACTCTTATCTAGTAGAAGTCATGATTCATTGTAGCATTTCAGAGACATTGGCTTTAGTTTCCATTTTGTGAAAAATTAAGAAAGCCAGTAGCTTAACCACAAAAAAACCTTGTTTTATGTGTTAGCTCATAATGATATCCTAATATCACACAAGACAGTGATTTAATCCATAAGGCAAAGAGCTCAAATTTCACACCCAGCTGTCACTTTCTGCCTACCCTGTATAAAGAATCACCTAGTTTCCTTTTTAATCTTACCTCTGTAAGCAATTCCTTCATCTGACTCACAAAGTTCTGAGGGTTGTATCCTTACCTTAAATATACGGATAGCATTTTCACTGAGACTTAAATTATCTCACTGTGGTAAGAAGATAAACATGATTCACCAGGAAAAACAGGAAAGTTGAACATTTAAAAAATAATATTAAACTATTATAAAACATATATGGAAATAAAAAAAACAACAACTAAACTTCACCAGATGGTCAGAGACTTCTAGGAGTTCTGTATACTCAAAATGCTTTGAATAAGATAAGCTTTTTTTCACCACCTTGAAATGTAACGACCCAACAGGTTCACCTTGCCCACAGCCTGGACAGAGCCCGTTTATCAAGACAGGGAACTTGCAGTGGAGAAAGAGTAATTCATTCAGAGCCAGCTGTGCGGGAGAGCGGAGTTTTATTATTACTCAAATCAGTCTCCCAGAGCATTCTGGGATCAGAGTTTTTGAAGATAATTTGGCGAGTAGGGGCTTGGGAAGTAGGGAGTGCTGATTGGTCAGGTTGGAGATGGAAACACAGGGAGTCAAAGCGAGTTTTTCTTGCTGTTTCCTCTTCCTGGGTGGGGTGGCAGAACCATTTCAGCCGAATTACGGGTCTGGGTGGTGTCAGCTGATCCACTGAGGGGTGCAGAATCAGCAAATTATCTCAATTACTGATCCCAGGTTTGACAATAGTGATGGTATCCCCAGGAGCAATTTGGGGAGGTTCAGACTCTTGGAGCCAGAGGCTGCGTGACCGCTGAACTGTAATTTCTAATCTTGTAGCTAATTTGTTAATCCTGCAAAGGCAGACTGGTTCCCAGGCAAGAAGGAATTTTTTTCCAGAAAGAGCTATTATCCATTTTGTTTCAGAGTCAAACCATGAACTGAATTCCTTCCCGAAGTTAGTTTGGTCTATGCCCAGGAATAACAAGGACAGCTTAAAGGTCAGAAGCAAGATGGAGTCGGTTAGGTTCTTTTACTGTCATCATTTCCTCAGTTATAATTTTTGCAAAGGCAGTTTCAGAAACACAAAAAACAAATCTGAAAGCACAGAAGCACACAGACACACATTGGATCGCCAGTTATGATACAGTCATTGTTTCAAATCTTTCTCTCCCTGTAGCAGTGAGAGCCTGGTCTGAGATAGGACCTACTGTCTGACAATCTGAAAAAAACAGAGGAAGGTTCAAGTGCCACGAAGAACCCCTTTCAATCTAACTCTCAAATGTGTCAACTGAAAGGTTAAATAACAAGCACTGTAACTTAAAGAAATTTAAAGTGAGCTTTATTCTGGGCCAAGTTTGAGGATGATAGCCCAGGAAACACAGAGTCAGGGCAAAACGACAATGTGTCCCCAAGTGGGCTACACGAGGCACAGTATTTATACATTCCTCCTACGCAGGAATGGGAGAAGGGGGCAGTCAAGCAAAGGCGACAATCTTACAATTCTGTTTGTTGCTCAGTGGTCTTATACATAAGATACAGCAAATATGTGGTTAAGGCATAGAGGGTAAAATGTTTAAGAACATGTGGGCATCTTAGGGCCAGAGAGGAATGACCTGTTCTACTGTGCCCTTGTGAATCATCTGCTAGGCAAGGCTGTAATCAGTACAGGTCAGTGAAATATTTGACAGCCTCAAGCCTTGCAGACAAAGGTTCAGCTCTAGTTCATGGGCGTCGTTTCCATTACCATATATCCAACCTGTAACCATCTTGGGCTGCTTTTAAATATTTTCCCTTCAGATTTTCCTTTTTCTGACATGTAGAATGAAATCAAGCAGAACGCTACTCTGACTATCTCAATTTATATATTTTCTAAAAACAAAATTTGACATTTGCATGGTAATCTTTCAGCAAATTTGGCAGAAAAAAAACCCAATTCAAATATTTCAAAAGAATTCCACCTGTTCTTTTAAAAAGTTATTGGAGACCCATCAATGACAAAAAATACCTTTCAAGCTCTCCCTCAAACAGTGTCACATTTACCAGGTGACATTTTCTTCTACTTCACATAACTTATCTGACACAGGAGCATATCAGCAATATACTACAGGGAAGATAATTGGAATCAAGAAAGCTAATCCACCTTTCTGCTTCAACTGTCAGAGAAAAAAAATTGAAGTCGCAGCAAATACTTTTAAAAGCACAAGAGTAGAATGTCAATTTCCTGACTCAGCAACCCAAACAAAAATGACAAATCTATTCACAAAGCCGGAAGAATCTGCCACATCTGGTATTCAGTGGCATAATGTGCTTTCATAGCTAACTTGAATGGAAGTTATAGGAAAGAAAGATGTGACAATCCCTTTGCCCCAGCCTCCATGTAAGGATATCATACGTGCATAAGGGGATACTGCCCAATAAATTCAGCTGAGTTAAAGTGTTAAACTAGTACTTTGGTCTAACAGACCAAAAGTTTCACAAAAGTAATTCTAAATGCAAGAAAGGACAATGATTTCCATAATACTTGTAGAAAATGATGTCACCTGGCCACAAAGTTAATTGGAAAGCAAAATGGACCCAGGTAAATCTTAACACACTGGTATTCACACACCCCCATCTTCCTTATGCCTGGAAGCAGATTCCTAAGCATTGGGCACAAACACATATGCTGATTTTAGAAATTCACCTGCTTGTAAGAAAAAAAAAAAGCTGACTTGATAAATACATTGTTCTTATTTATGTCGTATCAGGAAGTGGATCTTTGAAGTTATTTTGCCAAGGACAATTTTCGCAAGGTATCCCTGTCTTTCTGCTTGTTTCCCTCCCGCTCACGTGTGATCTCTCTCTCTCTCTTTTTCTCTCTCTGTCTCTCTGTCTCTTTCCTTGTTTCTTTCTAGGACGTCTCTGACTTAGGAGCATCTACCAACCTTACCAAGATGTTGCACATGATTTCCAAAATCTGAAGGGTCATCTCTCCTGGGAGAGAAATGTCTAAATATCCCCTAGGCCAACAGCCATGGTATGAAGCAATTCCTTTCTTCAAGGTGGCAGCAAATTGATGGGGTAGTGAGACCAGCAACCAGCTAGGCACAGGGAAAGGCCGCCCCCCTGCTCCACCCCAGTGCTTGCCACCTCCTACTCAGCGGAGGAAGGGGAACTGTCTTTGGATTCCAAGGCTGATCTCCAAAAAAGTCCAGAAATTAAATAAAATAGAAAGTTCAAATTCCTTTATTTTTGATTTTCTACTTTTATACTAAAGCATTTAGAGGGGAAATAACATCTAGGAAAATGATTTTTACAAGGAAACTTGAATTTAATTTTTTTTTTTTTTAGACAGAGTCTCGCTCTGTCACCCAGGCTGGAGTGCAGTGGCGCAATCTCGGCTCACTGCAAGCTCCGCCTCCTGGGTTCATACCATTCTCCTGCCTCAGCCTCCCTAGTAGCTGGGACTACAGGTGCCCGCCACCACGCCCTGCTAATTCTTTTGTATTTTTAGTAGAGACGGGGTTTCACTGTGTTAGCCAGGGTGGTCTCGATCTCCTGACCTCGTGATCCACCCGCTTTGGCCTCCCAAAGTGCTGGGATTACAAGCGTGAGCCACCGCCCCGGCCAAATTTAATATTTTATAGGCTGGGTTCAGAATCCTGTCTCCCATCAAGATGGTAACCTATTATCACACTTGTGGAAAACGCCTGAGGCATGAGTGATTGCAGACTAATTCACAGTCTGTCACATCGTACTACTTGTCATATACCAATATAAACAGATACCATATTTTTGTCACTAATAAACATGTTTTTGTTATGAAGGCTTTAATGTAATTAATTCTACCTGTAACTTCAAGCCCAAGAAAGTAATTTTTGATATTTGCCTACAAATATCATGAATAGTAAATAAGCCTGCCCTCTCCCGCCCTTTAAACGTTAAACCACCCTCGTCAACAGTCTTAGCTACTACATTTTTGCAAAATTCCCTTATGACAGGTTCCAACGTTGCTCCACAAGAGTTTCATTGTTTCTTTTCTTTCTTCTTTTACAAGCAAATATCTATGGATTTCCCACTAAGGTGAATGCATTACACTCAGAACTGGGGAGACAATACTTAACACAGAGATAGTTCTCCGTCTTAGCATCTAGAAAGGACAATCACAGGCAATGTAAGTTAGTGTGATAAATGTTATGCTGGGGGTGAACAGGTGCTGATGGAGAACTTGTGAAGGATACCTGATCAGGATTAAGGGAGTCAGCGAAAGCTCCCTGTAAGATGCGGTGAACTTTAAAATAGAAGGTGGAGGGTAATCAAGAGTCATCCCGGCAAAGAAGGGCTTGTGGTTGGAGGTAGAGTGTGAAGAGTGGGGAGTTGTGAAAAAATGGGGTTGGTGATGTTGGGGCTCAGAAAACGGTACCAAAATTGTGTTACCAGCAGGTCTTTGTTCTTAGAGCTCCCAAGATGGTGGGGGGGCCGCTCCCAAGATGGCACAAGCCTTTTGTTCCCTGACCTGGGGTTCTTGGCCTCACGGATTCCAGGGAATGGAACGTTGGGCCATGAGGTGAGTTGTTATAGCTCTATTAGAAGCCGTGGGTCACAGAAGAGAACCGTGGAACCCAGCGACTAGCGTTCAGCTCAATTAGGATGAACCTGGGCACTTAGCCGCGCAGCAACAATGGCGAGCCTCTAGCCCGACCGGGAGCGGCAACGGGCGCCTCGCTGGATCAGGAGCACAGCAGGCACCGGGCTGGATCTGGAGGGTGGAAGTCAGTGGCGGGTCTGCGACGGCAGCAATCAGCAGTGGCGGACGGTGAGTGAAAGCTCAGCTCGAGCCAGAACAAACACGGACCAGAAGAGCGCGCAGTTGCAAGATATAATAGAGTGAAAACAGAGCTCCCATACAAGGGGAGGGGACCCAAAGGGGGTTGCCACACCGGATCCAATGCCTGGGTTTATATCCCGGTCATTGTCTCTCCCTGTGCTCTCAGGCGATAGATGATTGAGTATTTCTTTACCTCCTGCTTTTAGCCTAATTGGTATTTTAGTGAGCTGTCTTTACTTCCTGATTGGTCAGGTGTGAGCTGAGTTACAAGCCCTGTGTTTAAAAGCGGGTGCGGTCACCTTCCCCAGCTAGGCTTAGGAATTCTTAGTCGGCCTAGGAAATCCAGCTAGTCCTGTCTCTCAATTAGAAGGCCTCAGCAGCAAACGTTTTCTCTGACCTTCTCCTGCCCTCCTGTCCTCTTATTGCATTCCCTACCAAGGCTAGCCACAGAAACTTAGACCCATCCACAGGGTGTATCTTAGAAACCAGAATTTCTTTTCCCCAAAGCCAATAATAAGACCTAAACATACTACTCTTAATTTGCCTTCCTCTCTATCCGTGTAAAACCGATCATAAAAAAATTATCTGATCTACCTTGTAAAAGCCTCATTCCAAAGAGGGTCCTGCCCCACACCCAGAAGGAAGGAAAGCTGCACAGAGAGGCCAAGAAGAATCTAAACAGAAAGGTCTTGCAGGGTGACCCCACCCAGTCTATTAGCAAGGTCCAATGAACTTTCCCCTTAGCCCCTACAGCGATGTCAGCAAAGTCCACATCATGTCACATTCTCAAACTACATGAAGGATTAGTAGGATCCTAGGACCAATGTAATAACTAAAAAATTAGATGAATTACATTTGGGTTATAATAACATTACTCTGGCTGGAGTTTAGAGAATGGATCAGAGAAGAGCCTTAGACTAGGGGTAAGAAAATCAGTTAGGTAGCTGCTGGGATAATCTACATGGGAGGAAACGGTGGCCAACCTACAGAATCACTGGCGAGGATGGTGAGAAATAGATGGATTTGGAATATATTGGAAGTACAGTGAACTCCATGATTGATTCTGTTTGAGTAAATGAGTGTTGAAGTTCTTGAATAGCTGGATGGATGCTATTGCCATTGCCTGAGACAGAAAACACAGTAGAAGGAACACATTTTTTGAGAAACATGAGTTCAAGTTGTACCTGATGAGTTTGATGATAATTGCGGGATATCCCAGTGGAACTTTCCAGTAGGCACGTGGGTCTATGAGACCAAACTTTCAGCGAGAGATGGAGCGTGATGGCAGGAGAAGCAGATGTGGGACTCATCACTTCCTAAAGACGACATAGAGCCATAGGGGTCAATGAGACAGCCCAGGGAGGGTGTGGAAGACGATAGGGCCTAGGACAGAGCTTCGAGGAAGGCAGACATTCAAGATTAGGCACAAGAAGGGAAGTCATAGAAGCATACAGAGGAGCAGAAGCAATTCTTCTTAAGCTTTGAATCCCACCCTCTTCCCCAGGTCGCTCACGCCATCCATTATTCCTTCTCTACTCTGAATTTTTAATTTTTCCCTTTCTACTGGATTCTCCTCATAGGCTTTGACCACACTCAGGTTCCTCTCATCTTAAGGAAAAGCAGCCAGCCTTTGACTCCACCCACTTCCCTCCATGTATTGGCCTATCCTCTCCTCAAAGGCAACTTCAGTAAATTACTCAAGTGATTTTTATTTACTCTCTCTCTTGCCCCACCTACAGTCATATTTAGCTCACTCTATCTGGCTTCTGCTCTAAGTATATTCTAGAAACAATCCCCATTAAAGTCATGAATGATTTCTGTGTCTCTAAATTCAACAGATATTATTCATTCCTTAACACTTCATCCTTTTTCTTTTTTCTTTCTTTTTTTTTGTTTTTTGTTTTTTGTTTTTGAGACAGAGTCTTGCTCTTGTTACCCAGGCTGAAGTTCGGTGGTGCAATCTCAGCTCACTGAAACCTCCACCTCCTGGGATCAAGTGATTCTCCTGCCTCAGCCTCCCGAGTAGCTGGGATTACAGGCGTGCGCCACCACTCCTGCCTAATTTTTTTTTTTTTTTTTGTATTTTTAGTAGAGATGGTGTTTCACCATGTTGACCAGGCTGGTGTCGAACTCCTGACCTCAAGTGACCCACCTGCCTCAGCCTCTCAAAGTGCTGGGATTACTGGCATGAGCCACCACGCCCGGCCACTTCATCCTTTTTGAAATACATCCTGTTTTCCTTTGGACAGGTGTAAGGACAAACACAATTTGAAAATAAGAGGCTTGACTGTCCCTGATGACAATTAAGAGAAGAGATCTTTCTACCCCACCTCCTTTATCTCAGGACACTTACTTTAGAATTAAACTCCTGAGTACCTTTTCCTGTTTTGAAATGTATATAAATCCCTGGAAGATTAATAGGCCTTTTGTCAGCTTTATGACCTAGGGAATGTCTTTCTCAAAGAACTGGGAGCCCTCTCTTTGCAATGTAAACATCTGGGGAGATAGAAACACTGTCTCCCAGTTTCTGTGTTAAGGTAGGGGCCTACATTTAGTGAGTGCCTCTCTCCAAGTTGGAAAATGACCTTCTGTCATAAAGATATGAGAAGTTTGTTTTCCCTCTAGACCATGCCATATTTACCCATCACACATGCTCATCCCAATTACCAGATGAAGTGAGGGTGAGCTATAAGTGACAAATGGTGCTGGTAAGTCCTCTAACTCTAGGACTAGTTATTGTTTAACTTGAGAATGAGAATCGGTTGTGTCTGCTTGGCTATAGAAAAGGCTGAGATTTCTTTTTGTCTTTTCAATTTCTTAGCAGATCGCCTGTGAGGCTTGCTTGCTCAATACTTTTTAAAAATGTTTTCTTTCTCTTCTTCCTTTGTGGAGAGGATTTCTGAGTTGCAAGAAGGTTTTGTTTTAAATTATATTTCCCCTACACTGGTTGTCACCAACAGAATGTCACCATTTTCCATTCTGTGTAATATTATCTTTCTGTCTACCGACCATTTTTTTTTAACACACTGCAGCATGATTTTTCAAATGTGAACGTGACTACATCAAAGCCCAGGTCCATCTCTTTCCCCTTACTACTTATTTAAAATACTACAGTGATCTTAGCATTAAAATTACAACCAGTAATAGAGTTTGCGCAGGCCTACAATCTCGGGCTTTATCTTGTACCCTTCTTGTCTCTAGCCACACTAACCTTCTAGTTTCTCAAATGTGCCGCACTCCTTCAGTCTAAACAAGTCTCCCCTCTTCAGCACCCCCAGCTCATTTTGCTTAATTAACTCTATTTTACCGTTAGAATCTCAGCTCATGTATCCCATCTTGAAGGGAAGCTTAGCTCTCACAAAAGCAAGGTCAGATTTTCCTGGTATAGTTATCACAGCTCTGTACACAATTTTTTTTTGATAATCCTATTGCAGATTGTTTTGTGAAATTATTTGCTGTCTTCTCCATTTGACTATAAGCTCCAAGAGGGCAGGGTCTTTATCTGTTTTAACTTACCGTTGCTTCTCCGTGGCCTAATACAGTGCCTGGCATATGGTAGGAGTTCAAGAAAAGCTCCATTCATCCTGCTCCTCATTGGAACAAAATGTTGCCATGCTATGCAATAAATGAGAAAAAATTTCAGGAAGTTCAATGTTAATTTTTTTCAGTTGTTAGCTTCCTTTCGAATCAACTATAAAGGTATGTAGTTAAGAAATCTACTATTTTATTAAAGGTGTTTCTTATGGATTCCATTTGCAAAGTCAGTATTGACTTTTGACTTAGATTACTGCTGTTTATTGATTACTGTGTAACTAATTAACCCAAAACTTGGTAGTTTGAAACAGGAGTTGACGAACTTTTTCTGGGAGTTGACAAACTTTTTCTGTAAAGAGTCATATAGTAAATATTTTAGAGATCTCTGTTGCAACTACTTCACTCTGTCATCGTAGTACAAAAGCAGCCAACAACGGTACACAAAAAAATAGGTGTGGCTGTGCTCCAATACAGCTGTACCAATGGACACTGCAATTTCCGTTTCAGATGATTTTATTATGTCACAGATATTATTGCTATTTTGATTCTTTTTGCAACCTTTCAATAATGTAGGACTCATTCTCAGCTCACAGGCTATACAGAAACAGGCCATAGCCTAGATTTGACCCATAGGCCATAGTTTGCCAACAATAATATTTTTATTATCTTTGACTCTTTGGGGGTTAAGGATTAAGACAGATCATAGCAGGTTGATTCTCCTGCTCGTCTTGATATTGACAGAGGCCAGTTGGTAGTATTCGTCTTTGGATGTGTTGGCCTGGCGAGTGTAAGAAAGCTTTTTTTTTTTTTCTTAGATGGAGTCTCACTCTGTCACCCAGGCTGGAGTGCGGTGCTACAGCAGCTTTATTCGTATTTCTGGCACCTTGGTGGGAGTGCTGGAAAGGCTGAGCTCAGCTGGGATTGTGACTCCAATTTCTGGACTTTCAGAGAGACTGGAGATTACCAATATACATTTTGATAGAGGGTATGATCTTTTCCACATGTAAAATGAGTCAGGTTTGGAGAGGAAGGAATGATACTTATGAGCATTAACAAAGTACAATGGTGTAGTGGTGTAAGTTCTTCGGTTTCCTCATAAGAAAGTGCTTATGCTAATGCACACCGTCAGGTTTTGTAGCACTGTTCGCTTTTCATCTCATCATTTTCTTCTTTTTTCTTCATCCTTCAATTGCCTTTCCTTTTCAGTTCAAAACAAGCCTGCAGAGTAAATGCTGAAGCATAATCCTGTATTAATTTATGGGCCATGGTGTGGCTTACTAGAAATGAAATGCTCTGGTCCCATGAAATCCTAATCACTTTCACAGCCAGCAGGTGCCAGAGTTAAAGCATTTCCAGTGAAGTGAACAAGAACATTAAATAAAACCCATGCTCAGGACTGGATGCATTTAAGTCAGGAAGAGGAAAGTACTGTGTTACTGATCAAAGTCTGGCCCAGGGAGGCAACTCTATTTGGCTTTAACTCAGTGGGAAAGGCAGTAACTTCAAATCCATGGTCAGTTCAATTCAATTTATGAGAGACTTACCCAGTTATTTCTGTATTGCATGGCAAGCAGCGAGGCTCTGAGCTGGCTTATGAAAGATCTCCCAGGTGAAAGAGATATAGAAAAATTGCCCCCCATGCAAGTTCTTTCAACTATCCCTGACCCTTTGAGCCATTCTGTGGAAGTAGATCAGAATCTCAAGGGAAGGGGGAAGGCATCTGTGTTTGGAATGGACAGTCCTGGTCCCATTCCCTGGTGAAAATTTCTCTCTCATGTGGCACAAGTGGTGGGAAAAGCCCTCTCTATTAACTACTGACTAGGAGTTGCCAAAAGAAAAGCAGGTTTGGGGGAAACCCCAACTTATATGTGCTGAGATTAATGAATGAACTTCCTGAATAGACAAGTGACTGAGAATAATTTTCTAAAGTGTACATACAATAGATATAAAGATATCTTTAAAGACATTGTAAGTCCAAAAGATGCTGAATAAGGGATAATTTAAAAATAATATGATTAAGGTTAATTCTGATGATTGATTATGTCAACCAAAACAGGTTCTCAGAGCTGACAAACACTTTCCATATATCTTAAACAGCAGAGGGCTGTTATAGCCAATAGAATGGTGAAGAGAAATAGAATGATAAGCCAAAAACTACAGACAATCAGAAAATTGTTGATGCAGTATTAGATTTGGAATATCTGATATGAACACCGTGGCAGAATATGTATCTTCTTAATGATATTTAACTTACAAAAATATTAGAATCAGCTTGCTTTCCCTGCGTTCTACTTATGATGTCATGCAGAATATTGCCCAGGTTTTGATTTTGACAGTAGTCCTAATTTTGAATGCCAGTTTTATCTAAAAAATGATTTTATAACCGATTAAAATAGCTTGGGTAATGTGTAAGCATAATAGCATAAAAATTTTTAGAATTAAATTAAAGTTACTAACATTGTCTTCATTTTCACTTCTAAGTTTAATACAGTACAGGCATACCTCAGAGATATTGCGGGTTTAGTTCCAGACCAACACAACAAAGCAAATATTGCAATAAACTTAATCACACAATTTTTTTTGGTTTCCCACTGCATATAAAAGTTATAGGCCAGGTACAGTTGCTCATGCCTGTAATCTCAGCACTTTGGAAAGCAGAGACAGAGGGATCACTTGAGCCTGAGAGGTTGAGGCTACAGTGAACCATGGTCATGCCACTGCACTCCAACTTGGGCAACAGAGTGAGAACCTGTCTCAAAAAAATTATGTTTACACTATGCTGTAGTCTATTAGGTGTGCAATAGCATGATGTCTAAAAAAATAGTGTATATAACAATTTAAAAATAGGCCAGGTGTGGTGGCTCATGCCTGTAATCCTGACATTTTGGGAAGCCAAGCCTGGAAGATTTTGCTGGAGGCCAGGAGTTTGAGACCAGCCTAAGCAACTGAGTAAGACCCCCATCTCTACAAAAATAAATAATGATTAACTGGGTGTGGTGGTGGGCACCTGCAGTCTTAGCTACTCAGGAGACTGAGGCGGGAGGATTGCTTGAGGCCAGGAGTTTGAGACCAGCCTAAGCAACTGAGTAAGACCCCCATCTCTACAAAAATAAATAATGATTAACTGGGTGTGGTGGTGGGCACCTGCAGTCTTAGCTACTCAGGAGACTGAGGCGGGAGGATTGCTTGAGGCCAGGAGTTTGAGACCAGTCTGGGCAACATAGTGAGACCTCTTTTCTACCATAAAGTAAAATAAAATAAAAATACTTTATTGCTAAAAAATGCTAAAAATCATTTGAATTGTCAGCAAGTTATAATCTTTTTGCTAGTAGAGGGTCTTGCCTCGATATTGATGGCTGTTGACCGATCAGGGTCGTGGTGGTTACTGAAGGTTGGGGTGCCTGTGGCAATTTCTTCAAATAAGACAACAATGAAATTTGCCATATCGATTGACTCTTCCTCTCATGAAATATTTTTCTGTAGCATGCAATACTGGTTGATAGCATTATACTCACAGTAGAAATTTTCAAAATTGGAGTTAATCCTCTCAAATCCTGTCACTGCTTTAACAAATAAGTTTATGGAATATTCTAAATTCCTTGTTGTCATTTCAACAATGTTCACATAATCACCAAGAGTTGATGTCATCTCACGAAACTACTTTTTTGCTCATCCCTAAGAAGCAACTTCTCATCTGTTAATGTTTTATCATGAAATTTTAGCAATGCAGTCACATCATCAGGCTTCACTTCTAATTCTAGTTCTTTTGCTATTTCTACCACATCTGCTGTTACTTTCCCCACTGGAGTCTCAAACCCCTCAAAGTCATCCATGAGAGCTCGAATTAACTTCTTTCAAGCTCCTGTTATGTTGATACTTGACCCCCTCTCATGAATCATGAATGTTCTCAATGGGATCTAGAATGGTGAATCTTTCCTGAAAGGTTTTCAATTTACTTTGCCTAGACCCATCAGAGGAATCACTGTCTATGACAGCTATAACCTTATGAAATCTATTTCTTAAACAATTAAACTTGGAAGTCAAAATTACTCCTTGATTTATGGACTGCAGAATAAATATTGTGTTAGCAGGCAAGAAAACATTAATCTCCTTGTACCTCTCCATCCAAGCTTTTGGATGACCACATGCATTTTCAGTGAACAGTAATATCTTGAAAGGGATCCTTCTTTTCTGAGCAGTAGGTCTCAACAGTGGGGTTAAAATATTCAGTAAAGTGGGCTTAAAATATGCTATAAACAATGTAAAAAAAGTGGGCTTAACATATGCTGCAAAATAAGTAGATATGCTGTCATCCAGGTTTTGTTGTTCCATTTATAGAGCACAGGCAGAGTAGATTTAGTATAATTCTTAAGGGCCCTATGGTTTTTGAAATGATAAATGAACATTGGCTTTAACTTCAAGTCACCAGCTGCATTAGCCCCTAATAAGAGTCAGCCTGTCCTTTGAAACTTTGAAACCAAGCCTTGACTTCTCCTCTCTAGCTAAGAAAGTACTAGATAGCATCTTCTTTCAATAAAGGCTGTTTCATCTACCTTGAAAATCTGTTGTTTAGTGTAACCATCTTTACCAATTATCTTAGCTAGTTCTTCTGGATAACTTGCTGTAGCTTCTACCTCAGCACTTACCACTTCATCTTGTACTTCTATGTTATGGAGACAGCTTCTTTCCTTAAACCTCTGATGGCTTCCAAGTTTTCTTCTCCTGCTTTCTTACCTCTCTCAGCCTTTATAAAATTGAAGAGAACTAGGGCCTTTCTCTGGATTAGGCTTTGACTTAAGGGAATGTTACGGCTGGTTTGATCTCCTATCCAGACCACTCACACTTTCTGCGTATCAACAATAATGCTGTTTCTCTCTTTTATCTTTTGTGTGTTCGCTGGAGTAGCACTTTTAATTTCCTTCAAGAACTTTTCCTTTGCATTCATAACTTGGCTAATTGTTTGGCACAAGAGGTCTGGCTTTTGACCTATTTTGGTTTTCAACGTTGCCTTCCTCACTAAGCTTAATCATTTCTAGCTTTTTATCTAAAGTGAGAGGCATGTGACTCTCTTTCACTTGAACACTTAGAGGCCATTATAGGTTGTTAATTGGCCTAATTTCAATATTGTTTTGTCTCGAGGAACAGGGAGGCTGGAGGAGAAGAGAGATGGGAGAATGGCCGGAGGGTGAAGCAGTCAGAACACACACACATGTATCGACTAAGTTTGCTGTCTTATATGTGCACAGTTGGTGGTGCCCTAAAACAATTGCAGTGGTAACTTCAAAGATCACTGATCACAGAGCACCATAACTAGATAAAATAATAATGAAAAAGTTTGAAATATTGTGAGAATTAACAAATTGTGACATAGAGAAACAAAGTGAACACATGCTGTTGGAAAAATGGACTGATAGACTTGCTATCAATGCAAGGTTGCCACAAAACTTCAGTTTATAAAATATGCAATATCTGCAAAGAATAATAAAATAAAGCACAATAAAATGAGATATCCCTGTATTTAGAATTTTTTTTTTTTTTTTTTTTTTTTTTTTTTTTAGAGATAAGGCCTCACTCTGTCACCCAAGCTTGAGTGCAGTGGTACAATCATAGATCATTGCAGCCTCCTGAGCTCAAGCGATCCTCCCATCTCAGCCTCCAGAGTAGCTGATACTACAGGCATGTACCTCCATACCAGGCTATTTTTAATTTTTTTTTTTTTGTAGAGCTGAGGTCTTGCTATGTTGCCTAGGCTGGTCTTGAACTCCTAGCCTCAAGTGATCCTCCCACCTTAGCCTTCCAAAATGTTGGAATTACAGGTGTGGATCACCACACCTAACCAGAATTACTTTTTCATTACAAACGTAGTAACAGTCACAGTAGTCAGTGTGGCAATCCAAGGATGCATGTAGCAAAATCTACAAAACGCATATTCATGCTGTGATATGAGCATTGAGAAAGAATTGAGAAGCTACTCATAAGTGTGGGCTAGGAATGGAAGAAGTGGGTCTGAGGATACTTTGAACTAGGCCAATATATCAATATATAGTTAAGCATGAATTCTGTTTTGTTTCGTTTTTTTTTTTTTTTTTTTTTTTAGATGGAGTCTTGCTCTGTCACCTCTGCTGGAGTGCAGTGGTGCAACCTCGGCTCACTGCAACCTCTGCCTCCCGGGTTCAAGCAATTCTCCTGCCTCAGCCTCCCAAGTAGCTGGGATTACAGGCACCCACCACCACGCCTGGCTAATTTTTATTTTTGGTAGAGACGGGGTTTCACCATGTTGGCCAGGCTGGTCTCGAACTCCATCCGACCTCAAGTGATCCACCCGCCTTGGCCTCCCAAAGTGCTGGGATTACAGGATTGAGACGAATTTATGGGTTAGACAATAACCTAGGGAGGAGGGAAAAAAGGAGGAAATGTTGTTGATGTGACAAGTGGGTGGTTGTGTGTGTTTATGTGTATTTTTCTATACTGGGTAATAAAAATATTGCCTAGATTTATAAGATGACAGAAGGAAACCCTTCAGAGGCTCTTGAATTTGATCCTTCTGTAAATCTATGTCCTGAAAGAATAGCTACAAGAGTATTTTATAAGCAAAGATCTCCAATCCCCTTTCTTCTTTCAGCAAGTTTTGTCATAATCATGACACAAATAATTCAGTTTTAAAAAACAAAGCTGTTCTAGAAAATGACTGTTAATGGAGCACTTGAAGCATATTCGGACTCAACAAGCCAAGTTCAAATAGTATTTGTGGGCATGAGAACATGGTTTGTTTTTATCTGCACCCAGACATTCTATCCCTGGAAAAGTTTTGTGCCATGATTTTTTAAAAGAAATACTGTCTAGAGCTTTGACAGTGCTCTCTGCTGATAATCCTTAACCAATTAAATAGGACCCACCAGAGACCTTGTTCATAAAAGATTTGCAGAAAAGTCACAATGTAGTTGAATTCAAAATGAAGAGTGTAAGATAAGTGAGCAATTTTTGAATAATAACATATTCAGTAAAAGATAAAACATATCACCTCGAAATACAATGGAACAACATTAAAGTAGATATCTTGGGAGACATTTCTCTCCCCTAACAACTCTTTAGAATAAACAGATTTCTTCAGGGTTACTTTGAAAGACTGTAACACTTAAAAGGTAATTGGGTCAACAATCTTGTTTTGAGACAACACTCTAGGGATGCACTCAACTTGCCTCCAAGCAACAGCATCATTTTGATAATTTGAAGAACAAAAATGTTAGTTTGATGGCCTCTAGCTGAACTGACACTCATAGAGAAAGAAACTAGTTTGTTTATTTCTAAGGGATATTGCATATCAAGACCTGAATTAATACCATGTGTTGACACACAATAACTACTGGTTTCCAGAATAGGATGTCACTTTTGCAAGATTTTGTACTTTGTTTATTTTCTTCTTAAGTTAGGGACAACAGCAGTAGGAAATAAGGTCTACAGAAGGAAATGGGAGCCATAGAATTATAGAATATGGATTCTGCAGGAGAGAGCAGGCAAGGGAGGAGAATTAGAATACATTAAATTCCTATTGTATGCCAGGCACTCTGGTAGGTGCTTCATAATTTATCATTGCTGTATTAGTCTTATAAAGCACGTATTCATGTCTCTCATTTGGCAGATGTGAAAAAGGCTCAGAGAAGTCAAGTACTTTCTCCAATGCCACGTGGATAACGTGGTAGCAGAAAAAGAGTTCTAATTTAGGGCTGTCAGGTTCCAATGTTATTGTTCTTTCTAATTGAAGGCTGACTCAGGAAAAGAACTAGATATCATCTAGCTCTTTTCTAATTCTAATGCACTGCTCAATTCCAATGTGCATATGAATCAGCACATTAGATCTTGTGAAAATGCAGTTTCTGATTCAGTAGGTGTGGGGAGGGGCCTAATATCCTGCATTTTTTAAAGCACCCTGATGATGTAGATGGTGTTGGCTTGGGGACTACACTTATGGTAGATAGTCTCTAGTTTACCCTCTCAGGTTCAGATGTAGAAACCTAATGTTCAGAGAAAGAGCCTAAGATCCCTGACTGGTGCTGAGTTTGAGCCAGTGTCAATGCCAAAAGGTGGTTTTGGAGGTAGCCCCCTCCTATTCTCCATCATTCCACCAAAGCAGACCCACATAAAAGTGCATGTACTTGCTATGCAAATTCAGTTACAAGAACTCCCTAGGCCCCTATTTCAATGGGATTGCTGTCCCTGTCTTCTATTGGAACTCTGGAGTCATCATCACTGTGAACCTCTGTGTTCTGACTTCTACTTGGTGCTCTTTCTACTGTAACTGAGTTGTTACATCTCAAAGTGGCATATACAAATGAGAAATGAAATGAAACCATTATGATTCCCCCACAGCAGGAGCCACAAACTCAAATGTCCATGGTCAGGCAGGTAATGTAAAGGAATAACACGGTCCTCGTGGGTACTGACAAAACTGAGCGCTCGTGTCCATCCCAAGAGGGCAGCTGATACACATGTCCTGGTGGTCACCACCATGTGGAATGCAACCTTAATGCTGACTGATCTTCCAGGTTTTCGGAGAAGTTGGAAATATGGATTATTTTAAATAGACCATTTAAAAATAGTCTTTTTAGAGCAGCTTTGGGTTTGCAGCAAAATCAAGCAAAACATGAAGTTCTCATATACCACTGCCTCCCCATTTTCTCCCCCGTATCAATATCCCCCACCACAGTGGTTCCTTTGTTACAAACCCAGAACCACATCCATAGTCCACAGTTTACATTAGCTCTTATTCTTGGTGTTGTACATCCTATGGGTTTTGACAAATGCATAATGACATGTACTGTGACTGCCCTAAAAGTCCTCTGTGTTCCGCCTATTCATCCCTCCCTCCATACTACTCCTGGCAACCACTGATTTTTTTATAGTCTCCATAGTTTTGCTTTCCCAGAATATCATATGGTTGGAATCATAGAGTATGTGACCTTTTCAGATTGGCTTACTTCAGTTAGTAATATGCATTTAAGGTTTCTCCATGTCTTCTCATGGCTCAAAAGCTATTTTCTTTTTAGCAGTGAATAATATTTTACTATTAATAACAAATAAATAATAAATATTTATATCTATTTATTATATAGAGTAGCTCATATTTATTGTATGACAATTTATTTATTCACTCATCTACCAAAAAACATCTCGGTTGCTTCCAAGTTATGGCAATTGTGAATAAAATGGTTATAAGCATCCATGTACAGGTGTTTATCTGGACACAAGTTTTCAACCCACTTGGGTAAATACCAAGGAATGTGGTTACTGGATCACATGGTAAGAGCATATTTAGTTTTGTAAGAAGCTGCCAAATTGTATTCTATTTTGCACGTACCACTGTGCATTCTCACCAGTAATGAATGAGAGTTCCTGTTGCTCCACATCCTCCCCAACATTTGATGTTGTCAGTGTTTTGTTTTGATTTTGGCTATTCTAATAGGTAGATAGTGGTATCTCATCATTGTTTTAATTTGCATTTCCCCAATAACATATGATGAGCAGCAAATTTTCATATGCTTACTTGCAATCTGTATATCTTCTTTAGTGAAGTGTCTTTTCAAGCCTTTTGCCCATTTTAAAATCTTGCTGTCCATTTTCTTATTGTTGCACTGTAAATGTTCTTTGTATATTTTGGATAACAATGCTTTATCAGCCAAGTCTTTTGCACATATTTTCTCTCAGCTTGTAGCTGTCTTCTCACTCTCTTGATAGCATCTTTCACAGAGTAGAAGTCTTAAATTCCAGTGTATCAATTTTTTTTCATGTATCTTGCCTTTGGTATTATATCTAAAACTCATTGCCATACCCAGGTCCTCTAGATTTTCTAGGAGTTTTATTGTTTTGCATTTTTCATTTAAGTATATGCTCTATTTTGAGTTAATTTTGGGAAATGGTATAAGTTTTGTTTCTCAATTCAGTTTTCTGCATGTGTATGTCTACTTGGTGTAGTACCATTTGTTGAAGAGATTATTTTTTTTCTCGATGGTATTGCCTTTGCTCATTTGTCAAAGATCAGTTGACTATATTTATGTGGGTTTATTTCTGGTCTCTCTATTTTGTTCTATTGATCTATATGTCTAGTCTGTTGACAATACCACAGTATCTTAATTACTGTTGTTTTTTTTGTAAGTCTTGAAGTTGGGTAGAGTCAGACTTTCAACTTTATCATCGCCTTCAATATTGTGTTAGCTATTCTTGGTCGTGTACTTCTTTATATACATTGTAGAATCAGTTTGTCAATATACAAGAAATAACTTGCTGGAATTTTGAATGGAATTGTATTGAATCTGCAGGTCAAGTTGGGAAGACCTGGCATCTTGGCAATATTGTGTCTTTCTATCCATGAATATGGGGTATCTCTCAATTTATTTAGTTCTTCTTTGATTTTTTTAAATAAGAGTTTTATAGTCTTCTTCATATAGATCTTGTACATATTTTTGTTAGATTTATATGTAATTATTTTATGCTTTTGGTGATAATATAGGCATTATTTTGTTTTTAATTTTAAATTCCATTTGTCCATTGATAATATATTAGAAAGTGACTGACTTCTGAATACTAACCTTGAATGCTTCTATCTTGCTATAACAGCTTGTTAGTTTCAGGAGATTTCTTATTGATTCAGATTTTCTACATAGGCAATCTTTTCATGTTATCTGCAAACAAAGACAGTTTTATTTATTTCTTCCCAATCTGGATAACTTCTCTTTTCTTGTCTTATCTTATTGGACTAGCTAGGATTTCCAGTACAACACTGAAAAGGAATGATGAGAGGGCACATAATTTTTTAAATTATTATTTTTAAATATTTGAAAGAAAACTATATAGTATATACATATATATTGTATATATGTATATATTGTATATATATTGTATATATGTAATATGTATGTATATAAATACATACATATATATACATAAATATGTGTGTGTGTGTGTATATACATACATACACATATATATATATATGTATTTTTTTTTTTGAGACAGAGCTTTGCTCTGTTGCCCAGGCTGGAGTGCAGTGGTGTGATCTTGGCTCACTGCAACCTCCGCCTCCCCAGTTCAAACTATTCTCCTGCCGCGTCCTCTCAAGTAGCTGGAATTACAGGTTTGCGCCACCATGCCTGGCACATTTTTATATTTTTAGTAGAGACAGGGTTTCACCATGTTACCCAGGCTGATTTTAAGCTCCTGACCTCAAGTGATCCACCCACCTTGGCCTCCCAAAGTGCTGGGATTACAGGCGTGAGCCACTGTGGCTAGCCAAAAACTCAAATATTTTTAAATGCTGGGCTAGCTAGACAAAATACATATGGAGATATATATTTAGCTAGAGAGCTAGCAGATTGTGACCTCTGCCCCACATCCTTGTGTGGAAAAACTATGCACTTTCAGATTATTGGAATCAACTTCTTTTGTTTTTTTTTGAGACAGTGTCTCACTCTGTCACCTAAGCTGGGGTGCAGTGGCACAATCTTGGCTCACTGCAACCTCCACCTCCTGGGTTCAAGTGATTCTGGTGCCTCAGCCTCCTGAGTAGTTGGGATTACAGACACATGCCACCATGCCTGGCTAATGTTTTGTATTTTTAGTAGAGATGAGGTTTCACCATATTGGCCAGGCTGGTTGTGAACTCTCGCCCTCAAGTGATCTGCCCACCTCGGCCTCTCGAAGTGCTAGGATTACAGGTGTGAGCCACCGGGCCTGGCTGGAATCAACTTTTTTAACCAAAACTATTTTAGACATGATCTGCATAATGATTAGCTACTTTATATTCAGGTATTTACGATACTAAAATGACTAAGAGAATGAGTCTTATAAAGGCCCTATTCTGGTCTACATACCCTTCCAATAGCTAACTAGTGATAGGACTGAGTGTGAATGAATCTTTACAACTGGAGTTGCCAGAAACTAGAGATATTATAATAAATTACACAGACAACTCAGTCTCAATACATGATGGGAGAAAGAGAGGGATATATATGAGGCCCTAATCAAGGGTTAAGTCTTGGACATGGTTATAAAATCAACCACCTCTTTCTTTCTTCCTTTCTCTCTTTGACAGCAAAATACACATAACAGAACATTTACCATCTTAACCATTATTATTACTAAATTACCATCTTAGCCATCATTAACCACTTTCATCTTCTCTAACTAAAACTTTGTACCTGTTAAACAACTCTCCGTTTTTTCTTCTCCTCAGCCGCTGATAACCACTCATCTACTTTCTGTTTCTATCAGTTTGACTCTTCTAGGTACCTCATCTCACTGGAATCAAACCATGATTTGGTTTGTTTCCAAACCAAACTATAAGATATTAAAATTAATTCAGAAAGGCTAGTTCAGAAGGCTAAACTTTTCTACCACTGCTTAGTATCTCAGTAAACAACCGTGCTCAAATTTTCATTTGAGGATTGGTTCCTCTGAGAATATCTAGGATCCTCCAGGGTGTTGGAGGGATTTGAACAATTCTCAATCAATTTTGGATGATAACATATGTATGTATTTCTGCTTGTCCTATTCTTCATATTCATATTCAGGGACTTCCTTCCCTTCCATTTTGTATATCTGCCATAGAATTTCAACTTGTGTAACTTGGCTTCAAAATGTTCCTCTGACTAGGGGATTATTTGGTTGGCAATGGACTGTTAATCAAATTAAATAGTAGCAGCTGGCAGTTCCTTTCCAATGTGGTTAGATGAGACACCTGGGTAAGGTATGCCCACTTAATTATTTACAAAATGAACCAAATCCAGAGAAAGAAGTAGGTGTTATCATGGTTTCTGCATCTTATTTTAACTGATAACTTATCTTCAAGTCATCTTTTAATGTGAAGGTATCAAATAATTCAAGCAAATGTTACAAAATATATGTTTTAAAAGTATTACTCTAGGCTGGGCGCAGTAGCTTACGCCTGTAATCCTAGCACTTTGGGAGGTCAAGGCGGGCGGATCACCTGAGGTCAGGAGTTTGAGACCAGCCTGGCGAACATGGTGAAACCCTTTCTCTACTAAAAATACAAAATTAGCCAGACGTGGTGGCACTCACCTGTAATCCCAGCTACTTGGAGGCTGAGGCAGGAGAATCGCTTGAACCTGGGAGGCAGAGGTTGCAGTGAGCCTAGATTGCGCCATTGCACTCCAGCCTGGGCAAAAAGAGCAAAATTCCATCTCAAAAAAAATTAAAAAATTAAAAAAAGTTACTCTATAAGTAACAGTCCATATTAAATGGACTTAAGTTCTACAGCTGCCATTAAAAATATGGATTGGATCCTTTGTGGCTCAGAATATCAGAATTATGAATTCAATTAATTTATTCACCATTTCTATAATTCTGCATACAAATTAAATGTCAGGAAACCTAGTAAGTTAGTAAGAACATAGAGTGTTGAACACATTTTGTTTAAGAATATAGAAACTTGGGTTTATAATTTATGTATGATCTGCATTTATGCATAATTCTATGACTATACTGGAGATTATCTGAGTATTATATCTGACTTAGAATTTGAGAACCTTATGATTTACTGCTGTTGCCGAAGAAAAGAAATGAAACACCAGACTCTTGAAGGACAGAATTAACTGTAGTGTGTGCACCCTTGGTAGGGTAGCACCCTTGGTAGGATAAGCATGATCACAGGCAGAGAGAAATGATATGTTCTTGACACTAACTAGTCATGTCGCCTCCTGAGTTATGAGGCACTTTTAAGTGTCAGCTTACCTATAAAATACAGGAGTTAGATTTCTGTAGCTGATCTCAAAGGTGTATTCTAGTTCTAAATTCTGATCCTATGAACCATTTACGGTTTCACATTTATAGTTAGCTTTAATCAACCTTGATATATTATGAAAATAATAGGTAGGTATGATTTTTTAAAAATTCTAGTAGAGAAAGGCTTATGGAATTATCGGTGATCTTCTTATACCTCCACCTCCACTCCCTATAAGAAATCACTATTGACTTCTCCTGGTGATAACCTCCGTATTCTAAAAGGGAAGTGGTACTTATACCTCTTTTTTTTGATTAATTGAGTGTAGATAACGAGGATTTTCCTCACACTCCCCATTGCAGTTAAATCACTGTAGTGAGAGAGATCCTTTCTTGAATACCTATAACCATTTACACCTTTGTTTCTTGTTTTATTTCCTACTGACAGTGTCTCCTGATTTTCTATTTTGAAAGATGAGAATATTCATCATTTTAAACGCAGCCTGTTTACATTTGAATTATGTTAGTTACTATCTGATTATTTTCTTCAAAGGAAAGAGATTAACATTTAGATGTTTTAGATGGTATTCCTGAATAGAATAAGTGTTCCTTTGAAAACTTTATCGCAATTAATTCAATGTTCATTATATGAACTATTTATAAAACAATCTCAGAAGGTTGTCCTTGGCTTTTGTTAAGTCATTCTTTAGGTTTCGAACTTGCAAAACTGCAGTCTTTGATCTTATCTTCGATTTACCTGCAAGTGTACAATTTTTTTTAATCTCAAATACGTATTGCAAGGGAAAGCAAATAATAACAAAATAAGGCTCTTTTACTAAGCACTGTTGACAGTATCAAGAATTGTGAAGGGTCAGAGGTTTCACCCTACTTGCCAGCTAACAAGTTAGCTTGCCATAGCTTCATGAAAACAGGCAGAAAGCATGAGACACGTGGGTCAGAGACAAATGACATTATTAGTCACAGCACAGTAAACAACAGGACTTTGATGTTCTGATCCCTACTAGGGTCCCAGTGGGGGTACAGAGGGGGCAGGTTCAGGTGGATACTGCAAACGTTAAGTTTGCGTGCATCTCAGCTGAGGGACCTCATGCTTAGGAAACCCCAGTCTTTTATAAGGGTTGCAAGCAAACCTGCCTAACCTTTGCCTCCAAGGGAGACATTATTTTTATTGTACTAGACAGCAACAAACATGCCCCTTGCCCAGGAGGGAAACCCCTTGGAATCTCAATCTTCCAAGGGTTTTTTGCTATAGAAACATTCTTGAAAAGATAGTCCTGAACAAAAGCCAGCACCATGCATGCCTGAAGGAATTGCAGCTACTATGTATAAAATTATCTAAACCCAGGATGCTATTACCTTCCTCACTGGCTTTTGGTAGAATTAAATGATAATACATCAAAGTGCTTACTATTGTTAGGTGTTCAATCAATGCTGGCTACTCTTATACAACAGCACATACTCAGATGAAAGAACTTTAATACTTGAGTTTCCCGCCTCCATCATAAAAATAATATATGCTTCTTTTTTTCCTTTTAAATAGACTTTATTTTTTAGAGCAGTTTTAAGTTCACAGCAAAATTGGGAGGAAGGTACAAAGATTTCCCTGATATTCCCTGCCCTCACACATACACAGTCTTTCTTCCACACCACCCACATTCCCCAGCAGAGTTGTACATGTTACAGCTGGTACACCTGACATTGATACATCATTATTACCCAGAGTCCATAGTTCACGACAGGGTTCACTCAGTGTTGCATATTCTATGGGTTTGGAGAAATGATAAAATGACATCCACCATTTGCAGTATTATAGAGAACAGTTTCACTGCCCTAAAAGTAGTCTGTGCTTTGCTGATTCATTCCTCCCTCCCCACAACTGCTGGCAGCCTCTGATCTTTATACTGTCTTCATAGTTTTTCCCTGTCTGGTGTCATACAGTTGGAATCTTATGGTATGGATGCTTCTTTTTTAAAAACGTACAAATATTATTAAGATAAAGTCACCCACAACCTTCCTACAAAGTAGTACCTTTAACTTTTTGATTAATTTCCTAATGATACCTTTCTAGGCATCTATTTTTTTTAAATTCCTTTTGTCCTTTAGAGAGTTTCATTTGTCACCAGTTTAATAACCTCCACAAAAACTCTTTAAATTCTTTCTTTCTTTTTTTTTGAGATGGTCTCACTTTGTCATCCAGGCTGGAGCGGAGTGGCACGATCTCAGCTCACTGCAGCTTCAACCTCCCAGGCTCAAGTAATCTCACCACCTCAGCTTCTGCGGTGGCTGAAACTACAGGCATGAGCCACCACATCCAGTTAATTTTGCGTATTTTTTGTAGAGACCAGGTCTCTACAAAATTATGTTATTGCCCAGGCTGGTCTCAAACCCCTGGGCTCAAGTGATCCTCCTGTCTCGGCCTCCCAAAGTGCTGGGATTATAGGCAAGAGCCCCTGTGCCTGGCCTAACCATGCTCTACGTATCAGTCAGGATAGGGTAGTTTATGCTGTGTCACAACAGAAAGGCTTATTTTGGCCGGGCGCAGTAGCTCATGCCTGTAATCCCAGCACTTTGGGAGGCCGAGGCGGGCGGATCATGAGGTCAGGAGATCAAGACCGTCCTGGCTAACACATGAAACCCCGTCTCTACTGAAAATACAAAAAAATCAGCCAGGTGTGGTGGTGGGCACCTGTAGTCCCAGCTACTTGGGAGGCTGAGGCGGGAGAATGGTGTGAACCCAGGAGGTGGAGCTTGCAGTGAGCTGAGATTGCACCACTGCATTCCATTCTGGGCAACAGAGGGAGACTCTGTCTCAAAAAAATAATAATAATAAATTTAAAAAAAAGGGCTTATTTCTTGTTCACACTACACGTGCATCCTGCACTGTCCTGGGGTTCTCTTCATTACGGTCCCTCAAGGACAACCACCATCATGTTGTCAGGTTTGAAAAAAAATGCTCAAAACTCATGACCGGAACGTCACATGGCTGGACCAGATCACAAGAGGCAAAAAAGAACAATCCTACCATGTGCCAGGTAGGAAGAGCTGGAAATGTTTGGTGAACAGGATTCATGACAACCAGTTTACACTGTGGCTAGCAGAAATAAGAATCAACCTACAATTAGTCTTTGTTGCCCATTTAAATCAGTGAAATAATTTTTTTAAGTTCCAGGGATTGATCAAAGCAAATAAAGAGCATGAAACTACCAAAATCTTTACTACATACCGTGGTTAACATTTTCCTCTTTGCCTATTGTGCTAAAAACACAAAGCACTTGAGTGATGTTTATCTGAAGTCTCAGGAGTATTAATCAAGAAATTTTAATATTGCTAATATCAAAAATCAGTTTCTTTTTCTAAGTGGGGGTGTTAAATTGAGCTAAAAGAATGCTCAAACTACTGCCCACTACACTCCTAGGCTATTCTGTAATAGTAATGTTATGAGATGAAAGGTGTAAGCAGAAAACAGGAGAGAATAGAATCAGGTGGCAAGTACTTATACCTCTTTCCATATACATACTTATTATATATGTATACATATACATATATACTTTTCTCTTTATATATATCTACATGTATCTATAGATATTGTCACTTGATATATATTGTCACTGAAATTTTTATCCATTTAGAGAGAAAGAGAATACAAAAGCTGATAATAAAAATCTAAGTGACAATATGTTCGTTCTCAGAATCACTTAGAAAAGTTGCTTAATCCATATATGTGCTTAGGACAATCTAATTTCACCTTAGCAGTAGGCAAGTGATAGAACATTTTTTTATAAGATCAAAGGAAAACAACAACAACAACAAAAAGCAACTTGCCAGAATGGGGAAGAAAATTCTGCAACTAGATCCCTTACCTTATGCTATGTAATAGCCATGCAATCTATACAATGATACAACCAGGACAGATGTGAGGCAAACCATTAACTACTGTCTGGCATAAAAAGTTAAATCAAGTCCAGCTGCGGTGGCTCACGCCCGTAATCCCAGCACTTTGGGAGGCCGAGGCAGGTGGATCACAAGGTCTGGAGTTTGAGGCCAGCCTGACCAACATGGTGAAACCCCATCTCTACTAAAAATACAAAAATTAGCCGGGTGTGGTGGCGGGTGCCTGTAGTCCCAGCTACACGGGAGGCTGAGGCAGGAGAATGGTGTGAACCCATGAGGCGGGGCTTGCGGTGAGCCGAGATCGCACCACTGCACTCCAGCCTGGGCGACAGAGTGAGACTCCGTCTCAAAACAAAAAAAAAAAAAAAAAAAGTTAAACCATGATTACATTTTCTAAGGCTCCCTTCCCAAGTTACTTTCTTGCTTTTCCCATTTTAGTGAACCGCTTCCAAATTCAATGTATTTCTGATTGGCTCACAATTCTCTTTCCCAGCTGTGTTATTAATATTTCACCAGTTTCCTACATGTATTTCCCACAACCCCCGTGAACACTGGTATCACATCATCAAAGAAGTTCCCTCCGTATACAACATCACTAGGGACACACAAACAATTCTTTTCAAAAGAAGACACACCTATATTATTTAAATAATATTACAGTCAAAACTGAATTTTACGAATGTATTTACAAAGTAATTCCATTACTTAAGAAATATAGGGAAATTATTTCTCTGAGGAAGAATGCGACTTAAAAAGAAAACATCTTTTAGAAACATATGTGGATTGCTTTTGTCAGCTCAACTCCCAATTTGCTGGGAAGTGACAGGCCATGAATACTTCATTCTCCTTTTCCTGGTGATTTTGTAAATGACTGCCTTATTTATTAATGGAAAGCAAATATACAAAAGTATCATCTTAATGTAACCGCAAGTTTAAATCTGATTTTTTTCTTTTTCCAAGGCCCAGCACCAGGTTTAAGCAGGTTAGCATACCTCAGATAACCCTGGAGGAAGATTCCTTCTCTGAGAGTGTGAAGCTGTAGGGCTGCCATTAGTAGTTGCTAATTCCAGGTTTCAAGTCCTCACTTATGGAGAATCTGACTTAGTGGGACAGAGGGCATTTTTAAAGAAAGAGGCTCCCCAAACAATTCTGATACACAGCAAGGTCCCAGAACAAGTGACTTACACTGTTCTTAAAATGATAGCTTTCTCCCCTAAATTAGAAAGAACATAAGATGAGCATAGAAAAAACAGCTGAAATTCTAAAGTTTGAATATCGTACATGTACATTTATTAATGACTGTTGATTAAAAAGATGATTTTGAAGGAAAAATGCTGCTGAGAAAGCACGCGCACAACTTCTGTAGAGTTGTCATACAGAGAGTTAATCAGAAGTTAGGGAAACAAACCAAGCTAAACAACCCATTTCTTGACTTCTAATTGCCATACCCACCTCTGCACAAGGAATTAGTAAAATTACAGTACAGATCAAGTTCCCCAAATCATTTTTAAAAGAAACGATCAATACTAAATATTAGCAGCTAAAACATCATTGATTCTTGTGGCTTTAGAACTTTCACACACTGAGAGCTCCATAAGAGGAAAAAAGCAAAGAAAATCAACACAATTGCTCATCAGAAGATAGCTGTATTTTCTAGTATGTACAAAACAAAGAGTATCTCATGTTCTATCATCTTCCTTCCTCAAGTTTTTAGGGAATATTAAGTAAAACCAATAATCAGTGCTAAGACATGCATCACTGTGACATAATGAAATTCAATCAGGACTGATCATGCTGAGACTCTGCTGTTTTTTTCTTTGGGTCTAAAAAACTTGTATACTCTATTTTAAGCATCCAAATATGATGATTCCTTTTGGGTTTAATATATCACTGTGGAAATAAATCTCAAAGTAGCAATTTTTTGCAACACTGATCAGAAATCCAAGTGTCACTTAAAACTTAAATATATACAAAATACAGCCACATACATATTCATCTTCAGATAATATAAGAAAGGTTAAATAAAAATAGATAATACAATTTCAGATATAGAAAGTGCCAATTCAACATAAATTTATTTTTGTGTTTATTTTACAAAAAGACTTTAGAACACATGAGGAACACTAGATGATGAGAGTGAGCAGCCTTTTCAGCCTTTGTTTCTTTCTTCTTTAAATACAGATGTTGACAGTAAAGATGGATTAGATGCAGTCCACTTTTTCCTCAGTTGGCTGATTTTTTTCGGAATTATAAACCATGAAACTAAACTGAGTAAATGTTGAAAGTTTATTGCAAGCAGCACCTGGGGCCAAAAATGAGAAAGAAGTTTGGTGAACTATAGGATGCACATATTTATAACCAATACAGATACTGCTTATTTGACTAGACACTGGCTACTGTATACCTTATGTCTAAGCCACATGGAAATACACTAGTGTCATCCTCCTCAGAACTGAGCAGTGAACAGTCCATGAAAGGAATGAGGTAGCTGGTAAACTATCTCTTTGAACTTCAGAAAACTGGCTGGTTTTTGTTGTTGTTGTTGATCTATACACATGCTGTCACTGCTACGATTATTTAACTGTTCTTACGTGTTTTTCTTAGAAAAAACTATTCAGGCACATCTCCCACATTTTATTTCTCTAGCCACTAGAACATTCTCATCATTCATTCATAACCCCATACCCCACCATTGCTCCCTATTCTTCTACTCTCACAGGAAGAGTCAAGAGTAATTTGTCAAGATGCTTTGTCTAATCAAGTTCATCTTCTCATGCTCAAACACCTGGGGGAGGGTCCTCTTTGGTCATTAAATAGAAGAAACTAGTCACCTGTAAATTCATCCACAATTATATAATTATCATTTTTTTCATTCTGTTAAATCCAACTTTGAGCTTTCTAATAAGGTTTATTTCTTAAGAGGGAATCAATAGAACTGCCTTATTTGATACATAAAGCTTTTCCCCTTCATAATTTTTATTGACTTTTGTGTCTTAGTGCTTAAAAAAGAATAAAGCATTCCTCAAACAAGTTTTTCAAATATAGAACTGTGGGAAGTAAAAGATCAAAGAACAATAATAAGCAGTCCAACCTAATAAGTCATATTGATCAGTAAGCTGTGTATCTTCCCCATCTGAAAATTCACTAATGAGAATCAGCAGTGGCTGATCTTAAAATGCTTTGAAACTGTGATAGGCTCATATGGAAAGTAAATGAAGTGAAAGACAAGCCTCAAACAGTGCAAAAATAATTCTGCTAACCTCTTCGGTTTACTAATTAGTAATACATTTTGTTCTTTGGAGCCCCGAGAAGATCTAAATGGCTGAGGCATTTAAATAATGAATAGAAAAGAAATAGGGAAGATAATTTATCCTTGTCTATTTTTAATTAGTATAAACATTTGACTAGATTAGCCTATGTCAACGTGTACTGGAGCTGAAGCTAAACTTCATTTAAGACACATGTGAAAGATAAGAACTACTAGTCAGAGACTGGGTCATAACTACCAGCAGTCAATCCAAAGAGGCTTTTAGGTATATTTTTAACGCTGTGGGTCTTGAGATCATCAATGAACATTTACTCAATGCCCACTTAAGGAGTCTCTTTTTCTATTGAATATAGTGTATTGTACAAAACAATATTTAAAAAGTGTATGTTTTAGAAATATTTGGAAGTTCACACAAATACAAAATCCAAACACAACTTACCGTAACTTCCAGTCACATTGGCACATATAACAGCCCCAAAGAATTCTGGAAAATGCTTCTGGATTCTTGAAATCACTTTTTGGCAAGCTATGGTTGGATCTTCTCCTCTTCTCATGTATTCTACAGCTTGGTAGCTGATTGAAACAGAGGTGAAACCTTAGTGTCTCAGAATAAATACTAACTCCAAATTGGGTTACTTGAAGTTAGAAATTAAAACCACCAAAATTGCCACATGTGATAGAATACACATAAATGAACAAGAGTCGGTTACTTCTGTTAAAGCATCCACAAAGCAAGTCCACTTTGATACAGAGTCTATCTTTTCAACTAATCCACCCATGAATTTCAGATGTGGAATATTATTTTTGGCTTTGGCTGAATAACTGTCAGTAATGATACCGACAGTCAAATGTAATGGCCAGAACTCAAAAAGAATACAGATTTTCAATGAGAAAAACAGCTACAATCAAAGGGGAAAGTAGTGTGCATGGGCACAACATCTAGCTAGGGTGGTTAAAGGTACACGATGACTGCACTTCCTACTTTTACCATCAATTATCACAGCTCCTTTACTCAGTAGCTTTACATCAATTACTAAATAGATCATAAGTATTCTCATCTGGGAAGCAGGGTGAGAAATACTACTTTATTTCACAGGACTATGATTACTTAACTTGAATGATTATCATTATCAAAATGATAGGCAACAAGTTTGTATGCAGTTTCTAAGAAGCTCTTGTGCACAGAAATTCAGGTTACACAATACAAAAATTATGTTTTCTTTCTTTTATTTTCTTGAGACACAGTCTCATTCTTGTTGCCCACACTGGAGTGCAGTGGCGCGATCTTGGTTCACTGCAACCTCTGTCTCCCAGGTTCAAGCGATTCTCCTACCACAGCCTCCCGAGTAGCTGGGACTATAGACTTGTGCCACCATGCCCAGCTAAATTTTTTGTATTTTTAGTAGAAACGGTCAGGAGTTCGAGACCATGTTGGCCAGGCTGGTCTCAAACTCCTGACCTCAGGTGATCCACCTGCCTCAGTCTCCCAAAATGCTAGGATTACAGTCGTGAGCCACTGCACCCAGCCTCAAAAATTATTTTCTATCTTAAAAGAAAAAAATATCTTCTCCAAAGGTCTCTAAAATTCACAAACTAAGAAGTCATACCTTGGCAGGAAGCGCATCAATATATCACCATTCCCAGTGGCTGCGGCTGCCCCTGCAGTATCGTCAGCATAGGCTCCAGCTCCAGGTATTGGTGAGTCTCCTACACGGCTTTGAGAGGGTATTAACAATTTACGGCAGGAAATCGAGTGTAAAACACATTAAGTCATAAGCTGTTCCAAATAAGGGATAGTTCCACTTAGCCTCTGATACCGTTTTAAGTAAATTCTTCATCGGAACAAAGACAGAACAGGTCTTCATTAGTTTTTTAACTAAGGTTTTCACAAACCTGCATTAATTATGTAAGAATTTGTTATCAGACGTGGAGTGTACAACAGCTGAACTCACAGAAACAGAGACTAAAATGGTGGTTACTGGAGGCTGGGGGGAGGGGGACCTGGCGAGATGCGGGTCAAAGGACACACAATTCCAGTTAGGCAGGAGGGTAAGTTCCAGAGGCCTACTGCGGATCATGCTGACTAAGGTTAATAACAATAGAGTGCACATTTGAAAACTGCGAAGTAGATTTTTTTTTTTTGAGACAGGAGTCTTGCTCTGTCACCCAGCTGGAGTGCAATGGCATTGATCTTGGCTCACTGCAACCTCCGCCTCCTGGGTTCAAGCGATTCTCCCTGCCTCAGCCTCCTGAGTAGCTGGGACTACAGACACGAACCACCAAGCTCAGCTAATTTTTTGTATTTTTTTTTTTTTCAGTAGAGACTGGGTTTCACCATGTTGGCCAGGCTGGTCTCGAACTCCTGACCTCAGGTGATCTGCCTGCCTTGGCCTCCCAAAGAGCTGGGATTACAGGCGTGAGCCACTGCACCCAGCTGAAAACTGCTAAGTAGATTTTAAGTGTTCTCACCATAATAAAATAGGTCTGTGAGATAATAAGTTAAATAGCTTGATTTAGCCATTCTACAACATATACATATATCAAAGTATCATGTTGTACACCACAAATACACATAATTTTCATTGTCATTAAAATTAATTTTTTAAAAGAACTTGTTATCAGCCAGGTATATACCAGGATGGCACAGATTTACAGTGACTATTCTATTATTACCATCCTTTATCATCTAATTTCCAGATGATTGCAACATGTTCAAAATTGGTTTCCCTCATCTATAATCTATTTCCGCTTCCTATGTAATGTGCCAAACTTTTACCAGATTTTTTTCTAGTAAGAAATGTTTAATGCTTTTCTATTTCAAAATTAAATCCAGAATGCCTTCAACTGACTTAAGACTCCTTAAATCTGGCCCCAGTCTTCCCTTGTAGTCTTATCTTCCAATACCACTTCCCCTACCCCAAAATACACACACACCCCCACACCCCTTCTTCCCTAGCCAGTGGGAGCCCTGAATACACACACACACACCCACACCAGTGGGAGCCCTGAGCGTGCACGCACACGCACACATACACACACACACCCCTTCTTTCCAAGCCAGTAGTTCTGCGTGCACGCACACACACACACACACACACACCCCTTCTTTCCAAGCCAGTGGGAGTTCTGAACACATGCACACATACACACACCCCAGTGGGAGCCCTGAACACACACACACATATACACACACAACTTTCCTAGCCAGTAGGAGCGCTGAACCTCAACTACCATGACTCAGGGCTGAGCTCCAAGCATCACTTTACTGGTGTTCCTAACTACCCCAGCTTAAAGAGATCACCTCTGCCACCCCTAAACCCTATAGCACTGGCTGTGACTCCCTCTCCTGTGGCACTCAGCAGAGAGTACTGCATTTTCTTTCACACTCATTCATCGCAGCTGTGAGACTAGGGCTGTGCTTTGCAACCCCCATAGCACCCGGCATATATTGCTCTGCATTCAGTGTATATTTGAGAGCTCTGTTCTTTTGGAAACACTAACCCATGTATTTTGAATTTTATACCATTTGTAGATGTACCAGCAGCAATATGTCCTGTCTTATGGATTACAACCATGCCTAGAAGTTAAAAAAAAAAAATCACTGTAGGTGTATAAAGTTTACCTCAAATATAACCAAATAATTGAGCAACTGGTAATAACTGCTGTGCTCTGAATGTTTGTGTTCCCCCAAATTCATGTCAACATCCTATTCCACAAGGTGATGGTATCAAGAGGTGAGGCCTTTGGGAGCTCATTAGGTCATGAGGACAGAGCCCCCATGAATGGAATTCATCCCTTATAAATGAGGCCCCAGAGAGCTTCCTCGCCCCTTCCACCACGTGACGACACAGCAAGAAGACGCCATCCATGAGCCAGGAAAACAAGCTGTCTCCAAACTCTGAACCTGCCAGCGCCTTGACCTTGAACTTCCCAGCCTCCGTAACTGTGAGAAATAAATTTCTGTTGTTTATAAGCCATCCAGTCTGGGTATTTTGTTAACTGCCACTATAACAGGCAATTAACATTATTAATTATTATTAACAGGTGGGGCCTTTAAGAGGCGATTAGGCTAAAAGGGCTTAATGCCATTATCGCAGGGAGTGGGTTCCTGATATAAAGGATGAGTTCTACCCGATTTCCTGTCTCATTCTCTTGACTTCCACCTTGGGATGGCCCTTGCCAGATGCCAGTGCCCTGTTCTTGAACTTCTCAGGCTCCAGAACTGTGAGGCAAATAAACTTTTGTTTATAAATTACCCAGTCTGTGGTAGTCTGTTATAACAGCGAAAAACAAACTAAGACATAGACTAATGTAAATTTTCAACATTGTAACTTGGAAAAAGTTATTTAAGGTCACTAAAATACAGCAACATAAAACTGCCAAAAAATGAAATGTCAAATAAAGATTTAAAAATCCGCAAGTGAATAGTCATTGGGTTTTAGGTGTCTTGTATAAATAATTTGCCAAATTTTATACAGATCCTAAGACAAGATGGATCTATCTATAGAGAGGCACACTTAATTGGCAGTTAAAACAATCAAAATCAACTTCTGGTAGAAGAATAGGGAAGAGCTACAGGAAGATAATTAACTAAACTTTATCCATAAAAACTGCACAAAAGGCAAATTACCAATAGTGTCATGACCACGATCATCTTCTGTTTCTTTATGGATAGGAATATCCTGCTTTAAGATACCAGGTGGTTTGTAGGGTCCGCAGTATTTTGAGGGATCTGGTATAACATTCTGTAAACAAGATTTAAGTTTTATTTCTTACAAAGGGTATTTTTAGAAATTGCCAAGAAATTATGTACAATCGCTAAACACTAGCAAGAAACCAAAAAAAGACATCTGGTAACTTAAAGATAAGAATTAAAAGCTAAGAAATCACTAAGTCTTATATAAAAACAAATAAGATAAATAATTTTACTGAATATCCATTCTAGTCTAAGAATTAAATAATACAGGTGAGGTATCTATATTGCATGACACAGGTCCCTAATTTCTCTCTTTATATATATCTAAAATTCTCAACACAATAGTAAAATTTTTTAAAATTAGATATTAATCCTTAAAGAAATTAGATACACACTGGACCTTTAAATTTCAGAAATTTGTTCCTTGGCCAAAGAATTCTGAGACTTAAAGTAAAATATGTTTTAAAAGCTTTTATTGTTTCTTCAAAGCTAGGTTTATGTGAATATATTCTAAGTTGTGCTTTAAGATTCCTTTATAAATCTAAAGGGCTCAAGAATATAATGCAAACTCATAAATTTAGGTTGTGTATGTAGACTGGTATTAAAGCAAGAAACCTATTCCTATTCCTCATGTCTTACACATCAGTGCGCTAGGTGCCTCCCCTAACTTCGTTTTATGATTAGCCTCTTTCAAGTGCTAACCCAAGGGACTTCTGACTTGATGGCTACTCGAAAGTAATTAGGACTTAGGGAAGAAATAGATGAGAGACTAAGATATCCCACAGAAGGACCCTGTACGGCAAAGGCAAACTGATTTATGCCAAAAGTCTCATTAAAGAAAAATTATTCCACTGGTAACATACTAGACATGTAATATTACATGTCCTCAAGTCAAGAACAAGATACTGGATACACTGCACGTAAAATCTAAGAAATATTTTAGACTCATAGTTTCCAAACTGATTTTTTAGACTTAGTTAGAAAGAAATACAAGCAGAGCAGCCCTGATTGAGGCAGCCACCTCCACATGGCAGAAACTTCAGTTTGAAAACTATTGTGAGAGACCAGTAGCTCTCCATGCTGGATATGCACCCAATGCAGCTAGAGGTGTTTCAGGAACATCCATACCTGGAGAGTCAACTAAAACCACTAGTTCTAATGTACAGCCAGGATGCTAACCAGTACCCTGGACAACAGGCAGGCAACACTGAGCAGAAAGGATGTCACTGAATATTTTCAATTAACTTATTTTTTTAAATTAAATGTGTGCATACCCTCCAATAATTTGGCTGGCAATTCCGAGCAAGCCAATCTGAATGAAGAGCTTGAGAAGCAGTGGTAGATAAGTCTTCATTGATAAACCCCATACTTTGAGCAAATGTGGTGGCTGGAGATTGGAAAAAAGGAAAGTATAAATTATTCAAGTATTGTCTTTTCAACAAAAATATATGTACTAGAGACATTCTGGGTCAGCAGCATCTTAAGTGAGCTACACAAAGACTTTCAAAGGAATATTCACACATGAACAGTTTTAAGAGACTCAATTTTTAGACCTTCGATTTCCTTATGCCTTTCCTAAAACAGATCCACTTAAAACCTTTGGGGCATGCATTATAAGAGTTCTCGTCCCGGCCAGGCGCGGTGGCTCACACCTGTAATCCCAGCACTTTGGGAGGCTGAGGCGGGTGGATCACGAAGTCAAGAGATTGAGACCATCCTGGCCAACATGGTGAAACCCCGTCTCTACTAAAAATATAAAAATTAGCTGGGCATGGTGGCACGTGCCTGTAATCCCAGCTACTTGGAAGGCTGAGGTAGGAGAATCACTTGAACCCAGGAGGCAGAGGTTGTCGGGAGCTGAGATCGCGCCATTGCACTCCAGCCTGGGTGACAAGAGCGAAACTCCGTCTCAAAACTTCCATTGCCTTCTTCTTAGAGATGAAGAAGTAAAGAGATTTAAAAGTTACTTATCCAGTTCAATAGATGTTAAGTAAAACAGCTGGAATTTGAACTTAGATCTGGTTTTATCCATGATTTTGTACTATTTTTCAGTGAAAACTATAGTCAAAAGACTAGAAAAAATTTCAGTGTAGTTAAAAAAATACCTGACTCTCCTACTAAAAGTGTGTGTGTTGTATGTTCCAGTACTTTCCGTGCCACACCAATAGCATTTTTAATTCGTCTGAGATCTCCTACTGCTCCTACATCCATAGTAGTGCTGCAAGAAAATAGAATGCAGTTAGGAATTAAGGAGTTTTCAGAGGTTCATAGATTAAAAACATTGCTTTTCTCCAATCAATAGTGTTTTGCGGTTAAACTCCACCATCTTAACACAGAAGTGACAGCACATCCACGAAGTTCATATAGATTCCCACAATCAGACAAAATTAAGGAAAAAAAATAGAAAATCAACTTGCCATGTACCACAACAGCACTAAAATTCTCAGTTTCTCCAAGCTAATTTTAAATATGGCTTTTGAAAGGGGCCTGAAGGCTTCAGGTCAGGCAAACCACAGCATTTGTGGACAGCAGATAAATGATTGTTTATAAGGTCAGAGACATAGTTTTTTAGCTTGGCATTCTCCCAGTTCTAAGGGACTACCTATCTCTCCATGTGATATTTCTATTACTCTGATTTTTTTTTTTCAGTTGAGAGGGAAACTGTGTTTAGAAAGGTCAAGTATAATAAGCTAGGGGTTTTGATCTGTGTCAAAACTCATGCATTCTTTCATCTTGCTCTCAGAAGACCACAACTCTAAATGTAACTCAACATAATAAATAGGACCTGAACGGTGTTCTTACCCATCCATGATCATGGCATCTAGTGTGGTTTCTCCAAGTTCATCAGGACTTCCTCCAAAGCCTACAGAGCCGTCACACTGCTCTCTCTCACACATGGCACAGCCGCTCTCCACTGCATCCAGGGCAGAGCCTCCAGATGCTAATGCCCTCCACGCTGTTAATCAAATCCCAATAATGCTTGTTTATATATATATTTTTTTTTCAATGCCAAATGCAACAAACCAACTCCAATTTAACAACTTTTTCACATTTACTGAGTTAAGCTGATTTTTTAACACATTAGTTTATCAAGTGTTACAAAGGAGTCAGTGAAGAGTCAAAATTATTTAACTAGTTATCAGAAGAACTCAAAAAACTGGCTATTGGTGCAAGCTGAAGGTTTTTTTTTTTTTCACTTACTAATATCTATCTCTTCTGTGTGCGAGAAACGAAATCAGTATCCCCTCCTTTATTTTAAAAGGTACAATCGAAACCACTAAAAGGCAGTTAAATAAAAAATCCACTAAACCGCAGCCTTCTTCACACATTTCTTCTGCATCATTAGATTAAAATATGCATAATTGATATGTGTATTGAGGTAACACCTATCCCAGGAAGTCTTAATAATACTGAACAGCAAACAATTACAACGTGGACTTCATATGGATTAGTTCATTGAGTCTTCATAACAGCTTCTGTGGTAGGTACTGTACAATCACGACCCTCATTTTAAAGAAAAGTAAACAGAGCCACAGGTCAGGCAGTTAGTTTAAGGTCACACAGCTGGTAAGTAGCAGAGCCAGGATCCCATACATTTGGGGGTGTGGGGGGAAGGGTCTTTGATGGACAATTTCTTTTCTGGTAACAACAGAATTCCTTGAAGAGTGGGTGCTCTGGTTGGTAAACACTACAGCACCTACAGGCTTGAAAGTGTATTTACGCAAGTTCCCTCTTTCAATACAGGCAACTTAAACACAGAACTGTCCCCCGCCCAGGCTGATGCAATTTCTTTTCGTCTCATTATGGCTGGGAATATCTTTCTCACAGCCTGCTTCTTCATTTTCTCTGAATCGTATGCACTGCCACCAAATTCTGGAGCCAATTCTGCCCTAGAAAGTTAATACGTTAGCAACCTCAGATGGAGGAGGAGGGGTCTGAAAATGACTCTTCTGGTCATTAAGCAAATGAAAGAAACAAGCATAGTACAATGCGAAAATGCCAAGATAATGGTACGTAAAGGCTATTAACAAGGTGTAGAAGGCAGGAACCTAACTCATTCTGGACACGAGGGCAGTTAAGTCAGGGAACGCTTCCTGGAAGAGGTGATACCTTAGCTTAGTGGTTCTCAACCCTGTCTGCAAATCGAAATCACCTAGGGAGCTTTTTAAAGAAAAACAGTGGCCCTGATTCCAGCAGTTAGATCACAGTCACAGGAGGTGGGCCCCGGCAGGATGATTTTTGAGAAGCTCCCCAGATAGTGTGAATGTACAGCAAAGGTTGGAACCTTGAATTCTAAGTGGCAGGTAAAGTATGACAACACGTGGCAAAAAAAGTAAATGGGAAAAGAGTAGGCTATGGCTGGGACACTATTAGTCGTCTACAAAATTGCAAAGAAGTGAAGGATTAGAAACGAGAGGTGGAGACGTACACAGCCCGTGAAAAGACTGTCAGGCAGAAAAGCGTAGCTGCTACTTGATTAAAGCACAAAGGCCATAACTATGGTCAGCAGCAGGGTGGAAAATACATTGCGCTGGGGGCTGCATGAAGGGAGGACCTAAAATGCAACAGCGGTAGGTGGGGAGGATGCAGTAAAGGCCACTTGCAAGAGACTGAGCGGCGCTGGAGACTCGGGAAGACCTAGAGGGCGGGACCGCGAGGCCCGGCCCAGCCCGGCGCTCTTCCGTCCGCCCTGCCGGGTGACTGCAGCGGGGCGGGCTAGTCATCCCCACCCGCAAGCTCTCGCGGCGCAGCCGCCCGCCCAGGCCGCCAACCCGCACCTGCTTCGGTTGCATTCTTAAAGGGCCAAGTGTTGACGACCAGGGGCAGAGGGCTGGAGCAGCGCACTAGGGCCTGGCAGAGCAGAAACGGCACGAGAAGCACAGGCAAGTTCGACTTCCGCGCCATCCCTGACCACCGAAGAGACCAGCGCGAGAAAAGTCCCGGCAGCCAGCGATCGCCGAACAATTAATCCCCAGTGCCCCGCCCGCCTGGCGCCCACGCCCGCTCTCTCGGGGGTTCGCTCAGGCGTCCCTCAACTCTCGCGAGACGAGGCGTCCCTGGGCCCGCGGGAGAGTTGTGTCACGGGGCACTGAGCTGTTCCCTGCGCTAAGGTGCTTCTTCCTAAGTGCTGTTCAGATTTTTAAAATAGCCAGACAAGTTGCTGCTTTTCCTGTGGTTAAAATAGATTTAGCTTGATATTGGGAATTTAATACAAAATTATTCAACTCTGGGTTGCAGGGCCCCAGGAACTTTAGCCGATTGCTGTGTACTATGGATTTGGTTCTTTTACTGTCTTTTTAATTTAAAGTTGAAGTTGAAAAGTTTGTCAAACTCAGTATATTCTTGGGGATCCCAGGCCTCGGAGGTCTGCAATAGTTATGAGTGTAGGTGAAGCGTGTTTGCTTAGGACCGGATTGATTTTAGATTTTTTTTCCATTCATAGCGTCCGTCATTTTCGCACCACAGCTTTTTGTAGCACTTCCTCTCATTATAAATCCCTGAGCTGGAAGAAAAACAGAAACGGCCTATGTACCCTCTACCTAGCACACTGAAGTGCAGCTTCCTGCACCTCCAGGGCAAGACGGCTACCTCCATTCCTTTTTAAATGTATTTTTACCTTCCTGCCTGGCACTATTAAGTGCTAAATAAATGAATAAGAGGAGGAATGGGGATTTTACGTGCTTGGTGGAGGCTGCTCAGTTTTGTTGCTGGGCAGACGTGCGAACATGAACTAATAATCCCTTTGGGTGTCTGGAATGCCTGCCCAGGTTGCCAAGGCAAGACACATAATCACATAATTTTTAAAAGCATCTATAAATCTATACAAACTTTAAAAATATGAACTAGGCTGGGCACGATGGCTCACGCCTGTAATCCCAACACTTTGGGATGCTGAGGTGGGTGGATCACGAGGTCAGGAGTTCGAGACCAGCCTGGCCAACATAGTGAAACCCGTCTCTACTAAAAATACAAAAATTAGCCGGGCGTGGTGGTGCATGCCTGTAGTCCCAACTACTTGGGAGGCTGAGGCAGAATTGCTTGAAGCCGGGAGGTGGAGATTGTGGTGAGCCGAGATCGCACCACTTCACTCCAGCCTGGACAACAGAGTGAGATTCTGTCTCAAAAATAAATAAATAAATAAATGTAAAAATATAAACTAGGTAGGAGTTGTGAGACTTACAAAACCTTCAAGGCTCTTATTGATTGCTAGGAAATTAAATACATAATTTAAAGAACATAAGATAGCCCAGAAGTATCATTATCCCGTTGGGGAAGTGTTAATTAAAAGATATAATAAAGACAAATTTTCTAAGTTCCTTTCATGGGGTTTGGAAGAGGAACAAGTCATCTGTGCTGGAGTAATCATAACCCAATGGCAGGTGAAACTGGAAACTTGGGTGAAACAGGGTAAGAAAGCCAGAAAAACATACATTGTCCTCTGAGTAAATTTTCCTTAGCTCCTGGGCTGAGTATTTTTATGCAGCCTTAAGGAATTAGGACATGCCTTTAGCAAAAATTGTAAAATACAATACATGGAAAATTGGTCTTAGTACCCCACTGATCTCTCTAGCCTCTTCCTGTTTTTTAAGGTATTTGTGTTTCTTCTGGTGGAAAGAGCCTGATCTGTTACCTCCTACTATGTCTATTTCTCCAAATTCTTTCTTCTTAAATAAAAATTCCTGTCAGAGAAACAGCTAAATTACACTATAGTGGGAATGGCTGATAGAAGGTCTCAATATATCAACTTTTCCATGGATATTTGTATGTATGTATGTATGTATGTATTTATTTTTTGAGATGGAGTCTTGCTCTATCGCCCAGGCTGGAGTTCACTGGTGTAATCTCAGCTCACTGCAACCTCCACCTCCTGCATTCAAGCGATTCTCTTGCCCCAGCCTCCTGAGTAGCTGGGATTGCTACTGCCTACTACCATGCCCGGCTAATTTTTGTATTTTAAGTAGAGACAGGTTTTGCCATTTTGGCCAGGTTGGTCTTGAACTCCTGACACAGGTGATCCACCCACCGCCCCCACCCCCCCGACCTCCCAAAATGCTGGGATTACAGGTGTGAGCCACCGTGCCCAGCCGGATATTTGTATTTAAATAACTAATATGCAATCCCTATAGAATCTACCCGATTCAGTGTCTTCTTAGTGGCTACTAAAATACCTACTGGATCCACTGTCCAGTTTGCCTAAATTGTAGCTGTTTCTTAAGTTAAATTCGTCTGGATATTTGGTTCCTTCTGGAGTAGTTTTCCTTTGACTAACACTTGAAGAATAATTTTCATTTTAGTTCTAGAAGTAACCTTCTGTTACTCTCACTTAGGTGCTCTTTTGGGCCTAAATATAATTAGATCCTTCGCCGTTGTTTTGAGGTAAATCTAAACGAAAAGGAACACCTGTTAACAGGTAGTGATGCCGCAGGAAAGTGCTGGGAAGGGAATGCTGGGAAGGGAAGGGCGTGGTCCCTTTAAATGATAAGGAAGGGGGGCGGGAAGTGCTGGGTAGAGGAGGGCGTGGTCCCCAGCTAGGGCTTCATCCCTGGGCCTGGGCCTACCTAGGTGAAGACAGGCATTTTTGTTTTCCTGCCCGGATGTTGCATTTCCCAAGACCACCCTGGCCTGCCATGCCCTCATCCTGTGCCTTTAAAAACCCCCGAGACCCTGGCAGGCAGACGCACAAGCAGCTGGACATTGAGAGGAGCATATAGGCAGAGAATACAGGGGCTGCTGGATGTCGAAAGGAACGCACCAGCATAGGAGCACACCGGCATGCTGGCAGGCCATTGACCAGCGGAAGAATGCAGAGTTTGTCGCGGGAGGTCAGAGAAGAGTCAGGCCGCCATACCTGACTCCAGGAGAAAACCGTCTCCCTTCTGGTTCCCCCGTCTGCCGAGAGCTACTTCCACTCAATAAAACTTTCCACTCATTCTTCAAGCCCACGTGTGATCCAATTCTTCCCGTACACCAAGGTAAGAACCCGGGATACAGAAAGCCCTCTGTCTTTGCGATAAGGCAGGGGTCTAATTGAGCTAACACAAGCCGCCTACAGACGGTTAAACTAAAAGAGCACCCTGTAACACATGCCCACTGGGGCTTCAGCTGTAAACATTCACACCTAGACACTGCTGTGGGGTCAGAGCCTCACAATCTGCCCGTCTGTATGCCCCTATAGAGGTTTGAGCAGCAGGACACTGAAGAAGCGAGCCACACCCCCATCACACGCCCTGCAAGGGCGACAAGGGAACTTTTCCTGTTTCAGTAGTAGACCGTAAAATAAATGATCCTCAGTTTTTCCAGCATCCTCTCCAATTTTTCATTCTTTTAAATCATTATACACAGGGCAGAGATATTTAGTGTTACTGATAAATCAAAGGAACTATTTGTAAAAGTATTTTTATTTAAATTTAGAATGCATTACACAATTTTGTTTGGCAAAATGTTTCTGTTCCTAAGTAGAGCTTACTTATAACTAGCAATACTTCAGGAGGATTTTCCAGACTTAGATTTTAAAACTTAGGGTGTGGCCAGGCCTAGTGGCTCATGTCCATAATCCTGGCACTTTGGGAGGCTGAGGTGGGTGGATGGCTTGAGCCCAAGAGTTTGAGACCAGCCTGGGCAACATAGCGAGATTCCTGTCTCTATTAAAAAAAAAATTAAAAAAAGGTGACTGTGTATCAGCTGTGGTTAACTCATGTAAGCTTCCTAAGCCATGCTTTTCTCATCTATAAAATGGAGATAATAATAGTATTCTTTCTTATTTTACAAAGCTTTGTGAATGAGGTAGGAGATGTGGGAGAATGGTGTAATACCAGGCAAATTAAATAAAATTCTCTTATTCTAATTTGCCATTCCCAAGTACCTATAATTGATGTCAAGGAGGCAGTCCAGAAACATACAAGGCAGTAAAAAGAAATCAATTTGATCAATTTGAGACACAGAAATTTCCACAGGAAGAATAAAGAGTTGGCCCAATACCTATAATGCATTTGAAAGTAATCACTTAGAATTTCCTTGAATATATTAAATGAGAATTAAAAATAATGTTTTTAGTTTACTTGGAGCTGCCTGAAATTTGGTTTGAATGCTTATAAAGATGGTGCATGGCAGGACTGTGAGATTTCTGGATGTCTTAAAAACAACACCCTTAAGTCTTAACAAGGGGAAAGCCTCAAATGGAATCTTAAGTGATGTTGCAAATAGAGCCTTTGTGTGTTTGTGTTTGTGTATGTGTGTGTGTTGGAGGTGGGTGGAGGAGTTTCAGACCGCTGCAGGCTCTCTTATTTCCTCTAAACTTCATGGCTTTCAATTTATCAGTCTCAGAAGGATGAAGAGTTGAGTCCCTCCTGATAGCATTTGAAGCTGTGGTTCCACAGAGGATTTAATGCTGTAGTTGCAGGGAGTCTAGGTATTTCAATTCTGAGGCTTAAAAAACTAAGCCATCCCCTCCGGCTTTTGCACTGATGCTGTGAAATCCATTTGAGAAACATGTCCATGTTTTGCTACTTGTTCAAAGCTGTAAGCCTGACTTGGCATTGAAATGATAATTTCTTTTTCAAAACTCCCCACTGAACTATTACCTAGGTTATCTAAATATAGGCTATTTACTTGATTGGCATTTGCTCCTGTCAGTTTCATAAACTGTAAGTAATGATTTTTGCTGATGTTAGAGCATTGTGGTACTGTGTTTCTAATTTAAATCAATGTCTACATTAATCTGGGAACATTTGATGTTACTACCTGATTGTACATTCTGGATGTAATTAGAGTCATTATACAGAAATAAGTGTCATCCTCTTATTCTCTAAATGAGAAAAGAGAGCATTCTTCTCTTCTGAAATAATTTTTCTGGGTCATGCCCCCAAAACCATTTGTCAAATCAATAGCAGATTCTAATCACAAACTTTTTTGACTTTTTAACCTTTAAAAGTCATCTTAGTGACTTATAAAGACCAAGATTGTGCAGTAGAATGTGGGCCTATTAAGTTATTTCTTATCAAAATAAATTATGTACAACATATTTTCAATGTGTAATTGTAATACTGGGCCACTGCTGTGATATAGTTTTCATAACAAGGACATAGTAGACTATTAAACATGGTGGATCTTGCTTTTTGTGACAGTTGTTTATAACATTATGATGTCATCATAAATGTGATCCATTACAATAGTAAAGCCTTAGGGCAACAGAGTAGATGTCAGGATGTCTTCCTACCACTTAAAAAATGACTTTGACATTGTTAAGGTAGTGTGACAGATGATTTCAATAAAGAAATTCAACAATAAAAGCAAACTTCTAAACTAACAGTGACTTACAGGAAGTACATTATGCATTTAAAATGATATCTACTTGTCGATCATGACAATGAGTATTAGAAAACTATCCAAATAATGAACACATGTATCCTGTGTGTAGCTACACAAATAGTCTGTTAATTCTCAATCATTCATATAAAAATATGAAAGGAAAGATTTTCACATAACATAGCTTATTTTTTTCATTTTTTAGAAACACTTTTGTGTCCTTCAAATATCTCTGAAATACTCTAGCTCTTGTTGAAAATCACCAGCCTCTTAACATTTTGATATGTATCTGTTTGGTGAAAAATCTTGGTATTATACACACTGTTGTAGAACCTGCTTTTTTATTTAATATCTCTTTGACCTCTGCATATCATTAAAATTTATGCTTTTTAAAAACCTTCATTGTGCAATGTAAATACAGTAAAGGACATAAAATGTAAATAAATAGATTAAATAATTTTGTAGAAAATGAACAGCTATGTAATCACCACTTATATAAACAAACAGAATATTGTCAGTACCCCAGAAAACCGCTAAGGACCTCTATAACATGTTCTCTGAAGATTTAAAAAAATTTTATTTAATTTTTTATTTTTATAGATACGGGGTATAAGTGTAGTTGTGTTATATGTATATATTGAGTAACGGTGACGTCTGGGCTTTTAGTGTACCCATCACCCAAACAGGATACATTGCACCCAAAAGGTAGTATTTCATTCCTCACCCCCTCCTTCCCTCCTACCTTTTGGAGTCTTCTGTTATTCCACTCTAAATGTCTGTGTGTACTCATTGTTTAGCTCCCACTTACGAATGAAAACATCCAGTTTTTTACTTTCTGTTTCTGAGTTATTTCACTAAGGATAATGGCCTTCGGTTCCATTAACATTGCTGCAAACGACATGATTTCATTCATTTTTATGGATGAGTAGTATTCCATGGTGTGTGTGTGTATATATACATATATCACATTTTTAATCCAGTTGTTTGCTGATGGACATTTAGGTTGATTCCATGACTTTGCTATTGTGAATAGTGTTGTGATAAACATTTGAGTGCAGGTGTCTTTTTGATAAAATGCTTTCTTTCCCTTTGGTTAGATACCCAGTAGTGGGATTGCTGGATCGAAGGGTAGATCTATTTTTAGTTCTTTGAGAAATCTCCATGCTGTTTTCCATAGAGATTATACTAATTTACATTCCCACCAACTGTGTATAAGTGTTTCTTTTTCTACACATCCTTGCCAACATCTGCTGTTTCTTGCTTTTTTAGTAATAGCCATTCTGACTGGTATGAGATGGTATCTCATTGTGGTTTTAAATTGCATTTTTCTGATGATTACTGATGCTGAACATTTTTTTCATATGGTTGTTTGCCACTTGTATGTCTTCTTTTGAAAAATATGTGTTCATGTCTTTGCCTACTCTTTAATGGGGTTATTTGTTGTTTTTGTCATTGTATTGTTTGATTTCTTCCTAAATTCTGGATATTAGTCCTTTGCCAGATGCATTGTTTCCAAATATTTTCTCCCATTCTGAAGGTTGTGTGTTTACTCTGTTGATTACTTCTTTTGCTGTGCAGAAGCCTTTAGGTTTAATGAAGTCCCATTAGTCTATTTTTGGTTTTGTCACATTTCCTTTTGAGGACCTAGTGATAAGTTCTTTGCCTAGACCAATGTCCAAAAGAGTTTTTCCTAGATTTTATGATTTTATTCTAGAATTTTTATAGTTTCAGGTCTTACATTTAAGTTGAAGACTTTATTTCTTAAGAACAATTTTTGGTTCACAGCAAAATTGAGCAGAAAGTACAAAATATACCCCTGCCCCCACACATGATAGCCTTCCCACCAGAGTGGCACATTTGTTACACTTGATGAACAAATTCTACACATCATTATCATTCCACATCCATAGTTCATATTTTTTTTTTTTTGAGACGGAATCTTGCTGTGTTGCCCAGGCTGGAGTGCAGTGGCGCCATCTCGGCTCACTGCAAGCTCCGCCTCCTGGGTTCACGCCATCCTCCTGCCTCAGCCGCCCGAGTAGCTGGGACTACAGGCACCCACCACCAGGCCCAGCTAATTTTTTGTATTTTTAGTAGAGACAGGGTTTCACTGCGTTAGCGGTGGTCTTGATCTCGTGACCTCATGGCACATTTGTTACAGTTGATGAACAAATTGTACACATCATTATCATTCCACATCCATAATTCATATTAAGGTTCACACTTGGTATTATACATTCTGTGGGTTTGACAAATGTATACTGGCATATATTCCATTAGAGTATTGCAAGAATCCTCTACTCCATCTATTCATCCCTCCCTCCCCTCTAACTCATGGCAACCAACTGACCTTTTTACTGTCTCCATGGTTTTTGCCTTTTCTGGAAGGTCATTTAGTTGGAATTGTGCAGTATGGAGACTTTTTTAGATTGGCTTCTTTCACTTTGTAATACGCATTTAAGGTTCCTCCATGTCTTTTCATGGCTTGATAGCTCATTTTATTTAAGCGCTGAATAATATTCCATTGTCTGGATGTATCACAGTTTATTCATTCTCCTACTGAAGGACATCTTGGCTGCTTCCAAGTTTTGGGAATTATGAATAAAGCTGCTGTAAACATCCATGTGCACCTGGGTGTGGTGGTGCATGTCTGTAATCCTAGTTACTGGGAAGGCTGAGGCATGAGGATTGCTTGAGGCCAGGAGTTAGAGACCAGCCTGAGCAATGCAGCTAGACTCTGTTTCTAAAAAAAAATTTTTTTAAGTTAACTTTGTGGTGGCAACTGCTGCCTGTAGTCCCAGCTATTAAATGGAAGGCTGAGGCAGGAGGATTGCTCAAGCTCAGTGTTTCAAAACTAGAATGAGCTGTTTGCACCACGGCCCTCCAGCCTGGGGCAACACAGTGAGACCTTGTCTCTGAAAAAAAATTCCATGTGCAGATACAATGTAATTTTAAAGGATGTATAAAATCTATTTATGATGCACAGAAATTACTTAACCATTGATTTCTGTTGCTGTAAAAATTTTTGGCTTTGTATACGAAGAATTTTTTCAGAATTAATCTGTCAGATACTATGTTGAGTTTATATGATAGTCAGTAGCAATTAAAATAGCATCACGCTAGATCATGAGTGAAGGTCAGTATTAGGAATTCAGGACTCTGACAAAGCAGAGTTAGCGCTGTCTGTTACTAACACTAAGGTTTCTCAAGAGGGCAGATTTAGAGATTAAGCAGTTCTCCAAATTCAGGACAAATTCAGGGAGTCAGGTGGTTTGAGAGAATGGTATCATAAGAACTCTGATATGAGGAAGCCCCTCATATCAGAGGGGCTTGAGACAGTGTCTTGCTCTGTTGCCCAGGCTGGAATGCAGTGGTCCAATCTTGGCTCAAGATTGAGAGGATTGGCAGTGCATCCTCTGCCTCTTGGGTTCAAGCAACCCTTCCACCTCACCCTCCTGAGCAGCTGGAATCCCAGGCATGGGCCACCACACCCAGCTAATGTAGCTTCTGTGGAAGAGGCTTTTTGATCCTCCTATCATCTTTATAATTTTCTACTAACCACAGAATTGGGTAGCTGTGAAACCACTAACTTTTAATTGCACCCAGAGCTCTGAGGACACTCAGTAGTTTAGGTTCCCTTATTACTGGATGGCCCTTAGAATAAAGGCACAGCTTAAAAATGTTTTTTTTTAATGCCAGGTCTCGCTGTGTTTCCCAGGCTGGGTGCAGTGGCTATTCAAAGGTACAATGATAGCTCACTGCAGCCTGGAACTCCTGGACTCAAGCGATCCTCCTGCCTCAGCTGCGACTAACAGGTATGTACCACCGCACCCAACTCATAAATCATTAAACCCCTTGAATTTCATAGGTTTAGAGTTATGATCATGGTAACTCTGCAATTTTGTATTAGCTTTAAGTGCTTTCGGTTGCAAATAACAGAAAACTTAATGGTGATTTAAAGCGACAAGGCTTTACTTTTTTGCACCTAATAAGAAAGTTGCTGGCATTGGTTCAGTAGCTCTAAACTGTGAGAACTTACTTGCTGCTTTGTTTTCACAAGACAGCTACTGTTGCTCCAGACATACATCCACATTCAAGCTGGGGAAAAGGACAAGGACCTGGTATCAGCCACATCTTTCCCTTTTCATCCAGAAAGCAAAAGCCTTCTCAGACACTCCCAGTAGAATACTGCTTTATTCTCATCATCAGAACGATGCCACCTGGCCTTTTCAATGAAGTCTCCAGTACTCAACAATATTGCTTTCTTTTTTTCAAAAAATTTTGAAGGATCTGGATTTCGCTTCCGGATCAACATAGTATACAGTGGGGCCGGGAGCAGTGGCTCACGCCTGTAATCCCAGCACTTTGTGAGGCCAGACCAGGCAGATCACTTGAGGCCAGGAGTTCGAGACCAGCATGGCCAACATGGCGAAACCCGTGTCTTCTAAAAATACAAAAAATTAGCTGGGTATGGTGGTGCATGCCAGTAATCACAGCTACTCAGGAGGCTGAAGCAGGAGAATTGCTTCAGCCTCTCCCCTCCCCACCCCTCCTCTCCCCGCCTCTCCTTTCCTCTCCTCTCCTCTCCCTTTTCTTTTCAAAAGTATTTATTGGCTGCCATGTGTCAGAGGTTGCCGTGAGCTCAGATCAGGCCACTGCACTCCAGTGTAGGCAATAGAACGAGACTATGTTTCAAAAAACAAACAAAAAAGCCCCCAAACCCCACATGGTATATAATGGGAATAGCACATGCAGAAACAGAAGCTCAGATACTTAGGTGAGCTTGAAAATTTAAGACCTATGTAAATGTCTAGAAACGTTTTAAAGGACTTTGGACTTCAGAAGAGAATAAATTCAGAGTCTAAACCTATCTTATTTAGATCTCAAGGACCAAAGAAGCCTCATTCAACATCAGAATTATGACTGTGGTGCTCAAGGAGAGATAGAAAGGAAAATGACAGTTCTCCATCTGGGAGAAAAAGATGGTTATTTTTCAGAATAAGAGATTAAAGGAACATGGGGGATTAATGCCTGCTAATCTTGATCTTCTCTAAGAGTAGTAAAAATCACCTGCCAAGATTACAACAGATTTGAAATCGAATTGGTGACTAGAAATTGGTGAAGCATTTTAAAAGATTTATTATGGAAAGTCTTATGAAGATGGGCAATAACTGAACAAAAAAGATTGTGAAACATGAATGGGGGTCCATTTGAATCAAGTAGCCTAACATTGCTGAATCCTAGTTAATCACAGTCTTTTGCCTTTCTTCAGTATCATTTTAAAACACCTAAGTTATAACACTAAAAGTGAGGGTTATCCCTTACTGTAGAGGGAGTCTAGTTGGTTGATGGGAAATCTATTGGTATTGCTGATAATGACAAAGTGCAGGCTGGAGTTGGAAAATAAGGAGTTTGTAATAAATGATAACAGCCCTTTTCATATACCACTAACATTGTATTCTAGGCTTCAAAGGTAGGTTCAACCACAAATTGAAGAGGGTGTCTTGCAATATAAGGGTGACTTAGCCTTAGAAACCCTAACAATTGTTGCTTTTCATTTGCCTTCCTTTTTTCCTTACTTCTTTTTCCCTCCCTGCCTCTTCCTTCCTCCCTTCTCTTTTACTTTTTCCTCTCCCCTTCCCTACTCTCCCCTCCCCTCCCCTCCCCTGCTCTCCCCTCCCCTCCCCTGCTCTCCCCTCCCCTCCCTTCCTCTGCTCTCCTCTCCTTTCCCTTTTCTTTTCACAAGTATTTATTGGTTGCCTACCATGTATCAGGCATGTTTTTAGGTGTTGTGGATATAGTAGTGAATAAAACAGACAAAATTCCTACTCTGATGGAACTTACCTAAGCTACTAAACAAATGCATAGTAAGAGTTTAGAACTCATGGAGGAAATTGAAGCAGCATAATGGAATTGCTGAGGTGCGATGCTCATGGTGAGGTGATGAGAAGTGGATTTTTTTTGTTTTGTTGTTTTTTTATTTTTGTTGTCGTTGTTTTTGTTTGAGATGAAGTTTTGCTCTTATAGCCCAGGCTGGAGTACAGTGGCACGATCTCGGCTCACTGCAACCTCTGCCTCCCTGGTTCATGCGATTCTTCTGCCTCAGCCTACTGAGTAGCTGGGATTACAGGCGCCCACCACCATGCCTGACTAATTTTTATAGTTTTAGTAGAGACAGGGTTTCGCCATGTTGGCCAGGCTGGACTGGAACTCCTGACCACAGGTGATCCGCCCGCCCTGGCCTCCCAGAATGCTGGGATTACAGGCGTGAGCCACCGCCTGGCCAAGAAGTGGTTTTGAAGGAAGAACCTACAGGGCTTGGTGATGGCTTGGATATGTGGTGTAGAGTAGAGTAAGTGAAGCACCGAACTTTACCTAGTTATGTTGAACAATGTGACTGGACATAGTTTAGGATGAGGAATACATTTTCGGCCTTGGGTACAGAGTGACCTTGGAGTTGATTTAATGAATGTAGTACTCTAGCAGCTTTCTGAGCCTTATGAGACTGAAATCTATATTGTTCACAGTGGACTCAGGAAAATACTCACAGAAGTGATTGCTGGTATTGAGAGAGTAGCTTCATGAAAGTAGGAGTAGGACTCTCCTGCTTGATTATGATATCTTCCTCCAAAGAGGAGAGCCATATCCCTGACTGACCAAGCGTTAATGTTTAAGTCATCTGGAATAAGAAGAAAAGCTGAGGAATGTTAGAGGAAGACACTCCTTATATTTCCTTTCATGTCGAGGGTATTCAGTGAACCACTGTCTTTCTATTCCTTTGCTTTGAGTGGCTTCTTTGATTGATAAATTTTGAAAGACAAAACCGGGCATGCCAGCCTCATCTTTGACCTTGTTCCTGTTGATCCGGAGCTGCTTACAGGGACTGTGTTCTTTGCCTCTGCTTTGTCTTGCCTTGCTGCGTAAATCTGGGGTTGAATGCTAGGAAGTCCATTTGACTCTCGAAGCAAGGGATGGCCTCTGACTTAGCCTTTATTAACTATGAAAGTGGTCTTCAGTCCTCTCTGTGCCACTCCTTAATTTTATATTTCAGTTTACTGAGAACCCTGGTGGGGAAGAGAATTACTCTTTACTGAGTCCCCTAGAGAACCAAGAAGCAGTAAGAGAGTCACACCACTTTCTTCTGTTTCATAGCAGTTTGCAAAACAGAGTCACATGTGTGTTATCATCTATAGCTCCCATTTTTCTGGTGAAGGCATTGAGGTTTATAGAAGTTAAATGACAGGACCAAACCTATAGAAACTAAAAGTAGCAGTGAGATACTATATCTACAGCTCCTTACTACAAATACAATGTTTCTTTCTTCTCACCATGACTACTTTGGAGATACATTAAGGATAAGTTTTCTTTTTGTCACTGGGGTGGTGCATACATGCATCAGAGTTTGAGCAGCAGCATAGGGAATCTCTGTCAAATTGTGAAAATAGAAAACTTGCCACTTTATATTTTCTGGAACCCTTTCACATTCATTCATCCATCTCACATTTGAAACATGTCAGATTTTTCACTGGTATCTGAAATGTATTCAAATATATTTCCTTGAGAATTGCCCTTCACGGAGTGTTTAATTTAAAGTGCTGAATTCTGGTATTAATTTTGTTCTGTTTGTTGACCTGGTGATATTTGTGGTTCAACTAAGATATAATAATATTCCAACAATGTTGAAGAATCTCCACAGCAGCTGCCTTCCAGTCACGTACTTTTTAATTCCTCCACCATAGCAGAATGCGCTATTAATTATTGCAAAATTTTAAAAGTCTCCCGCTTCACAGTGGAAACTCTGTTGCGCTTATTTTAATGTGAAGGAAAATCTAACATGGTGAGTACCCAGGAGAGTCGTTATGGATAGACAGCAGTATAGTATGAATGGCCCTGGAATGTTGCCATGTGGCAGTAAACCCTTATCTCCAGCCAAGACCCATGAACGCAAATAGAAGGAATGTGAATTAGCCGTGGAGGCTGTGCGTTTACTATTAAGAGCAACTGTGCAATCTAGTTTTCAAGACCCGTGCTACCCAAACACATTTTTCTACATTACATAATGTTATCATTTAAATATTGTCATTCAAATGTGAAGACCAGCTGTGCATATCAGGACACAGCTGTCAGGTTGAGGTGCAGATAAGCCATCTGGTGCCTGGTTCTAGGTGGTTAAATTCCAGCTGGGGATTTAACTTCATATCCAGCTGTGATAAAGTAAATTGAAGGCTGCATATTATTCCTCAGAAATCACTCCTTCGGGATAATTCTCAGAAATAAATTTTAACCAGAGGTGGTGTCATTGATTGGTTTTACACTTTCAATTATAGCATTTGCCAGAATAAAACCAAATGAAAAACTGTTCCGTCGTTTCATTTTCTTTGTATGAAATAAAACCAAATAGTTAAAGAGAATGAAGCTTCTTCAGTCTTCTTCAAATTACATCTGTTCAGGGACAATCTGCTGTCAAATTACCTGGGTTCACACATCTCTCTAGATGACAAAAAGAAAAATCAGGTGATCCATAAAAGCTGAGTAGGAGAGCAAAGTGGTAATTATCCTAATTTCCAGAATCATTATGTCTGGAGATATGTGAAATATGAGAAAGCAACACCGTTTTAACAACAGTCGTTTCTTGTGCTTAGACACACCTCTTTCTCGATTTCGAATGTTTTCAAGGAAAGGACGTTAAAATCCTGCCTTGCCCTTTTGTATGTGTGGCTAATCATGGAGTCCAAGAAGGAAAAAAAACCTGAAAAAGTGAGCCTTCTCCACTGTCTTCAGGCATGTTTGTGTATAACTACCCAATTATGGAATTAATCTATATTACTGTTAAACATCTTCAAAGGAGTAGACTTTTACTGTAACTTACTGCAACATTTTAGTGAATACTGTATAGATTATTTTATCTAAAGCAAATAACACTAGGATATATTAAGTAATGAGTGAGATAGAGTTATGGTATATATTATGTATGTTAGCTATCAAATAATTTAGCCAATATACAGGTAAAATGGTTTCTTCTTTCTTTAAAACTAATTTACTTAATTCTGGCTGGGGTGGTGGCTCAGGCCTGTAATCCCAGCACTTTGATAGGCCAAGGTGGGCAGATCACTTGAGGCCAGGAGTTACAGACCAGCCTGGCCAACATGGTGAAACCCCGCCTATAACAAAAATACAAAAAACTAGCCAAGTGTGGGGCACAGGCCTGTAATCCCAGCTGCTTGGGAGGCTGAGGCAGAAAGAATTGCTTGAACGCAGGAGGCGGAGGTTGCAGTGAGCTGAGATCATGCCACTGCACTCCAGCCTGGGTAACAGAGTGAGATTCTGTCTGAAGAAAACAAAAACAAAACTAATTTATGTAATTCTCCCATCCAAGTACTAACCAGGCCCGACCCTGCTTAGCTTCTGAGCTCAGACGAGAGCAGGCATGTTCAGGGTGGTATGGCCATAGACTAATTTATTTAATTCTATCCCACAGCTACTGATTGGAAAACCAACCTTGTATCTCTAGATGGAACTTTCTTCTGGCAGACACAATTGCTAATTTAAATAAACTAAGAAGTGATTGTGGGTGTGTGTAGAGAAATTATTCAGTAAAGACAACATTTTCTTTTCAAAATGTGTTTAGGGAAAATCTTGTAGGAGGAGTATGTGAATCAACGGAATCCAGAGATAAGTATACTAATGCAAACTTCAAATGCAAACCTTCAGATTTGGCAGTTTATTTTCCTTTTGATTCTACATGCAGAACGCTTAAGTTCAGGACTTGTTTCTAAAGGTTTGAGATGTCTAAGATAAACCACTGAAAGTGGTATATTGTCAAAAAAACTGAAGGGAGATTATATTTCTTTTGCGTGTGTTTGTGGAGGGAAGAGAATTTAAACAAATATTTTTTGGAAGCCAGTCATGGTAGCTTATGCTTGTAAGGCTTATGCTTGTAATCCCAGCATTTTGGGAGCACGAGGAGGGATGTTTGCTTGAGGTTAGGAGTTCAAGACCAGCCTGGGCAACATAGTGAGACTGTCTCTACCAAAAATAATAAGAAAATTAGCCAGGTGTGGTGGTGCATGCTTATAGAGACAGCTACTGGGGAGGCTGAGGTAGGAGGATTGCTTGAGACCAGGTATTTGAGGTTACAGTGAACTAGGATCATACCAGAGCACTCCAGCCCGGGTGACAGAATAAGACCCTGTCTCTACAAAAAAAAAAAAGGTTTTTTAGAATTGGCATCAGGATTATACACTAATTAGCAATTTCTCCAAAATATGTTTTAAAAATCTTATTAATACATTGAATACAAAATAAAGAAATCTCCCCTTTAAATTCTATAGGTGCCTGTACTCTACATTCCATTCCCTGGACTAACTGGGGCTAACAGTAGCAATATAAGCAACTTTGTGGAGCACAGAAAGGCAGGCCTTGATTTCACGGAAATTATTAGTCAAAAGTGAGAAACAACAAGGAGAAAACAAGTTTACCAAAATTCTAAATTTACAAAGGTTCTAAACTCCTACTATGCCTCCTGTTTTTAGATTTTAACTGTTGACAGTTGTTAAATTTGAGACTATTTCTCTTCTCATCTAGAATACTTAAAAAATAATTTTTTCATGCTTTTTTTACTACAAGGTTTTGTACATTGAATTGAAGACAATGAAAAACTAAACTGAAAGTTGCTGCTACTTGGTGTTAGAGGTTTCATTACTTGACTGAAAAAAAATTAATTTTACTGAACTCACCATGCCGCTCCAAAGCCCTTCAGTGATGGCAAATAGCCCCTTCTTCCTTACAACAAAAAGGCTGTAACTGGGAGGGAAAGTGTAAGGAAAACCAATTTTCAGCGACTTCGGCTGTTCACTTTATGTGAATTCTCTTTCTTTTGAAAATGGGAGGTGAGCAAGAATCTCCTGAGTTAGTGAATTTTAAAAATACTTGAAGGTAGGCCGGGCACGGTGGCTCACGCCTGTAATCCCAGCACTTTGGGAGGCCAAGGCAGGTGGGTCACCTGAGGTCAGGAGTTCGAGTCCAGCCTGGCCAACATGGTGAAACCCCGTCACTGCTAAAAATACAAAAATTAGCCAGGCGTGGTGGCACACGCCTGTAATCCCAGCTACTCGGGAGGCTGAGGCAGGACAATTACTTGAACCCAGGAGGCGGAGGTTGCATGAGCCGAGATCGCACCATTGCACTCCAGTCTGGGTGACAAAAGCGAAACTCCGTCTCGAAAAAAAAAGAAAAAAATAAAAATACTTGAGGATAAATATATAATATAATCCCTGTATGGGAAAATGTAAGGGAAAAATGGGGAATGGTGGAAAGTACCCAAGTCAATTAGTGTTCATATTAAGGGACAGGTTGAAGAGTCAGACCTTCTACAATAAAAAAGAGGTTTTTGGCTTATTTTTCATTTTCCTGACTCTGCCATGAGTTTTGGTTTCCCTCTAGGAGATGTGAGGAGCCTAAATATGTCAATATGTCATGTATGTATACAATAACATCATGACGATGAACAGCTACCACATATTGTGTACTTACCAAGAACCTAGTACTATCCTGAGTATTTCATGTGTTAACTTATTTAATCCTCTCACTATTATTATCCATGCTTTATAGGCGAGGAAAAGAAACCCAGAAAGGTTAAGCAACTTGTCCAAATTCTCCCAAATAGTACAGCTAGCATACCAACCCATAATATCTAATTCCAGAAACCACATTATTTTCTTTTAAATTATACTTCTTCCAAACTAATAGGTCATGTTATATTACATAATAACATCCGATTGTGTCTCATAAACAACTAAGACTCAGAATGTACCCACACACCACCCACCTGCACTCTTTCTCCTTAAACAACCAACCAAAGAAATGATTATGTTGAGGATATTTTAAATATGCTAGATTAGTAATCCTCTCATTATTTTTCTTTAAGTAAAATAATTTAAGGAAAGTAACTTGAAGATGATGAAGTGAAAGGCAACAGAATAATTTAGCTTCTAAAATGGGTATTAGAGTACAGAGAACTTAAGCAGCTTTGACTTTAAGAGGGTTACCTAAATTGTAATCAAATGCATTTCAAAAATCCCAAACAGCAAAGGACAAAGTTTCCATATCCATATATACCCTGAAGACAGGACAAGAAGAATTTTGCTCAACAGGTAGGTTTAGTTTAGACATAAATAAATCTTTCCAGGACTCTGTGACCTAAATCAAAGCCATAGAGAATCACTTGGTCACTGTTATCACAACTCATGTACCTGTTAAGGTCAATACTGTATCACTAACATTTCTTCCACCTCTATAATTTTATTGAACCTAACCAACAGTCAAGGTAGATGCTCTGTCCCCCTACTATTCAAACTGATATGACTTGATTATAAGGGCTGTGATACAAATAACTGCTAAAGGTGATTATTTAATCATTGGGGAATTACAGAAAAAGCAGTATGATGAATGCTTGATTCGTGATGGATACTCCAATTTTCCTGATTTGATCGTTATACATTGTGTGCTTGTATCAAAGTATCACATGTACCCCATAAATATGTACAACTAGTATGAATTCATAATAATAAAAAGCTTAAAAATCCAGTATTATTACCATCCTATGGGAGCTGAATGGTGGTGTTTTACAATTTATTTTCAAATCTTTATATAATATCTCAGATAAACTTAATTAAATTCTAACCAACATGGGTTTGATAATCATGGATTTAGCCTATTCGTGGGTTAGAATCCTCTAGTCAAGCATCTAGTTTAGGTTAAAAACAAACAAACAAATATTCTTGCTGGGAAAACATTATGATAATCAAAATTACAATTTAATAGAAGACATAATCCTCTCTGAAGGAAAGATTTTAAGCTAAATTTTAACATAAAAAAATGCACAGTCAGCTCATTGCTAGTTGTTTGGAAGAGGAACAAAAGAACATTTCATTTTGAACAAAAACTAAATTATCTAAACAGTTACTTGACATTTATAAAAACGGTAAGTCTTATGAAGCATCAATTAATCTTGCAAGTGCAAATCTATGTATTACTAATCCTTTAATCATCATATTGCTATTATCTGGCTGTTCCAAATTTTCTCGGTCCACCCCAAGTTATGAAACCTAGATTATTGGTAAAATAGGGCCTGGAGGAACAAAATGGAACACTTCTTTATCATTTTTTTAATACAAAGATATGACATTGCAAACTTGTGGTATGTGTTTGAATCTATGTTCTATCAGGCTATATTTCCTATGTATGTAACCCGTTTGATCTTAATGAGCAGTTTTAAAAGTTCTGGTTCCTTCAATAATTTATTCTAAGTCACTATTAAATTTCATCCCATCTTCCAAAATTCTTCATCCCTTTCAACAGGTTTGGTGACATTTCAAGGTTAATAACTACTGAGGATAATATGAAAGAAAATCTGGTTAAGATGAAGCCCAAAATATTAGGTTATTTTTTATTTTTATTTATTTATTTATTTGTTTTGAGATGGAGTCTTCCTCTGTCACCCAGGCTGGATTGCAGTGAAGCAATCTTGGCTCACTGCAAACTCCACTTCCCAAGTCCAAGAGATTCTCCCACCTCAGCCTCCCGAGTAGCTGGGATTACAGGTGCATGCCACCACACCCAGCTAATTTTTGTATTTTATTAGAGAAGGGTTCTGCCATTTGGCCAGGCTGGTCTCGAACCCCTGACCTCAAGTGATCTGCCTGCCTTGGCCTCCCAAAGTGCTGGGATTACAGGCGGGAGCAACTGCGCTCAGCCAACATTAGGTTATTTAAATATGAGACGTTTCTTCACAAAGAGGCTTATTAGATTTTATATACTTGAATATAAATTACCCTCTTTTATCTGTTGGTTATAAACATTCTCATTTATCTGACGTGAAGTAATTGTAATAATTTTAGGAGAATTGGGAAGGAAGTAGTTAACCTTAAAAACTCATCTCATGAATGTAGGTATGACATATACAATCTTGGGTAGGAAGTGATGAAATGGTAGCTGTCTAAGGCACTATTCTCAGAGTAGAAGAGACTGTTTAACGGTGATTAATGGGAATGTCATGGCATACTTGAGGCTGCCTAGTGATGGAGGCGTAGGAGATCGTCTTGTCAGAGTGACTTTAAAGGCCCAAGCTTCCCACTCACTTTTCAGAAAAATGCAGTACCCAGGGCTCGGTTGAAAATCCAGAGCTGGGGCTGGGCACAGTGGCTTACACCAATAGTCCCAGAACTTCATGAGGCTGAGTCTCAGCACGTGAGTTTGAGACCAGCCTGGGGAACGTGGCAAAACCACTTCTGGACAAAAACTATAAAAATTAGCCAGGCATGGTGGTGTGCGCCTGTGGTCCCAGCTACTCAGGAGGCTGAGATGGGAGGATGGCTTCAGCCCAGGGAGGTCAAGGCTGCAGTGAGTGGTGATCATGCCACTGCGCTCCAGCCTGGGTGACAGCGTGAGACTCTATCTCAAAAGAAAAAGAAACTGCAGAGCTGAAGCACCATGCAGTCATACCCAGAGTTGAATGAGAAAAGCAAACCTTTCATATAAATTAGGTGATATAGACTCGTGCTTAAAGATATATATTTGAGCAAGTGCAAGCAAAGGCTAAGGCTTACTAGTGAGGAAATTCAAAAACGTATGCCTGATGTCCTGGTGCAAAGGAAGCACAGCAGAGTGGGTAAGACTACAAACCCTGGAGTCTTCAGGTGTATCTGTTTGAACCCACTATATAAATTTTGTTGTTTGTAGTATAGAACTATGTTTTTCATATTGTAGAAAGTTTTCATTTCATCTAACTATTTCCTTGCTTATTTGATGTGTTAGTCCATCTTCCTAATAAAATCCTCTGTTTTGCCAAGAATTTCAGTTTCTTCAGTGGATTCTTTTATCATCTTCATAAAAGGCAGAGGAGATGTCTGGGTAGTGCACACAGTTGTGTCATAAAAGCTGGTGTCTCTTCTGAGAGTCTGGGTATCCTTTCTGATTAGCTAGTGCTGATGAGTCAAAAATAAATCATTTGGGCCGAGCGCGGTGGCTCATATCTGTAATCTCAGCACTTTGGGAGGCCGAGGCAGGTGGATCACCTGTGATCAGGGGTTTGTAACCAATCTGGCCATCATGCCGAAACCCCGTCTCCACTGAAAATAACAAAAATTAGCTGGGCCCTGTGGCGCACACCTGTAATCCCAGCTATTTGCTGTGTCACCCAGGCTGGAGTGCAGTGGCACAATCTCAGCTCACTGTAGCCTTCTCCGCCTCCTGGATTCAAGTGATTCTCTTGCCTCAGCCTCCCAAGTTGCTGGGATTATAGGCGTGTGCCATCATGCCCAGCTAATTTTTGTATTTTTTAGTAGAGATGTGAGTTCGCTATGTTGGCCAGCCTGGGACCATTTAGATTATTTTCAATTTAATCACTTTTATTGAAGTATATAAGTTATACTAGATTTGTATGTATAGCTTACATATATTTCTTATAGAAAGTATAAAAGTATACATGTGTGTATGTATGAGTGTACAAATATTAAGTATATAACTTGATGAATTTTTACATGTAAAAATTCACCAATGCAATCACCAGTTAGATCAAGTTATAGAACATTTTCAGCATCTCCCCTTAGTTAATTTCTACCTCCTTCCAAAAATAAGCCCTGTTCTTATCTCTATTGCCACAGAACAGTTTGCCTGCTCTTGAACTTCACATACATGAAACCATACAGTCTGCATTCTTTTATGTGTGGCTTCTTTATTTCAACACTACATCTGTGAAATTCATATACATCACTGCACGTAGCTATAGTTCCTTCTTTTTCATTCTTGTGTAGCACATTGTTCTACAGCCTGTTTATCCATTGTGGTATTGATTGATTGCATTGTTTCCAATTTGGGCTAGCTGTTACTAGTATGTTTGCATATGTTCTCGAGTAGACATAAGCATTCATTTCTGTAGTGTGTGTACCTACAACTCATTGCTCTTAAGCAAGGTAAGTAAGGCACCTTTGTCCATTTCTTGGATTCTACCTATCTGCCTAAAGGGAGATTAACTCCCTTCATATGCTGAAATCCTCTTTGTGTAGGAATTGTTTCCTTGCTCATTTGATATGTTCATCTATCTCCCTAATAAAAGCTTCTGTTTTGTCAAGAAAGCAAAACAGAGTTGAAGTGATAGCTCGTAAGATTTAAGCATGAAGGTCTAACAGGACTATGCCACAGGCAGAGATCAAAAAAAAGAAAAAATGATAATTTTATCATTAAACCCACGGTCTCAGCCCAAATTCTCTGCTCCAGAAAAGCTAATCCAAACATTTCAGAAACTGTCATTACCTGCAGCAATTTCCAACTCATTCCTACAAAAATGTAAGAGGCATGCACAGCTTCTTACAGCACCCTGATCTTTGAGAGAGAAATGCCAGCTCTTCTCTGCCTCATGACTTATACCTTCAGGCAGAGGAAGGAAAAGCAGTGTGAATTATGTTTACATATGCTTAGGAATTGCATTTGACAAGGCATAATGAATCAGCGATGTTTTCTTGTTTGGTTTCTGTCTCAAAATTGATCTAGCTCCAAGTTTAGAAGACCCTACGACGTGACTCAGTAAGTGGCCTCACCTTCATCCGATTGCTCAGAATTAAAACCTAGAAGTCATCCTTGATTTTCTCCTCTCAAATCTGTCTCCATTCATCAGCACGTGCTTTTGACTCGATGAAACGCTCCAAACACAACTGCTTCCCACCGCCTCCACTGCTGCCTCTTGTCCCTGCAGCATCATCTCTCACCCACATTGGCCACAGCGGCTTGTTGTTGGTGTTCCTGCTTCTACTTTTGACTTGTTTCTATTGTCTTCCATGCCCACTGGAACTGTAATTATTTTTTGCAAATGTAAGTTAGATAATGACATTCCACTGTTAAAAAAAAAACAAAACAGAAAACAAAATGAAAGAACAAAATAAAAATGTCTAGTGACCCCCTGTTACACCTAGCCGAAAATCCTTACTTGGCCCAGAAGGGCCTAGATTCTCAGTCTTGACTGCACATGGGAAATCACCTGGGGACTTGAAAAATACTGACTTTAGCTGGGTCTGGGGAATTGTGTGTGTGTGTATGTGTGTGTGAGATGGAGCTTCGCTTTTATTGCCCGGGCTACAGTGCAATGGCACCATCTCAGCTCACCGCAACCTCCGCCTCCCCAGTTCAAGCCGTTCTCCTGCCTCAGCCTCCCGAGTAGGTGGGATTACAGGCATGCACCATGACGCCCGGCTAATTTTTTCTATTTTTGGTAGAGACGGGGGTTTCTCCATGTTGGTCAGGCTGGTCTCGAACTCCTGACCTCAGGTGATCCACCTGCCTCGGCCTCCCAAAGTGCTGGGATTACAGGCGTGAGCCACCGCGCCCAGCCGGCACAGGGAATTTAAAAGCTTCCCAGAAGTTTCTGATGTATAACCAAGATTGAGAGCTACTCTAGGATCCTTCCACCACTCTCTTCCTCTCTCTATCTCCACCCCAGTTGCTTACTTGCTGTGTTTTGAGCACACTCTGATCCTTTCCACCCCAAAGCATGGATCATTCTTGCCCCAGATATTTGCATGAGCTATTCTTTCACACAAAGAGGTCTCTGCTCAAATGTTACCTTTTCAAATATATTTTCCCCAACGAACCTACCTAATGACTATTTTTTTACCCTGTATATTTTTAGTTTTTATATGAAATTATATTACTTGCTTCTTTACCTGTTTATTGGTGCTCTTCCTCACAAGCATGTAAGTGCATGAAGATAGACACCTTGTCTTATTCACTAAGACATTATCACCCTGGCATATAGCGTGCTTGGAACTCATTCTCTGATTAGTGTTTTTCAGTGAAAAAAATGAGGATTACTCAAGGTTCTGGGATCTGGATTTGCTACAAGTAGCTAATTGTAGCTTATGGATTCTCTGGTTTGTAAGGCTTTTGTTGCTTTTGTTCTATTTGCAACCCTAGACTTTCCTTCCAGAAATAGTCATCTGGGCGTGGTGCCTCACACATGTAATCCCCATACTGACACAGGTCGATCACTTGAGGCCAGGAGTTCGAGATCAGCCTGGCCGATATGGTGAAATCCCCTCTCTATTGAAAACACAAAAAACTAGCCAGGTGTAGTGGCGGGCGCCTGTAATCCCAGCTACTCAGGAGGCTGAGGCAGGAGAATAGCTTAAACCCAGGAGGTGGAGATTGCAGCGAGCCCAGATTGCCCCACTGCACTCCAGCCTGGGCGACAGAGGGAGACTTTGTCTCAAAAAAAAAAAAAAAGTCAAGGAGTCTTTTGCTTTTACTTGCTTACCTATGCCGCTATATTTTACATTCAACTTCCTTCTGATACACAGGAAGGACTGTGTCTGCTTGGACTGGACACAGTTGGACTTTCAAGTGAGTTGGCTGGCTGTGGGTCTTTGATTATTCCTCTCTGTTAGAGGGGCAGAATCCACCATTTTCTTAGGAGAATGGTGCAAGTGGGAAATCCTTGTCCTATAGGCTGAAGGCCAGTCACTTCTCTCTCTCTCTCTCTCTTTCTTTCTTTCTCTCTCTCAATAGGGTCTCACTCTATTCCTGGGCTGGAGTGCAGTGACACTATCACAGTGCACCATAGCCTCAACCTCCTGGACTCAGGTGATCCTCCTACCTCAGTCTCCCAAGTAGCTGGGACTACAGGTATGCGCCATTATTCCCAGCTATTTTTTATTATCTTTTTTGTAGAGATGGCGTTTCACCATTTTGCCCAGGCTACTTCTCTCTCTCTTTATTCATGCTTCCTTTCACTTTTTGATATCTAAGCCTTGCCCATCTCTTTTTCTCAGCCAGGGGGATGGATCTACACATAGAGGACTTAAGCTCTAGGTACAGACCTTCCACATACCTGTCTGCCTATCCCTGGCTTAGGTCTGGGTCCTGGTCACTCACAAAGAGGTCCAAGATGGGTATATTGCAGCTCCAAGGCAAGTAAATGCTGCAAATCTTTCTCCTGAATTAGAACTTGAATAAAGGAGGAGTCAGAGTCCAAAATCACCCTCCAGCATTGAGGCTGTGGGCTTACAGTGGTCGGGAGCGTCTGAGTGCTAACTCTTCCTGGCTAAAGATTGATTTCTCAGGAATAGAAAATCTCATTCATATTCATGTCGTAGGATCTTTCAACATGCTACGGTGCTAATATTATTTCATTATTATAATCTTGGGAGTTATTTTCCTGGTGAAGAACCAGATGTATGAGAGATTAAGTTATTGGTCTAGAGTCATATAGCTTGTGAGAAGAACTGAGGTTTGAACTTATCATTTGACTACAAGAACTGTGCATGCTACATTTTACCACATTACTTTTCTAAAACTAAGAGAAAATACAATGAAAAAGTGAGAGAGGTGAGAAAAAAATGGAGAAACTAAGATGGAGAAAGAATAAAAAGAGTGAAATAAATTTTACTTTGGATTGGTGAATAGAAACTGATCTGGCTATTTTAAGCAGAAAAGGATTTTCTGTAGTGGATTAAGTGCTAATAAGAACATACATATGATGATGACACAAAAGTGGGAACAGTCCTTTTTTGAAAAAGCGAAAATAAGAAAAGTCAAAGATGTCCTAAATGTACATGGCTAAATGTTTTTTAAAATTGGAGTGATTCTGAAACATAATATGTAAAAAATTCTGCAACATATGGGCAACAGGAAATAGGAAAATGATTATGACAGATAAAAAACAAAACTTTTTTGACTGTATGCCATGCATGAAAGCTCAACATTAAGGGAGTTTATAAAGCCCTTACAAGAGTTTCTGCATATAGAGAGAGATCAATAAGTACTAGCTATTAGTATCACTATCCTAACGTTTACCCAGGAGAAACCATAGACTACATATATCATGTGGAAAGTGCCAACTCACACAATTTTTGTTGCAAACTCCAGGTAGTTGACTATTTTGAAAGTCCCTTCAAGTCTTCTATTGTCAAGATAAGTGACAAGGCACCCGCCTATGGAGGGCTCCAGATTCAATATTTGGTAAGGTGGCTCCAAACACATCTGAGACATAAGGTTGGTGGTGCCAGCCTCAATAGATTCTGTTCTTGCTTTTTTCTTTTTTTAAATTATAAGTCATATACTCCTTACGTCAAATCAAACAGCAGAGATGTATGAAGAGAAAGTTCAGAAATGCAGCCAAATCAAATTTCCCATCTAATTTTGCTAACGAATGTTAATGGCTGTATGCCAGTCCACACATTTCCAATCAGTGCATTTCAAATTCAGGTAACGTTTGTTCATTTTGGAAAAAGTTACAAAATAGAAGCTAGGAGTAAAATAGCATGCCTTCAAAAGAATTTCATTTCAGAGAATTATTGGTGGAAATACAAAGACAGTAAGCTTAATTCCTTTATGGATATATGAACAAAAGGACTTAGAACAAACAAATTACCTTTATAGTATTTTGTTAGTTAACTATAAAAATAAATTTTTGTTGGTATTATTCTGGAAAAAAAAAGAATGCTTATTAAACAAGACTGTGAGCTCCTTAAGGATTGGTATTATCATAAAACCTAGCAAAGAACCAACCTCACCATGTGATGGGTATTTTCTAAGTATTTGTTAAAATTTTAAAAAAGAACATTTAAACTCCATTAAATGCCAGGCTTTTTGTTTCTATAATGTCAATGGAGTGTTCATTTTACTTATTATGAATACTACTTTCTTCCACTATAATCATTAAAATCAGATAAAACATTTATTCAATTTGTTTCATGTATTTTTATTTAATTACTGTTATTGTACAGTTATATGTATTTAAGAATTTAGTATATTTTCTACTTGTTTTATGACTGAATATTTTAAAAAATTTGTTATAAATTTTCAGTACTTCCTTCGTATAATACATAGCATACATATTAGCTTACTTCAGCACCACCTAAATTAATGTTTCTGTAAGAAACATTACAAAGTCCAAATAATACATTGTTTAGAATTCTAAGTCTGTTTATAATTTAGGGACTGCTTATAATGATTCATTTGGGGGGTTTAATCCATAGCATCAGGCATATATGAAATGTGCATTAATGGCACAGGAAGAAAAGGAGACAAAGGAAGCATCTACTTTTAATTACCTCTGAAAAATATCTAAGTAATTTCATACACATGTCTACCTGTTTTCTTCCTGACCATCTCAAGGGACAGCTTTGCCACAATAGTTCCCAGTAACTGGTTTTATTCCAAACAAATGTAGCCCAAGCTGTACTTAAATCTGCATTATATCTGGGTGTCTCCTTCTTGCTCTCCTTTCTCCCTTCTATGAGGACTTTGCCTTTTGTTAATCAGCTAACAAAATTCACGTAGTGCCACTCATCAAGAAATCAAGGCCCTGTAATAGGGTGCTAGGTTATTCTTATTGAAATGTAGTATCCATCTCGCTCAATATGAAGCCTATGATTGAATTTAAATAATAACCAAATCTACAGCTCAACCAATTGGTTTTTAATGAGATTCTTGCATAGTTATATTTTATTTTGTATAAGGAATAGGGTCCTTGTGCATCATTGACTATGGAAAGGTTAAGGAAGAAAAAAGTGTAAAGAGAGTTTTAAAACATATAAGGTTAATTGAAATTCCAGGTTCTTCTGCAATCAAAGCAATTCTAACTCAGTTTGGTGGCAATGAAACATGTTTTAGAGGTGTGTTAGTTACGGTTATGAGGAGCAGATATTTTACCCTGGTTAGTGTTAATTTTGCTAAAGAAACCAGTGTCTCAGAAAAAGTTTTATTTCCATTTGGATGTGGTTTTGTTAGTGTAAATTTGATAGGAAGGGCAAGACTCTCCAAAGTTGGGTCTTCTTCCTTTCCTTTTCAAAAGAGAGATGGTCAAAGGCAGGAGCTAAAGCATCTTGATTTGAAAAATAGACCTTTAATTAAAGAACGCCATTTTCTTGTCCTGCTAGAAAACAAAACCACATCTTTAAATCTTCTGTGGATGGTTGAGAGATTATAATAAAGATTGGTGTGCTAATAATCCTTTTTATATATATATAAAAGCAAAACTGATGGATTTTAGTAACTATAAAATACTATTGAATATATCAATCGCATACATTTTTATTGGCTGCATTTTCTAGTAATTGCATATAACACATGAATGTGCTTCTAATTAAATTAATTCATTTAGAGAAAAAAAGACCTTATAAAGCAATTGCTAGTTTCATGATCTTTTTTTTTTTTTTTTTTGATATGGAGTCTGGCTGTCACCCAGGCTGGAGGGTAGTGGTGCACTGCAACCTCTGCCTCCCTGGTTCAGGTGAGTCTCCTGCCTCAGCCTCCCAAGTAGCTAGGACTACAAACATGCACCACCACGCCTAATTTTTTTATTTTCAGTAAAGATGGGGTTTCACCGTGTTGGCCAGGCTTGTCTCAAACTCCTGGCCTCAATTAATCCTCCCACCTGGACCTCCCAAAGTGCTGGCATTACAGACATGAGCCACCATGCCTGGCCTAATCTTATTTACCATAGATTTTTTTTTTTTAGGTGAATGAACTAGGAAACTATTGTCATTGTTTGAAAAATAACACTATGCGTTGATAACTGCAAAAAGTGGCAATTAAGTAGTTTATGTTATTCCTAATGCTAATAGTAAATAATGACACTGAAACAGGAAAGGTTCCCTTGTCTCCCTCGCAGGGCGTGCGATGGGGGTGTGGCTCACTTCTTCAGTGCCCCACTGCTCTAGGGGAGCATACAGACATGCAGGCTGTGGGGCTCCGAGCCTACAGCAGTGTCTAGGAGTGAATGTTTACAGCTGAAGCCCCAGTGGGTGTGTGTTACATGATGCTCTTTTAGTTTGCTGTTTATAGGCAGCTTGTATTAACCAGCTCAGTAAGACCCTCTACCTTGTCCCTAGGGCAGAGGGTTTTCCGTATCCTGGGTTGTTGCCTTGGTGTACCGGAAGAATCGGACCACACGTGGGCTTGGAGAATGAGTGCAAAGTTTTTTTTGTTTGTTTGTTTGTTTTTTTTTTTGAGACGGAGTCTCGCTCTGTCGCCCAGGCTGGAGTGCAGTGGCTCCATCTGGGCTCACTGCAAGCTCCGCCTCCTGGGTTCACGCGGTTCTCCTGCCTCAGCCTCTCAAGTAGCTGGGACTACAGGCACCTGCTACCATGCCCAGCTAATTTTTTTGTGTTTTTAGTAGAGACGGGGTTTTACCTTGTTAGCCAGGATGGTCTCCATCTCCTGACCTCGTGATCCGACCGCCTCGGCCTCCCAAAGTGCTGGGATTACAGGCGTGAGCCACCGCGCCCGGCCGAGTGCAAAGTTTTATTGACTAGAAGTAGCTCTCAGCGGATGGGGAAGCCAGAAGGGAGCTGCAGTTTGGCTCCTCACTGGCCCCGGCTCTCCTTTGACTGCCTCCGCCAAACTCTGCCTCGTCCCGCCGGTTGATGGCCTGCTGGCGTGGCAGCGCCTATTGGCGTGCTCTCCCGCTGGCGTGCTCTCGACAGCCTTGTCGAGAAATAGCTTGTGTCTTCTTCCACCGATGTGTTCTTCACGATGTCCAGCAGCTTCTTTTTCTGCTGATGTGCTCCTCTTGACATCAGGCCGCCTGCGTGTCTACCTGCTAGGGTATAAGCCCAGGATGGGGGCATGGTGGGCCAGAGTGGTCTTGGAAAATGCAACATTTGGATACGAAAGCAGGAGTGCCTGTCCTCACCCAGGTCCATAGGGTTGGAGCCCTAGCTAGGGACTTGCTTTTCTTTACCGGGCACTTCCCTGACCCCGTATCAACATTACTTGATTAAAATTTCAACTTTGCTACTTATTTGCAACCTTATTTGTAACCTTGGGCAAGCTAATTGACTTTTCTTCCTCTTCAGTAAAATGTCTCTGTGTACATGTGTGTAAGTTTGCAATGTAAATAATAGTTTTTGGCCGGGCGCGGTGGCTCACGCCTGTAATCCCAGCACTCTGGGAGGCAGAGACGGGCGGATCACGAGGTCAGGAGATCGAGACCATCCTGGCTAACACGGTGAAACCCCGTCTCTACTAAAAATACAAAAAAAAAAAAAAATTATTTGGGCGTAGTGGCGGGCACCTGTAGTCCCAGCTACTGGGCAGGCTGAGGCAGGAGAATGGCGTGAACCCGGAAGGTGGAGCTTGCAGTGAGCCGAGATCGTGCCACTGCACTCCAGCTTGGGTGACAGAGCGACACTCCGTCTCAAAAAAAAAAAAATAGTTTTTTTCTGAGGATCAATTCATTTAATTCATATAAAGCACTTAGAACATAATACATGCAATATATGTTTTCATTTTTCTATTCAACAAAAGTTATACTTTGAGCTAATTCCCCTTCCCTAGCAGACACATCATCTCAGCCAATGTAAAGGCTTCTCTTTCCTTCATTCTAGGATTGTCTATATTGCAGGAGCTTACAGAGTAACAGGCTTTAGTGGGGGTGCTAGGGCAACAGATCCGACCCTCAGAGTCCTTGCTCATACAGTTGTCTGCTGACATGAGCCGTCCATCATACTGACTGGCCTTCACAATCTAGGTCATTTCTAATATATGTTTGATATGTCGATTTTTCATCTGTCCCTGGGCACACAGAGAAACTGTGAGGCTGTTTGAAGTCCTGTCTGCCTAGACAGTCGGAGGCATAGCTCCTGCTCCAGCCATGCTGCTGGCCTTGTGTTCTCCCCATGGAATGAAACTCAGGGCTCCCCTCATTTTCTGGTCCTACAAATCTAACTGGAAGTTTGCATATGTAAATAGGATGGACTCTGGAACAAATTTGCCCAAAAAATGTAGAAGCACAGAAACATAAGTATCTATTAGAGTTACCAAATTAATATTATTTTGAGCAAACTCTTTCATTCCATTTTTTGGAAGGAAAAGGAAGATTAAAGACAGTAATTGGGATGTGCAAAGACATTAGCAATAATCCTGGGCTGTTATTTACCCTGAGCTTGGGCCAGGGGACTCCTTGACATTTGATCAGCTGACATCATGACTATTAAACTAAAGAAACATTTGTGAGAGTGTAACTGCACAAGACCAATCTGGTTCAACTTTTATGTAATAAAGTTCCGAGTTGATTTTAAGTTGCCATGAAGGTCACGAAACCTGAGCATGCCCAGTTGAACCAAGGGTGTAACCACAGGTGGAACTTGAGTGCTCCCACCAAGGAGTGGAGAATGAGTTAGGAAGCCGACACCACATGGCAAGATCCAGGATCCAATCAGATTGAGTTTTGGCTTCATCCCATAGCAAGATCCAGTCAGATCATGCCTTCCAGCATCACCTAGTTGCAAGATCCAATCAGAGCACACCTCATTACCTTATGCTTATAAAACCCAACCCAGTCCCCAGCTCAGAGAAATAGATTTGAGCTTTTCCTCAGTCTCCTTGAGGGCCAACAGCTGGTCTTTTCTCAAAAGCCAGTACGGTGGTGTTGGCCTCTATGCACACAGGGCAGTGAGCCCACTGAGTGCTTGGTAATGAGAGGTCAAGGACTCTGGTGTTTAGTGCCATACCGTGAATGTAGTATATGAATGATTTGGTCATAGTGAAAACAATATTTGGGGAGTGTTAGGAGAGAGATTGGTCACTTCTGGCTAGTTATGCAGGGAAAGGGAAGAAAATGGAAGAGGAGGTATATAATTTAGGCCTGGAAGGTTGGCTGGGGTTTAAGCAAAGACAAATTTTGCAAAGAAAAACACTTAATGCCGTTTCTACTCAAAGTTTATCTTTTTTCATCCTCAAATTTAATAAATAGGACAGTGTTTTGTCGTGGAAAGCCTGTAGACTTTGCAGTCATTAGACTCTACTGCCAGTGAGTTGTTGGATGACTTTAGAAAATCAGTCTCTGTGCCTCTGTAAAATGACAATGACATCTGCCTAACAGGGCTGAGAAAATCAAATTCTGAACCACACATAAAGTAGCTAAAGTACCCTGCCTAATGCCTTGTAGCAACTCAATAATTGCTATTTCCCTTCCTTTCTCCCTTTTGATCCCAGTGGCTTTAATGTTAAGTTTATGTAGCTTATGTTGGGGACCTTAACAAAATTTCCTTAAGTATCTAATTCTAGAAATAAGCAGTTTGGATTGATAGTCCACTTTTTTCTTGGAAGAATCTGTAAAACATAAGATGTTTATTGGCTCTGATGCCTAACCCAAATTTGTATAATCATAAAATGTAACCAAATAGCTGGTGATACATAGAGCCTAAAAAGAGATGTTTGATTTACAGGATTTTTTAAATCAGAAAATTCTACAAAGAGCTATTTTCAAAGGAGCACTTCTGCAGACCTGACATCTAAGACTTTGCAAGTGGTTGCATTTAGTGGGAAACATGATGTTTTTCTCCCAATTGACCTCTTAAGAATTAGGTCACAGGGTACACTCTGTTCCCACCAATTAGGCTTTGATAACATCTAATTGGACAATTAAGCTCCCTCTTTAGACCTTTTGCTCTTATTATGTACAAATTTACCCCATCTCAAGAAGCATGAGACAGCTCCCCTGGAGTAAAAATGAAAGACATTACAGTTTTGAGGTGTGTGGGAGTGAAACAGAGAACTATTCTCTGCTATATAGGCTAACCATGGAGTTGTAGAAGTCGCAAATGCTAATCCATTTTTCACATCGACATGGGGCAGAATTTCCAGTCTTGGTACTGTTGGGTGTCCGGAGATGGTTTGGAGAGAGGAAAATTAGAAGAGAAAAGCTGCTGTCAATGGAGAGGAAGTCAAAACTCGTCTACATAAAGACAGTCTGATTTTGACTTTTGCTAGGCAAAGCCCTTTATAATTATTTTATCCAGTCATACAAGTGAAATAAGCATGAAATCACAAAATGGCATTTTGATGCCATTTATGATAAATGAAAATCGTCTTTGATTAGCTCTAAATAAGAATATTTCTAATAGAGCAAAGAATTGTATCTGAATAAATTGCTCATTAATGATGTCTGCACAGCACAATTGAGAGTCTGCAGTATTAGGTACTAACTCAGAAAGAAAATTGTGTTTGGACTGATTTTTAACTTGTTATCCTAAATAATTCAAATCCATTTCTCCTCAGCACGATTTCTTGCAGCAGTGTTAAGCATTCAGCTTATTTTGTGCTGTTTTGACCTGGCATTTGTAATAGTTTGGGGGTGAGGATGGGTACACCATATTTGTTTTTCAGTTATCCCATTTATGACCACTGTTGGGGGGCTCAGTTAATTTTTATGTGAATATTTTTCAAGTGGTTTGCATTTTTTGTTGCCTGCATTACTTTGTTGTTGTTGTTGTTGTTGTTGTTGTTGTTGTTGTTTTGAGACAGATCCTCGCTCTTGTTGCCCAGGCTGGAGTACAATAGTGCCATCTCGGCTCACTGCAACCTCTGCCTCCTGGGTTCAAGCGATTCTCCTGCCTCAACCTCTTGAATAGCTGGGATTAAAGGTGCCCACCACCACGCCTGGCTAATTTTTGTATTTTTAGTAGAGATGAGGTTTCACCATGTTGGCCAGGCTGGTCTCGAACTCCTGACCTCAGGTGATCCGCCCACCTAGGCCTCCCAGAGTGCTGGGATTATAGGCGTGAGCTACTGCGCCTGACCTGCATTAGTTACTTTGATCCTGTTCTCACATTCATTCCTTGCTTGAGAGCAGTAGATTCAAGGAGTTATTTCCTCAATGTCGTGTATTTACTTTGCTATCCCATTCTGTCATCTTTGTCATCTGCTTTGACATGGAACTGTTCTGCATTACTTCTCTTCTTCCTGCTTTACTTATTGAGATTGTGTCCTGCTTCTAATTAACAGATAGACTTGAGAATTCTTTGGTGGTTCTAATTTGTGATACTACATTTACAGTTAGTCAGAGTTAATATTAAATACATATTTTCACAACTTTTTGCTTTATTAGAAATATTTCATTAAAGTTAACCTTCAGATTTAAGCATAAAATGATACTTCATACAATTTTATTGATGGTTTCTCTGAACTCTCTTAATAATGTATACATTTCTTATAGAACCATGTAGCCTATTATTTATATTCTTTCTCCCCTACTAGTTACAGATACAAAATCTGATGGCTCTCATGTTCCAACAAACTATGGCTCATGGGCCATCTAGCCAACCATCTGTTTTTATAAAGTTCATGAGTTGAGTGATTTTTACACTTCTCAATGTCAAAAGGATTTCATCCTTATGACAGAGGCTGTATAAAGCCTAACATATTTACTGTCCATCCCCTTACAGAAAAGTTTACAGATCTGCACTATAAAGTTGAGATCTGCAACTTTTAGAAATTTATAGAAGTATTTCTAACACTCTAAAGTATTAGAACAGTGCTTTTCATAAGAAATGTTCCCTAAAGGATTTCAAATTGTCAAATAAATGTATATTACATTGGAAGTCATTATTTAAGCCATTTATACCAATGAATCCATAGAGACAATATAGAACTAGGAATTTTCATTGGAATTTGAAGTCAAACTAGCATCAGGTACTCTGCTGTTTCTCTGTTGTCATTCTTCTGGAATCAAGGTTAGTAGCTATAGGGCATAGTCATATAAAGATGATCCAGCCTGTGGGATTCTGGAAAAGATTGAGAAGGTGCATAAATTTGAAGAACACTAAGAACTTCCTGCTTGAAAATGAAAGGAAGACTTTTAAAACTAATTGATAAAATTCAAACACCAATTTTAAGTAAACTAATAAAAAACCCCAGGGATTTCATTTAGATAAAATAACTCTTAGGATAAGAAAAATAAACAATCTTGATTTAAAACAAAGCAGACATCATATAAAACTCGCATCCCTACCTGTGGATTAGAAAAAGTATATAGAGAATAATAACTTGATACACGTATAAAAGATGAAGAAAGCTTTAAAATCACACTAAGAGGAGTATGAGATGAATTTTCTCTCTTATTTTGACAACCTCTGACACTAAAAAAGAAATGGCAAAAATTGAAAAAGAAATATATTTCTTATGCTCGTCTCCTTATCCACATTTTGTTATGATGAGGCAGCACTGAAAATGTTAGTGATTACAAAAGGTGAGTTACCAGAAAGATGAGATTTTCTTTTTTGTTTGTTTGTTTTTTGAGACAGGGTCTCGCTCTATCACCCAAGCTGGAGTGCAGTGGTGCAATCTTGGCTCACTGCAACCTCCGCCTCCCAGGTTCAAGCGATTCTCGTGCCTCAGCCTCCTGAGTAGCTGGGATTACAGGTGTCCACCACCGTGCCTGGCTAATTTTTGTATTTTTAGTAGAGACAGGGTTTCACCATATTGGCCAGGCTGATCTCGAACTCTTGACCTCAGGTGATCCACCCGTCTAGGCCTCCCAAAGTGCTGGGATTACAGGCTTGCGCCACCATGCCGGCCAGATTTTCTTTCCTTTTATTTTTATATGTTGACCAGGGATTTCTGATATTCATAGTTTTAACAGCACCTTGGATGTTTAACAGTGGTTTTGAATACAAAATATCATTTTCTGTACTTAAATTCATAAAAGAAAAGTTGTAGTTAAAATGTTTCCCAAAAGTTCATAAATTTTAATACGTGACATTTAATAGGCAATATATAACTAAAACTTAGACTTGCTCTTACTTGCCAGGACAATGTTTTACTTAGTACGTTTGCATTAAGCACCTATTGGCGATGAGACTATCATCCCTCTTCTTCTTACTATCATGCCTACTATAATTAGCTTGAAAATATTCAAATAAGTATCATATAAACACATGCCATAAGTGTAGCCCCAAATGCATAAAAGCCCAGAGTAGGGGAGAATTTTATTTGTCTGGGGGTAATCATTGAAGAGTTAGCAGTGGCTCTTGAAAGATTTATAATGGGTAAAGATTGGGGATGAGTAATCCAAGCAGGACTGGCAGGAGAAAGCCCATGAAAGCAGGAACCATATGAGATGTCTTCAGAAAGTGATATATCACTTACTATGTATCATTTGGGGTATATGTAGGAGAATAAGTCCCCAAGTTAAAATAAAACCATTACAGAAAGATGGCATGAAATCATGTTTAGATGGTATGTTTTCTTATTTAAAATCTAGGCAGATTCAACTGGCAGTGAATATAAAACACTGAAATAAAATTTGATATTCTGATATGGAAAAAAAAAACGACATTAAGCATCAGTACTTGAAAAACTAGTGATCTGAATGCTCTGTGAAGACCTGCCCGGTAAAATTTACTAGGGAGAAGAAAGTTGTATTAGCCAGGATGTCACATCATGCTTCATCATCCTTAGCTTCTCTCTGCCAAAGCAAAAGGAGAGAAGCAGGGAGTTCAGGACTTCATCTGGGCCATTTAGAAGAAAAAAATCCTTTCTAGAAATAGCATAGCATTTGTTATAGGCCTGTATAGGTTTATCACTTGTGCAATTTGGTCATTGCTTACAAGTCCTGTTTGCTCTGCCTAGGTTGGTAAAGCCATAGGTTTCTGGTTACAAAAACATGTAACTAATGCATTTCCACATTTTTATTTTGAGGATTTCTGAGAAGGAAGCCCCCAAAGCAAAAACTCTGGAGCAAAGATGTGTGGATATTAACATTATACTCATTATCCATCATTATCAGTTTCATCTTTATTATAAAATAATCTTTTTGTACACAGAACTCTCCAAGGCCCAGGCTGCAATGTCCATGACAGTTTATAACTCCATGAAATGTAATTCCTTGTGCTCTGATATGACGAGACTATAAAGGTTTAGTGATAATGAAGGAAAAAGATGAAAGAAAACATTACTTATGTAGCATAGTTTAGGGAATGAAATGCTTAATCAAATTTAGAAAAGTAAAGCTGTATTGCTAACAAAAAATACCTATCTGTTTACCTTTTTATGGGAAAAGTACAAATTTTCTGAATAGTTGGGTCAAATCCCAAAATACCGTGTGACTCTATAATACAGAATGAAAAGCATCTATTGTATTCAAACCACGTGTTCAGGCTAAAAGGTAATGTTAACTGGATTTACTGAATCCAGCCTAGGAACTTTGATATCCTTCTGTGCCCTGTGAGGACTTAGAAGCCTCTGCACAATATTAAGCTGCCTATGGAGGATCATACTGTCTTTTATCAATCTGGGTTGCCCCTTATCCAGTTTTGCTCCTATTAACTTCTGCTGCAACCCCTTCTGGTAAAGGAATAGAAGTTAGATATTCTTTTCTTGCCATCATTTTTGCATTGATGTGGCTCTGTCTGTGCCTGAAGATTTCAGGAATAAATAGATATTATGGATCAAGAAAAGAATAAGAATAAAATTGTGAAGTTGACCTAGCTATTAGAGAATATTTTTCACTATTAGCTTGGAAGAAGATCTGCTTCAATAGCGTATGATATCGGAACCCTGACTTTGGAGGCTTCAGACATCCTGAAATATAATTCAGATAATATGAAAAGGATGCACGCTGAAGCCTCTAAAGCTCTGTTCCTGCAGATTTTCATCTCTTCCTGTTACGAAACTAAAATGATAGCCATTCTCTTATCTGTGCACAAGGTATAAACAAGTTAATTGATGGCTGTTCTTCCTGAGTTACATTCAGTCTACTGGGGAAAACCTATGTGTAATGAGTTTAGAAATAGAGTGAATTAGAATGTAATGTCACAAATAAGCAGTGAAACTTTAATTCATACTTTTATGATAGCCAACTTAGATTACTGTAATTCTCTGTCTCCTTCAGGTGTCCCACTGGAAAAAGAAAAGATAGCTTGTACAAGTATGCAACCCCTGAGATTTTAAGCACGCAGAATCTGGTCAACATACACCTAGACTTAGAGATTTTGGTTCTAGCTGCCAGTGAGCTACTAGATTGATTGTAAGAGGTCCTAGTGATGTGTTTTTGAAACACTGCATGAATCCAAATGAGTTTTAGGTTCCCTATTGTCCAAGCCGAATTTTGTTCAACTGTAAAAACGTTGGGTTTTTATTTGTTCAGAACTACTATTATAAATCACAATGCCCTATAGTTTTTTCAAGCACTTGTGGAATATATTTTTCCCAGACAGATTCAGAATATCAGAAGTGTCATTGAATTTAGGTCAAGACTAAAGTGACTTGTTTAATTTGTTTTCTTTCAATAGTACTGATTCTTTCTGTGTAGCTTTCCTAGGTACTTTAAGAAATCCTTTAAAATCTTAGCATTGTAATATTTAAGAATACCATTTAAAATGGACACAGTTGATAGAATCTGGATTAAAAGCATATTAATTTATATGCATACTCTGCTATGCATGGTAACATCATAGCCATCACTCTCATGGGTTTCTTGTTGGTGAAAGAAACATTTTGTATTTTGCTTATAATGTTAATTATATTGTATAGGATATTTTATAGAAATATTTTGAGATCATTTTTCACAGGTGTTATTTTCATTATAAATTCTCATATTATTATATTGGTGTCAATCATACTTGAAATTAAATCATTGAAATGCATTTGCACTGTTTAAAAAAATCTGGTAGTTGAAATAACAATAAAGGCCTTTATTTCTAAGTGCAGTTGCATAATTTAGTTTATTTCTCTACTGGCATTTTCCTATTTCTTTTAAGCATATTTCTTCCACTATATAGACACTTATTTGCTATAAATATTGTAGTCAGTGAAATTGTTCTCACCCTTTACCTGTTGGTCATATTTGGTATGTGACAGCAGTTTTATGCATATTAAGTCAGCAATACTTGTTTTAAGGGAAAGATATATTACTGATTACTAACTACGTCAGTTTTATTTCTTCTGAGCATGGGATAATTGTTAGCTGTATAATTATAGGCAATGTGGCATAAGAAATAAAAATGAGATTTGAAAATGAAAAATATTGTGGTTATGGACAAGTCACTTTGCTTTTCAAAAAATTATTTATTATTCTTTATAACTGACATAAGATTGTATTTGCTGTGTACAACACATGGGTTTCTGGGTTTTGTTTTTAGCTTTTTGTAGCGATGGGGTCTTGCTGTGTTGCCTCGGCTGGCCTTAAACTCCTGGCCTTAGGCAACCCTCCCACCTTGGCCCCCCACATTCTGGGTTTATAGGCATGAGCCACCACGCTCAGCCCAACATATGGTTTTAAAGTATGTATACACTGTGGAATGACTAGCTAATTAACATATGGATTACCTCACATAGTTTTATTTCTGTGGTGAGAACACTTGACATTCACTCTCTTGGCATTTTCCAAGAATATATTATTAACTTTAGTCAGCATACTCTACAGTAGAGCTCTTGAACTTATTCTCCCTATCTTACTGAAATTTTGTATCTTGACTAACCTCTCCACATTCCCCCCTACCCCCAACAACCTCAGGCCCTGATAACCACCCTTCTAATCTCTACTTCTATGAGATCAAACTTTTTAGCTTCCACATATGAGTAAGATCATCTGGTATTTGTCTTTCTGTGCCTGCCTTATTTCACTTAACGTAGTGTTCTCCAGGCTCATCCGCGTTGTTGTTTTGAGCTTCTTTTGTTATTTGTCAGATAGATAGTAGTAGTTCATGACTTATGTTGAGAATTAAAATAAATATAAAAGCACTTTGTAAGCTATAAGAGTCTTTGAGGCTGGTGGCTCAGGCCTGTAATCCCAGTGCTTTGGGAGGCTGAGGCAGGTGGATTGCTTGAGCCCAGGAGTTCCAGATCAGCCTATGCAACATAGAAAAACTGGTCTTTGCAAAAAATACAAAAATTAGCCGGGTGTGGTGGTGCTTGCCTGTAGTCCCAGCTACTTGGGAGGCTGAGGCGGGAGGATCACTTGAGCCTAAGAGGCCAGAGTTTGCAGTGAGCCGAGATTGCCCCACTGCACCACAGCTTGGGTGATAGAGCAAGACTCAGTCTCAAAAAAATAAAAAAGACTATTTGATAATATTAGTTATTTATAGCACTGGTCTAGTGGAAGCAAAGATTTTATTGATAAGAAACAAAGTATGTAGCAGCTTACTTTAGTACAGTCATGCACTGCATAAGGACCTTTCACTTAACAAAGGATCACATGTATGATGGTGATCCCATAAGATTATAATGGCTCTAAAAATTCCTATCTATTAGTATTTACTATACCATACTATTTACTGTTATTTTAGAGTACTCATACATATATATGCATATATATACACATATATATTTTTGTATATATACACATATTTTTTGTATATATACACATACATATGTATTTATATATATATATATATACATATATATATACACACACACACACACACATATATATATAAATTAACTGTGAAACAGCCTCGGGGAGGTTCTTTGGGAGGTATTCCAGAAGAAGGCTTTATTATCATAGGATAATTTTATCCTATAATCATAGGATAAAATTTTATCCATATTATCACACTCCAAATGGACTATTGCTTCTGAAGACCTTCCAGTAGGACAAGATGTGGAGGTGGAGGACAGTGATATTGATGCTCCTGACCCTGTGTAGGCCTAAGCTAATGTGTGTGCTTATGTGTGTTCGTGTCTTTATTTTTAACAAAAAAGCTCAAAAAGTGAAAAAAATATTTTCAAATAGGAAAAGCTTATAGAATAAGGATATAAAGGAAGAAAATTTTTTTGTTCAACTGTACACTGTATTTGTGTTTTAAGCTGTGCTATTACAAAAGTCAAAAAGTTTAAAATATTAAAAAGTTTATAAAGTAAAAGTTACAGTAATCTAAGTAATTTATTATTGAAGAAAGAAAAAATACTTTTAAAATAAATGTACTGTAGCCTAAGTATACAATGTTCATAAACTCTGTAGTAGTGTACAGTGATGCCCTAGGCCTTCACATTCACTCACCACTCACTGATTCACCCAGCTCCACTTCCAGTTCTGCAAGCTTCATTCAAGTTAGGCACCTATACAGGTGTACCTGTGTTTTTACTGTATTTTACCTTTTATACTCCTTTAATTTTTACTTTATCTTTTCTAAGTTTAGAAACACAAAAACTTAACCACTGTGTTACAGTTGTTTATAGTATGTAGTACAGTTACACACACACTGTACAGGTTTGTAACTTAGGGGCAACAGATTACCCCATATAGTCTAGGTGTGCAGTAGGTGTGTCAGTACACTCTATGGTGTTTGTGCAATGACAACATTGTCTTATGATACATTTCTCAGAATATATCCTCATTAAGCGACACATGATTATATTTTATTTTGAGGCAGAGTTTGTTCTAACAGCTGATCCTTCTCCCCACTCTTTTTTTTTGCTACATATTCTCTTGCACTTTTTTGATTTATTATTCCACTTGTATGTCTATTAGTATGTTTTATACAAATATCAGTATAAAACAATGCACATGATGACCTCTTTATGGTATCTTAGTAACAATCCAGATAATAAAATCTTTGAGTATGTGCAAAAATATGGTAGTAAATATGGAAAGTGAAAATATACATTATTGAGATCGTTTTGAGACATTTCATTCTGTAAGTTCACAGTAGCAGAAATAACCACCATTTTTCCAAACTGTCACAAAATATAGTGGTAATTATGCTGGGATGAATACACATCTCATTTCCATATTTTCTATAGGGTTTCTTTAATGTTATTAATATGATATTAAGCAGGGGATTCTTCGTTTCAGGTGACTTGAGAGCTATTTCTGACCATATCTTTGAGCTTTTCCTAGTAAGGAAAGGTGAAGTTCAAATGCCTGAGCATACAGATGTGGTACCATGTGGAAAGGGTGGGGTGACTCAATCTTATTTCCCTCTTGGTTTCTTCCTGTTATTGCTCTGTTTTGAGTAATTGCCCCTTTCTTCTGAGAAAACAAAAAAAGCAGCCTTTCTTAGGGAATCACAAATGAGCTCCTTTAATTCTGTGGACCAAGTCCTTTTGCAGACCAGTTAAAGTGGTTAATCTCTTGCTACTGATCCAGCTGTAGGACATCTTTTTCCTTGAACTGTTGAAAGCTCACAGGCTACTTGGATTCTTTCTTCTTTGTGTTTTCTGCCTGAACTTTTTACTACTGAATTTTTTCCTCTTTCTTTTGTTTTACATCATTGCCAAACTCATGTGTATTATTTTTTTTAAAAAGGAGCATTTATAGATGGGAAGAATTGTCCCAGTTTTATGCATGTCCGGTGCAATTCATGCTCTACTTGAAAGTGATTCTGCATTTTGTCTGTAAAACAAACTCAGAAGGCTTCATCCAGAACCAGTTTACACAGCTTCAAAGAAGAATGCAGATGTGACATAGTACGAATGCTAACAGCGATGGTAAGGTCTCACAACACCTAGGTGAGCTTCTGATGTTCCCAGATTACTTCCAGTCACCATAAATTACTTTGCCATCCACTAGCTCTTAAAACTTTCCTTTTTATTGCACAAAATGCAAGTGAAAAAACAGAAGCTGGAAAATGCATACATGTAAATGTACAGCTGGACTTTCTCCTGTAGGCTAGGTTGCAATAATTATAGATTAGGCCTTTAGAATATTTCATTTCACAAAGAATGAATTCTTCTTTACATGCCCTAAGTCTTGTTCTATCCTCTAAATCAATTATTTTCAACAGACATTTCCTGAACATGCTAGGTAGTAAGCTGAACGCACACATATGAATAAAATATAGTCTTAATCACTTATGGTCTCCCTTGGCTTGAGGAACTCATAAGCTAACTGCTTAGAAGTTGTAAAGAATTTATTTTGGGGGAAGAGCCTAACTAATAACAATGAAGATACTTAAAACTTATTGACTTGTAAAGACAGGATAGCATAGTAGTTAAAAGCTTGGACTCTGATTTCACCACTTTCTAGTGTTGACCATTGGAAAAGTGGTTTGATCATCTGATGCCTGTTTCTTCATTTACCAAAAATAGTTAGTAACAGAATTTACCTCATAGGCTTGTTGCAGGGCTTAAATGAGTTAATAGTTGTAAGGCACTTAGAACAGTGCCTGGAGTCAAATAATTGTTTAAAAATAGTTAAAATGCTTTGCTTATACCAAGGATAGATCTAACATTAGGAATGCACAGATGGTATTAGTCATCTATTGTGTAACAAATTACCCCCAAACCTAGCAGCTTAAAACAACAAACCTATTGTCAGGCATGTGAATACCTAGTTAGCTATTTGTCTCTGATTCAGGGTCACTTAAGGCAGCAACTAAGCTGTGAGCTGGGGCTGCAATCATCTTAGGTCTTGAATAGGGAAGGATCAGCTTCGAAGGTCATTGTTGTGATGATTGGCAGGTCTCAGGTGTTTGTAGGTTGTCAGATGGAGACATCAGTTCCATGTCACATGGACCTCATGGGACATTTTATAACATGGCAACTGGCTTCCCTCAGACTGCGGAATGGAGGAAGTAAGAAAGGGCACCACAGAGGAAGCCACTGTTTTATGATGAAATGATATTCTATCACTTTTACTGCATTTTGTTTGTTATAAGCAAGTCACTGGGTCTGGGCCACACTCAAGGGAAAGGATTTACACAAGGGTCTGAATACCAGAAGGTGGATTTCTTTGGTGACCATCTTATGAGATACCAACCACAGAGATGATTAGTATTTTTCTTAGCCTATAAATGCTAAATAGAATGTATTTAAGTACACAGTGTTTAGAAACTGTATTTATAGTTCTTCCAGTAAGAGAGAAATGAAAGTCACTTAAAATCTCCAGAAATTTGGCAATCTTTGAATGAACTTTATTTGCTCAACTTAAAGTTTGTCTCAGATGCCAGGTTGTTCATTAAAGTTTCTGTTAGTCCATTGTCTGTCTTTAAAAGATAGAAAGACCATGGTAACTTGAAAGTCGCCAAGTAGAACTCCCCCAGGGTTGGAACTAATACTGCTTCTTTCCTCTGAAGCTCTTGTTCCACTCTGATTTGTGGATTTACTTATATAATTTAGTCAAGACTATGGCTTCTTGGAAGAAATCTCAGAAGGACTGAAATATAATAGCTTCTTTGTCCATACAGCCCCCAAAGTGTGATTCACAGAATATTTTGCCCTTCATGGCTCATGAGAAACCACGTCATGTCTTTAAGTCATTGACTTAAAACTAAATTATGAGGATGAATCACAAAATGATGTAAAGAAAAGTGTCTGTTGAATTTAGTATGAATAATCAACCTGTATAATGTAAGATAAAAAGAGAAAAATAGTGTTCTAAGATAAGAGTTGCTATGATTTTATTTGGTCTTGAAGCACTGAGATGTATTCTATTTTGCCTCATCAGTTCAATCAAACACACATAATTAATATTTTGTTACTAATTAATTTGTGTGTACTTTGAAAAAGTATCCTTGAACTACACAATTTATATGAACTATTTCTGAAGTATATTTAGAAGAGAAAAAAAATTTATGATTGCTTTTTCAATTAGTATTCCTCTGCTTATATTGTGCCTGACCTCTTTTAAAACCTTAATTTAAATGAAGAGTAAAGAATTCAACATTCTCTTGCAAGGTGTATTCCGGATGAAATATTCTTCAGTTATGTTTCAAAAACATACAGAGTTGTTCTGAATTTTAATTAGACTGGCAATGAACTCTTGTTCTCTAGAAACATGAATAGTAAGACACAATTTCCTAGCAGCATCGTAACGACAAAAACAACAACAACAAAATGATGTTTCAGTATGCCTTTCGATGAGGAGAGAAAGTAGAGAAACTTACTATTAAGAGATATATTGGTTACATTAATTTAAAAATTTATACAGTAAGTGAATTTTGTGGAAAAAATAATTGTTTCTATTTTCTGATTAGACCACCTGCATAACCTCATCTTCTCATCCTAATTCTTCTCTATTATTTCTGAACCCTTCCGTATTAATTATCCTCCCTTTCTATTCCATCTTCCATGTCTTCCTCCCCATGGACCTCTTTTTCTCTGCCTATTCACAGGCCCAGACCTCTTATTTATAAACAGAAAATAAAATAGAAATTTTCCTTTAGCCATGCCATTCCCTTGAGGAACTGACTTATCATGCACATTTTTAACCAAACCAAACCAAACAAAACAAAACAAAAACTCTTTGACAGAAACTGTTTCTGTCCTCTATGCTTTTTATCTTTGCATTCTTCAACCCTAAATAATCTACCTTCCACCTTAACTCCTTAGCAAGTGAGCAGCAGCCGTCACATGTGATTGTATCATAACACAAACAATGGTCTCTTTTCAATTTTCATCTACCTTGATAAGTTGTCAATGACTAACACTGATTCCCCCAACCCTTTTTGCAGAAATCAATCACCCTGGCTTTCTTGATATAGCATTTTATAGTTCTCCTATCTCCCACTAAAGGAAGAAATAGAAAGACAGAGAGAGAGAGAGAATGGTGAGACATACTTAATTAATATAAATAATTGGTTTACACTATTATAGAGGTGGAGAAGTCTGAAGATCTTCAACTGGCAAGCTAGAAAACCAAAAGAGCTGATGGTGTAGTACCAGTCCAAGTCAAAAGGCCTGAGAAACAGAACAGTGGTCTAAGTTCCAGTCCAAAGGTAGCAGGCTTGAGACCCAAAATGAACCATTTCAGTCTGAGCCCAAAGGCTGGAAAAACCAACTTTCCAGTGCAAGCAGTCCGACAGAAGTAATTCCCTCTTACTCAAGGGAGGGTCAAATTTTGTCTTGTTCAAGTTTTCAGCTGATTAGTTGAGGGCCATCCACATTATGGAAAGTAATCTGCTTTACTCAGTTTAATAATTCAAATATTAATCTTATCCAAAAACACCCTCACAGACACACTCAGAATAATGTTTAACCAAGTAGCTGGGCACCCCATGGCCCAGTCAAGTTGACATATAAAATTAACCACACACCACCACCCATTCTAAATTCCCTTTTCCCTCAAATGACACATAGCAAATCAGGGTTTATTCCTTGTGGGTAACTCAAATCTTCCTTGTTGTAGCAGAATTGGGAAGTAACCTTGCCCAGAGCATTGCATCTTCCAGAATATTCTTTCAGTCTTCACAATATAGCAATGACTATTTCCCCGTAAGATGTATTAATCACCCACTAAAACAGTAACACCCCTTGTTCCTTTGTCGGTTCAGTAACATGTGGACTCCCAAATGACCAGGCGACAATGCCATCTGCTAGTGCAGTGGGATCATTTTTATTTTTTTGGTTGAGAACATTACTCCCTTGGATACTGTTTCAGTTACAGAACAAGATAACCTGCTACCATGAAGAAACCACAAAATACGGTAGCTCAAACAAGATACTCTTTTCCCCTCCCATGAGTCCAGTACTGGCAGATGGTTTAGGGCATAAAACTATCTCTGCTTTATAAGATTACATAGGGGCTTCTTCAGTCTTGTTCTGTCTTGTTGCTCTGTAGTGCTGTAGGGTTTTGCAGGCATGGTCAGAACTGGATCATCTGCATTACATCTGTAGAATTTGTATGTATTTCTACATATGAATGTGGAAAGAAAGTAGAGTTCAGGCATTTTCCATTATTAAAGATTTGACCTGAAAGTTGCATGCATCACTCTGCTCACACCCCATTAGTCATAACTTAACCACATGACTACCTAATAGGTGCAATGGAAAATTGTAACATGTAGTCTCTAACCGGGCAGCCATGTGCTAAATACTTAGGGTGCTCTATAATTAAGATGTAGAAAGGGATCATTAGTCTTGGGGACATTATTAGTATTGAAACCTCTAAACAACTGGAGACCAAAGTTCCAGGATGGAAAACAAAATTATGAACAAGACAGCAGGTTTGAGAGCAAGGTGCCACTTTCATTCCTTGGTCCCAGGCTCATGTATTTTTGGTTTTGAGAGACTTGGCATCATATACGAGATGATGGTTTGAAGCATATACCACATCCTGAAAGACAGTGCCCCAACCACGGTGGGATTGGTGCTCACTGGGAGGATTAATCTTTCCTACTGTCCATCAGGGACACCCTGACTGTCCTGAAATGCTATATTGGTCTACCTCTGCATGGTTATAACATACCATGTTTATGTAAACCAAGTCCAAATGTTTTCTTCCTCAGTCGAGTAGTAACAAAAGTCATTCTCATGAGACTTTATGAGGGAGAGGAGGCAGGACAATAAGAGTAGAGATGGTGAGAATTTGAGTTGTCTCTGCATGCAACTTGCCTATGTCTTTACATTGACTTCATGATGGAGTGTTGCTGACAACGTGATGATTTTCTGGGTTCAGTAACACCTAATTCATGCTGGACAGGTCAGGTTGCATGGCCATTTGGTATCTCATGATTGAGTGTTTAGTCTACCAGATCCTAGTAATACGGTTGCAGTTAGTACAAAAGAAGAGAAAAATTGTTTCCAGCGAGGGTTTTTCCTCAGGGGGCATTCAATGAGTGTTTACTATGATTTTCTTCCAGGAGCCTGCCATTGGCTCCACTAAGTACCCTGATCTGCTACAGTCATTTCAAGTACTAATGGGTCCACAAAGTCATAAGAGCTAAGAGGCAGGGATGCTTTTGCTACAGCTTTATCAGCTGTAAAACTTTGTCTTTCTCTGGATTCCATTCAAAACTGGCAACCTTATAGATGGCTTGCTAGTTTAGAAAAATATGCCAAAAGTTGTATGTTGCCTACCAAATTGAAATAGGACCGTGGTGTGCACTTTATCTTTCTTAGTTGTGGGCAATGCAAGGTACAGCAAGTTGCCTTTCACTGTGGCAAAGATATTATAATGTTATTTAGTCCACTGAGCACTATATTTTAATGGGTTTATCTTGGACCTTTTTATTTACTTGTGTCTTAGCAAGACCACTAGGTTAATTGCTTTTAGTTAGTGTTCATAAAATTCTATCTTTAAAAAATAATCAGTATAAGAGTAAAACTTGACTTACTGTGGAATGGTGAAATCATTATCATTCCTATAGACTAAATTATGACACAGAGATAGAATTACCACACATAGCTCACATACTACACAAAAACTGACATATCACAAGACAGGAAAGTGAAAATATACTGCTGTCCATGCCCAGTGAAAGCAAACTGTTTCTGGTATTCTCTATATAGTATGATGGAGAGGAAAAATAGTCCAGCTGCATACTAAGCTGAAGGGCTTAATTTGCTCTGTTATGAGACAATATTTGGTTCAGCAGCTTGAATTTGAGTAACTATTGCTTAAACTCTCCCTAATCTACTATTCTTCTGTAAGTCTTATTGATTTTCTGTACAGACTGAAAGGCAAATTGAAAGAGGACACATAAGGGACCAAAATCACTGCATCTTTTAAGTAATTAATAGTGGCACTAATATACAGATTCCCACTGGAGATATCATGCTGCTTTGGTCTTACTCATCTTAGGGAAGGGGAATTCCACAGACACCAAATTGGCCTGTGGTTCCATCTAGTCCTCACTCCGTGATTCAGAGTCAATGTAGGGATTTTGCTAGTTGTTGAGTATACCCATTTCAGTTTACACTCTGATACTGAGCAACAGGAGAATGTGTTTACCATGAGACAGACCCAGGCCCTCACTCTGAGTGGGGTTTCCACAGTAGCATTCTAGGTCTCCAGGGATTAGCAGAACCAGAGTCTGACAGTAAGTCCACGTATTTCTCTCTCAATACTCAAAGAAATTAGTAGATAGTCACAAGCTCCTGGCAAAGGCCAGGAGAAAGAATTACAGAATAGTCTTTGATGGTTTCTTGGGGTTCTTTCTCAAACATATCTGATTTTCCATTCTTTCAGGAACCATGAGTACATTAATTTATTCAGGTCTTATAATTGATTGAAGAACCATGACATGGCTCAACACTCAATGTGACATTCTACAAGGGTCAAGTTATTCAACTTATATTTGCTATACCTAAATATTTTTGGATATGTAATAATTTGGGTCATTAGAGAATTTATTATTAATTAGTTACCACCAAAAATTCTGGTGGTTTTATACTCACTAGTTGTAAGATCTTAGATAAGTGTCATAAGATTTAAATGCCTTAGTTTCCTTATCTGTAAAACAGATTATAGTACCTGTCTCATGGATTAATTCTGTGGATTAATTGTGAGAACAATTAAAGTGGTTAGAATAGTATCAAGCACAAAATAAGTGTTCAATAAGTGATAGCTATTATTTTTATTGAATGTAGATCAATATCTTTAGTTTGCCAATAAAAGCCCTTCATCCTCTTATTATCATCTTACCCTTCACTGTTATTTTACACCAACCACGTTTCATTTTTGCTTAGCTGGATTACATCATGTTTTCTGACAAGTCTCTCACTTCTGTGTTTTGACATCTTTTTCTGACATGTCCTTTCATGGAACACTGCTTATTGGATTTCACACATTTTCCGATGTTCATATCAAGTGCTACTGCCATTGTGAATTCTTTCTTGCTATTTTCCTGTCTGAATATGATCTCTCTTCTCAAAAATCTTCATTATAGTTTTTTGGGGAATATCTCATTAATTAATTAATTGATGGAAGAATTAAACCCATTTTGAATAGGTAACCACCTGTACCATATTTAAGGAGACCCTTTCTGTGAGAGGAGCTTGCAAATTTCTAAGAGAAATAGTTGTATAAATAGATGATTCAAATACAGTGGTTTGATGTTATTAGAGTAATGCTCAGAGTTTTCTAAAAGTTCAGAAGATAGGGTACCTAGCTCCAAAATGGGAAGTCAGTAAGGCTTCTTGGAGAAAGTGATGTCAGAACCAAGTTGTGAAAATGTTTTGAAATTAACCAGGCAATGTTCAGCAGGACAGAATAACACAAGCAATGTTCAGCGATCGATATGCAGTTCAGAATTTCTGTAGTGAACTCATGATGGTGGATTAAGGGAAGGGATACTGAAGAGGTAGGTACTGGAAAGGTAGAATCCCAAGGAACTCTGTATAAGAGAGTAAAGAACTTGCACACATTCATAAGTGTCATTGAAGGCTTTTCAGCAGTTTTTGATATAGACAGTTCATCTTGACAGTAGTATTGAGGTGGTGCTTTGAGGCAGAAAGGCCAATTAGAAGTATATTGCCATCATTCAGGTGAGAGATAGAAAGGGTAGGAATAGTAGGGACAGATGGAAAAGAGGGAATAAATATGAAAATTATTCATGAGAAAAATCAGAATGGCTTTATGATCAATTAATTCTGGGAGATGAGGAAAAGGATGGCGCTAAATATATCTTTAACATTTTAAGGACAGTAACAGGGAGGTTGTTACAGAATATTTCCTGAATTTGAAACTATATGTAGTGTAGGAGACAAAAGAGCAGGATTATAATGTTTATAATGTGCACATTCCTGATCATGCAGTGGCTTTTAAGTTCCCATATTAAACACAGATATAAACATCTGAGGTGAAAATGTGAGTACAATGACAAAGGAGAATATACGTTTATGGAGTCATGTCCACCAAAGTCTCTACAGCAGTATCCCCTTATCTGTGGGAGGTACATTCCAAGACCCCCAGTGATTGCCTGAAACCATGGAGCGCACCAAACTCTCTCTGTGTCATACCATTTTTTTCCATCTGATACAGCTGCTAAGTGACTAATGGGTGGGTAGCTGGACAAAAGGAGGATTCACATCCCAGGAAGGATGCCACAGGATGGTGTGAGATTTCATCACACTACTCAGAATGGCATCTAATTTAACATTTATGAATTGTTTATTTCTGAAATTTTCCACTTAATATTTTCAGACCGAGGTTGACCGTGGGTAACTGAAACAGCAGAAAGTAAAACTGCGGATAAAGGAGGACTACATATCTCTTTATTTGGTTGTTCATATCATCTTATTTGATATTGATAGAGAAAGCTGCTAAGGTAGAAAATATTCATAATCTTAATTAAAAAGGGAGAAATGGAGAAAAAGGAAGAAGGGAAAAAAGGAGAAAAATCAAATAAAAATAATGAATTGAATTTTTTTTTTTTTTTTGAGATGGCGTTTTGCTCTGTCGCCCAGGCCGGAGTGCAGTGGCGGGATCTCGGCTCATTGCAAGCTCCACCTCCTGGGTTCACGCCAATGAATTGAATGTTTTAATTCATATGGAAGTTGAGTTTACTTGAATACAATTTTTTTTTAACAATTGGAATTGGTGACTGTCATAATGTGAAAAGCAGTTAGCTAATAGGATAATGAAAAACTGCTTTCAATGAAAAAATTGACTAATCTCTACCATCATTCTTTTTTGTAAAGCATTTATGTAAATTATTCCATACTGAAGATCTATTTCTGTTTGGAAACATTGATGGCAGAATGAAAGATGTACTGAACGGGGACCACAAAGCCTGGTTTCTAGCACTATCCTATCATACCCTCAACAAAACAAATAACTAGAGCTCTTTAATCTCTTCATAAAAATAAATGCGTTGTTTAAGTTCTCTAAAGTCTGTATCTGTTCAACACATTGGCTTTATAGTGAGGACTAGACTTCCTTGATTCTTTTTCAGTTACTGACATTCATAATCTCCTGACATTCACAATCAAATTTACTGCGGCTCTGAAATATTCACCTTCTCATTCAGAAATGCTTGTGAAAAGAGAAGAAGCATATGGCAACTGGTCTCAGACATGGTTGCCCATGAAGTGCTTATATCAATCAAATATAATATAATATAATGGTACCAAATTAAGGCTCTGGAATGAATAATTTTAATTTCCTCTAGGCTAATATTGACACTGCTACAATGACAATGGCTACAATGACAATGGCTACAATTCCACAAACAGTCCATTAAGGCATAGTATTAGTAAGTTAAAGGGTTAATACAATTTTTAAAAATGTACTAGTCAACTTTTAAGGACAGAATGAAATGAAATGGAAATGGAGTACAAGATGAATGTAATTAGAACGTATTTTACAGAGTAGACGTTTTAGAAATACAGGTTAAATACATCTAAAAAAATAGCACAAAAGGCTTGGCTTACTTTTTCCTCTACATTTTAAACTGAAATTTTTCATTATGATCAGTGTTCTTTTTCAGAGATGAGTAGCTACATCTGCCTTTAGCAGTACAAAAACCCACATTTCCTCAGTCTCTGTTATTACCACCATTGTACGAAGTAGCCAGTGTTCAATTATTACCTGTCACTAACAACCTCAAACTATAGATTGAAGAGGTTAATTTTCAGTTTATTTTACTCTATATGTGAGTGCTGAGTAATAATGCTAGTCTTGAAATTTTTTGAAAAGAGAAAATCCTTTCTTGCTAGAGGAAATTTAAGCTCATTGGGATGAAAACAGTAGTTATACTATTATTTGCAGAGCATAAAATATTTAAAATTAAGAAATTTTTAGAAACTTTGTGTTAGCCAAAACTGGCTTCAAAACTCATTGAATTGTATAATAATTCATATGAAAATGTATGTAAGACTAACCCAAGGAAGAAATGATACAGATGATCTATTTTTCAGGATTTGTTTTTTTTTTTTGTACAGCTTCATGTACAATCTCTATAGATACAAGGGAGGAAATAGGTTGCTCACAAAACTTAAATTCAGTGGGGTACTGATTAGATTTTTGAACTTATGTTTAGTTCCTAAATAACTTTTCTTTTGCCAGACCACCATGTCCTTGAAAAGTTAATTTTGTTTTATCTCCGGATACAGGAGGCTTCACATGACAATGGCAGTTGAAAGCTTCCCAGGTAAAGATCCTTCAAAGAATAAGCAACTCATGATAGGGAAGGATAAAAGTCAACAGTTTATACCACTCAACTGCTTTTAAGATTTTCATCAAATGCATCCCCTGCAGTTGAAACTTACTAGAGAAGCTTCCCAGCAGAGTTAAAATCATAAAACAATGACAATGTTACCTTTGTTTCTCTGAGCTTTTAGACAGGAAAGACAGCCACCGAACTGTGTATCAACTTACTTTCTTCCCCTTCTGGTGTTGAAAAAAAAAAAATCTCTTACCCTGAGGTACATGCCATTATACCACAATTTAAGAAAAGATAGTTTTTGTAATCAGCTAGAAAATACAACTTTATTCTAAAAGTGTTTGTATTTTATGGTTTCTGGTATGAATATGTGATGTATTTACTCAAGGGCAAAATCTTCCATAGCACAAAAATGGAGTTCATTGCAATTTTAAAAGTAAATATTAACTTGTGAGTTAAAAAATTTTTTTACTAATACCTTTTCATTATGCCTAGAATTTGACATTTTAAAATATGTACATATCATGGCAAAGACTATAGCATATTTAAACATAAGTATTGGCAAATATGAAGAGGGCTGTATTTTCTTATTTCTGAGATGTTGCCAGTCCATGATCTCACGCTGACCACTGCTCCGGAAATTATCATAAGTCAGTAAAAGAAGGCTTTTGTCCATTCCCTTGTGTGTATGATAGGTTTCCTCTTGGGAGCAAAGGTATGAAGGGAGCACAGTTTGATACTATCCTTAAAATGCAAAGTACAGTTTTGAGTTGAGAAGCTTTATTAAAATCCATACTGTAGCTGCTTCACCAAATAGACACAGAATGCTGGACTAGACTTGCTTTATGTTACACTGCAAGCTAATAAAAGCTGAAATTAGTTCTCTTGGATATTCACTGAGTAGAAGTTTCGCTGTTGAATTGCCTTTTTAAGATATTTTAAAAAGTCCTTGATGTCAGCACAAAGGAGACACTGCTATAAGGTTCAGTAGGACAAACTATATTAATCTGGCTAAATTTCAACTGGGTTAATGATATTTTGTCTCCTTAAATTCTTTTGAATAACATACTTTTCTTTATTCATATAAATGCCATATTCAGAGGTGACAGCGTGCTGGCAGTCCTCACAGCCCCTCGCTCGCTCTGGGCACCTCCTCTGCCCGGGCTCCCACTTTGGCGGCATTTGAGGAGCCCTTCAGCCCACCACTGCACTGTGGGAGCCCCTTTCTGGGCTGGCCAAGGCTGGAGCCCACTCCCTCAGCTTGCAGGGAGGTGTGGAGGGAGAGGCGCGAGCAGGAACTGGGGCTGCACGCAGCGCTTGCGGGCCAGCTGGAGTTCCGGGTGGGCATGGGCTTGGCGGCCCCACACTTGGAGCAGCCGGCCGGCCCTGCCGGCCCCGGGCAATGAGGGGCTTAGCACCCGGGCCAGCGGCTGCGGAGGGTGTACTGGGTCCCCCAGCAGTGCCAGCCAACCGGCGCTGCGCTCGATTTCTCACCGGGCCTTAGTTGCCTTCCCGCAGGGCAGGGCTCGGGACCTGCAGCCCGCCATGCCTGAGCCTCCCACCCCCTCCGTGGGCTCCTGTGCAGCCCGGGCCTCCCGGATGAGCGCCACCCCCTGCTCCACGGTGCCCAGTCCCATCGACCACCCAAGGGCTGAGGAGTGCGGGCCCATGGCACAGGACTGGCAGGCAGCTCCACCTGCAGCCCCTGTGCGGGATCCACTGGGGGAAGCCAGCTGGGCTCCTGAGTTTGGTGGGGACGTGGAGAATCTTTATGTCTAGCTCCGGGATTGTAAATACACCAATGGGCACTCTGTATCTAGCTCAAGGTTTGTAAACATACCAATCAGCAGCCTGTGACTAGCTCAGGGTTTGTGAATGCACCAATCCACACTCTGTATCTAGCTACTCTGGTGGTGCTTTGGAAAACCTTTGTGTGGATACTCTATCTAACTAATCTGGTGGGGAGGTGGAGAACCTTTGTGTCTAGCTCAGGGATTGTAAACGCACCAATCAGTGCCCTGTCAAAACAGACCACTGGGCTCTACCAATCAGCAGGATGTGGGTGGGGCCCGATAAGAGAATAAAAGCAGGCTGCCCCAGCCAGCAGTGGCAACACGCCCGGGTCTCCTTCCACACTGTGGAAGCTTTGTTCTTTCGCTCTGTGCAATAAATCTTGCTACCGCTCACTCTTTGGGTCCATGCTGCTTTTATGAGCTGTAACACTCACCGTGAAGGTCTGCAGCTTCACTCCTGAAGCCAGTGAGACCACGAGCCCGCCGGGAGGAACGAACAACTCCAGACATGCTGCCTTAAGAGCTGTAACACTCACTGCGAAGGTCTGCAGCTTCACTCCCGAACCAGCGAGACCACGAACCCACCAGAAGGAAAAAATTCTGAACACATCCGACCATCAGAAGGGACAAACGCCAGACGCGCCACCTTAAGAGCTGTAACACTCACCACGAGGGTCCGCGGCTTCGTTCTTGAAGTCAGTGAGACGAAGAACCCACCAATTCCGGACACAATATTGAACATCTGTTACATTTCAGTTTTAAAAAAGTTTTTGAAGTTTAGGAATTGTTATCACATCAGTTTTCTGTGTAAATGGTTTTGATTGGAATTAAATTTAAAATAAATTATTGTGCTTTTTTGCGGTAGTTCCTCTAACATGGGTAAATACGACCAAGGCAAGTATATTCTACTGTGGTTGAAGTAATGCTGAAGCTGCAGTTTAAAAACAGTGTGAAAAATGAGAACAATTATTGCATGTGGCCGAGGTATTGAAGGAGTTAAACCTGTACCACTCTGGCATTATTGACAATTTTGAATTAAAGGTACTTAAAAAAACAGCAGGTGCAAGAAGATCATTGTGACCTCTTTTCTACTTCTTAAAAGCGGAAGATGAAATTCCTATGTGAAAGACACTTTCCCTGTACCAAAAGGAATAACATTCTTATTTTCATGGATGAAAAATTGAGACCCAAATAATTCTGTACAGACTTTGTTAAAATAACTCCTCTCTTTTAAGCCTCCCCACATAATTTAGTTGCTTCTTCACAACTCACTGTTGTTTATCCAACTCGGTATTGAAGTAACTGACTCCAACTGCTTCATTGGGTTTTCATTTCCTTATGAAGGCTCTCGTGCCACATAAAACTTGTATTGAGTAACTTTGTCTGCTTTTCTCCTATTAATCTCTTTTATGTCAGTTAAATTCTTGGGCCCAGCCAGGACCCTAAGAGGATGGAGATGGAATTTTGTCCCTGGTATCGTATTGAAGAACTTACACTTTTTTACTGCAGTGTCTTGTCCTCTGCTCTTCCTGAGGATGGTTCATATTTGAAGAAACGGACACAATTCTTCTAAACAGAGAGAAAATATTCAATGAGGAGTTGGATGGGCCCATCAATTCTTTTGTCTTCTGTGAAAATTACATACTGCTGCATTTTATTGTTCCTGTGGTGGCCAAGGACATTAGCTTTACTGTCAACAACATTTTGTCTCCTAGTGGCTGTTGGTCATGTCTCTCAGCTTTTCCTCCCTCAACGATGTCACTAGACTTGTCAATTACAATTATTGCTTCCGGCATTTCTTCACTGATTAGGTTTCATAAACTCTCCTTACATAGTTCACCCAAATTCATGTGACCTCTTGCTAATCTCTTAGATTTTCTGTCTACTAAGGGTTGACTAGGGACAGAGAAATGAGCTCTAAGGTCCTTTCTCTCATAACCCTATTAGTTCTCCAGTCACCTGCAAAACGATGAAGAAAATTGACATTTTTTTGAATCTAATGTAAAAGTGCAGGAAAGCATCTCTGGACATTTTGTCTTTTTTTTTTTTTTAAATCTGTGACATATAAACAACATAAAAGCAGTACACTTGCTTCTAAACTGTAACTTAAAAAAATCCTCTAGTCCCTTCCCCAGCAAGCCTGCTGCTCCTAGGCCCTGCTATGTGGAAGTTCTGTGGCTCTGGCGAAGCTCCCAGGTAGCCTTTGGGACATAAACAAGGGGACTCAGAACCAGAAGATGTTAGGGTTCCTTTCAGAAGCTACCAGATGTCCTCTGAGACTACCAGATAGGAAAGAGACTTGAAGGGAAGGTAGGGTTGTGTGTTAAGCAGATATAAACAGGGCATACGCCAGTGGAATTTTAATTACGACTGCTAATAATAGTAATTATTATGTAGAATTTTTAAAATTTATTTTATTTTATTTTTCCATAATTTATTGGGAGATATATATATATATATATATATGCCCCAGTTTCTTTATTCACTCATTGATTAATGGGCATTTGGGCTGGTTCCATGGTTTTGCAATTGTGAATTGTGCTGCTATAAACATGCGTATGCAAGTATCTTTTTCAAATAATGACTTCTTTTCCTCTGGGTAGATACCCAGTAGTGGGATTGCTGGATCAAAGGGTAGTTCTATTAATAGTTCTTTAAGAATCTCCACACCATTTTCCATAGTGGCTGCACTACTTTCCATTCCCACCAGCAGTGTAGAAGTGTTCCCTGTTCCCTGCATCCACGCTAACATCTACTGTTTTTTGATTATGGCCATTCTTGCAGGAGTAAGGTGGTATTGCACTGTGGTTTTGATTTACATTTCCCTAATCATTAGTGATGTTGAGCATTTTCTCATATGTTTATTAGTCATTTGTATATCTTCGTTTGAGAATTGTCTATTCATGTACTTAGCCCTCTTTTTGATGTGATTGGTTTTTTTCTTACTGATTTGTTTGAGTTAATTGCAGATTCTGGATATTAGTCCTTTCTCAGATGTGTAGATTGTGAAGATTTTCTCCCACTCTGTGGGTTGTCTGTTTATTCTGCTGACTGTTCCTTTTGCCATGCAAAAGCTCTTTAGTTTAGTTAGGTCCCAGCTATTTATCTTTTGTTTATATTGCATTTGCTTTTGGGTTCTTGGTCATGAAATCCTTGCCCATGCCAATGTCTAGAAGGGATTTTCCAATGTTATCTTCTAGAATTTTTATAGTTTCAAGTCTTAGGTTTAAGTCTTTACTCCATCTTGAGTTGATTTTTGTATAAGGTGAGAGATGAGGATCCAATTTCATTCTCCTACATGTGGCTAGCCAAATACCCCAGCACCATTTGTTAGAAAGGGTGTCCTTTCCCTACTTTATGTTTTTGTTTGCTTTCTTGAAGATCAGTTGGCTGTGACAGGTGACAACGTGCTAGCAGCCCTTGCTCACTCTCGGTGCCTCCTCGGTCTCAGCATCTGCTCTGGCCACGCTTCAGGAGCCCTTCAGCTTGCTGCTGGGCTGTGGGGGCCCCTTTCTGGGGCCAGCGGAGGCCAGAGCTGGCTCTCTCTGCTTGCAGGGAGGTGTGGAGGGAGAGGCGTGGGCAGGAGCCAGGGCTGCGCGCAGTGCTCACGGGCCAGCATGGGTTCTGGGTGGGCGCGGGCTCCCAGGGGCCTGCACTGGGCATGGCAGGCTGGCCGCCTGCTGGGCTTGATGGGGGACAAGCTCCCTCTGGGCTGTTGGAGAGTGCCCAGGCTAGGTGCCACAAAGTCCTGCCGCGAATGCCATTGAGAGGTGAAGCTGGCTGGGCTTCTGGGTCGGGTGGGGACCTGGAGAACTTTTCTAACTAAAGGTTTGTAAATGCACCAATAAGCACTCTATGTCTAGCTAAAGGTTTGTAAATGCACCAATCAGTGCTCTGTGTCTAGCTAATCAGGTAGGGGACTTGGAGAACTTTTGTGTCTAGCTAAAGGATTGTAAATGCACCAATCAGCACTTGGTGTCTAGCTAAAGGTTTGTAAACACACCAATCAGCTCTCTGTAAAATGGACCAATCAGCAGGATGTGGGTGGGGCCAGATATGGGAATAAAAGCAGGCCACCTGAGCCAGCAGCGGCAACCTGCTCGGGTCACCTTCCACGCCCGTGGAACGTTTGTTGTTTCACTCTTCGCAATAAATTTTGTTGCTGCTCACTGTTTGGGTCTGCGTCACCTTTATGAGCTGTTACACTCACAACAAAGGTCTGCAGCTTCACTCCTGAAGCCAGCGAGACCATGAACCCACTGGGAGGGACGAACAACTCCGGACAGGTGGAGCAAACCACTCCGGACATGCCACCTTTATGAACTGTAACACTCACTGTGAAAGTCTGCAGCTTCAGTCCTGAGGCCAGCGAGACCATGAACCCACTGGAAGGAATGAACAATCCAGACGTGCCGCCTTTAAGAGCTGTAACACTCACCGTGAAGGTCTGCAGCTTCACTCCTGAAGTCAGTGCGACCACGGACCCACCAGAAGGAAGAAACTCTGGACACATCTGAACATCTGAAGGAACAACACATCATCTTTAAGAACTGTAACACTCACCGCGATGGTCCATGGCTTCATTCTTGAAGTCAGCGAGACCAAGAACCCACCAATTCCGGACACATAAGTATTTGGGTTTATTTCTGTGTTCTCTATTCTGTTACATTGGTCTATGTGCCTATTTTTATGCCAGTACCGTGCTGTTTTGGTGACTGTGGCCTTATAGTATAGTTTAAAATCAGGTAGTGTGATGCCTCCAGATTTGTTCTTTTGCTTAATCTTGCTTTGGCTATGCAGGCTCTTTTTTGGTTCCCTATGAATTTTAGAATTGTTTTTTCTAATTCTGTGAGGAATGATGGTGGTATTTTGATGGGGTTTGCATTGAATTTGTAGATTCCTTATGGCAGTATGATCATTTTCACAATATTGATTCTACCCATCCATAAGCATGGGATGTGTTTCCATTTGTTTGTGTCATCTATTATTTCTTTCAGTAGTGTTTTGTAGTTTTCCTTGTAGAGGTCTTTCAACTCCTTGGTTAGGTGTATTCCTAAGTATTTTATTTATTTATTTATTTTGCAGCTATTGCGAAAGGGGTTGAGTTCTTGATTTGATTCACTGCTTGGTCGCTGTTGGTGTATAGAAGAACTACCGATTTGTGTACATTAATCTTGGACCTGGAAACTTTGCTGAATTCTTTTATCAGTTCTAGGAGCTTTCTGGAGGAGTCCTTAGGGTTTTCAAGGTAAGCAATCACATCATCATCAAACAGTGACAGTCTGATTTTCTCTTTACTGATTTGGATGCCCTTTATTTCTTTCTCTTGTCTGATTGCTCTGGCTAGGACTTCCAGTACTATGTTGAAGAGGAGTGGTGAGAGTGGGCATCCTTGTCTTGTCCCAGTTCTCAGAGGGAATGTTCTCAACTTTTCCCCATTTAGTATTACGTTGGCTGTGGGTTTGTTATAGATGGCTTTTATTACATTAAGGTATGTGCCTAGTATGCCGATTTTGCTGAGAGTTTTAATCATAAAGGGATGCTGGATTTTTCAAATGCTTTTTCTGCATCAATTGAGATTATCATGTGATTTTTGTCTTTAATTCTGTTTATGTGGTGTATCACATTCACTGACTTGAGCATGTTAAACCATCCCTGCTCCCTGGTATGAAACCAACTTAATCATCATGGTGGATTATCTTTTTGATATGCTGTTGGATTCGGGTAACTAGTATTTTCTTAAAAATTTTAGCATTTGTGTTCATCAAGGATATTGGTCTATAGTTTTCTTTTTTGTTTGTGTCCTTTCCTGATTTCGATATTAGGCTGATGCTGGCTTCATGGAATGAGTTAGGGAGGATTCCTTGTTTCTCTATTTTGTGGAATAGTGTCAAAAGGATTGGTACCAATTCTTCTTTGAATGTCTGGTTGAATTCTGCTGTGAATCCATCTTGTTCTGGAGTTTCTTTGTTGTTGTTGGTAATTTTTAAATTACCATTTCAATCTTGCTGCTTGTTATTGTTCTGTTCTGTATCTAATTTTTCCTGATTTAAGCTCGAAGGGTTGTATTTTTCCAGGAATTTATCAATCTCTTCTAGGTTTTCTAGTTTATGTGTGTAAAGGTGTTCATAGTAGCCTTGAATGATCTATTGTATTTCAGTGGTGTCAGTTGTAATATCTCCTGTTTTGTTTCTTAGTGAGGTTATTTGGATTTTCTCTCTTCTTTTTTGGTTAATCTTGCTAATGGTCTTTCAATTTTATTTATCTTTGCAAAGAACTAGCTTTTTGTTTCATTTATCTTTTGTATTTTTTGTTTCAATTTCATTTGGTTCTGCTCTGATCTTGGTTATTTCCTTTCTTCTGCTGGGTTTGGGTTTGGTTTGTTCTTGTTTCTCTAGTTCCTTGAGCTATGACCTTAGATTGTCTGTTTGTGCTCTTTCAGACTTTTTGAAGTAGGCGTTTAGGGCTATGAACCTCCTGTTGGCATCTTAGAACTGCCTTTGCTGTATCCCAGAGGTTTTGATAGGTTGTGTGTCATTATTGTCATTCAGTTCAAAGAATTTTTAACTTTCCATCTTGATTTCATTTTTTACCCAATGCTCATTCATGAGCAAGTTATTTAATTTCCATGTATTTGCATGGTTTTCAAGGTTCCTTTTAGAGTTGATTTCCAGTTTTATTCCACTGTGGTATGAGAGAGTGCTTGATATAATTTCAATTTTCTTTAATTTATTGAGGCTCATTATATGGTCTGTCTTGGAGAGAGTTCCATGTGCTGTTGAATAGAATGCATATTCTGTGGTTGTTGGATAAAATGTTCTGTATATATCTATTAAGTCCATTTGTTCCAAGGTTTAAATCCATGGTTTCTTTGTTGACTTTCTGTCTTGATGACCTGTCTAGTGCTGTCACTGGAGTATTGAAGTCCCCCAATATTATTGTGTTGCTCTCTATCTCATTTCTTACGTCTATTAGTAATTGTTTTATAAATTTGGGAGCTCCAGTATTAGGTGCATATATGTTTAGGATTGTGATATTTTCCTGTTGGACAAGACCTTTTACCATTATATAATGTCCCTCTTTCTGTCTTTTAACCGATGTTGCTTTAAAGTTTGTTTTGTCTGATATAAGAATAGCTAACCCTGCTCTCTTTTGGTGTTCATTTGCATAAAATGTATTTCTCCACTCCTTTACTTTAAGTTTATGTGAGTCCTTATGTGTTAGGTGAGTCTTCTTAAGGCAGCAGATGGTTGGTGAGTTCTTATCCATTCTGCAGTTCTGTATCTTTTAAGTGGAGCCTTTTGGCCATTTACATTCAATGTTAGTATTGAAATGTGAGGTAACGTTGCATTCATTGTGCTCTTTGTTGCTTGTGTACTTCGGGTTTTTTTGTTTTTTGCTTTTGCTTTTCAGCTTTTATTTTTGTTTCATAGGTCCTGTGTGATTTATGCTTTAAAGAGATTCTGTTTTGATGTGTTTCCAGGATTTGTTTCAAGATTTAGAGCTCCTTTTAGCAGTTCTTGTAGTGGTGACTTGGTAATGGCAAATTCTCTCAGCATTTGTTTGTCTGAAAATGACTGCATCTTTCCTTCATATATGATGCTTAGTTCTGCTGGATACGAAATTCTTGGCTGATAATTGTTTTGTTTGAGGAGGCTTAAGATAGGGCCCCAATCCCTTCTAGCATGTAGGGTTTCTGCTGAGAAATCTGCTGTTAATCTGATAGGTTTTCTTTTATAGGTTACCTGGTGCTGCTGTCTCACAGCTCTTAAGAATCTTTCCTTCATCTTAACTTTGAATAACCTGATGAAAATGTGCCTAGGTGAAGATCTTTTTGTGATGAATTTCCCAGGTATCCTTTGTGCTTCTTGTATTTAGATGTCTAGGTCTCTAGCTAGGCTGGGGGAGTTTTCTTTGATTATTCCCCCAAATATGTTTTCCAAGCTTTTATAATTCTCTTCTTCCTCAGGAACACTGATTATGCTTAGGTTTGATCATTTAACATAATCCCAGACTTCTTGGAGGCTTTGTTCTTATTTTCTTATTCTTTTTTCTTTGTCTTTGTTGGATTGGGTTAATTCAAAGAGCATGTCTTTGAGCTCTGAATTTCTTTCTTCTACTTGTTCTGTTCTATGGCTGGGAATTTCCAGAGCATTTCACATTTGTAAAAGTGTGCCCAAAGTTTCCTGACTTTTTTTATTGTTTTTTCTTTAATTCTCTATTTCAGTGATTATTTCTCCTTTCACTTCTTGTATCTTTATTTTGGATTTTCTTGCATTGAGCTTTGCTTTTATTTATTTATTTTTTATTGTTTTTTTTTGAGACAGAGTCTTGCTCTGTCACCCAGGCTGGAGGGCAGTGGCGAGATCTCAGCTCGCTGCAATCTCCACCTCCTGGGTTCAAGTGATTCTCCTGCTGCAGCCTCCTGAGTAGTTGGGGCTACAGGTGCCCACTACCACACCCAGCTAATTTTTGTATTTCTAGTAGAGACAGAGTTTCACCATGTTGGCCAGGCTGGTCTCAAACTCCTGACCTCAGGTGATCTGCCTGCCTCAGCCTTCCAAAGTGCTGAGATTACAGGCATGAGCTACCATGCCGGGCCTGGGCTTTGCCTTTCTCTGGTCCCTCCCTGATTAGCTTAATAACTAACCTCTTGAATTCTTTTTCAGGTAAATCAGGGATTTCTTCTTGGTTTGGGTCTATTGCTGGTGAACTAGTATGATTTTTGGGGGGTGTTGAAGAGCCTTCAGGGTTGGTTTTCTGGTTCCTTCTCATTTGGGTAGGCTCTGTCAGAGGGAAGGTCTAGGGCTGAAGGCTGTTGTTCAGGTTCTTTTGTTCCACGGGGTGTTCCTTTGATGTAGTGCTCTCCCCCTTTTCCTATGGATGTGGCTTCCTGTGAGCTGAACTGCAGTGATTGTTGTCTTTCTTCTGGGTCTAGCCACCTAGCGAGTCTACCAGGCTCTGAGCTGGTACTGGGGGTTGTCTGCACAGAGGAGTCCTATGATGGGAACCGTCTATGGGGTCTCTCAGCTGTGGATATAGGCGCTTGTTCCAGTGGTGGTGGCAGAGGGGCCTAATAGACTCCGTGAGGGGTCTTAGCTTTGGTGGTTTAATGCTCCTGCCAGGAGGTGGCGCTTTCCGGAAAACATCAGCTGTAGTAGTGTGGAGGACTGGCAGGGCCCTAGAACTCCCAAGATTATATACCCTTTGTCTTCAGCTACCATGGTGGGTAGAGAAGGACCATCAGATCGGGGCGGGGCTAGGCATGCCTGAGCTCAGACTCTCTTTGGGCAGGTCTTGCTTCAGCTGCTGTGGGGGATGGAGGTGAGAGTCCCAGGTCACTGGAGTTGTGTACCTAGGAGGATTAGGGTTGCCTCTGCTGAGTCATGCAGGTTATCAGGGAAGTGGGGAAAAGCCGGCAGTCATATGCCGCACCCAGCTCCCACGCAAACTGAAAGGCCGGTCTCACTCCCACTGTGCTCCCCCAACAGCTCAGAGTCTTTCCAAGAGGAGGGCAAGAGGGGCCTGAAAATTTACCTGAGGCTATCCGCCTCCCCGCTGCCAAAGAAAAGGGCTTTAGTTGTTCCCCCTCTGCCCCTGCACCGTGAAGTCGGCCTGCTGGATTCACAACCTCTGTGGACTTCTGGCCAGGAGGCTTCTCGCCTCATTCAAATTGTTACAAAGTTGGGCTAGAGAATTCTTTCTCCCTGTGGAGCTTTACCCCCTGCACCTCTGGCCACACTCACGATGGTTCCCTGTGGTGCCAGGCAGGCATGGGCTGCTTGGGGACCCAGCAAGCTTCCAGGGCCTTTCTGCTGCTTCCTCTACCCCTGTAGTTCACTTGGCTCTCTAACTTGACTCAGCTCCAAGTCAAGTCGGAAACTTCTCCCGCAAACAGACCTTCAGCTTCTCCAGTGAGGGTGTGTGTTCGGGAGAGAAGGGTCTCCCTTTCCCACTTCCACAGTTGGGGCACTCACAGTATTTGGGGTGTCTCTGGGGTCCTGCAGGAGCAGTCCGCTTCCTTCATAGGGTCTGTGGGTCCTCTCGGGATTGCTGGTTTGTTCTTGCAGTTGATCTGGAGCTAAAATTCACAATGCAAGCCTCCCGATGCTGCTCTGTCTGGAGCTGCAATCTAGTCCTGCCTCCTGTCTGCCATGATCCCCTCCATCTCTGTTATTATGTAGAAAATTGAAGTGACACCTGCCACTGACATTCTGAGTTAACTGTCAGGTCATCTGAAATGGGAAGAAATTTATCTTTGATTCTGTGTGCACCACCCTAGGGAAGAATAATGCTAGAGTTGGATGTTTAAGGCCACAGAGTATTAGAGCAGTGGTCCTCAGACTTGAGCACACATTTGAATCTCCTGGAGGACTCATTGAAACAAAAAGTGTGCCTAGGAGCGGTGGCTCATGCCTGTAATCCCAGCACTTTGGGAGGCCGAGGCGGGCAGATCACCTGAGGTCGGGAGTTTGAGACTAGCCTGACTAACATGGAGAAACCCCGCCTCTACTAAACGTACAAAATTAGCCCGGCATGGCGGTGCATGCCTGTCATCCCAGCTACTTGGGAGGCTGAGGCAGGAGAATTGCTTGAACCCGAGAGGCAGAGGTTGTGGTGAGCCAAGATCGCGCCATTGCACTCCAGCTTGGGCAACAAGAGTGAAATTCTGTCTGAAACAAACAAACAAAATGATTGGACTCCACCCCCAGAGCTTTGACTCAGTAGGTCCGCAGTAGGGAATCTCTAGTTCAGAAAGTTACCAGGTGACACTGCTGCTGTTCGTGGTCTGGGGATGACACTTTGAAAACCACTGGATTACAGTGGAAATGAACACAAGAAGCTGCGCAGAGAATGGAGCAGGGCCCTAAATAGAATCAAAGGATCCAAGTCCCAATTCTTCATGGAAGGGAGTAAACAGCAAGAGTTTCCTTACTGCAATGCCTTTAGAGCAGGAGTAGGGCCAAAGACAACTTTTGTTGCCATCATTGTATCCATTAATGCTGTGAAAAGATAAGCAAAGGAAGTTGGAAATGGAGTTCTCACAGGTTATGCTTAAACAAAGATGGAGAACTCACCACAGCTTTCTCCTATCTATAGCATTTTTAGCCTGTGCTACTGAAAAATCTCTTTTGCATTTCGCACTTGCATTTTTTTAAATTGAGTTTTTTTTTTTGAGGCAGAGTCTCGCTCTGTTGCCCAGGCTGGAGTGCAGTGGTGCGATGTCGGCTCACTGCAACCTCCGCTTCCTGGGTTCACGCCGTTCTCCTGCCTCAGCCTCCTGAGTAGCTGGGACTACAGGCACCCACCACCACGCCTGGGTAATTTTTTTGTATTTTTAGTAGAGACAGGGTTTCACCGTGTTAGCCAGGATGGTCTTGATCTCCTGACCTTGTGATCCACCCGCCTCGGCCTCCCAAAGTGCTGGGATTACAGGCGTGAGCCACCATGCCTGGCCTAAATTAAGTTTTAAAAAGTACTGTGAATATAAATGCACTTAGGTTAAGTTTCGGTTATCCTTAATAATTAATGGCAAGTTTACTGCAATCTGAAAATAGTAACTATGGTAAAATCAAGCCTCATGGAGACTGGAAACAGATCCAAGCAAGTCCAGGGAGCTCAGCAGCAGGAATTCTTGGACATCCCCTTTTCAGTGGCGTGGTGGAGGCAGCTGTAGCATTTCTTCTGAACTGAGCATTCAGTGACTTCACATTGGATGCTTTAATTTGGTCAGGCTGGAAGCATTTACTCCACAGAAATTATCAGTTGTCAATGCTGCAAATCAAAGATCTCTTCTCTACTTCAGCCCATTACTCATTTACTTTTACCAGGGCACTTTCACCTGATGAAATAGCTGAGAAAATTCTTTTTCTTACTCTTTCTTTAGTGCCTGACTTATAGGCACAGCTAAAAAAAATCAGGTGGACTGGGATGGCACCAGAGCTTTGTGACCCCTGACCAGGTATTAGAGGGGGATCAGACCCCAAAACCAGCCCAAACTGGAACAGGATCCCTAGTTGCCTTCAGTTCATGACTATATCATTATAGTGCTAAAATTCCCACCCCAAGGAGAGAATCTCCACCATCTTATGTATATGGGCTGTGTGAAGATGCATGTTTATGAATGAAGCCTGAACATGTGGAGTCCCACCTTACACATGCTAACATTCCTCTCCAACCCCCAGACTCAGTCCTTAAAAACCTCACGTTTTTTATTACCTGGGGAGAAGGGGTCTTTAGAGCATGCGCTTACTCCTCCATCTCTGGCCAGAAATGTTTGCCCTTTGGTCCAGTTGGGTGTTCTTGCTTTGTGACCCATACAAAGTAGGAAGAGAGCTCAATTTTCCGGTGATATTACCCTTACGCCACTGCCTTTAGTTCTCAGTGTGCTTTTCTTTCACACTGTTAATCTTTTTTCTATTTTACAGTTTCATCTTTTAAAAAAACACAATTTCTCCTTTTGCCGCTCCTCTAGCATTCCTTCAATTATAGCTCTTGAAAATTATACGATTTTTGTACATTCCAGCTCAAATACCCAAGAAGGGGCTACAATTTGTTATTTTTCTTGTACCCTCTGTAACTCACTGAACAATCTGTAAATGGGGTCTTCAGATCAGATGCCCACTTTCAAATCCTCTGGGGCAAGCTGGTACATTGTACCATATACAGCGCACCTGCAGCCAGGACTGTGGAAGGGAAACTTTAGAAGGGGCTGTCGCCTGTTAGAAACCCTAAATGATGCATTTAGTGCTGACGAGTCGTTTCTATCCCAACCAAATACTGTGTTCTGTTACATTCATTATCTTAGCCTCTAGCTTTTTGTTTTGCTTTTTGCATTTTGACTTTTGTTCAGGTAATTTTTTAAACTGGTCCGATTTCATAAGATCACAGAATTTCTCTCCTTTTAAAAATACCGATAAAAAATGATGAACCAGGGTGGAGTTGGAGATAGGGCACCATGCTTCAAATGTAACAGTAGTGAATAGTAAATACATGGACATGTAAGACTCATTTTACAAATCTTGTCTACATTACTTATGATAGCTCTCTACTTACTTATGGCACTATAAAAATAGTTTGTAATCTAACAGAGCTCAGGAGCTAATGACTCCCTTAAATTCTTTGACCAGAGGTCTATTAGAATTCTTTATTGCTGGGATCAAATTTCATCACAGCTCATATGACCCCAGGATCTCCCTCCACACCTATTTGTTTCCTTAAGCCTGTGGTGATAGACCTCACCTAGGCCCGCTGAGCTTAGTTCCCTCAGGCCATGTGGAGCAGAAGATACATGATGGTCCATTCTTACATGATGGTCATCAAAATGTAATTACAATGTGGCTGTGCATGCAGGATGCCTACTCATTATTACATAACCTTTGGGTAATGCAGTAATATAGCATTGGAAGCATACAGGAAACTGTACTTATGCCCTGGAAGTTATGATTTGGGTAATTTGGTTTATCAATGTTGTTTCACAACCGTAAGAGGTAATTATGACAAGTCTGGGGAATAAAACATGCAGAGAGCTCCAGCCCTGGCTTTCATTTCCAGCATGTCTTCCTCCTGAGTGAACTGAAAACCACCACTAAATCTGAGAGTATCTCTCATGAGTGAAAGGGCTGCACTGCTTACTGAACATCCCTGGCTTGATGTCATTTGACTGCCTTTGCAAAAATCTCTAACCTTGGAGTTGATTGCTTTAAAATGCAACTTACATAAAACTTATGTGTGAGAATGCTCCTTTTAAAAATTTTATTTTATGTTCAGGGGTCCATGTGCAGGTTTGTTATATAGATAAACTTGTGTCACAGAGGCTTATTGTACAGATTATTTTGTCACGCATGTGTTAAGCCTAGTACCCATTAGTTACTTTTCCTGATCGTCTCCCTCCTTCCATGCTCCACGCCTAGGTAGGCCCCAGTGTCTGTTGTTCCTATCTATGTGTCCATCTGTCCTCATCATTTAGCTCCCACTTACAAGTGAGAGAACATGCAAAATATTTGGTTTTCTGTACTTAGTTTGCTAAGGATACTGGCCTCCAGCTCCATCCATGTTCCTGCAAAGGACATGATCTCATTCTTTTTTAATGGCTGCATAGTATTCCCTGGTGTATATGTACCACATTTTCTTTATCCAATACCATTGATGGGCATTTAGTTTGATTTCATGTCTCTGCTGTTGTGAATAGTGCCACAGTGAACATAACACATGCATGTGTCTTATGGTGGAAAGAATTGTATTTCCTTGGGTAGATACCTAGTAATGGGATTGCTGGGTTGGATGACGGTTTTTTTTTTTTTTTTTTTTTTTGACAGAGTCTCACTCTGTTGTCAGGCTGGAGTGCAGTGGTGCAATCTCGGCTCACTGCAATCTCTCTCCCGGGTTCAAGCGGTTCTCCTGCCTCAGCCTCCTGAGTAGCTGGGACTACAGGCACGCACCACCATGCCCAGCTAATTTTTGTATTTTTAGTAGAGACAGGGTTTCACCATGTTGGCCAGGATGGTCTTGATCTCTTGACCTTGTGATCCACCCGCCTCGGCCTCCCAAAGTGCTGGGATTGCAAGGCGTGAGCCACTGTGCCCAGCCGATAGTTCTGTTTTTAGTTATTTGAGGAACCACCACTCTGCTTTCCACATGGTTGAACTAATTTACACTCCCACCAGCAGTGGATAAGCATTCCCTTTTCTCTGTAACCTCGCCAGCATCTGTTATTTTTTGACTTTTAAAAAATAGCCATTCTAGTGGAGCGAAATGGTACCTCATTTTGGTTTTGATTTAGATAATGTTCTTTTTCAACAAGCTCCAAATTCAGTCTTCAGCGGAATGAATTCACCAGTTTCCACTTTACCTCATAATTACATCACTTGGAGTACAATCTACACTTCTTCTGTATCTTTAGTTATTTCAGCAGCAATTTTCATGATTTTCAGTCTTTTCCCTGTTGTTCAGTTTCCCAGACTTTATAGATTTTTGTTTTAAATTCACATTGTTGGCTGGGTGCGGCGGCTTACGCCTATAATCCCAGCACTTTGGGAGGCCGAGGCGGGTGGATCACGAGGTCAGGAGATAGAGACGACCCTGGCTAACATGGTGAAACCCCGTCTCTACTAAAAAAATACAAAAAATTAGCCGGGCATGGTGACGGGCGTCTGTAGTCCCAGCTACTCGGGAGGCTGAGGCAGGAGAATGACGTGAACCCAGGAGGCAGAGCTTGCAGTGAGCCCAGATCACGCCATTGCACTCAAAGCGTGGGTGACAGGGCGAGACTCTGCCTCAAAAAAAAAAAAAATAAATAAATAAAAATAAATAAATAAATAAATAAATTCACATTGTCAGACCAGAATGACTACCCCTTGAACATAAACATCATGTGGCATTGCTCAGGCTCTGGAGAGATCTCTAACAGCTTTGTCCTTTTCTGATTCTCTACTCAGTATCTACCAGTCCTCCCACAATGCTCCCTGAGTTTCTAACTTCCCATTCCCTTCTCACAAAGACCTTCAATTTCTAAAACTTGTCTATGCGTTCTCTTCTCGACTCCCTCTTTATCTTAGACTATTTTCAGTCTTTTTGGTTTTGCCCTGCAGGTTTCTGGACTCCTTTTACCCATCTTCACCCTCCCAGCCCTCATCACCCTATTTATTTACTGTGGCTGATGTTCAAACCTGCTGGAGGCATATGTGGAGCATGCATTCTTCCTGTTCAACCTGTTCTTCCTGTTCGACCAGGCAAAGTTCTTACTGAGACCTGGGCATGTAATTTTCTTGCCCCAGAAGGTCTCCACCTTCTATATGTTCTTATCTACTGTCAGCTCAATTCTAGCTCATACCCTTTGCTCAATATTCTTTATTCAATATATTGAATAACATCTTCAAGATGTGTATTTACATAAGGCATAAGATAACTAATTCTATAAGAAAAGAAGCAAATGTGGGAAGTGTTGTTTCATCACATCTTACATTATGATTGCATGTTATCTAATTTGACTGCCTTCGGATCACTTTTTTTTTCTTGTGTCTTTGTCCTTTTTCAAGCATGGTGTACTTTAGACTCTGAATATATTTCTTTTTTCTTTTTCTTTTTCTTTTTTTTTTTTTTTGAGATGGAGTCTCACTCTGTCACCCCAGGCTGGAGTGCAGTGGTTCTATCTTGGCTCACTGCAATTTTCGCCTCTCAGGTTCAAGCGATTCTCCTGCCTCTGCCTCCCAAGGAGCTGGAATTACAGGCGCGCGCCACCATAGGCAGCTGATTTTTGTATTTTTAGTGGAGATGGGATTTCACCATGTTGGTCAGGCTGGTCTCAAACTCCTGACCTTAGGTGATCCACCCGCCTTGGCCTCCCAAAGTGCTGGGATTACAGGCGTGAGCCACCGTGCCCGGCCCTGACTGTGAATATATTTCTAATTGAAACTTGCATTCATAGAATCTGTGTGCAGAGACTGAAAACTGTTTCATTAAGTAAATATCAGTGACTTCCGCTGAGGTCAGTGGCTGAAGAGCCGCTCTTGTATGAAGACTTGGAAAGACACCTTTGCTTTTTGATTATAACCAGAAAATACTCATAATTCTGCACTGGTACCTATGGTGGTAGTAGTTTGTAAACCTCTTGGTCATATAGATAAAAGGAATGAGGTAATACTCCCTTATAAATGGATAAAATGATAATGCATTTTAGTATTAGTAGGAATGAGAGGTGACAAATACATAATTACATAAGTACATAGTAAGCAGAAAGGGTGGGAATTTTCTGTTCAGACTCAGGAGCTGGTACATGTTTAGACTGGTTTGATTGTTGTTTCTGGTGGACAGCTCTAAAAATTTGGTAGTTACTGCATTTTTAGTCTTTTTTTTTCCAGATCTAAGAAAAAAATTAGCCTTTGGTCTTTGGAAAACAGAAAAGTGCTAACTTGAAGTATGGTATATGTAATCTAGTATGCCTACCAAATAACATCTTCATTTTTAAAACTAGGAGTTACATAATAAAATGGTGTCTTAGTGCATTTGATCTGCTATAACAAAAATACCATGGACTAGGTATGCTTAAATAAACATTTATTTCTCATAGTTCTAGAGGCCAGAAAGTCTGAGATTAGGGTGCGGGATGGTTGGGTTCTGAGGAGGGTCCTACTCTGGGTGGGAAACTGCCAACTTCTCCATGTATCCTCATGTGGTAGAACAGGCTGAGGGTTCTCCGCGGACTCTTTTATAAGGGGACTAGCCTGCTCATGAGCACTCCACCTCATGAGCTAAAACCCAAAAGCCACATCTCCTACCACCACCACACTGGGAATTAGGATTGTAACATATGAATTTTGGGGAGACACATTTAGTCCCTGATACAAGGAATATTTTGTTTTATTTTTATTTTATGTATTTATTTATTTTGAGACGGAGTCTCACTCTGTCGCTTAGGCTGGAGTGCAGTGGCGCGATCTCTGCTCACTGCAAGCTCCACCTCCTGGGTTCACGCCATTCTCCTGCCTCAGCTTCCCGAGTAGCTGGGACTCCAGGCGCCTGCCACCACGCCCGGCTAATTTTTTTGTATTTTTAGTAGAGACGCGGTTTCACCGTGTTCGCCAGGTTGGTCTTGATCTCCTGACCTCGTGATCCGCCCGCCTCTGCCTCCCAAAGTGCTGGGATTACAGGTGTGAGCCACTGCGCCTGGCCACAAGGAATATTTTAATAGGATATTTTTATAACAAAAATATTTTCTATTTAGAAGATACAGTATTCTGGTGACATAGATACAAGGTGTTATTTTTTTATTCAGTTAGATAGCATCCTTCTAATAATTATTTTCCATAATTGAAATCAAACACTTCTCGAAAAATAACTGGCAAATTAGGATCAGTTAGCAAAAAAGGAAAACGATGAAGAGATTACTTGAGTTTTAAAGAATGGAGGGAATAGAAAAAAAATTGTGCCATGAAGACACTGTAACGTAAACATCTTATGATTTTAAATAAGGAACTCAGATTTCATAAGTCAAGGCCAGTGAGAACAAAGATACTTTACTGTACATTGCTATTAAAGAGTCACACTGTTACATTAAAAAAAAAAAGAAGAATAATTAGGCCGGGCCCAGTGGCTCATGCCTGCAATCCCAGCACTTTGGGAGGCCCAGGTGGGTGGATCACGAGGTTAGGAGTTCAAGATCAGCCTGGCCAAGATGGCAAAACCCTGTCTCTACTAAAAATACAAAAAAAAAAACTTTAGCTGGGCATGGTGGTGGGTGCCTGTAATCCTAGCTACTCGGGAGGCTGAGGCAGACAATTGCTTAAACCCGGGAGGCGGAGGATGCAGAGAGCTGAGATCATGCCACTGCACTCTAGCCTGGGCAACAGAGCGAAACTCCATCTCAAAAAAAAAAAAAAAAGAATAATGAAAAGCCACACAGTAGAATATGAACCAACTTGAATCTTCTGGGGACATGCTAGAGTTTAGTTACATAAGATAATTGATTTTTAAAAATGTTTTATTAAAACCATTTACTGATTTTTTATAGCAAATTAGAAAATTCTTATAGTGCCTGTGAGAATTGCTTTTCATTATTAGAGAAGATTTTTACTAATGATAATATATAGGCTTTTTACTTGAAGGATGCAGACAGAAAGAATTCTCAAACTTCAGAGAAACAAATTTGGTTGGATTACAGATATTTTTGTAATGAAGGTCACAATTGTGGGTTAAATTACAATGTCCATAGAGCATTTTGTGAGAGAAAGTCAGTCATTAAATCTCAAAGCATATTTGTATGGAAAGATCCATAATTCCTGTATTGAACAAACCTTTTCTAAGCTCTTATATTAGAAAAGGCTGCCTTCCAAAGATGTGGTGGCTACACATGAGGAATATACTGTTTTAATGCTATAGCTAGGATACTGAAATACTAACCAAGAATTTTTATAGATTGAATTTGCAAGCTGAAAATAGCCTAAATTTATACACTACATGTGGAACTTATGTCCAGATAGAAATATCTATAAACATACAGGATGACAGCAATTTGTACTTTTATTTAAGACCGCAAATCAGTTTTTACATTCTTTTTTTTTTGAGATGGAGTCTTACTCTGTCTCCAGGCTGGAGTGCAGTGGCACGATCTTGGCTCACTGCAACCTCCACCTCCCAGGTTCAAGCGATTCTCCTGCCTCAGCCTCCCAAGTAGCTGGGACTACAGGCGTGTGCCACCACGCCCAGCTAATTTTTGTATTTTTAGCAGAGATGGGGTTTCGCCATATTGTCCAGGATTGTCTCTATCTCTTTACCTCGTGATCTGCCTGCCTCGGCCTCCCAAAGTGTTGGGATTACAGGTGTGAGCCACTGCACCTGGCCAGTTTTTACATTCTTAAATTATATAACTTTACATATAGCCACATACGACTGAATTCACCACTATTGAAAATCAGGCTTGGCATGGTGTCTCACACCTGTAATCCCAGCACTTTGGGAGGCCGAGGCGGGTGGATCACTTGAGGCCAGGAGTTTGAGACTAGCCTGGCTAACATGGTGAAATGCCATCTCTACTAAAAATACAAAAAAAAATTAGCTGGGCATGGTGGTGAGTGCCTGTAATCCCAGCTACTCGGGAGGCTGAGGCAGGAGAATCAGTTGAACCTGGAAGGCGGAGGTTGCAGTGAGCCAAGATAGTGCCATTGCACTCCAGCCTAGGTGACACTAGTTCTTAGTGAAACAGTGTCTCAAAAAAAAAAAAAAAGAAGAAAAAAGAAAAACAAAAAGAAAATTATCTGTGAGTTAACCATTGTATAATTCAAGTTTAAAACAATTTTGATGCATTCTAAATAACCTTAAAATGTTCAGAATGAACTTGAAACTATAATATACTTTTTTGGAAAGAAGTTATGTTACAAAAGAACCTGCTGTCAGTTGGTAGTGAGATGAATTATTTATGTTGCAAAGAACTCTTGTGGGTTGCATCCTTCCTGATAGTGGAGAGGGAAGGAGATGTAGTTGGTAACTGAGCCAAGAAATCTCTGATAGGGATAATTCAATTGCCCTTTGGAGGGAATGAATATGATGTTATGATAATGATAATCCAAGACCTGTTAAACCTTTTAAAATTATTCTGGGCCTGGTGCATGACTCACACCTGTAATCCCAGTACTTTGGGAGGCCAAGGCAGGAGGATCACTTGAGCCCAGGAGTTCAAGACCACCCTGGGCAACATAGGGAGACCCCATCTCTACAAAAAATAACTTCTAAAAAATTAGTTGGGGCTGGGTACGGTGGCTCACACTTGTAATCCCAGCACTCTGGGAGGCCGAGGTGGGTGGATCACAAGGTCAAGAGATCGAGACCATCCTGACCAACATGGTGAAATCCTGTCTCTACTAAAAATACAAAAATTAGCTGGGCGTGGTGGCGGGCGCCTGTAGTCCCAGCTACTTGGGAGGCTGAGGCAGGAGAATCACTTGAACTTGGGAGGCAGAGGTTGTAGTGAGCCGAGATTGCGCCACTGCACTGCAGCCTGGCGACAGAGTGAGACTCCCATCTCAAAAAAAAAAAAAAAAGAAAAAAAGAAAAAAAAATTAGTTGGGCATGGTGGCACATGTATGTGGTCCCTGCTACTCCAGAGGCTGAGGTAGGAGAATCACTTGAGCCTGGGAGGTCAAGGCTGCAGTAAGCCATGATTCCGCCACTGCACTCCAGCCTGGGTAATAGAGTAAGACCCTGTCTCAAAAAATAAAATAAAATCAAGGAAATAAAATAAAAACATTCTGTTTCTTAAACTGGGCATATATACCAGGTAGTTGATGCATTGGATTATTGTAAGCAAGTAGGTAAACTTAGCTTTTCTTCCTGGAAAATCAACATTATTGGAAGATTTTTAAAAATTAAACACTCATTCTGTAGTAGAATGTGCTATTTGCATAAAATATAACAAGAAGTCTCAAAGAAGCTTGAAGCTTATAGCTCTCCTTTCCATTTCTCCCCTTGATTCCTGCAAATGTACAAGTCAATCTCCCCTACTTTTAGAGGGACTTGAAGTGTTTGAGAAGCAATGATATACAACTTAATCTTTACAATGGCCCCTGAGATATTGATTTTTCATGGTTGAAAAGAGAGACTCTGAGAAATTAAGCAATTTGTTGGGCTTCAGATCTAAGAATCTAATTCAGTGATAGCTCCCCCTCTGACCTGCTGCTTCCCTACAATTCTAAAAGGATTTTCATTCCTATAACTTTGTTTAAATATCATAAATACTGTTGAGTATTATAATTTCCATTTTATAAAAGGGAAACCAAGGCTCAGTTATGATGGGACATACTCCCAGATATACTAAGTATCAGAGCTAAAATCAGACCTGGGTTCTTGATTTCCAGGACAGAGGCTTTTCTTCTTCACAGAAGCAATCAACTATAACATGAAACTAACTATAGCCATTCAATGCTCGGTTGGAGACACAGATCCTTGTCAACTGACTGGACATAATTCTTGTACTAGTAGTAGTAATAATGAATGTAAATATGTTGGTTTACATTCTTCAAAGGTCTTTTTGCATACATATTATCTCATTTAATTCTCCCTGTTACCCCCATGACAAGAGTTCTGTTAATCCCTTTAATAGGAAGAGGAATTAACCTTTATTTAGCTTCTACGGGGCACAATACTAACATCTTAAGAAAGGTAATCTCATATTATATTCATAACCTCATATTGCCATCATAATTGTCATTTGTTGCGGAAATTGAGGCTCAGAGGAGTTAAATTATCATCATCTTGTGTAGCTAGTAAATTTAGTGAAAATAAAATGTAGTAGGATTGAGTAAAATCCTCTAATGCAAATATCAATCTCTTTTTTTACTATATAATATTTGTCTCATAACATCTGGTGAAGTCTATTATTCTGCCTTGCTCTATTCTCACAGATGTTCCTGAAGCAGATGATATATCCTTACGAAATTCAACTGCTCTCAGGCACTGCAGGACATCCCTTCTCTTACTTATGAGAAAGTTACTTCCTTTGGGAGGAGAAAGTTTTCCAGTGAATTACTTGCTCATGAATAATTTATTACTTTTCTCCCCCTATTCTTCTATCAGCATATCTCTTTAGGATATTTGAATATAACAGGCAGTTTATCGCTCCAGGTGATTGTTAATACAAATAAATCTCTGGTATTTCAGGCAATGGAACCAAGCAAAGGGGAGATGGGGAGATTGACAGGCAGAATGGGGAAGACATATGGGGGCACTGGACAATTCCTGGTTACCTAAAACCACACTGTGCAGATTTTGCTCAGCCTTTGCATCCTCACGAGTTAGCCCACCCTATGGCTCGGTCATTGGGGGAACATCAGATGATATTGTTTCTTATTAGAGATACTATGTACGAAATACCAAAGACCACTCTATTTCCTTAGACTTATGTGGCCTTTCTGGGAAGAGGCAAATCTTGTCAAAGGAGATAGACTAAGAATATCCACCTATCAACACTGATCCAACTGGAAAGAAACAATTTGATTTAGATAAAGATAGCTACAGCAAAAAATTAGCAGGGCCTAGGATTCTCGCTGAGTGGCTTGCTATTTTGTTAGCAACATGTTATTTAACATGTTTAGTAAAATAATTGATCTGATGCATTTATAAACTCTGTTCTGGCTCGTGATGCTTAAAATGCCGAGGTGCTTAGTCGTTTGATTAAATTGACTAGTTGATTAGTTAAATGTCATTAATCAAAAAGCATCATTGAGTGCCTTCATCGTGCATGGGTCCTTGGGGGTGGAGTGGCAATCTGAAAATGTATGACCTGGCTTCTGTTCTCTTTTATGTTTCCAGTTGGGTTGGACAATGACAAAATAACAAATAGGCAACTAACTGTTACATGGATCTATATGTGCTAAAAAAGTCGAATGGGCAAGAAATGCTTTATAAAGTCTGTATACAGTGGTAATAGCTACCACAGAGAATATAGTTCATTTAGTTCTCAGAATACCCCTATGAGGTAGATACTATGTTTATCCCTGTTTTAGCAAGGATAAAATTAAGACATAGAAAAGTTTTAAAAGTTGCCCAAGGTCATAGAAGTAATAAGTGATGCAGTGTGAATGCAGAGGAGGGTGTCTGGGTTAAGAACTCAAGTCTCTAGCTCCTGTTCTCTATTGCCTATCTGTGAGATGTCGCAGAAATGGTCAAATGTCTCTTTAAAATATTTAATATATTGAAGTTTGTTACAGTGTACATTTTTACAAACATATTGTATAAAATGATAATTTAATGACATTGCTTTGTTTCTCAATTTTCATGAAATGATTTATTCAAATTCTGAGAAGATTGTTTTTACCATAAGGATCTTTATCATCATCAGAGACACAGTTTTTAGAGCAGATTGTCTTTACATCTATCTAAGTTATCTGAAAACAAAGCACTTTCTCAGTATGTGTATGATACTGTCACTGGAAAATTTATACAAATGAACACACTTTTTTTCCCATTTGTTCTGTGGTTGTATTTTTTTTTTTAATCTCTACAATGTAACCACTTACTATATGCTTTTAAAAGTAATTCTGAGACAGGAATGATAGGAATGATACAGAGTGGTTGCAGAATAGAAAATTCCAGGCAGCAGTTTCATATGATTAGCAAAAAGGATACAGTTGAAATAGCATCATAAGCTAGGGGCTGATAAGACCCTGAAAACCAGCATGTGTGTGAAGCTCCCCAACACCGACTGGACCCATCACAGTGCTGGATTTGACTCAGCTTTCTCCTAGGGCCTCATTATATGCCCATTAGCCTAGAAATCACACACCCTCCAGCACCATGACAGTTCCAGGAACACCCATATTTTGTGTAAAAATGGATGGCATCACACTTCCAAGAAATCTCCACCTTTTTCTGGGAATATTCCACCCCCTGGTTAAAGAAACTCATAAGGATAAAACCCCAAACCCCCTTGGGAGCGACTCACTCGCTTGAGTACGCCTGCACTCCCCTTTCCTGAGTGTGTACTTTGACTTCGCAATACATCTCGGTACTTTCACTCTTTTCTCACTTGTCCTTGAATTCCTAACTGCAACAGTGTCAAGAGGTTGGACACTGGCCGGGGTCCAGGTCCCACTGGTGTTTGGGCACCTCCCCTAGCCCATTAGTATCAATTTTAAAATTATTTTCTTTAAATTCCAACACTGGCAGTTCTGAGGTCAAACTTCGAGAACAATAATGAAATTTACAGTGGCTCACGCCTGTAATCCCAGCACTTTGGGAGGCCAGGGCGGGTGGATCACGAGGTCAGGAGATGGAGACCATCCTGGCTAACACGGCGAAACCCCGTCTCTACTAAAAATACAAAAAATTAGCCGGGCATGGTGACGGGCGCCTGTAGTCCCAGCTACTTGGGAGGCTGAGCCAGGAGAATGATGTGAACCCGGGAGGTAGAGCTTGCAGTGAGCCGAGATCGCACCACTGCACTCCAGCCTGGGCGACAGAGCAAGACTCCATCTCAAAAAAAAAAAAAAAAAAAAAAGATAAATAATAGATAACATTTATATTACACTTATTTGCTTTTTTTTTTTTTTTTTTAAAATGGACTTCATTTGTCAGTCTTTAAGCACCTGATACTAACATTGCGACAGGTCATTTCAGGCTATGGTGTTCTTCCCAAATAACTCATTGTTGTTCCAGGTTAAGTCTCTGAGAACTATCTCACAATGTGGAAGTCTTGGTAAGGATTTACATCTAAGGCAGCCATTATATGAGCAGGCATAAGAAATGGATGTATTGAGGCGATTCAAACAGAATAAGGGAAAAAATTAATATAAGTGTGAGGCCGGGTGAGGTGACTCACACCTGTAATCCCAGCACTTTGGGAGGCCAAGGTGGGCAGATCACGAGGACAGGAGATGGAGACCATCCTGGCTAACACGGTGAAACTCCATCTCTACTAAAAATACAAAAAATTAGCTGTGCGTGGAGGCACGTGCCTGCTACTTGGGAGACTGCTACTTGGTAGTCCCAGCTACTTGGGAGACTGAGGCAGAATTGCTTGAACCCGGGAAGCGGAGGTTGCAGTGAGCTGAGATCGAACCACTGCACTCCAGCCTGGGCGACAGTGTGAGACTTCATCTCAAAAAAAAAAAAAAAAAAAAAAAAAATATATATATATATATATATATATATACACACACACACACACATATATATACACACACACATATATATACATATGTATACGTGTATATATATACACATATATACATATATACACACATATATACGTATATTATACACATATACATATATAGTATATATACACATATATACGTATATATACACACATATATATACGTATGTATGTGTGTGTATATATATACATACACACATATATATGTTCTTGTTGTTCAACTCCCACTTATGAGTGGGAACATGCGGCGTTTGGTTTTCTGTTCCTGTGTTAGTTTGCTGAGAATGATAGTTTCCAGCTTCATTCATGTCCCTGCAAAGGACATGAACTCATCATTTTTTATAGCTGCATAGTATTCCATGGTGTATATGTGCCACATTTTATCTATCCAGTCTATCATTGATGGGCATTTGGGTTGGTTCCAAGTGTTTGCTATTGAGAATAGTGCTGCAATAAACATACATGTGCATGTGTCTATATAGTAGAATGATTTATAATCCTTTGGGTACATACCCAGTAATGGGATTGCTTGTTCAAATGGCATTTCTAGTTCTACATCCTTGAGGAATCACTACACTGTCTTCCACAGTGGTTGAACTAATTTACACACCCACCAACAGTATAAAAGCATTCTTATTTCTCCAAATCCTCTCCAGCATCTGTTGTTTCCTGACTTCTTAATGATCGCCATTCTAACTGGCATGGGATGGTATCTCATTGTGGTGATGATAAGCTTTTTTAAATATGTTTTTTGGCCACATAAATGTCTTCTTTTGAGAAGTGTCTGTTCATATCCTTTGCCCACTTTTTGATGGTTTTTTTTTGTCTGTAAATTTCTTTCAGTTCCTTGTAGATTCTGGATATTAGCCCTTTGTCAGATGGATAGATTGCAAAAATTTTCTCCCATTCTGTAGGTTGCCTGTTCACTCTGATGGTAGTTTCTTTTGCTGTTCAGAAGCTCTTTAGTTTAATTACATCCCATTTGTCATTGCTTTTGGTGTTTTAGCCATGAAGTCTTTGCCCATGCCTATGTTTTGAATGTTATTGCCTAGGTTTTCTTCTAGGTTTTTATGGTTTTAGGTCCTATGTTTAAGTTTTTAATCCATCTTGAGTTAATTTTTGTATAAGGTGTGTAAGGAAGGGGTCCAGTTTCAGTTTTCTGCATATGGCTAGCCAATTTTTCCAACACCATTTCTTAAATAGGAAATTCTTTCCCCATTGCTTGTTTTTGTCAGGTTTGTCAAAGATCAGATGGTTGTAGATGTGTGGTGTTATTTCTGAGGCCTCTGTTCTGTTCCGTTGGTCTATATATCTGTTTTGGTACCAATACCATGCTGTTTTGGTTACTGTAGCCTTGTAGTATAGTTTGAAGTCAGGTAGCATGATGCCTCCGGCTTTGTTCTTTTTTGCTTAGGATTGTCTTGGCTATACAGGCTGTAGTTTTTTCTAATTCTGTGAAGAAAGTCGGTAGCTTGATGGGGATAGCATTGAATCTATAAATTACTTTGGGGAGTATGACCATTTTCACAATATTCCAAGCAGACCTAATCGGCATCTACAGAACTCTCCACCCCAAATCAACAGAATATACATTCTTCTCAGCACCACATCACACTCATTCTAAAAATTGACCACATAATTGGAAGTAAAACACGCCTCAGCAAATGCAAAAGAATGGAAATAATAACAAACAGTCTCTCAGACCACAGTGCAATCAAATTAGAATTTAGGATTAAGAAAGTCACTCAAAACCACACAACTACATGGAAGCTGAACAACCTGCTCCTGAATGACAACTGGGTACTTAACGAAATTAAGGCAGAAATAAATAAGTTCTTTGAAACCAATCAGAACAAAAACACAATGTATCAGAATCTCTGGGACACAGCTAAAGCAGTGTTTAGAAAGAAATGTATAGCACTAAATGCCCACAGGAGAAATCGGGAAAGATCTAAAACTGACACCCTAACATCACAATTAAAAGAACTGGAGAAGCAAGAGCAAACAAATTCCAAAGCTAGCAGAAGACAAGAAATAACTAAGATCAGAGCAGAACTAAAGGAGATAGAAACACGAAAAACCCTTCAAAAAAAGCAGTGAATCCAGAAGCTGGTTTTTTGAAGATTATCAAAATAGACTGCTAGCCAGACTAATAAAGGAGAAAAGAGAGAAGAATCAAATAGATACAATAAAAAATGATAAAGGGGATATCACCACTGATCCCACAAAAATACAAACTACCATCAGAGAATACTATAAACACCTCTATGTGAATAAACTAGAAAATCTAGAAGAAATGGATAGATTTCTGGACACTTACAACCTCTCAAGACTAAACCAGGAAGAAGTCTAATCCCTGAATACACCAATAACAAGTTCTGAAATTGAGGCAGTAATTAATTAATAGCCTACCAACCAAAAAAAGCCCAGGACCAGATGGATTCACAGCCGAATTCTACCAGAGGTACAAAGAGGAGCTGGTACCATTCTTTCTGAAACTATTCCAAACAGTAGAAAAAGAGGGACTCCTTCCTAACTCATTTTATGAGGCCAGCATCATCCTGATACCAAAACCTGGCAGAGACACAACAAAAAAAGAAAATTTCAGGCCAATATCCCTGATGAACATTGATGCAAAATCCTCAATAAAATACTGGCAAACCGAATCCAGCAGCACATCAAAAAGCTTATCCACCACGGTCAAGTCAGCTTCATCCCTGCGATGCAAGGCTGGTTCAACATATGCAAATCAATAAACATAATCTATCACGTAATCAGAACCAATGACAAAATCAAATGATTATCTCAATAGATGCGGAAAAGGTCTGGCTGGGCGCAGTGGCTCACGCCTGTAATCTCAGCACTTTGAGAGGCCGAGGCAGGCAGATCACGACGTCAGGAGATTGAGATCATCCTGGCCAACATGGTGAAACCACACCTCTACTAAAAATACAAAAATTAGCTGGGTGTGGTGGCAGGTGCCTGTAATCCCAGCTATTCAGGAGGCTGAGGAAGGAGAATCGCTTGAACCAGGAAGCGGAGGTTGCAGTGAGCCGAGATCACACTACTGCACTCCAGCCTGGCAACAGAGTGAGACTCCATCTCCAAAACAACGACAGCAAAAAACAAAAGGCCTTCAATAAAATTCAACACCCCTTCATGCTAAAAACTCTCAGTAAACTAGGTATTGATGGAACATATCTCAAAATAATAAGAACTCTGTGACAAACCCACAGCCAATATCATACTGAATGGGCAAAAGATGGAAGCATCCCCTTTGAAAACTGGCACAAGGATGCCCTCTCTCACCACTCCTATTCAACATAGTATTGGAAGTTCTGGCCAGGGCAATCAGGCAAGAGAAAGAAATAAAGGTTATTCAAATAGGAAGAGAGTGTGGGAGTTCAATCAGGCTGCTGAGAAAAATATTAAAGATAGTTACAATAGCCACACACCTTTTTGGAAGGCCTGAAGGTTTTTGCAAAAGTCTCAGGATAAGGCTACAGCTAAAGGCAACCTAATCCTTACCTTAAGTAAATAGCTTAAAGTGGGTACAAAGGAAGGTAGAGTAATTTATCTAATTAGCTTGTTTACTCATGTGGTCCTAGGACTAACCTTTAATTTACCGGGTTTCTTAATTGCTTTCTACTTGGGAAGTCCACAATGTCAATTACCCTTTAGTGGTGTTGACTCAAGCCTTTGTCAATTAATCTTTACTGATTAAACGTATGTCTCACTAGCTGATTGGGGCCATGGTCGCAACTGTTTACAGCACTCTGGAGTCTGTAAGCGGCCTGGATGCTCAGCCAAACTGGCAAAGCAGAATATCTGTGTTTCAGTGTATTTCATTCATCTGTCATTGGGTCAGGGTCTGCAGGACAGACCCCTGCAAGAGAGGAAGTCAAATTGTCTCTGTTTGCAGATGACATGATTGTATATTTAGAAAACCCCATCATCTCAGCCCAAAATGTCCTTAAGCTGATAAGCAACTTCAGCAAAATCTCAGGATACAAAATCAGTTTGCAAAAATTACAAGCATTCCTATACACCAATAATAGACAAACAGAGCCAAATCATGAGTGAACTCCCATTCACAATTGCTACAAAGAGAATAAAATACCTAGGAATGCAATTTACAAGGGATGTGAAGGACCTCTGCAAGGAGAGCTACAAACCACTGCTCAAGGAAATAAAAGAGGACACAAACAAGGCTGGGCGCGATGGCTCAAGCCTGTAATCCCAGCAGTTTGGGAGGCCGAGGCAGGCGGATCAAGGAGGTAAGGAGATGAAGACCATCCTGGCTAGCACAGTGAAACCCCGTCTCTACTAAAAATACAAAAAATTAGCCGGGAGTGGTGGCGGGCACCTGTAGTCCAAGCTGCTTGGGAGGCTGAGGCAGGAGAATGGCGTGAACCCGGGAGGTGGAGCTTGCAGTGAGCCGAGATCATGACACAGCACTTCAGCCTGGGCGACAGAGCGAGACTCCGTCTCAAAAAAAAAAAAAAAAAAAAAAAGAGGACACAAACAAATGGGAAAACATTCCATGCTCATGAGTAGGAAGAATTCTTTGATTGATTTTATTTTATTATTATTATTATTATTTTTTGCCTGAAATTTTCTTTTTTTGTTGTGTCTCGCCCAGGTACGATCTCAGCTCACTGCAAGCTCCGCCTCCTGGCTTCACGCCATTCTCCTGCCTCAGCCTCCCGAGTAGCTGGGACTACAGGCGCCCACCACCACGCCCGGCTAATTTTTTGTATTGGTCTTGATCTCCTGACCTCATGATCCTCCCACCTTGGCCTCTCAAAGTACTAGGATTACAGGCGTGAGCCACCACGCCAGGCCTGGTTTTTTTTTTTTTAAGAAAACATATATTTATTGAGCTTTTAAAAAAAATTTGCCAGGGATGGTGCTACTCATTTGAGATTTTAAAGAGAAAAAAGTCTCGCAAGATTCTGACCCTCATAGAACTTACCTGTAGTGTGTTAGACAGAAAATGAACAAATGAAAAATAATTAGAAATATTATAAAGTATATGAAGGAAATAATGATGCATTAAATAAGTAATTAACAGAGGGCCTATTTTTAAAAAGGTAGTCAAAAAATGGCTGTATGATTCCATAGACAATAAGAGAAATAATTATTTTAGCTATCTGATTTATTTGCCCAATATTCATTTCCCACTTGTAGGAATGGCATTTCAGTCTCTTTGGGGAACAAACCCTCTCCCACTCATAGCCCATGTCCATGTTTCTGGCTTCTGTGGCTTAGGCCTAGATAGTCGATATTCCCTCAGGCTACAATAATGTCTTTGATTTAAGGATGAACTTTTAACCCAAATATGAAAATGAAATTTGATTCCTAATCTTTAATTGGGTCTATAGGGAAAAAAATTCTCTTCCCACTGGCATAAGCTGGAAGGATGTAATTGTGGAGCATCCAAGGGCCATGAGATGAGAACTGATTAAGAAAGGAGGGAGTCAGCATAGACAGAAACAGAGCCCGTGGAAGGAAAGAGGTGATGCAGATGACATCATTTATCTATCTTGACGCAGTTGTAAATTCTCTCTCATGGGATCCAATAAATGTCCCTGTCCCCACTCTCTTTTTTAAACCTAAGTAAGTTAATTTTGTAGATGAGTTAGTAGCTGATATGTCAAATTTGAGGCAATGTAGGCTCTCATACCTTAGATCTGTCTATTTGGTTGCTGTGATACAGGACTGTGCCTGTATCACTGGTAAGATTGTGGCAAAATTACTCTCTCTCAATTTATCTACATTAATGTGCCTTAGTTTTAGCAATGAGGAGATAATATATTTAAAGATGAGAATATACACCCACAGACCCAGAACCACACACAATGTACACATATTACAGTGTATGTATATCCAAAATATGTGTCTATAGAAATGTATACTATATACATATTATATATACAAATATACACATATATACTTATATGTGTGTATATATGTGAATAGACTATTTACATGTATATATACAAATATGTTATATACACATTATATACTATATATATTTATACACATATTTAAACACATGCATGTATGTGGATAGAGAGATAGCGAGATAGAAAGATAGATATAAAGAGAGAAAGGGAAAGAGAGTGATCCAAGCTCTGATTTAAATTTAGAGTTGGGGGAAAAAAGAACTCTCAAAGAAAATAGAGATTGAAGAATAAGAGAGACAGAAGGACGTCTTACAAAGTAAGGAAAGAAAGATTTTAGTATAGAATTTGTTGTTAAAGTCTTCAGCATCTTCAGTGGTCATATCAGGATCTGCTATTATTTTCCATCTCTGATTCCCTACTCCAGTCATGTGTTCACTTTTGCCTCTACCAGTAGCCTCAGAGATGAGTTCCTGCTCTTGGCAAAAAACACTGAAAAGCACCCTTTGCCCCAGCTGTGGATCACTGGGTTTTGCTAGCAGCGAATCCTCAGATGCTGGCTTTTAACACCCTGGGAAACAACATTTAGCTGTATATGCAGTCTGCCGCCTGACATTTTTTGAACTTATTCTATCTTTCCTGATTCTAATCGGGTCTTTGGTTTTGGTGCCCATCTGGCATATGAACACTATGCTTGCCTAAAATTTTTGATGGATAGGTTTGTTTTATCCTCGGGATGTATTGTCTGAGACTGACATCATCTAGCCTCTGGGGCTCCTTAAAATTTTGCCATGTATTCTGGAGCACTGATTACCTATTTGATCCTTGTGTTTGTTCAACGCTTATGGCCTGGCATGAAATACAGAGAATGGGGAGTAAAACGAATAATTAAATTTTCCCTGAAGAACATTAACAATGCAATTTCCAGAAATTGGAGGGGTTAGAAGCACTGAGAAACTTTTGATTTGTCACACATTCTAGATAATCTAAATATGAAAATTAGAACATAAAAAGCAATATCGTATTTTTCTATACAGAAGAGCTGCAAGAAGTAAAGGGTAATTTGCTGCATTTGTAGTGGGAGCAAAAAGGTATGTAATGAAAACCTTCTTTTAGAAGCTCCAAAGTAGAGAATGGGTGTAGCCAATTGCCAACAGGGAACACAAAATTGATTGTGGCTTGTCAAATTGGAGGCATATAATGCATGATGTAGTAGCGACTGCACAAGTCTCCCTCATTGTAAAACCTGATCACACTCCTCATGTAATCTATATTTAAATCTTTTGGGAATCATGACACAAATATGCCCACCCCCAATTGTTAAATTGTCAACTTACACTGAGCATACTCTAGCTGTCAGACTGATCCGTGGGCGCCAGCTGACCTAGAAAGCAGGACACAGAGAGCCGCGCTTGAAGTTGAGAATTAAACTGAGGGCTGGACTGAAAAGAGTATATGAAACCAAGGTGGACCAAGAAGTCAGAGGTGTAAAGCAGTAGAAGGTCAAGGCTATGTAATTTCTCAAAAGCCAAAGACTACATGCAGTTGTAGGCCAAGCTGGGGCAGTCTGCAAAACAGGCAAGTCATAAGGGAGGAGGGGACAATGAAGCAGAGACAGGCGTGACGCAGGCAGAGTTCCTCATTCACTCCTCACTCTTGCAAGAGCCAAAATTTGATATCTGGGCAGGCATGAGGGCAGCCCAAGCCTTAGGGCCTCAGGGCAGGCACGAGGGCGTCAGGTCTTCGGCAGTCTGATCTACTTCAGTCTCAGATGAATGTGAACAGGAATATAATACCTGACCCAGTCAGCCAGGCATTTGATACAAAAATGAATTGAACAAAAATTAATTAACCTTCATTTCTATTGAGGTTTTGTAGCAATATCTCATATGAAAATATCTACTCTCCTTAGGTATAACTTACTTTTCTTAGTATTCCTAGAAATAGGAAAATTTCTTCTTATATTTAAAGTGAAGGCATATTAGTTAAAGTAACTAATTTAATTCGTCATGTGCTTAAATGTCAAGTACTTTATATTGCTTACTTTTTCCATTCTCTGAGTTTGGCTTCTTATCCTCACATTAGGATGAGAGCTATTCACTTGTTTTTTTCAAAGTTATATCACTAGTAATGGTAGATTCTTGGAAGACCTGTGGTTTTGAGTTCTCTCTCCTAAAGAATGTATATATGAAGTATGTATTTATATGAATACTCTCTATGTAGTTTGTATATTTCTTTTTTTTTTCTTTCTTTTTTTGAGACGGAGTCTCGCTCTGTCGCCCAGGCTGGAGTGCAGTGGCGTGATCTCAGCTCACTGCAAGCTCCGCCTCCCAGGTTCACGCCATTCTCCTGCCTCAGCCTCCCGAGTAGCTTGGACTACAGGCGCCCGCCACTACGCCCAGCTAATTTTTTGTATATTTAGTATAGACGGGGTTTCACCATGTTAGCCAGGATGGTCTCGATCTCCTGACCTTGTAATCCAACCTCCTCCCCGGCTTCCCAAAGTGCTGGGATTACAGGCATGAGCCACGGCGCCTGGCCAGTTTGTATATTTCAAACTTCAAATTTCCAAGCCTGTGTTCAAATGATCTTGACAAAGGAAAGTTAATTTACCACTTAATTGTGGCTTGATCAACACTTTTAAGGCAGCTGCTATCAAAAGAGTGGCTATTGTTTCATATATGAAATAGTCAGAAATTAGATTATGCATAGACATGGAAATGGGAAAGGAGCAGAACATAACCTGTATCCTGTATGAACTTTAATTCCTAACCTTTAATTGGACCTATAGGGAAAAAACATTCTCTTTCCACTGGCATAACTTGGAAGGATGTAATTGTGGAGCATCCAAGGGCCATGAGATGAGAACTGATCTCTGTATCCTAATTCAGTGACAGAAAAATAACCCTTAAATCATGAATTACTGGCTGCTGTAAATGAAGGTGATTAGAGGTTCCTCTGGTTGGGGAAGGGATGAAGAAATGTACCCCGTAAATTGTCACAGGTAACACCATACACCACTCTGACCATCACAAACAGCTACTTGAATTACTGAGCAACCGCCCAACTCATCCTTTCAAAGCGGACCCTCACACTGGCTCAGTAAAAGAAATCATTTGCCTGCTTAAAGATGATCTGGAGATAAATTGTTGCAGGTCTCTCCATGATATTGTTGCAATTACAGCTCAGACTCACAATAGAATATACAGTACTTGTTGTGAGAGACAATGACTCTTGTTCCTTTAGGTATCCTTATTTGTTGTTAACAGTTGCCAATTGTGATCTTCCTCTGATAATCTCAAGCCATAGAACATTTGGGAGGGGTGACCAGGCTTCCTTGGTTCAGTCAAACTGGACCTATCTTACATTTTACTAGATAGAATATCATATATATATATATATATATATATATATTTTTTTTTTTTTTTTGCCTGTGTCTGCACTCCTGTTGTGTTATTCTGAAATGGGTTTGTCTACATTGGCTAGTGGAAAAAATAGCACAAGGAGATGTTTGCTTAAATTAACATCTCTCCTTCTGCCCTGTCCCTCTCTATCCCACATTCCATCTGCACAGTAGAATGACAAAGCAATGCAACCATTCATAGTACCAAAAGATTTTGTTGAAGATATTTGCATATAGAAAGTCCTAGTCATTCTCATATGAAGAGGACAGAACAAAACTCAATATATCTTTTATTATAAATTACATTAGCAATTGTGGTAATTCGTATTTCTTTGGAATGCTTATATCTTGTGGCAACAGTTATCTGAAGGGAAAAAGGATGCATATACATCCTGGTTTTTCTTGCAATTGTTAGACTTATTCCACAACATTTATGGCACCAACATTTATGCCTCATTATCATTATTCTACTTTTCTGCCTCTTTAATAGCAACTGAACTCTGAGGAAAGAAATGATTTCAGGATCCTTTTGGCCCTTTCTTAACACTGAACCTCAATGTTTGAAAATAAATTTTTAAAATGTATATTCTGGATTTTAATGATAAATCTTGAAATATCTGTCCACTGTCTTCATTTCAGCATTCAAATCCTTCAGTGTTATCTTTTCTTTTTTTTTTAATGCAAAGCTAATATGGTTTCTCTTAATTTTTTAGAAAAATTAACTAAAATTTTGGCATTGCTTTATCATCTTGGCTTATTGTGTACCCTCTCTCATTGGAAGTTAGCCTCTTTTTATTATATTAATAGGCAGACATTAAAATGTGGTTGTTTTTTCAATGAATGAATAGACTTTCAGCTGTTCCCTTTCCCACATGAGCTTACAGTAAAGAAGTTCCCACTTGCTTCTTGCAAATATGTTTCTACTTGCCATTTTTAAATTACTGTTGCCTTTGGATGTGGGAGAATGTCTTCCTTTGTCAAAATGGCAATAGGAGGCACAAGTGACAATCCCTTTTCCTTAAGATTTGGGACTGCACAAAGCTGTCAGTTTTTAAAATGACACTGTGCCACAGCCTTTCTCTAAGGTGGTGCCTTTCATTTTTGACTCCTGCTGTTCTTGACAGTTGAAATGGCAGCAGGAGGTAGAAACTAAAGTAAGTTCTCTTGGCATTTGCCCTTAGGTAGAAATTAATAATTGAAGAAGCAGCCCTGTGTTTAAAAACAGTTAGTGTCAGATGTCACGCAATGGAATGTGACCAATCCCCTAATGAGATGACCCAAACTGTCCATAATTTTCCAGAGATAGACTTAATTCTCACACTTGCTTGCAATGTTCATCTGTGTTCTTATACTTAAAGAACATTTAATATGTTCTAGAATATTATGTTCTACTTCAAGAACTATGCCAAAAATTCCAACTGGATTTTTCACTAAACCCTAAATTACTTGTCTACTTTGAATTTGCTAAATTGTGCATTGTATTTTTTTTTACTCTGTGTTTCTAATTGCTGATGAATTAATATTCACATTTTTGCCCCCACTCCCATTTTTCACATTTTTAAATGTAATAGCCTTATCTGATATCAAATACCTCTACTGATTCAACCTAAGTACTAATTGCACATTTTTACAGATTTATTATAACTGTATGGACTCTTCTAGCTTAGTAGTTTATGTGTTGCTGGATTTTATTGTATCCCTTCTTTGTCTGATACAGTCTAGTTCTGCACCATCAGCTGGTTTGTATATAATATTTGCAATTCCTTTCTTTGTGGCTGGATGCTCTATTCCCAGGGCTTGGGATCTGGACATACAATAGAATTTAAATGATCCTCTTCCAAACCCCACTTTGGTAGTTGAATTCCCATATTCAGCTCTGGGAATAAGCCAGGGCACTTAGCTATGTGGTTATGTATGAGATATACATTCCGTTTTTTTGCTCAATAAATTTTCACATCAGTTGCTCTGGTACCTGCAAATTGCCTTAGCATGTACTTTAAACTCTTGCACAATCTCCCTTTCCTTGCCTGAGCTGATGTATATTGATTTATTTATCACTTCCTTAACTTCATTTTATAATCTTTTTAGCTCTCCCAAATGCCTCTTTCTCAAATTTGATTACTTCTTGTTTTTCTTATTTATCTATTTTGGTCCATTTTATTCAGGGTATTTTCCTTACTAGTTGAGCCTTCCGATTCTTGGGCAAGATTAGTTGCCCTTTAATAATTGCCATTTTTGGGATTTTGTATAGTTATTGATTACATATATTTAATTTCATATACTTTGAGTCAGCTTCCAACGTTTGTTTTCTTTAAACTGTTTACCCATTAAATGTTACCTTAGTGATAATTGATTGTAGTCAGTATTTCAGCTGGTCCGCTGTATATTTCTAATCTGTCATTCACGTTACTACTGAATAAGTTGGATGCTGTTCCATTTTTACCATTTCATGTTAAGAAACAATATTTTCCCCACACCCACAAATTACTCACTAATTTTTATTTTTACCACTAGACATATTATCTCTGATATTTTGGTTCATAGGAATACACTGATACATTTACTCACTTCATTAAAATGTTCCTCATTGTCTATGTTTTTCTTTGTGTGTGTTTATATTTGTTTATATATAAGGAAAGGCTATCTCACTATTTGTTCTAACACAGGAGTTCCAAAACTTGGTTATGTATCAGAATCACATGAGGAGCTTTGAAAAATACAGATTCCCTAGGATTTACTTCGAACTTGCAGATTTGAATTTCCTGATAAAGGTCCCAAGAACCTATATTTGAATAAGCCTCCACTGAGAATCTTTGGCAAGTCAGTCTTCTGATAGGCATTTGGAAACCAATACTAAATATTTCTCCATTTGAAATTGACCCAAGTCCCACAGACAGGTTGTGAGTTTTTCTTTTTGTTTTAATAAACATAGAAATTGACCCTTCTGGTCTTAAAGCTTGAAACTCACCAGGTCCAGACAATGAGATACCAGGCCCCTCAAAAGGTATTGAAGAACTGAAACTCACCAGATTATCACATCCAGACAATGAGACATCAGGCCCCTTATTCATCATGATTGCCTCCTTACTCCTCCCTTGTTCCTGTTTTCCCACACATAGTTACATTTCTTCCCTGCTATAAAACCCCTAATTTTAGTCAGAGAGTTGGATTTGAGACTGACCTCCCATCTCCTTGGCTGTGGCACCAGATGGAAGCCTTCTTCCTCGGCAGTAACTGCTGTCTCAGTAATTGGCTTTCTGTGTGGCGAGCAGCAGGACCCAGACCGAACCCCTGGTGTTTAGTTAACACATTCGGGACTAATTGTGTTTAAATACTTGGGGTAAATGAAATAATACAGATGACAAAGCTACATATATTTATGAGGAGCTCTATTTTGATCATCTATTTGGTTTTCAGTCTGGTGTCTAGGACTTCTTCGAGGGCTGGAACTTACTTCAGCTTGTTCACCCATGAATTCCCTAGACCTTGACTCCTTCCTGACACATGGGAGTGCGCCATCCATGTTTGCTAAATATAGAGACTGTCTGACCCATTATCAATGGGCATGGCTTCATGAGTGTCTATCAGGACATGTTTGAAGGCAGTTCTTTGAAAAATAATATATCATTAAAAGAAAGAAACACCTCTCTGGAGAAGCAGGAGGGAGTAGGGAGAAAACATGAGCGAGGAAATGGGTAGAAAAACAGGCAAATGTTGGAAGCATGCAGAAAATGATTTTGAAAGCATCAAAAGTTGACGTATAACAGCCACCTTTCTTTTAAGGTCATTTATAGAAAATATCTCAGTGTATTGAATGTTTCACTGTTACAACAGGATAGTGTTACTCCTGGTCATATCGTTTAGTCTGTTGCCCACAAAAATGGAATTTTGAAATAAAAACAGACATCCTTCAGAAGAATTTTTAATTTTATTTTCTGTTTCCTGAGAGAGAAACAAAGTAATAGAAGATACATTGCAGAAAAAAAAAACCACATTGTAACATAAGAAAATTTATTTTCCTAGTTTCTACAGCGATAAATGAAGATTTGTGTATGTGTGTGTGTTTATTTCTTCAACTTCATGTTCTTCCTAGGCAGATCAAAGGCAATCTTTTCAAGATTTGTATATTTTAGCATGAAATTAGTGCATAGACTCTGATTTATCAGGAAACATTTATTTCTAATCACTGAATAACAACAAATGAATAACTAAGAACTCTCATTAGAACACTGACTGAAAATGAGTTAATCTATCCCAATTTCAGAGTTTTAGTATCTTTCATTCCAACCTTAGCTACAGTTTGCACTCTGGTGTCATATGTGTGCTGCACAGGGTTTCTTAAAGCTACAGAGAAATCACTGCAAGAAAGCTGTGCTTCCTAGCTGCATCTTTATAAACAGTTATTATCTTACCCAGAAGTGGGCCAGATAGTAAAATTGCAAAACAGGGTGTATTAGTCCATTTTCATACTGCTATGAAGAAATACCCGAGATTGGGTAATTCATCAAGAAAAAGAGGTTTAACAGACGCATAGTCCACATGCCTGGGGAGGCCTCACAATCATGGTGGAAGGTGAAGGAGGAGCAAAGGCACGTCCTACATGATGGCAGGCAAGAGAGTGTGTGCAGGGGAACTGCCCTTTATAAAACCATCAGGTCTCATGAGACTTATTCACTATCATGAGAACATGGGAAAAACCTGCCCCAGTGATTCAGTTACCTCTCACTGGGTCCCACCCACAACACGTGAAGATTATGGGCGCTATAATTCAATATGAGATTTGGGTGGGGACACAGACAAACTATATCACAGGGGAGGTGTAATCAAGAGGTTCTCCCACCCATTGTTAAACTTCCTTATTATTAAACTTGTAACCAGTGAAATGTGAGCAGATGTGATATATATGCTACTGGTAGGAGCTTTAAGAATGTGTGTGGCTTGCGGCCAGGCGTGGTGGCCCACGCCTGTAATCCCAGCACTTTGGGAGGCCAAGGTGGGCAGATCATGAGGTCAGGAGTTTGAGACAAGTCTGGCCACAATAGTGAAACCCCGTCTCTACTAAAAGTACAAAAAAATTAGCTGGGTGTGGTGGTGTGCGCCTATAATCCCAGCTACTAGGGAGGCTGAGGCAGGAGAATTGCTTGAACCTGGGAGACAGAGGTTGCAGTGAGTCGAGATTGTGCCATTGCCCTCCAGCCTGGTCGACAGTGTGAGACTCTGTCTCAAAAAAAAAAAAAAAAAAAGAATGTGTGTGGTTTGCTATTTTTTCTCCCTCTGCTGGAATGATCAGCAATGTTGTAGAGAGTGGCTACTCTGCCAACTGGGATCCAGGAATGAGGAAGATGTGGAATTTTGATCCAGCCAACCTGTAATAAATGTGAAGTAAGAGAAAGTAATAAACGATTCTTTAAACCTGCTGAGACTTGGGGCCTGTTGGTTGCTGCCTCACTTCTTAGATCATTCTGATGAATACAAGAGGTATATAATAATTGGGCAATTCACTAGTTGATAATGCAGAATGTTTCAATGGGTTTATAGTTATTCATGGATATAGATTTTACCCAAGGTTTAATATTTATGGAAAAATTTACATAATATCAACATTTAAAAAAGAAAGGTAATATTAAAACATATTTAATAACTACAAAATATAGAATTATTGAAAATTAAATTCAAGGACCCATAAATGTACACAATTATATGTCAATTAAAAATAATATCTCTTTAAATTTAAAAAAAGCCTATTTCTGTCAGTTCATCAAACTTATTCTCCATCCAGTTTTGTTCCCTTGCTGGTGAGGAGTTGTGATCCTTTGAGGGAGAAGAGGTGTTCTGTTTTTTGGAATTTTCAGCCTTTTTGCACTGGTTTTTCCTCATCTTCGTGGATTGATTTACCTTTGGTCTTTGATGTTGGTGACCTTTGGATGGGGTTTTTGTGTGGACGTCCTTTTGTTGATGATGCTATTACTTTCTGAGGTGTCTGTCGATCCCTTCTGGGAGGTGTCTCCCTAGTCAGGAGGCACGGGCATCAGACACCCACTTTGGGAGGCTGTCTGTCCCTTAGCAGAGCTCAAGCGCTGTGCTGGGAGATCTGCTGCTCTCTTCAGAGCCAGCAGGCAGGAACATTTAAGTCTGCTGAAGCTGCGACCACAGCCACCCCTTCCCCTGGGTACTCTGTCCCAGGGAGATGAGAGTTTTATCTGTAAGTCCCTGACTGGGGCTGCTGCCTTTCTTTCAGACATGCCCTGCCCAGAGAGGAGGAATCTAGAGAGGCAGTCTGGCCACAGTGGCTTTGCCAAGCTGTGGTGGGCTCTGCCCAGTCCGAACTTTCCAGAGGCTTTGTTTACACTGTGAGGGGAAAAACGCCTACTCAAGCGTCAGTAATTGTGGACGCCTCTCCCCCACCAAGATGGAGTGTCCCAGGTCAACTTCAGGCTGCTGTGCTGCCAGTGGGAATTTCAAGCCAGTAGATCTTAGTTTGCTGGGCTCCATGGGGGTGGGATCCACTGAGCTAGACCACTTGGCTCCCTGGCTTTAGCCCCCTTTTCAGGGGAGTGAACGGTTCCGTCTCCCTGGCATTCCAGGCACCACTGGGGTACAAAAAAGAAAAAAAAAAAACCTCCTGCAGCTAGCTCAGGGTCTGCCCAAATGGCTGCCCAGTTCTGTGCTTGAAACCCAGGGCTGTGGTGGTGTAGGCACCTGAGGAAATCTCCTGGTCTGCGGGTTGCGAAGACTGTGGAAAAAGTGTAGTATCTGGGCCGGAATGCCCATGATACCTAGCCATGGCTTCCCTTGGCTAGGGGAGGGAATTCACCAACCCCTTGAGCTTCCCGGGTGAGGCAGTGCCACATCCTGCTTTGGCTCACCCTCTGTGGGCTGCACCCACTGTCTAACCAGTCCCAATGAGAGGAGCCAGGTACCTCAGTTGGAAATGCAGAAATCACCCACCTTCTGCGTTGATCTCGCTGGGAGCTGCAGACCAGAGCTGTTCCTATTTGGCAAATCAAAACCACAATGAGATACCATCTCACGCCAGCCAGTTAGAATGTCGATCATTAGGCTGGGTGCAGTGGCTCACACCTGTAATCTCAGCACTTTGGGAGGCTGAGGCAGGAGGATTACGAGGTCAGGAGATTGAGACCATCCTGGCTAACACAGTGAAACCCTGTCTCTATAAAAATACAAAAAAGTAGCCGGGCATGGTGGCGGACGCCTGTAGTCCCAGCTACTCAGGCTGAAGCAGGAGAATGGCGTGAACCCGGGAGGCAGAGCTTGCAGTGAGCCGAGGTCACACCATTGCATTCCAGCCTGGGCGACGGAGACTCCATCTCAAAAAAAAAAAAAAAAAGCAATCATTAAAAAGTCAGGAAACAACAGATACTAGAGAGGATGTGGAGAAACAAAAATGCTTTTACACTGTTGGTAGGAGTGTAAATTAGTTCAACCATTGTGGAAGACAGTGTGGTGATTCCTCAGGGATCTAGAACCAGAAATACCATTTGACCCAGCAATCCTATTACTGGGTATATACCCAAAGGATTAAAAATCATTCTACTATAAAGACACATGCACATGTATGTTTATTGCAGCACTATTCACAATAGCAAAGACTTGGAACCAACCCAAACACCCATCAAGGATAGGCTGGATAAAGAAAATGTGGCACATATACACCATTGAATACTATGCAGCCATAAAAACCTATGAGTTCATGCCCTTTGCAGGGACATGAATGAAGCTGGAAACCATCATTCTCAGCAAACTAACACAGGAACAGAAAACCAAACACCTCATGTTCTCACTCATAAGTGGGAGTTGAAAAATGAGAACACATGGACAGAGGGAGGGGAACATCACACACCAGGGCCTGTCAGGGAGTGGGGTGTTAGAGGAGGGATAGCATTAGGAGAAATACCTAATGTAGATGACAGGTTGATGGGTGCAGCAAACCACTATGGCACTTGTATACCTATGTAACAAACCTGCACATTCTGTACATGTATCCCAGGATATTTTATTAAAGTAGAATAAAAAATAAAAAAATTAATAAATTATTTAAAAAAATAAATTAAGGAGATCTTAGAGTTCTGTAATCTATTTTACTGTCCCATGTACATAGAAACATCCATAAGTCTTTGTGGATATTTGGTAGCTATATAACTCATGGTCTTTCTGAGTCAGCAAATTCTATTGTTGAAAATTATGATTGTTAGGTAGAACTTTCTTAAATTTAGAGGAAATTATTTTCTTGACGGTTAAGCTCTGTCCTAATAGGAAATTGTTTTCTGTGTCAGCCAGTTCTACTGCTGGACAGCTATAATAATTAGGTAGGATTTATATATATATATAATATATATTACATATATATTTATCAAAGTCTTTTTTTATTTAATTTTTGCAAGGCCTACACTCAAGAAAAGGTTAGATTAAATGTATTCCACTGTTCACGTGACAATTCTTGAAATATTTGAAGACAGCTGTCATGTCCCCTGAGTCTACTATCTAGCCCTAAATATGGTTTCTCAACCATTCATTATAGGAAACCTTTATGACACCATTTGAAGAAATTGATTGCTCTCCTCTAGATACCTTAATGTATAAATGCCTTTTTAAAGGTACAACAAGAAGGACGTTTGGCATGCCAGATGGGGTACAACGGTTTCTGAGTATATGAGGATTATTCTTCCTGGGTGTTATACTTCTGTTACCACAGCCTGGGACTGCATTAGTTTTTTTAGAGATTGAATCAAGCAACTGGATCCTCTAAACTCCCTAGGATGTTTTTCTCCTTCCTCTGTCCTTTTCTTTTGTGATAGGTTTCTGGGAAACAACAGAAGAGCTTTATTTGTAATACCATATACATTGTTAAAGTAAATATTACTTAATTTTAATTCCATAGAGTTACAACTTAAACATTTAAGTTTGTGTGTGTTTATAAACATAATTGATAAGTGAAATATTTTCCCCTTAGTTTATTAGATTCTTTGGGATTACCTATTGCTATAATTTTCTAACTGTGCAGTATAATCTTTGATACACTTGTTTCAAGTATATCAATGTTAAAAATATTGGCTGGGCATGGATGGCTCATGCCTTTAATCCCAGCACTTTGGGAGGCAGATATAGACAGATCATTTGAGCCCAAGAGTTTGAGCAAGACCAGCCTGGGCAACATGGTGAAACCCTGTCTCTACAAAAAATAAAAAAATTAGCCAGGTGTGGTGATGTGTGCCTTTAGTCCCAGCTACATGGGAGGCTAAGGTGGGAAGATCACTTGAGTCTGGGCAGTCGAGGCTGCAGTGAGCCCATGATCACACCACTGCACTCCAGCCTGGGTGACAGAGTGAGACCCTGTCTCAAGAAAAAAAAAAAATTAAATATATCATTGGTAAATTTTTATGTGAATTATTAATTTATAGGCTTTTTCCATTCCATTCATGTTACTTCTAAGATAATCTGCTCGCATAACGACCATTTAAAAAATTTAAACATCAATAGTAAAATGAATAATAAATAAAAATTATACTAAAGACCGTATGAGGTACACAACCAGGCAAAAATAAGCCATGATGTTTGACATTAGGATAGTGGTTATCCTTGGGCTTCAGTGGATTGTAATAGAAGTGGGGATGGGGACTGGTTATAGGATGTGGATTATTTGTTTCTTGGTCTGGAAATTAGATATATGATTGATGAAAAGTCATCTTGTGTCCAGAATTTATTCCTTCTGGTGGGTTCTTGGTCTCGCTGACTTCAAGAACGAAGCCACGGACCCGCACGATGAGTGTTACAGCTCTTAAAGATGGTGTGTGCAGAGTTTGTACCTTCAGATGTTCAGATGTGTCTGGAGTTCCTTCTGGTGAGTTCATGGTCTTGCTGACTTCAGGAGTGAAGCTGCAGACCTTCGCAGTGAGTGTTACAGCTCTTAAAGGTGGCACGTCTGGAGTTGTTTGTTCCTCCCAGTGGGTTCGTGGTCTCGCTGACTTCAGGAATGAAGCCGCAGACCCTCATGGTGAGTGTTACAGCTCATAAATGTAGTGTAAACCCTAAGAGTGAGCAGCAGCAAGATTTACTATGAAGAACAAAAGAACAAGGCCGGGCGCGGTGGCTCACGCCTGTAATCCCAGCACTTTGGGAGGCCGAGGCAGGCGGATCACGAGGTCAGGAGATCGAGACCATCCTGGCTAACACGGTGAAACCCCATCTCTACTGAAAATATAAAAAATTAGCCGGGCGTGGTGGCGGGCACCTGTAATCCCAGCTACTTGGGAGGCTGAGGCAGGAGAATGGCGTGAACCCGGGAGGCGGAGCTTGCAGTGAGCAGAGATCGCGCCACTGCACTCCAGCCTGGGCGAAAGAGTGAGACTCTGTCTCAAAAAAAAAAAAAAAAAAAAAAAGGAACAAAGCTTCCACAGCATAGAAGGGTACCGGAGCAGGTTGCCACTGCTGGCTTGGGTGCCCAGCTTTTATTCCCTTATTTGGCCCCGCCCACGTCCCACTGACTGGTCCATTTTACAGAGCGCTGATTGGTGCATTTTTACAGAGTGCTGATTGGTGCGTTTACAAACCTTTAGCTAGACACAGAGTGCTGATTGGTGTGTTTTTACAGAGTACTGATTGGTGTGTTTACAAACCTTTAGCTAGACACAGGGTGCTGATTGGTGCATTTTTACAGAGTGCTGATTGGTGCATTTACAAACCTTTAGCTAGACACAGAGCACTCATTGGTGCGTTTTTACAGAGTGCTGATTGGTGCGTTTACAAACCTTTAGCTAGACACAGAGCACTCATTGGTGCGTTTTTACAGAGTGCTGATTGGTGTGTTTACAAACCTTTAGCTAGACACAGAGCACTGATTGGTGCGTTTTTACAGAGTGCTAATTGGTGCATTTACAAACCTTTAGCTAGACACAGCGCTGATTGGTGAGTTTTTACAGAGTGCTGATTGGTACATTTACAATCCTTTAGCTAGACACAGAGCGCTGATTGGTGCGTTTTTACAGAGTGCTGATTGGTGCATTTACAATCCTTTAGCTAGACACAGAGTGCTGATTGGTGTGTTTTTACAGAGTGCTGTTTGGTGCATTTACAATTCTCTAGCTAGACAGAAAAGTTCTCCAACTCCCCAGTCGACCCAGGAAGTCCAGTTGGCGTCACCTCTCTGTCTGTGTACTTACAATGGGTACTTGTTTCTCTACGTATCTTATATTTCAATAGAAACTTTTCAAAGATGTTTCCATAATGGGAACTATAATCACATTCTCTAAACTGTTGAATGAATTCGGTAAGCTGTTATAAAGGCAAAGCCTATGTTCAGACTTCCATCCGGGAGAAGTGTTACTTCATTCACAATGCTGTCCTTACTGTGATTATATTTCAGAGAAGCACAATGGAATTACTACAATTTTGCAATAACTAAAATATTGCACCTATAAAAAGGGAAGCTTTGTCCCTTCCACAGGGCTCTTCGAATGTGGTGATGCCATGTGGAAGCTGGGGCTTTTGGAAGTTGGTTATGATTGAGTGGTGAGATCTCTTCACTCTCCCTCTCACTACTTCTTCATTCTAGAAAGAGTAGTAAATACTTATTTTTCTAACTGACTAAAGACTCTTATATTTATTTGTTCTATTGATGGTAGACCTTGCGTGATGCTTTCCTATATCTCTATTGAAATCTTCTGAAAGTGACAGAATGTTCCCATTAAAAACAATTTACTGCCACTTTGCTTCAAGACACTGGACCAAACTATAATTAATAGTGAGTTAGAGAGAATGGAGTTAGTAGGTACTGGTGACTAGAGGTGGAAAGATCAACAAAGAGAAGGAATGAGATACTACAATAGAAGAAGCAGACAAGGGCCATTGAAATAGAAAAAAAGTAGAGAGGAAAAAGAACTGAGAAATGAGAAACAAAGGGACAGAAAGATAAAAAAGAGAGACAAAATGGGCTGGTCGCAGTGGCTCAAGCCTGTAATCCCAGCACTTTGGGAGGCTGAGGTGGGTGGATCACGAAGTTAGGAGTTCGAGACCAGCCTGGCCAACATGGTGAAACCCCGTCTCTACTAAAGACACACACACACACTAAAGACACACACACACACACACACACACACACACATTAGCTGGGCATGGTGGTGCGCATCTGTAATCCCAGCTACTCGGGAAGCTGAGTCAGGAGAATCACTTGAACCCAGGAGGCGGAGGTTGCAGTGAGCCGAGATTTCACCACTGCACTCCATCCTGGGCAATAGAGTGAAAAAAAAAAAAAAAAAAGGACAGACAAAGATTTAAACAGTGATCACTGTTCCTCATCCTTCCCCTCCCCACCCCATCCTAATTCTGCCATAGCCTCTCTTTCCTACCCACTTCGTCTGAAACTTGTTGGCCTGGTCCTGTAGACAACTTCCCCACCTTCCCTCACTCAGGAAATCCTTCTTTTCTTTTTTCCTTATTACTGTAATTCTTGTAATGAACATTTGTTGAGGGCCACATACTCTGGTTGGCTCTGAGGATAGCGGGGAAATACAGCACAAGGTCCTGCCCCTTGGATGCATTCTCTTGTGCTATGTCTTTCTGTGGCTACGGTCACCCTTACTGAGAAGGTGTGATTGGGATCCTATTCCTTGATGGATTACTCTCAGGATGATTCAGTTGTATCAGGCAGTATTACTTACTCAAATTATAAGGTTCTACAGTTAAACCCCATATTTTACAATTCTGCATGTGTTTGAAAGTTTAATTCTGCACATATCTAAACATACATAGCTAGATAGATATAGATCGAGTTTGGCTTTAGTTTGCAGTTATACTATTTTATATTATTATATCATTATATTTGGTTCAGGGCTTGCAATTGTTTTCATTCAGTCTCTTGTTCTATGTTATAAAGGCCAGGCCAGGTGTGGTGGCTCACACCTGTAATCCCAGCACTTTGGGAGGCCGAGGAGAGTGGCTCACCTAAGGTCAGGAGTTCGAGGCCAGCCTGACCAACATGGTGAAGCCCCGTCTCTACTAAAAATACAAAAATTAGCCAGTGTGGTGGCACATGCCTGTAATCCCAGCTACTCGGGAGGCTGAGGCAGGAGAATCGCTTGAAGCAGGAGGTGAAGGTTGCAGTGAGCTGAGATCTCACCACTGCACTCCAGCCTGGGCAACAGAGTGAGACTGTCAAAAAAAAAAAAAAGGTCCAGGTCATAGAGAAACAAATGTTTCTTAAGTGCCTACTTTATGTCAGTGGCTTTCCTGGATAAGTAAGATTGGATAAATAAGACATACAGTATTTATGTTTCAGAAAGAAATTAAAAAAGAAAAACAACCAAAACCCTGTATCCCAGATAACTAATTCAGGAATCATTGGTTGAGGAGACCTGATGGATCTTAGTTTAGCCTTTTAAATGTTAAAATGTTCAGCTTTTCTCACATGTGACATTTGCTGGTCTAGATAGCCTTAATTTTACAGCCGCCAAAATTTCTTTGGTATGGCAAATGCAGACAGAAGACTAATCTTGTGGGATTAAGTAGAGTTAAAAACTATTTACAAATAAATTTTAGAGTGTGAATAAATGGACAGACATTACTATGTGTCTCACATAGCAATGGCACATGCGCCCACAGTGCAGTAGTAGATTTCCCCTGGTACCCCGGCATCAGCACTAGTTTACTTTTAAGAGCAGGGCTGAGCTCTTTGGGAGCACATTACTACTTCTTAAGTGTTTTTTCTGCTATCTCAGGATATCCCGCATGATATTCTGACTACTTTAGAGGCCTGGGCAACTACGCTCCATTCATCATCAGTGTGAAAGAAATCTACACATTACATACGGTTAAGGATATTTCTTTGTTCCTTTTTGTGTTGCAATTTAAATCAGAGCCAATGTGGTGTATTTTAGCTGCGTTTTAGGTATGTAAAATTTTCAGTACTATGGTTGCTGCAAATGTAATTGTGGTTTTTGCCATTGCTTTTAGTGGCAAAAACCACAATTACTTTTGCACCAACCAAATACTAAAATAAACTTTTTTCATTATATAAATTTGATACCATGATATAGACTTAAGAAATCAAACCTTAAAAATATCTAGTTCAAATGGCATACTATTATAGTAAATGATGTAATAATTTTAAGCAATTAAACATTATCACTTAACCATATTCTCCTACATGATTGGCATTTTAATGCAAGTAGTGTCAGTTAAAGAGAAAAGTTCTTTTGATAAAAGCTCTATTGATATAATAACTAAAGTCAAAGTTAATTCTAAATAGTAAATAAATCGATCAATGCACATTTATTGGGGGTAATTCTGTGTTTTCTGCACAATTCCAGAGTTGCGGAAGATAACATAATTCCCTTTCGAAAGCAGAAAGAAAAATACAAGGGAATTTCTAATTAAATGATTGATTATATGGCATAAGTGTATTTGCTATAGAAGTTAAGAAGAGAGCTATGAAAGCGGGAATGAAAATTTGAACTAGCAAGGTTAGATCAGATTTAAATGACTGGAAGAAAGTAGGAAAGATATTTTTGGCAAACCTAAAAGCTGGGATTGAATGTGTGAGGCTCTGAGGTGAGGCCACTCTGTGAGTACAGCTGTCAGTGTATGTTGAAGTGAAGCAGGATAGGGGCTAATGTGGAGAATAGGGCTAAGTTATAAAGAGACCTGAAGGCCATGAAAACAAACAGAGGTAGGCTGGGCGTGGTGGCTCATGCCTGTAATCCCAGCACTTTGGGAGGCCGAGGCAGGCAGATCACCTGAGGTCAGGAGTTCAAGACCTGCCTGACCAACATGGTGAAACCCCATCTCTACTAAAAATACAAAAATTAGCTGGGCGTGGTGGCGGGCATCTGTAATCCCAGCTACTCAGGAGGCTGAGGCAGGAGAAACACTTGAACCTAGGAGGCGGAGGTTGCAGTGAGCTGACATCCTGCCATTGCATTCTAGCCTGGGTGACAGAGCGAGACTCTGTCTCAAAAAAAAAAAAAAAAGAAAACAAACAGAAGTAAGAACAGGTAGAGATGGGCAGGGAAACAAAACATTTCTTGGTTGTATTGTACAAATTATAATCGGTAACATTCATTATTAGCTTAATTATTAGCCGAATATTGTGCTAAGAATTTCACATAAATTACATAATCCTCATATCAACCTTGTAAGTTGGTATAATGATTGTTATTTTAAAGATGAGAAAACTGAGACACACAGAGAATAAGTCACTAGGCGATTATACACAGGTAGTATATGGAAGAATCAAGATTTAAAGTCAGGCAATTTAGCTTCCAAATTTCTATACTGAGATACTTTACCATCCAACATCGCGAGGAGGCTCTCGGCCTAAAAAGTTACACAACCCTATGAAAGAGGTATTATTATCCTAATTTTCGAGTTGATATACTGAGTGTCCACAAATTACTACTATGGCAGTTAAAATGGAAATTTCTACTTACCTGAAAGCACAATACAGCATTTACTCTGAGTTCAATTGCAATAAAAGGAAAATATTTAATCAATAATTTAATCAGTATATAGAGACAGCAATACTGTGTGCCAAACACCGTTGGTGGTACTAAAGATATAACTTGGGGACTTTGTAATTAACTAAATATTTTGTTATACTTATTTCTTCATTTATCTATATGCATTTTATATGCTCAGCTACTAATATTTTCTTTTTTTCATTATTTATTATACTTTAAGTTCTGGGATACATGTGCAGAATGTGCGGGTTTGTTACATAGGTATACATGTGCCGTGGTGGTTTGCTGCACCTATCAACCTGTCATCTAGGTTTTAAGCCTCGCATGCATTAGGTATTAGGTATTTGTCCTAATGCTATTCCTCCCCTAGCCCCCCACCCCCTGACAGGCCCCAGTGTGTGATGTTCCCCTCCCTGAGTCCATGTGTTCTCATTGTTCAACTCCTACTTATGATTGGGAACATGTGGTGTTTGGTTTTCTGTTCCTCTGTTAGTTTGCTGAGAATGATGGTTTCCAGCTTCATCCACGTCCCTCCAAAGGACATGAACTCATGCTTTTTTATGGCTGCATAGTATTCCATGGTGTATATGTGCCACATTTTCTTTATCCAGTCTATCATTGATGAGCATTTGGGTTGGTTCTATGTCTTTGCTATTGTGAATAGTGCTGCAATAAACATACATGTGCATGTGTCTTTATAGTAGAATGATTTATAATCCTTTGGGTATATACCCAGTAATGGGATTGCTGGATCAAATGGTATTTCTGGTTCTAGATCCTTGAGGAATTTTCTTCTGTCAACATTTACTTTGGTTTATTCTGAATTTCAGCCTAACCATTCCCTACCCTTATGCTTTGAAGACAAGACAGGAAACAGGTACCAACAAGCACAATACCAGTGATGAAAATCACAGTTGTAAGTTTCCTCTGGTGTGGAGCCACCTAGTGAAAGTAAAAGCAGATTGTTAAATATTTCAGAAGTTTGATGGCTGATTGTTATAGTTTATAGTTTATATGTTATAGTTTATAGATTGTTATATAGCTTGAAATTAGCCATCACAGGGTGCATCTACATCACAGAAATTGGCAAACATTACTGACAGTATGATTGATATATATATATATATATATGCTATTAAATGTGTATATATGTAAAATGTGATATATATGCTATTAAATTTGTATATATATGCTATTAAATGTGTATATTATATATGTGTGTGTATATATGTGCTATTAAATGTGTATATTATATATGTGTGTGTGTGTGTGTGTGTGTGTGTGTGTGTGTGTGTATCTGTTCTATTTTCAGTGGCTCGCTGCACAGAACTGCCAGGGAAGAAGACTTTTTATTTGGGTGAAGTCAACCAGAGGGATGAGAGCCAAACCTCAAATCCATCTCTCCAAATTGATTAAAATTGGTGTGTTGACATAGTGGGGGGGAAATATAACTACATGTGGGAAACAGGAATTAGAGGAATTAGGGAAGGGTGAGGAAGCAATCACGATTGATGGGGGCTCTGGCTTCTCCTTGTCTGGGTGCCAGGATCTGGTGAGTCCCTTGCCTGAGGTTTGGTTTCCTGAGGAAGGAACCCAGAGGAGACAAATGTTAAGTTTCAAGTTTCAAGATCAGGAGGATCAATCTCTATGTTTATTGAAAAAACCCCATAAATATCAGTTCTATGGGAAAATTGGGCCAGTTTTATATAAATATGTGTAATATGTGTACGTATAATTTTGAAGTGCTTTAGTAACATAGTTGCTTTGTTCATTTATTGATTCCATAAATACTGAATATGTATACATATTGTAAATATGTCATCTGTATACACACAGGGGCACACACACATATAGGTTTTCATCCATTGTTCCTGGCTCATAACTCCCGTAGCCTTTGTAACAGTTTTTATAATGCTGTGGCTCTTTAGGTCTCAAAAAACAGAAACTCTCTCTCTGACCTTCTCCTATTCTCCTGTCAGCAGCCCGAGACAGGACTCTAATCTTCTTTCACCATTCTGATTGTGGGTTATAAGATCCTCATTTCAGAAGGGGTCCTGGCCCTTAGCCTGGAAAAAGGAATACAGCACAGAGAAGCCAAAAAGAATCTGGACAAGCCTTGCTGGGTTTCTGTTCAGCCTATTAGTGTTAGAGAATACCCTTTTTGTCCAATCATACTTCTCCCTGGTGGTCAATTCTGTCTATGCAGTGAAGTCTCCATTAAAGGCCCAAGAGGACAGGGTGCAAGAGAACTTCTGGATAGCTGAATATGTGGAAGCTGAGAGGAAGGTGAACAAGAATTCATCTATGTGCTGGGAAGTGGTGCACCCCAACTCCAAAGGGACAGAAGCTCCTGTGCTTGAGACCCTTCCAGACCTTGCCTTGTGTATCTCTTCATCTGGCGGTTTATGTGTATCCTCTAAAATATCCTTTGGCATAAACTGCTAAACATCATAAATGTTTTCTTGAGTTCTATGAGCCGCTCTAGAAAATTAATTGAACCCAAAGAGGGGGCTCTGAGAGTCCCAATTTGAAGCCAGTGCATTAGAAATTCTAGAGGCTGGGGTATGCTGATGGGAAGGAGGGGGTGGTTTTGTGTGACTGAGCCCCCAACTTGTGGGATCTGAGGCTGTCTCCAGATAGTGGCTGAATTGAATTGAATTGGAGGGCACCCAGCTGGTGTCTGCTGCAGAGCTGATTGCTTGCTTAGTGTGTGGGGAGAAACCCCACACATTTGGTCACAGAAGTCTTCTGTGTTGCTTGTGGTGATAGAACAGAGGAAAAACAGTTTGAGTTTTTCCACTATCACAAGTACAAATGAGGGCTTTTTTTTTTTTTTCAGTCTAGCTGCCAGTACACCACTGCCCTCCTCCTTTGTGAGATCTTTGTAGGTTCTATTCTCATTCTTTCAGATGCCTGGTATATTTGTAATTTGCATCCTGTTATTTGTATCTTTTTTTCCTATCAAAGAGAGCTCACAAGAATGGAGAAGGGGAAGGGAATTAATATTTCCTAAGCATCTGCTGTATATCAATTACTGTGCTTAACTGTACATATTATTTGATATTCATGATAACTCAGTGAGTTAATTATTACTCCCATTTTCAGGCTAGAAAACTGTGACTTAGAAAGGTTAAGTTACATTTCTGTGGTCAAACATATAAGAACTGAAGTTGAGGGCGGGCACAGTGGCTCACACCTGTAATCCCAGCACTTTGAGAGGCCGAGGTGGGCAGATCAGGAGGTCAGCAGACCAAGACCATCCTGGCCAACATGGTGAAATCCCATCTCTATTAAAAATACAAAATTTAGCTGGGTAGGGTGGCACGTGCCTGTAATCCCAGCTACTCGGGAGGTGCCACTGCACTCCAGCCTGGGCAACAGAGCGAGAGTCCTTCTCAAAATAAAAAAAAGAACTGAAGTTGAATTTCTTATATGTGACTTCAAAGTCCACAGTCTTTCCAGCTGGTGAATGTGTCAGTAATTTAGGCTTCTGGGTTTGTTTAGAGTGGCTAATTTTGAAATGCTTTAGTAACTGTTTTACATAGTTGCTTTGTTCATTTATTGATTACATAAGTACTCAAGAGATATGGCCGGGTGCGGTGGCTCATGCCTATAATCCCAGCACTTTGGGAGGCCAAGGCAGGCTGATTATGAGGTCAGGAGATTGAGACCATCCTGGCTAACATGGTGAAACCCCGTCGCTACTAAAAATACAAAAAAAATAGCCGGGCATGGTGGCGGGCACCTGTAGTCCCAGCTACTCGAGAGGCTGAGTCAGGAGAATGGCGTGAACCCGGGAGGCAGAGCTTGCAGTGAGCCGAGATCGCGCCACTGCACTCCAGCCTGGGCGACAGAGCAAGACTCCGTCTCAAAAAAATAAATAAATGAAAAAAAAGAAATAACTGGGTCCCCATCTGACAATGAGAAGCACATTTAATGCCTTAAGGTAGGAATGAAAGAGGCAGACACCTGAACAGAGAGAGCGGGTGTGTGGAAGGCATTGTTTCCTAATCACAAGCATTTGAAAAAGGCTTTTTGGGGAAGCAAATATAGGCCTCTTGACGTCCAAGAAATCCTACTGCATTCCTATTCCAGTTAAGGCTGAGCCTGGAAACAATGTTTAGTACCTGTTCTCTTAAAGACCTTTCATACCACTTCAGCTGTAAGTTAATAATGGAGTCTTTGTATAATAAAAGAGTAAAAATAGACTTGTTTTTCTATTACATTTTGTTTTTGGTTAGGGAGGAAAAAAACGTGAAGCTGTATCAAGGTTGTATTTGTCCTAATAAATTTTGCTTTAGATTCATTGACGTTCAAAGGCACAAGTCTCCTAAATCTCAGCTCTGCTATTTGTTACCTACTTATTACATTGCACCTGTTGATAACTAGCTCAGCTTTTTGGCCCCACTTTTCTCATCTATAGTTTCACTACTGTATGAATACTCACCTTACAAGGCTGTCTGGCTATAGATAATGTACATAGTCTCTCCAATCTACTTTTGTACCCAACTTCTATCACTTTCCTGTGGAATCCTTAATGTTAGTAAAACTTTTCTCCTCACTACGCTTTGATCAGTCCTTTGGGATTAACTTTCCTGAAATGCCTCCTTTTCTCTTTGTCCCTTCAGTCTCCAACCCGAAGGCCCAAGTCAAGTTTAGTACCCTCCCAAATCCTTCCCAGTCCATGATATCTGCTTTAGATCTCTTCTATTCTCTTCTGAGTTTAGACTTGGTCTTCCTTTCCTTTACCTATTTGTAATTATAAACCATCATTAGCATCTCTTGTAGCATTGCTTTGTGCGGTTACACATATCTTTCCCTTTTCTTTCCAACAAGATTTTAATTACCTAGAGGTTGGGGTTGTTATGTTTCTTCACATTTCTCATAGAGTGCAACACACCTGAACAGTCTCAAACAGCAGCAACATTAATATGTACTAACATTCATAATCCTTCCATGAGCATTGCATACAGAACTGTGCACAGGGTGAATGTTTAATAAGTATTGCAGTAATTACTTATTACTTCTGTGTTAATTGTAGTATGTTCCGAGGATCCAACCTCTGCAGCACTTTTGCTCAGTTTCTTGACCTGCATAAATTCCCAAGAAAATTAACAAAAAGTTTGTTATGGTCTGAACTATGTCCTTCCCAAGTTGATAGGTTGAAATCCTAACCCCCAGTATCTCAGAATGTGACTGTATTTTGAGATAGGGTATTTGAGGAGGTAATAAAGGTTAAGTGAAGTCATTAGTGTGGGACTGGTGTCCTTATAAGAAGAGGAGGTTAGAAGACAGGCACATACAGAGAAAGGACCATATAAAGATACAGGGAAAAGACACCTATGTACAAGCCAAGGAGGGAGGCCATAGAAACCAACCCTACAGGCTGGGCGCGGTGGCTCACGCCTGTAATCCCAGCACTTTGGGAGGCCGAGGCGGGCGGATCACAAGGTCAGGAGATCGAGACCATCTTGGCTAACACGGTGAAACCCCGTCTCTACTAAAAATACAAAAAATTAGCCGGGCGTGGTGGCGGGCGCCTGTAGTCCCAGCTACTCGGGAGGCTGAGGCAGGAGAATGGCGTGAACCTGGGAGGCGGAGCTTGCAGTGAGCCGAGATTGTGCCACTGCAATCCGGCCTGGGCTAAACAGCGGGACTCCGTCTCAAAAAAAAAAAAAAAAAAAAAAAAGAAACCAACCCTACAGACACCTTGATCTTGAACTTCGATCCTCTAGAATTGTGACAAAATAAATTTGCTGTTTAAGTCACTCAGTCTGCGTGTGTGTGTGTGTGTGTGTGTGTGTGTGTGTGTGTGTGTGTGTGTGTTTTCAGTCTGGCAAACTAATACATCATCTTAGAAGAGCAAGTTTGTCTGCATCTTTTCATTGTACAGCCTGCTTCCCTTTGGATCTGGCCCTTTCATTTAGGTTCTGGGAGGAGCCAATGAGTTCAACTGCTTAGTAGTTTGTTTTGTTTTGTTTTGTTTTTTTGAGACAGAGTCTCGCTCTGTCACCCAGGCTGGAGTACAGTGGTGTGATCTTGGCTCACCACAAGCTCCACCTCCCAGGTTCACGCCATTCTCCTGCCTCAGCCTCCCGAGTAGCTGGGACTACAGGCGCCTGCCACCACACCCCGCCAATTTTTTTGTATTTTTAGTAGAGACGGGGTTTCACCGTGTTAGCCAGGATGGTCTTGATCTCCTGACCTCGTGATCCATCCACCTTGGCCTCCCAAAGTGCTGAGATTACAGGCATGAGCCACCATGCCCGGCCTTAGTGGTCTTTTTGAGAGAGCACAGAGAGGCAGGAGACCATGGTGGGTATGAATGGATTGCTCTGCAGTCAGACTTTTTTGACTTTGAACATCAGTTTAATCACCTGTTAGTTGTATATTCTTGGGCAGATTAATAGATTTCTTGTTTTTGTTTTGCTTTTTTTTTTGATTCGGAGTTTCACTCTTGTCACCCAGGCTGGAGTGTGATGGCGCGATCTTGGCTTACTGCAACCTCTGCCTCCCGGGTTCAAGTGATTCTACTGCCTCAGCCTCCCAAGTAGCTGGTATTACAGTCACGAGACACCATGCCTGGCTAATTTTTGTATTTTTAGTAGATACAGGGTTTTGCCATGTTGGCCAGGCTGGTCTCGAACTCCTGACCTCAGATGATCTGCCTGCCTCTGCCTCCCAAAGTGCTGGGATTACAGGTGTGAGCCACCACGCCCTGCCTTAAATTTCTTTTTTCCTTGGTTTCTTCACCTGAGAAATGAGGCCCATAATCACATATTTCTTATAAGGATGTGAGAATCAAATTAGTTTAAACATACTAGTGCTTAGAACAGTTCTTAGTACATAGTAATTAGTAAATTCTAGCTATTATGTAAAGATTTTTACCTTTATTATATGAAGTCATTTATTTTTGATGAATTGAATTCTTAACAGCCTAATTAAATGGTTTAGCACTGAAATTGAGAGACCCATTCCTTCTAACACATATTCCTGTAACCACTTGTATTCTTAAACAGGTTTAAAACAAAGAGCTAAATTATTTATTTCTCTGTTGTGTGTGTACATGTACAGACATATGTACATATTCATCTTTATTAACCCAAGAAGAAGTGATCTGTTAGCACCTCTCTCGTCACAGGAAAAACACACATTTCTGTTGTCAAGTTTCCCTGGCTCCCAGGCCTCCTTTGTTTGGGTACCTCAGTCACTGGGTCTTGATCCTGTTGAACTAATGAGGCAAATTGACTATGTAGTTCAGTGTTGATGAATGGTCTAAGAGGTGACTTCAATTGAATATTTTTCTTTTTATTATCATGTTTTTCTTCTAAATTAGTGCTATAAAACCAAGGACACACTTTCACTGGTGTTTCTGTGATTTGAGATTACTTCTGTTACTGCCTTTAGATTTTGTTTCCCAAGGGGGTTGCAGAACGGACTGCTTTTGCACATTGTGAGCATCTAATCAGTTACAATATGCTAATAAGTTTTAATATGGTGTGATCTTGTGTTTATAAGCACAAACCTTATTGTAAATGTCAAAATAATTCAGATCTTAATATATCCCCTGTAGTGATACATTAATAAGGGCCATAGGAGCAAGTACTGTAGGTGGTTAATTCTTAATGGACAAGGATCTTTTTGCTATTTGATTTGGAGATCAAAACCCAGAGAGACAATAAATAGCCTGCATTTTAATTTCAGAATGTGATATTTGCTCTCCTCACAGCAAGGGAGAAGTTCCCTTGAAAATCCTCATTTGTTAATACACCATGACAGTACCAAGGACATGATAGGGTTTTCTACCCATGATTGTCAAATAAATAAATAGATGTATTCATCATTGTGTTACAATTATATGTAGTCGCAAAAGTAGTCTTTGAGCTCAATAGCATAGCACCACTACTTTTTCTGTTAAGAAAACGGAGGTCATAGAGGTTAAGTGACTTTGGATCATGGACAAATCAGATCTAGAACCCAATTCATTGATTCCAAATCCAATTTTAATTTTGGAGCTTTTTATTTTATTTTTAATTTTAATTTTTTTTTTTTGAGACTGAGTCTTGCCCTGTTGCTCATGCTGGAGTTCAATGGCCCAATCTCGCCTCACTGCAATCTCTGCCTCCCAGTTCAAGCAATTCTCGTGCCTCAGCCTCCTGAGCTGGGATTACAAGCACACACCACCATGTCCAGCTAATTTTTGTATTTTTAGTAGAGACGGGGTTTCACCATGTTGGCCAGACTGGTCACAAACTAATTTTGGAACATTTTATACTACACCATCTGTAATAAAGATTTGAAGGAAGCAGGATAATTGTTAGATTTTAATTGCCTTTGACATTGAAAACATATTTTTTTGAGAAAAATAGGGAGAATACACAATGTGACTAGTTATTTTTGGTATTCATTCCATAAGAAGACCTTTCTAGTTGCTGCATATATTTGTTAGCATTATGCATGCAAATCACTACTCACTATTTTTGTACTTCTTCATGAATTGACTTCCACAAGATAGTTGATCACTAACTTTAATCCAAATGGAGCTTAAGACAAAATACAACTTAGCGTAATGTCCTACAGGTTCATCCGTGTTGTTGCAAATGACAGAATTTATTTCTTTTTTAGAGGCTGAATAGTACTCCATTGTGTATATGTACCATGCTATCTTTATCCATTCATCCATCAATGGACACTTAGGTCATTCCATATCTTGACTATTGTGAATAAAGCCGCAATGAACACGAGAATGCAACTGTCTATTCTACGTACTAATTTCAATTGCTTTGGATATATACCCAGAAATGGAACTGACAGATAATATGGTAGTCCTATTTTTATTTTGCAAGGAACCTCGATATCGTTTTCCATAATGGCTGCACTAATTTATATTCCCATTAGCAATGTATAAGAGTTTCCTTTTTGTGATGAATATGTTAAGTAGTTTGATTTAATCATTCCACATTGTATACCTTTATCAAAAAATCACCTTGTACTCCATAAATGTATACAACTATGATTTGTCAGTGAAAAATAATATGAAATTAAGAAACAACATTAAAAACCCAAAACACAATTTAGCTGACAATCACTCCCAATGTGACAAAATTTAACAAATCGGTATTTTATGTTGCCACCAGGAGGCAGCACAACCAAGCAATCCAATCTGTTTTCATTATCATTTGTTTTTTCAATCTGGAAAACTGAATAGTGTACAGGCAAGTATAGTATTGAATTGGTCGATATAACTTCTTATTACATCATCTCACTATCTTTTGCCATGTAGGTTTAAACTATGACTTAGTGGTGCAAGAGACCACATCTTCAAGTAGCAAATGATGGAATCTCAATGACCACATCCATGATCTCCTGGTCCAAAAAGCATATGTTCTGTTTCTATGTATCTCCATTTATCTAGGTCATTCAACTAATTCCTGGGGGTAGGGGAGAATCTCCTTTCAGGTGGCATTATGGTTTAGAGGACATATGAATTAGGCATGAGAAGTCCTGGCTTCTCCATGAACTGTGAGATCTTGGGATCTTGGCCTCAATCTAACCCTCTTGGCCTCAACATTCTAATATGCAAAATGGGAGAGATGTGTGAAGGTAACTTTTCCTTTTATGATATCTTTATGAGGTAATATACTATGCTTCTAAAAAAGAATTGGCAAGAAAAAAATGTGAGAATTCCTTCAGCCGCAAGACTGACAGGAAATCTCCAGGTTTCCCTGTAGTCTAACTCGTATCAGAAGAGTAATGGCTGAGTCAAAATACATCAGTTCAAAAATATGGCACTGTTTCTTAAGCCTGGAATGATCCAACCAGAATACAAACTCGGTGTTTGTACCTCACAGTGGGTTTTAACATCTCTAGAATGCACTTCATATGTGTAGACTCTGAGGCACTTTGATGGAAGATTATTTCTGATATTTAGGAAACTGTCAGGCTGCCTTTTGGAGATTTGTAGTTGCTGTGATTGACAACTGGTTTCAGATATATATTTTCATTGCTTTGGTTAGGTGTGAGTATATATCAAAATGAATTGCTGAGTGTATGAAATAAAAGAAAAGTGAGTTTCTTCTACTTGTGTGATCTCTAAAGATCTTAAAGGAATCATTTGTAAAGCAAATTGGCTAAATATCATTTATAGCAACCTAAGGGAATTTTCTTTTTTTATATATAAAAAAGACATGAGAATTAAACCAAAGGTCTTTGGTGTGCTAAAGACCTTTGAATGTGCACTAGTTTTGGAGTAAGCAAACTGCTATTGTGTTTTTTCTTTATTGTCAGTGTTTTAAGACCAATTTATTCAAGCCATCAGATGGCTTCTTTGTACTTACATAAAATGAAGTCATGTATGCTTCAAACCAATCCTCTATTTATTATTTATTTGCATGGAGCTTTATTCACACTATTATTATTATTATTTTCTTCAAGGATAATTGGGGTGCAGGAATATTTAGGATTTGGACAAAAAATTTAAAGACCTGATATTTACTGACTTTACTCAAGTTGATATTCTATCTTTCTAGCTTAACTCACATTTTGTAACATTTTAAAGGATTATTTTCAAAATAAAGAATATATACAAAGTTAGAGGACCAAACAGCAAAAAGTTTTCTCTTTCCATTAGGGAATGCTGGATTCCATTACGGTAAGACATTTTTTGATGAAGTAAAGCAGTATATTCAACTGTCAGCCAAAAGGCAAAAACTTCTATTTCTTTTCTTGTTATTGATCTTCTTGGAAGCCCGTATCATTTGCAAAAATATAATTCTTAACTTTTTCACATCCAGTTTCTTTTTTCTTTTTCTTTTTTCTTTTTTTTTTTTTTGAGACGGCGTCTTACTCTGTCGCCCATGCTGGACTGCAGTGGCATGATCTCGGCTCACTCCAAGCTCCGCCCCCCGGGTTCACACCATTCTCCCACCTCAGCCTCCCGAGTTGCTGGAACTACAGGCGCCCGCCACCACGCCCAGCTAATTTTTTTTTAATTTTTTTTTTTATATTTTAGTAGAGACGGGGTTTCACTGTGTTATCCAGGGTGGTCTCTATCTCCTGACCTCATGATCCGCCTGCCTCTGCCTCCCAAAGTGCTGGGATTACAGGCGTGAGCCACTGCACCCGACCTTCACATCCATTTTCTAAAGTGTAAACATTTTTTTCTTCATGATTATACTCTAAAACACTGTCGAATTTACAATAAGATCTCCATGGACACAATTACTTTAGTTTTCCGCAGGCTGGCCAGTGAACCAGATCAGTGCCAGCAGAGAAGCATATTGTAACGCTGCTATTGATACGGAAGGAGAGCAGGGAAGTGCTGGGTAGAGGAGGGCATGGTCCCTGGTTAGGGCTCCACCCCCAGGGACCTAGGTGAGGACGGGCACTCCTGCCTTCCTGCCCAAATGTTGCATTTGCCAAGACCACCCTGGCCCACCACGCCTCCATCCTGCACCTATAAAAACTCGAGACCCTAGCGGGCAGACACACAAGCGGCTGGAGGTCGTGAGGAACACATCTGTGGAGGAAGACACAAGTGGCTGGTTGTTGAGAGCACGCCAGCGGAAGAGCACGCGACAGGCACCGGCAGGCCAGGAGGCCATTGACCCGCGAGACAAGGCGGAGTTTGGCCGGGGCAGTTGGAGGAGAGTCCTGGACCACGGAGCGGCCCAACTCCGGGGGAAAACCATCTCCCTTCTGGCTCCCCCATCTGCAGAGAGCTACTTCCACTTGATAAAACTTTGTATTCGGCCGGGCACGGTGGCTCACGCCTGTAATCCCAGCACTTTGGGAGGCCGTGGCGGGCGGATCACTTGAGGTCAGGAGTTTGAGACCAGCCTGGCCAACATGGCGAAACCCCGTCTCTACTAAAAATACAAAAATTAGCCAGGCAGGTGGCATATGCCTGTAAACCCAGCTACAGCTACTCGGGAGGCTAAGGCAGGAGAATCTCTTGAACCCAGGAGGCGGAGGTTGTGGTGAGCCGAGATCGCACCATTGCACTCCAGCCTGGGCGAAAAGAGTGAAACTCCCCTCTCAAAAAAACAAACAAACAAACAAAAAAACCTTTGCATTCAGTCTCCAAGCCCACGTGTAATCCGATTCTTCCCATAGAACAAGGCAAGAACCAGGGATACAGAAAGCCCTCTGTCCTTGCAATAAGTCCTGGGTCTAATTGAGTTGACTAACACAAGCCGCCTATAGACGGCAAACTAAAAGAGCACCCTATAACACACTTTCTGAGCCTTCAGCTGTAAACATTCACCCCTAGACACTGCCGTGGGGTTGGAGCCCCACAGCCCACGCATCTGTATGCTCCCACAGAGTTTTGAGCAGCCGGGCACTCAAGAAGCGAGCCACACCACCATCACATGCCCTGCGAGGGGGACAAGGGAACCGTTGCCGTTTCACTCTAGCAGCACCACACAGCTCTTTTTGGGGAATGAACTTATGGTTGTAACAAAGATAAAAATCACTGCATTAAAAAAAAAAATCCCAAAATACCATGTTAATCAAACATAAAGTACAAAAGGCATTGGAGTAATGTTAGAAACTTGACTGGATTTGCAACTGACAGAGCATCAGAAGGAATGAGAGCACATTTCTCTTTCTTCACTGTTAAGAGACTTCAAACGTACACTACTTTTAGTCCTTTTAAAATCATTCAGAGCCTCAGTCCAGCAAGATTCATTGTAGAGGCATTGGTTCCTTAACAGCTAAGCTCAAAATATGTTGTTGGTAAGAAATGACATTATGGAACACATCGTGTTTAAGTATGCGACCTGTTGAAGAGTGTGTCTTGGTTCTTAATCTTGAGATCCATAGCAAATGTGGATGCTGATATGCAAGATTGAGAGTATATATTAACCCCCTTTTCCTTTTAGTGGCAAGAGATTTAAGATGGAATTTAGATCTCAGAAAATACAACTGGTAACAGGTATATAACCCTGAGAAAGAAACAATCATCCCTTTATTGGAGTGATTCTGTATGTTTTATTTAGTTTTCTTATTGCAACGCTCCTTCCACCACCGTCACAGTGATTTTTGTTGGACATAGCTTGAAATCCTCCATCAGAATTAAAGAAGGAACAAACAAATCCCCCCTCCTGCTATAGAACAAAAGCAAACAAACAAAAAAAACCCTACAACCCTCCTGCTGGTTCCATCCCTCTGTGGGCTTCCTGCAGCTTGGTTCCTGCTGTTCTATCCCTAAGCCGACTGCAGGCAGGGTGACCATCTGCTGCTAGGTCACAGCTGCCTCTTCAAAATTATGCTCTGGTTCCTCTGTCCCATTTTAAATGCCTGAATATTGTTATATGTTGCTTTTATCATCTCCTGAAAAGCTGCCAACACAAGTCTCTATTTGGAATCATTGGTCTTGAATATTCCTTTAAGACATATACATCTCATCTCTTATTTTCTAGACAAGTATCATACAGAGTTCTTTCCTAAAGCAATGGTCCCTTCTCTGATAGAATCCAGACTCTCAAGTAAGTGAGAATTACCAATATATACCACATTAAGTCTCACACTATAGATATTAATTTTTTTGCTAATAAATGTGAATGCTTATATTTGATTTTTAAATTTTATGTTTTCAGTCATTGATAGGACATTTGGGCTTAGTGTTTTTGTGTAACATTAAGAACATGAAGTCACAAATGCAGCTAGAGAAGAGACAAAGCATGGGAATTTTTTTGGGGCGGGTGGCGGGGGGGACGGAGTCTAGCTCTGTCGCCCAGGCTGGAGTGCAGCAGCGCGATCTCGGCTCACTGCAAGCTCTGCCTCCCGCGTTCACGCCATTCTCCTGCCTCAGCCTCCCGAGTAGCTGGGACTACAGGCGCCCGCCACCACACCCGGCTAATTTTTTCTATTTTTTAGTACAGATGGGGTTTCATCGTGTTGGCCAGGATGGTCTTAATCTCCTGACCTCGTGATCCGCCCACCTCGGCCTCCCAAAGTGCTGGGATTACAGGTGTGAGCCACCGCACCCGGCCGGGAAATTTTTAAGAGTAATTAAAGAACATTGCTGGGCAGATCTCCTGAGATATGCTAATTCTTGGGTGAGTTAACATGGTTCATTCATAAGAGTTCTTTCTTCTTTGGACAGAGTATCTGTGGGCTTCAGGTTCCTGGGGAACAGCTTTTAATAATGATGTTTGATAGTATGGCCTACGATTGTCTATTTTAAAATGTAGCATTTTCTCATATCATAAAATTCAAGGACATAGCACTAAATTTTGATTTGATAAAGCCATTTCTATAGAGATCTAAGATAAGATAGCCTAGACACATTGTATTCCAAAGATCTGTTTTAGGAATAGAATACTAGAGACTCATTATATTTAGTGTAAAACACTTAGGTACTTCTGAGTTTTCTAGTGATCACACTAAAAAGAGTACAAAGAAACAGGTACAATATATTTCGGGCTGGGTGTAGGTGGCGTGCACCTGCAGTCAAAGCTATTCGGGAGGCTGAGGCAGGAGAATTGCTTGAACCTGGGAGGCAGAGGTTGCAGTGAGCCAAGATCGTGCCACTGCACTCCAGCCTGGTGACAGAGTGAGACTCCGTCTCAAAAAAAAAAATTATATATATTTCATGTACCCAATACATCCAACATATTATTTCAACATATAATAAAAAATTATAAATGCAATATGTTAATTCTTTTCTTGGATAATCTAGTGTGTATTTTACATTTACAGAACATCTCAGTTGATACTAATAATATTTTAACTGCTCAATAGCTACACGGATCTGGTGGCTACTGAATTGGACAGGACAATTCTAGTGGAATAACTGGCTATTATGTTTTTTGTATAGCCCCTTTTAAAAACTCAGGGCCCGGCACAGTGACTCACACCTGTAATCCCAGCACTTTGGGAGGCCAAGGTGGGTAGATCACTTGAGGTCAGAAGTTTGAGACCAGCCTGGCCAACATGGTGAAACCCCATCTCTACTGAAAATACAAAAATTAGCCAGGCGTGGTGGTGCATGCTTGTAATCCCAGCTACTGGGGTGGCTGAAGCAGGAGAATAGCTTGAGCCCAAAAAGGCAGAGGTTGTAGTGAGCCGAGATTGTGCCACTGCACTCCAGGCTGGGTGATGGAGTGAGACTGTCTAAAAAACAAAAAGAAAAACATACAAAAAATCAGATATTTCCAGTATGTTTGACTAGTGCTATATGACATTGAGATGGTTGAATTCAAATGTAGGTAGCAAAATTTCAACTTTTTTTACAAAAGTTGAAAGCCCAGTTTGTCTTCTCACTCAGATAGGTAATCATTAACACAGAAATCTACATACTGGTAAGTTGTAAAGTTTTTTTACTCCCACTTTGGGTGATAAAGATGATAGTTACTTCAATTATCTTAGCAATTATTTACTTTCAGAGGTGCAAGTTGGGCAATTCATTACTGCTGATATTGTTTAGGTTGTCACAACTTTTAAGATCATGTATATCCTACGAGACTTGAAATAACCTTCCAAAGTTTAGGTTATTACCTTTGAGAATTCACTATAGTAGGAATTAACTGGGTGACACATTTAAATCAGTCAAGAATCGCATTTTTCTTATGAAGTTAATTTGTATAATAACACATTTAAGAGTAAGATAAACAGTACAACGGCATACAATAAGGAGTTAAAAATAAATTGCTACTTTCTATGGAAAGAAAAGTAGTAAGTTTAATGGTGAAATTCCCTAGGAAAACCACACAACTTAACATCTTATTCTTGCCAAGTAGCATGACCTCTTTAAAAGCTCTCATCTCATTTCCAAAAGGAAATAGAAAATCAATGAAAACATCAACAAGTAAAGTAAGCTAGGTGCTTCAGAGAGGAAATAGAAAATCAATAAAACACCCAGCAAAGTAAGTTCTATAGTAACATTTGTAAATGAAATTAATATGTGTTAGAGAATGTGTGTGTTCGTGCAATGAACAGAATCACTTAATGCACACTATTATAGAAAAGTTAGTTCCTCAGAGAGTTCATGCTATGATGCTTTTCTTGGTTTGCATTTGAAGCAAAGAGGGATAGAATTAACATGAATGCCTTATGATATATTTAGTTAGTGGATCCATTATTGTAATTTAAGTTGTATTTATACTGAATAATCCTTATTTTATATTTTACCTGGATTGAATTTTGAAACAAAACTGGATATAAGATGGTAAAAACCTAGAAATTTCATTTTCATCAGTCTTTCTAATATACACTCATGCACCGCATAACGGTGTTTCAGTCAATGATGGACTGCATATGTGACAGACCCCAGATTATAATGGATCTGAAAACTTCCTATTGCCTAATGACATCATAATCAATGCATTACTCATGTGTTTGTGGTGACGTTGGTGTAAACACACCTACTGTGCTCCCAGTCATATGAAAGTATAACACATAGAATTCTGTACAGCACATAATATTTGATAATCACTATTTTACTGACATGTTTACTATACTATGCTTTTATCATTATTTTAGAGTGTACTCCTACATATATGTGTATATATATATACCGTTAATTAGTATAATTAATAACAATACTAATGAACAGTTAATTAGTACTAATTGATACTAATTATTATTATGAGTGTATATATATATACTGTTAGCCTCAGGCAGGTGCTTCAGGAGGTATTCCAGAAGAAGGCATTGCTATCATAGCAGATGGCAGCTCCATGCAGTGGGATAAGATGTGGAGCTGGAAGATGGTGATATTGATGATCCTGACCCCGTGTAGGCCGAGGCCAGTATATGTATTTGTGTCTTAGTTTTTAACAAAGAAGTTTAAAAAGTAAAGAAAAAAATAGAAAAAAAATGTAGAATAAGGATATAGAGAAACTAGTCAAAGAGTTAAGAAATAAAATGTATAAAGTAATAATGTTACAGTAAGCTAACATTAATTTATTATTAAAGAAAGAAAAATTGGATCCCATGAATGTAGTGTAGCCTAAGTACACAGTGTTTCTGAAGGCTACAGTGGTGTATGGTAACATTCTAGGCCTTCACATTCACTCATACTCATTCACTGAGTCACTCAGGTCAATTTCCAGTCCTGCAAGCTCCATTCATCCTGAGAGCCCTTTACAGGTGTACCATTTTTAATCTTTTATACCGCATTTTTACTGTACCTTTTCTGTGTTTAGGTATGTTTAGAGATACAAATACTTACTATTATGTTCTAATTGCCTACAGCATTCAGTAGAGTAACATGCTGTGCAGGCTTGTAGCATAGGAGCAAAAGGCTGTATCATTTAGCCTAGGTGTGTACTAGGCTATACCACCTAGATTTGTGTAAGTACACTTTTGTTGTCTTGATGTTCACATAACAACTAAATTGCCTAATGTTGCACTTTTCAGAACATTAAGTGATTCATCACTGTATATAGAACCATTCTGATCAAATGTTACATTTGGATTTTTCTTCTGTGTTTAGTCACAGTATAAATTTTATCACATTTTATTCACATATTTAAAAGACAATGCCAGCTTTTCTAGAAGACTTCATATATTTATAGAACAAGGCTTAACGTATGAATAAGAATCTAATTCCTTTTAAATAGCTTTTAATCTATATAATTTATAATGACTTTTAAATTACCTCTAGATATTTTTAAGTGGTAAAGCCTTTGGAATTATGAAATTGCATTCTAAGTTTAATGTAGTTAGTGCTTTGGTAACTTTGATACTGTAGGATGGGCCATAAAATAAATGTATCCTGAAAAGATTTTTTTAATTCCCATTTTAATCAAGAAAATGTGAGATATGAAGATTATATTGCCATTAAAATAAATTCAAAAGCTTCATTTACTTTTTAAAATAAACTTCTCATTTTAGGAGAGTTTTATATTTATAGAAAAATCATAAAGATAGTACAGAGAGTTCACATATAGCCCATCCCCAGTTTTCCCTATTTATCTTAAATTGCTATGGTACATTTGTTACAATTAATGGACCGATATTGATACATTATTTTAAAAGTCTATATTTTACTCATATTTCCTTGGGTTTACCTAGTATCCTTTTTTCTGTATAAAGATTCCATCCAGGATGCAGGATTATATTAGCTCTCATGTCTCCTTAAATTCCTCTTGGATGTAACAATTTCTTACACTTTTCTTGTTTTTAATGGCCTTTCATAGTTTTGAAGGTTATGGCCAGGTACTTCATAGACTGTCCCTCAGTTGTGACAAATGTTCCTAATGTTTTGGGGAGGAAAACCAAAGGTAATGTGCCATTTTCATCACATTACATCAGGGAAACATACTATCAGCAGAAGCAATCACTGTTGATGTTGCCATTGATTACCTGACTAAGAATAGTGTGTGGCAATTTTCTCCAATGGGAAGTTTCTCTGCCTACTCCCCCTTTCTATACTACATCCTTTAGAAAAAAAGTCATTAGTGCAGTTCTCACTTAGGGAATAGGGAGTAATGTTCCACCTCCTTGAAGGTGGAGTGTCTACATAAGTTGCTTGGCATTTTCTGAATAAAAGATTTATCCCTTCTCTCCTATTGATTTATTTGTTTCATCATTTTAACAGTATGAATTCATGGACATGTATGTAATACTTGGGGACATAATTCTATACTACTTTATGTTATTGCTTGAATGGTTTCTGCTTTAGCTGATCTATCCCTTTGACACACCACATCACCGTATGGGGGTGTGTGTGTGTGTGTGTATGCACATGTTTTAATTTTTTTTAGTTCTTCCTTACTTCATGGCACTAAAGGATACTGTAGGCTTCTCTTCTATATTTCCTACCCCAAGCCTAGAATCCACCATTTCTCCAAGGGGTCCTTGTTCCTTTTGTTTCAGGATGGTATCAGAAACAGACACCTAGGAGCTTTATACGCTCATTGCTGCTGGGTGTCATTGTTTCTAGGACTCTTAGCTGACACAGCAAGGAAATACACACACACGCACACACACACACACACATCATTTACTTTTTCGATCCCTGTTTACCTATGTGTTTTGGCTGCATGTTAGTCACAGAAAGGCTATATTAATACTATCTTATATTTGTGGACTGCATGTTTCAATGGGTTAATAATGATATGCTACCCATAATCCCCTCTCCTCTCCATACCAGCCTCATTTTATGGGTGGAGTCACTATTTGTCTAATTTGGTTTTAAATAGTGACTTTAAATTTTTTAACCAGGCAGACCTATTAAAAATAGTGGTCATCTGACATACAAAGGAAAATGATAGAGGTTTGTACAAGTTTTTTATCAAAGCAAGGAAGGAAAATTATCCTGACTTGTGAAGTTTAAGGATGGATGAAGTGTTTAAGCTCATAAGCAATCATAAAGTCCATTTCCTTGACCTTGTGATTATTTTGGGTCTTTCTATAAAAAATTTCATTTTCTAGCTCATGTTACACCATGTGCAGTTTTGATTACTGCAATATGGTGTTACTGCTTTACCAAAGGTAAATATTCATGCCTCATTTTTCCAACCATATTTAAGCTGGTCTGTGAAGCTTTGTTTTTTGTTTTGTTTTGTTTTGTTTTGTTTTATTATTATACTTTAAGTTACAGGGTACATGTGCACAACATGCAGGTTTGTTACATATGTATACATGTGCCATGTTGGTGTGCTGCACCCATTAACTCGTCATTTACATTAGGTATATCTCCTAATGCTTTCCCTTCCCTCTCCCCTCACCCCACGATAGGCCCCCATGTGTGATGTTCCCCTTCCTGTGTCCAAGTGTTCTCATTGTTCATTTCCCACCTATGAGTGAGAACATGCAGTGTTTGGTTTTTTGTTCTTGCAATAGTTTGCTGAGAATGATGGTTTCCAGCTTCATCCATGTCCCTCCAAAGGACATGAACTCATCATTTTTTATGGCTGCATAGTATTCCATGGTGTATATGTGCCACATTTTCTTAATCCAGTCTATCATTGTTGGACATATGGGTTGGTTCCAAGTCTTTGCTATTGTGAATAGTGCCGCAATAAACATACGTGTGCATGTGTCTGTATAGCAGCATGATTTATAATCCTTTGGGTATATACCCAGTAATGGGATTGCTGGGTCAAATGGTATTTCTAGTTCTAGATCCCTGAGGAATCGCCACACTGACTTCCACAATGGTTGAACTAGTTTACAGTCCCACCAACAGTGTAAAAGTGTTCCTATTTCTCCACATCCTCTCCAGCACCTGTTGTTTCCTGACTTTTTAATGATTGCCATTCTAACTGGTGTGAGATGGTATCTCACTGTGGTTTTGATTTGCATTTCTCTGATGGCCAGTGATGATGAGTGATGATCATGTGTCTGTTGGCTGCATAAATGTCTTCTTTTGAGAAGTGTCTGTTCATATCCTTTGTCCACTTTTTGATGGGGTTGTTTTTTTCTTGTAAATTTGTTTGAGTTCTTTGTAGATTCTGGATATTAGCCCTTTGTCAGATGATTAGATTGCAAAAATTATCTCCCATTCTGTAGGTTGCCTGTTCACTCCAATGGTAGTTTCTTTTGCTGTGCAGAAGCTCTTTAGTTTAATTAGATCCAATTTGTCAATTTCGGCTTTTGTTGCCATTGAAGCTTTGTTTTTTATTTGACTCTTTTAATTATTTAACTAGTATTAGCTTTTATTTTATGTATTAGCTTTTGCTAACAAAAAAAGTCAAAATCTCAATGACTTACCTCAAACACTTATTTTTGCCCGCTTGTCTCTATACATCTTCTCATTCTGAGACTCAGGTGCTGGAGGAGCCTCCATGTGGCTAATGCTGTGCTCATGGTAGAGAACCAGGAATACAAGCCCTGCTAAGCCCGTTGCAACCACATTAAGCTTCTGCTTGGATGCAGAAAGGGCATATGTCCTCTCATTCCATTGGCCAAAGTCCAAAGTCAATGCGTCAGACAGGATCATCTACTCCTCCTGTAGAAGCACAGGAAAGTTATGGGAAAATCGCAAAGGATGTAGAAACAAACTACAGAGAGTGAATGAGGAAACACAAGCAAGAACCCAGCCTCAGAAACTTTGCCTAAATACTTATGCATTAGAATTACATCAGCTATACGTGTCAGAAAGACCAAGAGAAAATGGCTTAAAACAAAGGAGAAGTTTATGTCTCCCTCACCCAAATGAATGGTCCATGCTCAGTATAGACCTTCACAACGTTCAGGACTGAAGCTCTTTCTACGCTGTTTCTCAGCTGTATGTGATGGTATGGTTTAAGATGGTTCCAGGCAGTAGTATGGAGGAAGAGATGGTGAAACAACACATCAGTTGTTTTTTCAGAAGGGTTTAGAAAACTGCTAAGTAATAATTTTATTTACATTTTATTGGCCAAAACATAGTCACATGATTATACATAAATGCAAGGAGACTTGAAAATATGGTCTTATTCTTTGTTTCTCTGTGCCCAGCTAAAATTTTTATTATTGTGGAAGATGTGGAGAAAGAGTTGGGAATGAAAACATGTTAACAGACTTGGAGCAAAGTTCTTTGAATGAATCAGATAAAGTCTAAAGAATGAAGGAACATAAGGTAATCAACAAAAGACCAAATGAAAGGCAGAAACAGGTTAAAAAATTCAGAAAATAATGGTTCAATTGAGTGGAAAATGCAATGAGGTAACAACAGGTAACAACAGACTTTGAGCAGAGAAGAGAGATGGCTGGAGGATGGAAATAACTTTGAATTTTTGTAGGAGATAGGTGCAAATCAAGTTCTCAAAGAGTTAAAATTCAGTATTTTTCTGCTAACGTAACGATCCATCTCAGGAATCTTAAGTTAACCAACAATTGCCCCAAACTTGTTTCAGTTCTTCTTATGACCTTTCATTTAGATTAGTTTTAAGTAATTTATTTCCTCTGGTATTCTAATCAAATGGCTTAAAAAGGATCTCTGAGATTCCTGAAGTATGCTTGGCTGTTCAAATATTTTCCAAACAAATTAATGGACTTGCAAATCAGACAAAAGAGAAGTTAGGCTGAGACTGCATTGTGTGCTCTGTAAAGCCAGAGAATGAAAGGATGCACTGTGTACCAAGACATTGACTTAGGACAGTAAATGTGAATACACCTTCTTATAGCAACGAGCAAATGTTGGTTTAAAAATACTGGTAGCACAGCCGGGCGTGGTGGCTCACGGCTGTAATCCCAGCACTCTGAGAGGCCGAGGCGGGCGGATCACGAGGTCAGGAGATCGAGACCATCCTGGCTAACATGGTGAAACCCTGCCTCTAGTAAAAATACAAAAAATTAGCCGGGCGTGGTTGCGGGCGCCTGTAGTCCCAGCTACTCGGGAGGCTGAGGCAGGAGAATGGCTTGAACCCGGGAGGCGGAGTTTGCAGTGAGCCAAGATCGCGCCACTGCACTCCAGCCTGGACGACAGAGCAAAACTCCGTCTCAAAAAAAAAAAAAAAATAATAATGGTAGCACACTAGAGCATAACGGGAATTTTATACTGACAATTTCATTTACAGTATTTAATTCAGGAACATCTCTATGAATATAGGCACTCGATATGTTTCATACCTGTGTTCTTATACTTTGGTACCTATTCCTCATCTTTTGTAAATGGTATTTAAGACACATCCTAATATTTCTGAAGTATTCAGGGATATTTTTAAAGTGTGGGTGACGTATAAATCACCAGCTAGTTGTATCTGGTGCGTTTTACTTTGTGCTTGAGAATGGCATTGCAATTCTGGCCAGTGACTATAGAGTAGTCATTTTCTAGTTAATTGGTTTTAAGAAAGTTTAATCATTACTGGAAGCACTTAAACAGACATCAGGTTAGACTTGACGTTTATTTATTTATTTTTTACGTTTCACCCTCTTGGTCTTTTATTCTTTTATTTTAAGTCTTGTTTTATTTTAGCATATGAAGTGAATGCAGACCATTCTAGCATTGTACATCTGGGGGACTACCATGACCTTTAAGAACAGCAGCATCAGAGGAATCTGGGGAAATATATGCTTTGAACATTTAATAACACCACTGCCATGACTTAGTGAATATTTCCATGCCTGTGTATTATGAAAATATAGCACTGGGACCATGGTTGAAAAGTTCAAAACCACAAAAGCTGAAGAATACATGGCATTTCAAATGTCTGCATTACTGTTCTGTGAGATGTTTAGTTCTACTTTGCTAGAGCCGGGATTATTTAAACCTCGGTCCTGTAGATTATAACAAGAACAGTTGAAACAGCGATGATTTCATATCTGAGATGACTCTATAATGTAAAATGCTTTTTAAATTCTCAAGTTTAATCAACAGTGTGTGAATGTAAAGGTTGTTATAAACTCATGATCAGTGTTTTACAAATAACCTGAATTCTTTTGAACTAGCTGTGTTTTGACAGAGGTTTTTTTTTTTTTTTTTTCTTTTTTTGGTTTTTTGCTTCTCTGACAAAGGCCTTTGGAAGAATGAGCTTCTTCCCCCACATCTTTATTTATTTATTTATTTTTAAGCTATGCTCAGGAAAATGAACATTTCTCCTTTGCAGTTGATAACAGCATTTACAAGGTATACAGCATATAGGGTTGTTCCAAATTCCTTCCCCAGATAACCATGCTTGCCAAATAGCTTTGACTTTGCAAAAACATTGCATTGTTGGACAAATGCCTAACATGAATCTTTCCCAAACTTTCGGTTGGGGAAGCAAATATGTGGAATAATGCTCAGAGCCATTTGCTGTTCAAAGGATTTCAGATCCTCCATCCAGCCCCACAGATACTCAGCCTTTGCTACAGTTTTAGCAGCATGCTTGGCTTTTTTGACAGCAGTAATAGCTCTTTGGCCCACTTTCTCTTCTAAACTTTATCTAAACTTCAAACTCTTTGGCTTTTTCCCCCTCTTTTGCTAAAGCTAGTGATCACATGCTGAATAAATAATCTATAGACCATGATCTCCTGTCCTGTCAGGCTTGTTACCCAAACTCTAAACCAGCGATGTCAGAAACCTGCCTGATAAGTATTCCCAGGTAGATTTTCTAACTACCTCCCCCACTGGTTACCATCATCATTGCTTACATACTTCCAGAACTCCCTCATAGCACATTGACTATATTTGGAAGAACTAATTGGTGGTTCTGGTGTCTTTGTTAGGAAAAAGTGACACTTTTTGAAGTTAATAAAAATCTCTTCAGCTACAGCCTTTTATCAGATGTAACAAAACATTGTTTGAACAAATATGTTCTCAGTAGTAGTGACAGTTCCTTTCTGCTTTTCCTAGCCATCAACATCTTAGGAAAGAAAATGGTAGAAGTTCCTTAATGACATAAAATTAGTTTTTGAATAATGGCAGCTCCTGATAGAATATTGCTTTTCAAATCAAGAACTCAATTAAATTAGGTTCCAATTGGATTGCATCAGCATTTTTATATGTCTTTAAGTAACATATTTTTCATTTGATCTTAAGCAACTTTTAATATCTATTTCAATTCTGTACAAACATTTTTTACTATATTAACGGCTCTTAGAGGAAAGAAGCATATTTATCAAATATCACAATTAAGAAAGTGACTCTGTGATTATTCAGGTGTGACATCAGCAAAACTAAAAAGGGTTCCCTTTAGCATTTACTAACAGAATTTTCTTGAGAGGCAATGAGAAGCAGAGAGATCATGCTCTTTGGGGACAGAAAGTTTACCTGAATACAACAGAGCTTGATTTATTCAGCAGTGACTGAGAATTCAGTACAGTCTTTCAATATTTGAACTCTAGTATAAGATGTACTTGTAAAAATTTCTTTATTTCCCATTTGTAAATGTTAAAACAAACATATTCTTGTTTAGTGTGAGGGAAAAGGATAAATATAATCCACTAAATATAGTGCAATGCCGATGGGTGGCTGGGTACACTCGATTCTCCCTCCTCCATGATATCGTTATCTACTCTCAATTCACCCTCATTCACATAATACCTAATTGAAATACATTGATAACCTGAAGACTTAAAAAAAAAGGAATTTGGATGCTACCACTGTTTTATAAATTATGATTTTGATATGGGAAAATAAAAAAGTTTATTCATAGAAATCTACTCTGCTGCTTTTCAGGAGCCTTATTTTTCTTAATTAAATTAAATTAATTAATTAATTAATTTTTTTGAGATGGAGTTTCACTCTTGTTGCCCAGGCTGGAGTGCCATGGTGTGATCTCGGCTCACTGCAACCTCTGCCCCTGGGTTCAAGCAATTCTCCTACCTCAGCTTCTTGAGTAGCTGGGATTGCAGGCATGCACCACCATGCCTGGCTAATTTTTTGTATTTTTAGTAGAGATGGGGTTTCACCATGGTGGTCAGGCTGGTCTCGAACTCCTGACCTCAGGTGATCCACCCGCCTCGGCCTCCTAAAGTGCTGGGATTACAAGTGTGAGCCACCATGCCTGGCCTATTTTTCTTTCTTTTAAAAATTTAGATACTTATTTTTAAATGAGAATAGAAAATATTAAGTGATCTAGTTACTTTGTTTTCTTTTTAGCCTAGTGAACTACCAAATTCAGTTGATTTTTTTTTGCATAATCAAAAGTGATACATGAAAATATTAAATCTAAGCAGGTAGATGAATATTTGAATGAGAAGTTGTGCCAGTAGTATGTACATTAACCCAGTAAAATTTATAAATCAGTTCACTAAAAAATTCAGCTAAGCATAACTAACTTGACAATTTTGAATAGTAAGCTATTATTAGCACTTTTTCCACAAGTATATCATATTTCCAAAATATTCAGCACTAAAAATTTTAAGGTTAAAATGGGACTTTATCAAATTCATAAGTATTTTGAATTCAGATGTAAAATAAATTATTTTTATTATTTGAAGCATTCGTTAATTGCACCGTTTACTCAACAAAAATGTGTTGAGTTTCTTTTTTGTACCAGGCACTGTGTAAAGTATAAGTGTGTAAAGTATTACTTTACTTTATAAAGTAAAGATAGGTGAGATGTTCATCCAGCCTTCAGTGACTTTACAGAATTAAAATGTTTCTTAATTAAAAAAAGAAAGGCTTAAACCAAGTAAAAGCCCAAACTAAAGCAAACAGAAATGGACAGAAGACAAAATTCACTGAGGAATTAGCACCAATAAATACACAGGTGTGTTTTCTCACCTGTTTTGTGGGATTAAACTGAGGCAATATTTTCACGAAGTGTATTATTTAGTCTTAAGAAACCCCACGTGTTTCTTAGTTCGCATAAAAGCTGTTGAAATGGGTTAAATAAAAAGTGGTGTTCATTTCACTAGAGATCAATGACTCAAACTGACACTTGTTTCTAATGGTCAGCAAATTTTATTTTCAATGTGTGTATTACTTTTTCATAATCGCAAACCAAAGTTTGCTAATCTTCATCAATCTCCTGAGTATTTAGTATAGTAGAAATGATTTGTTTTGAAATATCAGAGCATATGATGATGGACCTTAATTGTGTGCTGCTACAATAGAATACCACAGACTGGGTAATTTTTAATGAACAGACATTTATTTAGCTTACAGTTCTGGAGGCTGGTAAGTCCCAGATCAAGGGGCAGGCATCTTGTGGGGCCTTCTTGCTGTGTCATAACATGGCAGAAGGGACGACATGTGCAAGAAGGAGGAAGAGAGAGAGAGCACGCACTCGCAGGCACTTGAGAGAGTGAGAGAAGGGGTCTGAACTCATCCTTTTATAAATAAGCCAGTCTCTCAATAATGACATTAATCCTTTTAGGAGGGTAGAGCCCTCATGACCTAATCACCTCTTAAAGGTTCCATCTCTCAACTCTGTTGCATTGTGGATTAAGTTTACAACACATGAACTTTGGGGGACTCATTGAAACCACAGAAGTGACCTATGTTTAATCTTTGTACTATGAAATTTTCCTTAAAAAATTAAATCTAAAAAATTGTAGCTAATAGGTGAAGAATTATCTTATTATCACACTGTTATAAATTGTATTTCTTTATTGCTAATGAGGTTCAAATAGTTTTTTGTTTTATTTTTCATTAACACATAATGATTGTTTATAAAATAATTAAATTTTTAAAATACTATCTTTAAGTCTTTGTGTTGAAACTAAAGACCAAAATACAAATATTTAAATTGGAATGACCTAGATATATAAATATGAAATTGAGGACTTAGATCCTGATGGATTAAAATGGGTTGGCAAATTTCTTCTGTAAAGGACCAGATAGTAAATATTTTAGGCTTTGCAGGCCATATGATCTCTGTCCCAGCTACCTAACTTTTTTGTAGTACTGAGAAATCTTCCACCAACAGTGCATAAATGAATAGACATGGATGTGTTCTTTTTTTTTTTTTTTTGAGATGGAGTCTCACTCTGTCACCCAGGCTGGAGTGCAATGGCGCGATCTCAGCTCACTGCAAGCTCTGCCTCCCGGGTTCAAGCGATTCTCCTGCCTCAGCCCTCAGCCTCCTGAGTAGCTGGGATTACAGGCACCCACCACCACGCCAGGCTAATTTTTTGTATTTTTAGTAGAGACGGGGTTTCACTGTATTAGCCAGGATGGTCTTGATCTCCAGACATTGTGATCCACCCACCTCGGCCTCCCAAGGATGTGTTCTAATAAAACTTTCTTTATACAAACAGGCTGGGTACTGGATTTGGCCTAAAGGATATAGTTTCCCAATCCCTGGATTAAAACATACATTGAGTGGATAGGCATTTATGTTAACCACAAATGTGACTGTGTCTTTGCTGATGAGTCATTGCTTCAAAGACTGAGATTCATTAACTTTTGGGAAGACACAAGCTGCTTGTTTCTCAACTCTATTTTAAGGAAATAGATTGCACTTCTTTCTTTCTCATAATCAGATAGGGATCATGTTGTACTTACTGCAGCTCTGCCAAGGAATCAGTTTTTTATATCAGTGCTTCATCCAATTCCTTCCCGCCATGGCATGTTTGGAAAAGAATCATATTTATATTAAATACTTGGGCAAATGGCTGAGGCTGCTTATGGATGAGGATTTTGATTATGCCCTTTAAATTCAAAGAATTATCACAGTATTCTCACTTCCTTCCCAATTCTTCTTTTCCTCTCCCCCACTTTTTTTTGCGGCCCAATTCTTTGCAGGCTTGAGTTCCTCTAAATATATCCCCCCAAAATGAAGGTGACAAACACTTGCCAGGAATGAGATGAGATGCTGCGGTACATTACTTTTACATATTTTAGTGACCCCATCTATTTTCATTTTTGTGAAGAAACCAGGAAAAATAAGAGATTTTCTAAGGCCTTATTCAGGATTAAATTTACATATTTACATATGATATCTATCTTTTAAAATCTGAAAGAAGTCTCTTTTTCTGGAGTCTTCCTTGTCCTCTGAACCCTTTTCCCTCATGTTCAGTTACTTGTTTATAAAATAATGTCAGCGATCTCAACTTTTTCTAGAGGAAAGTGGGCTCAGAAAAATAAGTTTGAAAAGTAAAGCAGAATCTCCTCTCGTTAATCCTCAGAATCTGTACGAGTCACAGTAAATTATATTTGATGCTGAAACAAACAACCTCACAGTAAATTATATTTGATGCTGAAAAAAACAACCCAAAATTTCTGTGGCTCGCCAAGTTAAGAATATATTTATCACGGACATTCCAGTCTGATGATTCAGGTGACAGTTAAGTTCAGGCAGAGGTGCCAGAACTTCATGCATTAAGCAAACTCGGCACCTCTGTTCAGCTAGTGGCTCTTAGGCTCTGAAGTTGTCTATAGACGAGGGACTAGAGAGTGAAGCTGGAAGATCTGAATGTAGCCAACACTACTTCTGCCCACGTTTATCTGGGGACCCAGTTACGTGGCCCCATGTAATGGTAAGTGAGCATGGGCAATATAATCTAGCTAATCGCATAGAGGAAAAGGAAACAAGGCTTGGAGAATAAAAATCATTGTTTCAGCCCTAGCCACCAAAACAGGTTTTCCACGAAGCTGATGTTTATACAGGCATGCAGTTCCTACTTGGTGTATGCTACCTGCAACATCATCTTCTCATACTCAAGGAGAAGCACAGGGAAAAGTACATAAACCTCTGAATGAAATGGTGGAAACTATCATTCTAAAACTCTGAGAGAAACACCAACAAGGGGAATAGGGCTGAGCTTAGGTCTCAAGACTACAACTGTGAATTTGACTATAACACAAACTCTCAAGGACAACAACCAAGTGAAGGATGTATTGTAGATAAAATCATGCTTAGTTGTAGAGATTTTACAGACATACATTCATGTCAACTGCCAGAACTCTAAGTGGTAGGAACCAGTCTGCTACAATAGATCAAATGAAAATGGTTTAAAAATGAGCACGATGATTAATAGATAAGTATTTGATTAATAGGTCTGTAGGATATGTATTTGATTAATAGGTCCATACACACACATATGGATGCCCAGGCATACCCCATACTCTACTTCTTTCTCATGCTTTCAAACTCAACTTTCACATGAAAAATTCTTTCTTATATCTTTTCTTTTCCCCTTGACTGCAGTATTCATGATATATGATATACTGGCACCTTTTAATATAAAGGCCATCAGGAACATTTTTGAGAATTATGGATGTAAGCAATGCCACAGAGTGTCCTTTAATTTTTTAAGGTTACAGTGGTGAGCTACTTCAAATAGTCCTGTTTGCTTATATAAATCAAATGAAAACATTGGTGAAAATATACACAATCAGATGATATAGGTTATTAATCCAAATTTTTTAATGTTCAAAAAGTGATCTACTATTTTTCAGAAGTATTTTATAATTTTAGTACAGCTGGCAGTTGAAACTTACCATTACATTTCCTGACCCAAAGCATTAGATACAAACTCATTTGTTTTATCTATAGACATGAATTTAAACCATTTTCTAGTGACTAGATATTGTTGCTGGAACACGTGGAGCTTAACAATAAAGTAAGCGTTACATAGCCTTTAATAAACTGTGATTCTGTTTCATAATGTTTTGATGCCATAGATTATCAGAAAATGGTATTAATGTTCTTTCCCAAAATAACATTCATAAAACTTTCCCAAATCGCTTTTTAACTCAAACCTTTTATTTGATGCATTAAAATAATGTTTATTGGAGGGTTTTTTTTTTTGGATGAAATTGAGACATTCAGGTTTATTTTTTTAAACAAAGTAAGCTCATTTATTTAAAACTCACCACAAGCTATAATTTGCACACACTCATATGCAAAAAAAGCCTGGACAGCTGCACTGGTGACATAGGTACATCAAAAAGATCTGAATTATCTATGTGACAGAACTTCTGAAAAGCCTTTTTTCTTTGCATCTGTTTTAAACCGTTCTTTTCTATTCCTGCATCATTTCTCAAATGCCACCCATGCTGTCTCCATCCCTGCTTTCCTGATCTTCCTTTCCCTGCTCTATTTTTTCTATAGCACTGATCATCTTTTAATAGATAATACAAATTGCTTATTTGTCATGTGTGTTGTTTATTGTCAATTTCCCATTCTAACTTGCAAATTCCATGGGTAGGTATTTTTGCCTGTCCTGTTCCCTGATGTATTCCAACCACCAGGAACAGTGTTTTCTCCATGTCTATTTCTATATTGAAATATGAATCTAACTACAAGTATTACTTGCTTAACCTTTATGTGTGATTCGTCTTCTTTTTGCTCACAGCAACAACAGCAAAGATCATCCCAACTGTCTCTTACATTCAGATGGTTAATAGCTCTGATGACTATGGGTTGCCTCCACCAAAGTTAGAACCTGCTGTTTGAGTCTAAGGACCTTGGACCCAGCAGTCCATTATTCTTGTGCACACCAGAGTTACCACTGAAACTACTCTTCTATGATTCTAAGTGTTTGATCACTAATGCACTTAATTCCAAATTAACTTGAAAAAAATCCTTAATTCCTTTTGAAGTCATCTCAAATCATTTTGGAAACAGGGTCAATATAAGTAAATGCATAAATTTGCTGTTGAATTACACTTTCTTTTTCTACTTAATTTACGTTTTTTGCTAAGGAACCACTTTTCCTTACAAGCAGTATCAAGATTCTTTTATTTCAAAGAACTGTAGCACTGTGCAGATCTCATGTTTTCCTCATCTACCATTCATTTTTATGCAAATGCAAATTAGTCTACTTAAAATAAACACCAGGAACAGCTTTGTAGGGGATGATATCTCCTTGAAAGTGCACCAGACGTCTCTAGGCAAGCAGGGGGAGGTCTGAGGGCTTTGATTTCTCCTGTTTCTGTAGCACTATTGTTCTCTACACTTTCCCCACTAAGGGCTGTCTCCCTTAGGTTACTAACAGCTATAGCATTATCTTGCCTTCTGTAGTACAAGTCCTGAAGCAGCTGCTGTCATACTCTACAGCAGTGTTTTCCAATCTTGGAGCATGAAATCTGACAGTATACAGTAGTTGATTAAACTAGCTTTGTTTGTTTTTTAAAAACCAGAACAGCATAGTATAGAATATAATAAAATGGAACAGACTAGTATGGAACAGAGTAAGATGTATCAGAATACTCAGTAAGGTTAAGTATCACTTCATTAAGTAGTAATTTCTTATCATTTAATATCTATAATATACATGTATTATAGAATCAACAAAGAGAGTGCCATTATTCTAGGTTAGGGATTCTTAACCAAAAACCTATGATATGGGCTTTAGAGTTTTCATAAACCTCTTGAAATTGTACATATATTTGTGCTTATGTATGTTTTATATATGGATTTACAGACTATATATGTATATATACATATGTGTGCACCTATATATGTATATATAGTATGCATATACATATATTTTATTTCTTTATACACACAGTCAAGTCACGTGCTGCATAACTGTGTTTCCAGCACCAATGAACCACATATATGATGGTAGTCCCAAAAGATTAGAATCTTGTATTTACACTCTACCTTTTCTATGTTTAGTTATGTTTAAGTACACATATGGCCATTGTGTTTCAATTGCTTACAGTATTCAGTAATGTGCTGTATGGGCATATAGCCTAGAAACAATAGGCTCTACCATATAGCCTTGGGGTGTAGTAGGCTATTATACCACCTAGGTTGATGTAAGTGCCCTCTATGATGTCTGCACAACCATGAAGTGTCTAATGAGGCATTTCTCAGATCATATCCCTGTCACTAGATGACATATGACTGGAGATTGTTTTTAGGGACAGAATCGTAGCTGCTATCAAGCTTTCAAACTGGGCTTGTAACCTCTAAGTTTAGGAACTTCAGTTCTAGGAAAAGATATTCTCACTAGAGAAGTTCATGAATCAGGAATTCCCAAAGTCAATTAGCATCCAGTGGAGTTTTCGGCTATTCTTCCATACCAGAGCGGGCCATATTCTGTTGGTTTATTTTTTGAGAATTGTTAATCTTAAATAATAGATGAATTTGACCAGGTTATAAAAATCTCTTCATGTTAAGGTAATTCCTTCCTTGTCACTTAAAATTTACTCAATAAAAGTACTGGTTGGATATTTTTCATGTCCAGGCCATATCTCTGAACTTAAGAGACTTACAGATTAATAATGAACATTTGTTTATAAAGTCCTGGCTGCTAGGCATAGTTCTAGTAGATTTCACAAGGTTATTTTAGTACTTAACAAAAACCTTGAGGAAAAGGTATTATCATCCTCGTACAAGGAAACAGAAGCTTGGAGAGTTTCTGTTAGAGATAGATACATAAATTCACCAGCTTGGTAAGACACAAAGCTATAATTGGAACCTGTGTCTTCTAATGTGTTTTCCAGATGCATGTAAAATGAATGGATTTCTAAGAAGGTGAATCCTTTCATTATGTCTTTCATACTTATTTTACATTCTGTGTTTAGGTCATTATTAGTACCATTGGATCAAATATGTCACTGAAAGTGATCTGTTAATTTGTTGTTCAAATTGGTACACATTAGAATGCGAAAAGGTGCTCTACTGGTAATTACTATAGTCTCAGGCAAATCAGAATAGATGGTTACCCCAAATGACGCTAAAGAATCGTGTTGGTTTTCTTTAGGGCTTCTTAGTGGTCTAAGAACAGCAGATTTGTATTTGCTGTATAGTCTGGTTTTATCACATGAGCAATTCATTTGTATCGTATTCATCTGTGGATTGATTTGTGTAATTCTACCATAATTTTCCATTGGTCAAATGTGTCCTTGTTTCACTATAGATTTCTTAGTTAAATAAAGTTCAGAAATGATAAAAGAATTGAGCTACATATTTAAATGTCTGATTTTCTGATATATAGTCACCATATCCAGGAATTATTCCAACTTTCAGTATAGATGTTTTAACAATTATTGAACAAAAGTAATTAAAAATTATGTATAATTTTCATCATTGATTTTAAGGATATTATATATCACTATAATAGTAGAAATAATTTTTTACTTGTAGTAAAAAGATGTAGTCTTGAATCTTGGCTATATAATTCAGTCTTTGAAACTTTGAACAGTAATTCATGTCTTTAAATAAGAGCTTTCTCATTTTTAAAAGGATATACAAGTTTCTGCTGTAACACCTCAGAGGAACACTGTAAATACTAAATAAGATAATATGTGAGTGCTTTGGAAATTGTAAAGAACTTTAAAAAATGTATGTCTGTAGGTGTATATATTTACATATATACATTTTGATGTCTACATTCTCATCTACATTAAAGCTTAAATTATTTTGCTTTATAGATTTTAGCTAATATTTTAAAACTTTAAATAACTATACATAAACAAAACCTTCTATAGCTTTAAAGTAATAATTTAAAACCCCACCAAGGAAAGTAATTTCTAATTTACTTCATGGAGCTGTTTCCTAAAAACGCCCTGAAGATGGCACAATAAGTACATTTTGGTGCAAATATTACTAAAGAAGTTGTAAGAAAAATATATTTGAGGTTAAAACACTAAATTTAAAACAAGCCTTTTGTAAGTTTGTGGAAAAGAAATAGTTTCTGAGCCTTTTAACCAATGCCCATTGTTTTAATGTTACAGAAGTCATTTGTTTCATTGCAGTTTAAGGAGCACTACAAACAGGTAGCTAGTCAGAAAACTGATATTGTCACATGTTACTGACAAGAGTCAGGTTAGTTCATGTTGCACAGTTTTATCAATAAATTTACCCTTGTAATTGTAAAACAGCTGATAAGCTCATCTGTTATCTTCTGCATAATGTACAATCTGTATCTAAATGCCAGTTTTTATTAGGCATTATGGGGATAAGGACTAGCAGAGAGAAAAGTTGAAAAATATCTGTTTTATTAAAATATAAAATACAGTAGGCCCTATTTTTAGAAAAAATATTAGACAGTTATAATGATTTCTGTGGGGTTGTAATACTTACAAGTTTTAAAAATATACATCTATATTATAGGCCAACTATATATTTTACGAAGATGAAGTAGAACTCACGAAATGACAGTTAGTAGAAATAAAGGTGCCTTTGGAAATACACAGGTGTGAAAATATTTATGCTCTATCTATTTGAGTATCAGAGGTTACTGTTCTCAGCCATCTCTGTGACTTACTTGTTTCTCTATCACACACATATTAAATACTTATAATATGTATAATGTAGTCTCTACCTATTAAGGATTTAAAATCTAAATATGACCAATTATATATTCATATGCATACACATATAAATGTTACACATAAATTAATGTTATATATTGGTTGTAAATACATGTCCATACACATTCACTTACTCACGTTAAATAAATACCTAGGTGAAAAATAGGTTTTGTAATTAAATTCATATCTAAATCCTCGAAGGAAAGTTTGTGTTTTTATGGGTGTTGGCAAATTGTGTCTCACTGGAAGGGACTTCTTTAACTTACCTTTTGAGAACTGAACTTTAGTCCCAACAAAACTGATTTATTAGTGTTATAACTCTTCTATAATTTGTGTAGCAGGTTTTCCGGTCTTCACTAGAAAAACTCATAAGGATACATTAAACAAAATGATTTATTATGGCATTCTTAGAGCACTGAGATACTAGAGGAGCATAAGAAATTTTGACAATTTGGACGTTAATTACAATTTTTTTTCTGTGTCAATATCCCAAGGCCTGTTGATTTTTTTTCAGGATCAAAAGCAATATGATTTTTGGCGATTAGTAAATCACGGAAATGTCAATATAGTCTTTTCAATTTAGATGGATTGCTAAAAATTAAAATGATATGAAGTTATAGCATTTGGGACTTCATCAGTTTATAATTAGGAACTGAGGCTGGGTGCAGTGGCTCATGGCTGTAATCCCAGCACTTTGGGAGGCCGAGGCTGGTGGATCACCTGAGGTCAGGAGTTCGAGACCAGCCTGGCCAACATGGTGAAACTCCATCGCTACTAAAAATACAAAAATTAGCCGGGCGTGGTGGCAGGTGCCTGTAATCCCAGCTACTCGGGAGGCTGAGGCGGGAGAATTGCTGGAACCTGGGAGGCGGAGGTTGCAGTGAGCCAAGATCGCGCCATTGCCCTATAGCTCAGACCAACAACAGCGAGACTCCGTCTCAAAAATAAAATAAAATAAATAAAGAACTGAAAGTCTTATCATTTGTTTTGAGCTTTTCTTCTTGTGTTTCTTTTTGAATGAAATATCTGCTTATTTAAAATATTTTAGTAGACCTTTTATGTTCAAAATCTTTAGGTAGGGAAAATGGGAGTATATATTTAGAAAATTATAGATTGTGATGCTTACAAAAAAGTCATCATAAGTTATCAAAAGAATAATGGATGGTTCAAAAATGTCTAAATGCTTATGAAGCTGATTGTCAATGATGTGTTATTTGGAACCGTATGGGTCAATTTGACAATGTGTACTTAAGGATGTCAGGCGACATGTTGCTGAACTGACTGCACTGCCTCTTTTAAAAATGTTTTAAAAACTGGCCGTATATACATTTATCTATGTGGTCTTTGTTAGTATATTTTTCACTGTTTTAAAAATATTTTTAAAAACAATTTAAAAAATCTTAAAGAAATGAACAAAATGGATGAACACACTAAACAAGCAAACAACGAAAAAGCAGAGAGAGAGGAAAAAAAAAGCTCTTACCTTGCAACATGCTATTTTGAACTTAATCTGACAGAATCGCAGTCAGTCCATTGTTTGAAGGTTCTCAAAAGAATGTGAGATCTTATTTGATTGAAAGAAAACATGGCTTTCAGTCATAATTTTCACATTTCACTGGACTTACTTTATTTTCATTGTAGAGTGGTATTTCATGACCTTGGCAAGGTTATAAAACCATTCTGCATTGATGTAGCATATCCTATAGATGTTAGAATGACCTGGTTAGTATACCATCTCTTTCAAAGTAGTCCCAAATGATTATTAAATACATAATAATATATTGAATACTTTCTGAGATCCATAGTTTAGCATCCAGTGTCTCTAAGGACTGTTACATGTTAATCCAAGGAAGAAAACGGTATAATCTATATTATGATGAAAAAATCAATAAATGTGAATGAACAACATTGATTGATTTATAGACATAATGAAAAGTAGTGAAAATAGCTGAGAGAGTGATAATTTGCTGCTATGATATTTCATTGTAATTAATTAGTTGTTCATATTTTCTTAGTTGAAGAGATTTTGAAATTTGACTTTCCATATATTACCTGGGAGATGGCATTAAATGAAATAAAGCCTATTGTTATTATTCCCAATTAATAAAATCTTGTGTATTTGTTGATAGCATGCTTTTGTAAAACAACTTTTTTGGTGGCCACACAAGAACACACATAACAATGTTGTAGGCATTTGAAAAAGGAGCATAGTAAGCTTGAAGGGAGTGTTAAAAAATGGACTATTTTACCTTCATTTGCTTCACTTAATTGTTCTAAAATGTTAATAAAGAAAGTTGTTATTATATTTTTAAACTTTTTGTATTGGTTTCTTTGTTCTGTCTTATTGGGAGTATAGTTTTACTTATCTTTCTCTATAAAAATAGCAATCTGCAAATAGATATGTTTTAAAATGTCTATAGCCACCTATCAATTAAAGAGTATGTCATCTTCTGTTCCAAAAGACTCTAAAATAGAAGTCATTATAATGATTTAGATGTGACATTGTGTGAGTAGAAGGCTCTGTGAATGATCTCTAAATACTTCTTAGGGCATTAAGATTGTGAGACTTTCTGAATGAAGTTTGGGTGTTCCCCAAGCAACCATTAGTCATGGTAAGTTATTCATGTACATGATCTCCTTATCTTGTCTAAATAATCATTGTTAGCACATGACCTTTAGCAACATTCATGTTATGCTCACTGACAGAATGTAAAGGGACTCTACATTTGGCATGCTTAGTAAATGGCTTCAGGTTTTGGTTGCACTGATGTCTTTCTTTGTGAAGACTCTAGAACACCTTTGACTTCCTTTAGTAACACTTATTTGTCAGAGAATATTTAGGGACTTCAATGAGACACTCACAAAAGACAGTTCCTACCACAGTGGGTTCATCACCACCACCACCCTACTACTGTAGTGTTTTGGGTGTTTGTTGGCCACTGTGGTGCTGGGGCCCTCACTATGTCTTTGCTCCCTCCACCTCTCCTGCCCGTTGCTCCAACTCACCTTTCAGACTGATGCCAGACAAATCTTCCTCAAACACTGCTCCTATCGTGACCTATGTGAGTGAGGGTTTTGTGGATTATTTTTTCTTTGGCCCAACCGTGAAAATAATTTAACCTAATCTATTTTCCTTTTTGTTTTAAGTAAGAAAATGAAGAGTGAAATTCGGCATAGCCAAGTAATCAGCATCCAGCTGTTTCAAGTAGTGTGTAGCCCACCATCTCTTCCTCCTGTTTAATTAAATTCATTAAGTCCATTAAATTCGTCAAGCAGACAATGCTTGGTTTTATTCCCTGATGCCTAATTTTGCATCATATTGTACTGTGTATACCACTTCATGTCCTCGTGGAGATAAGTGCAGTATAATTCTTAAACAAGAAATCTCAGGCTTTTGCTCAAGAACTTCAAATGTTTCCCAGTTTTCTACTGTGTCAGTTCTAAGTTCTGCTATGTGGTTTACAAGATTCTCTGCTCCATGTATTTATTTACCACGAATTCTCAAAATGTACTCTCTGTCTAATTAGGCCTATTAAGTTTCTCTGAAGCTGTCATAGCCCTTCTCGCCTTTGCTTTCCCTGGAGCCCATCATCTTGCCTCTAATGTACTCTCTTTTCCCCACTCCTATGTCAATCTCACCATTCTGTCCTTGAGAGACTAACTCACACAACTTTTTTATGAAGCCCACTGTAATTATTCATGGATCTCCTTCTTTAATAGTAAATGTTTCTGTTTCTGTGCTGCAAAAAAAATCATTCTTAAATCTTGATACATTTTGCATTGACTCCTTAACTATATTATACATTTTAGGATTTTCGTGGGTAGGAATTATGTCTTAAACTTTTTATGTTTCACAAAATCTCGAATATAAGATTGAGGACTCATCTAGTAAGCATTTTGTGGCAGAGATCTAACCTCTTTTAATTCTTCTACATATTACAGATTTTTAAATTGCATAGGCTTTAGTTGAGATACGTGGCAGAAACCAATGTTTCCTTCTATTTCTCTGCATTCTCTAGCCTTCCATCTTGTTCTGATTAATGAACTATGAGCAGAAATGACATCAATTCCAGAAGAAGTAGAAGCCAGCAGGTGTGTCTCCACCATCACTGTCTTCTCCTGTGACTTGGGAGGCCTATGTTCCTGATGGCAGAGTAGCAACATGAAACAGGATTTGTATCAGATTTCAGGTGGACCAGAAATACATCTATGTTGTTTTAAGCCATGGAAACTTTGAAGTCTGTCTCTTGCAGAAGCTAAATTTAATTATCCTCAGGAGTATAAGATTCAAATGGTGGTATACATGTTTTGTGGAATCTTCACGTATATGTATATTTGTTTTATAGAATCTTCACATATATGCATATTCAATTTTATATACATGTATGTTTTATAGAATCTTCAAACATTAATTCAGATATTTGTATTCTCTAGAACTCCAGAGTTCTGCAACCTCCCTAAGAATCTCTTCAAAGTAAATTAACGTCATTCATATCTACAGCAAACAAAGGCACCTATATAATGGTTTTCTCAGTTATAGCAAATGTTGGCTTTGACTGCATTTTGACATTAAACATTGTTGATGCCATTTCTGAATCTACTGCATAGTTGTAATCTTAGTTGGAAATACTGTTGGTTACTGGTTGGTCAAGGAGATTAACCCCGGAGTTTGAGACTTTATTCAGAGTTCTTCTTTTGGACTTGAAAAAAAATCTGCTAAGAGAACTTGTCCCATTTTAGGTTATGCTGAAGCATGACAAGATGTACAGAAATATTCTGAATTCTAAAGGAAGCTCAATATTATGTAATCTCAATTTGTAGTATAATGAAAAAAGTGTGAATGAGAAAGTCAAGGAGTAAAGGTGAATTTGATATTCCATAACTTCAGTTTTACTTCTGCTATATATTTCTTTATTAATAGTAATAGAGCACATCGCCAGTCATTTGATAAGGAGTGATTAAAAAAATCCGTTACCGAGAAAAGCTATCCTTTTGAAGTTCTCTCATTTTAAAAAACACAGTTTTAAGTATCAGATTTTTTCTTTCTAAGTTTTAATGTTAACCATGAGCTCATGCTGTCATAGTGGCTTAATAAGAATTACTACTACATATAATGTGAACAAAAACCTTCATGTTTATTTTGATATTCAAAATGCAAAGTTGGACCAAGATAAAACAGTTAGTTATCCAGCTAATAAAGATATAGGTATGATAAGAGATACTTAGACAATGAAACCTCTCATATACTATTGGTAAGAATGTATTCTTCCTGGAAAGCAGTTTGAAAATGCATACGAAAATCTCTAAAAATGTATTCTTTCCCCCATAATCCTAGTTCTCAAAATCTATGCTAAAAGATAATCACAGATATTATAAATGTGTGTATATTAATTTTTCATAGTTCTTAAAAAACTATAAATCACTAAACGCCAAAACAAAGGTCACGATTAAATATACTTTGGTACATTTTGATGATGGCATATTTTGCAGTTGCTAATAAACAATTTTTAAAGATAACTTAAAATATTTAATGGTATGTGAAAATGTTTGCAATATTAAGTTGAAAACCGGGTATCAAACTACATATTCGATGACTCCAATTTAATAAAATTTATGTAGCTACTTTGAAAAAACAATGAACAGAAATACACAGAAATATTAACATCAATTGATGTTGGTAGTGTTTTTTGCTTTATAAATTTATACATATAGAAATGAAGAATATAGACAGACTTATAGAAACTACTAAATTATTAAGATAAGCATCTGTTGCCTTGATTAATGGAAATCACCAAATTCTGCGCCAGCTGTATGGAGTGTGTTGTAGGCCTGTCATCTTTCTGTTCATGCGGTTGCTATTACCTCAGAACAAATGAACAACAACAACAAAACTTTTCATCTTCTCAGACTACCTTACTTCATCTTAGCCACCAAGGACAGTGGAGGTGCCAGCCTCTGTGACAAGCCCTCCCTGCCCCACTTCAGATTGGGTTGTGTATTCTTCCTCGTTACTCCCACTGTGTCCAGCATATTCCCTTACAACGGTAATAAAATGGGATTGATTGCTTGGCTGGGTTCGCCACTGGATTGTAGCTCTGCAGATCTTTGAGGTCTGGAATATCTTTTCCACGTTCTTAGCATTATAGCACAATGACAGGCACACAAATGGCAGTCAATAAATGTTTGTAGACTGAACCATGTTTAAATGACTTACGGCAGTGTGTAATGCAGAGTGAAGTGCTGTCTTGAGGCAGGTTCCATTAAACTCCTGATTTGATTTTGCTCTGGAAATTTCCGGAATCTAAGTAGTCTGAGAGTCCTATATATAAAAAAATATACACATCAACTTTTGCTATTCAAAGATGATTTAGATAATTATAAAAACAATACATTAAAGTAATGTTGTTTTATATTTCAGGAATATTTTTCATTGATATATGAGAGTTTCTGATTAATCTGAATAACTAAATTTAAGCTTTCAAAGCCAGGATGTTAATGGTAGTCTTTAACAAATTGTACCCCCTTTTTAGACTCTGTTATAAATTATAAAGTGCACTGGTACTAAACTTCCCAACTCAAATCACAGTGATGTTTCATAAATTTATTTGATAAGGTTATTCATTAATTTGTGTGAGAAAGACAGTTGTCATGGTAATAGCTTAAAATGAACCGAAACACAATCCTGGTCATGTTTGCTAAAGCAGGTGAATCTGCTCTATTGTGTTGCATTTTTCTAATTTAAACATAACTGAAGCAAAATACAAAGGGAATTTAAAATGAACATTTAGGGGTGTTTTTGCTATATATATATATAAAATAAAGTTTCAAAAATCCCCGAATTTGGAGAGTCTGTTCTATTGGCATACTCGATATTCGCATTCCTGAGTTTTCCATAAAATGCAGATTTTATTCAGAATGATTCAGATCAATGCAACTGGACTTTCGTCTGATTTTCAGAGAATGAGTTAATAAAATGGCTGAGATGTGTCTGGAGAAGAAGGCAAACAGATAAGATTATTTCTGTGTACAAACATGTTATCTTTGATTCCCTACCCAAGCTATTTGGTTTATCATAACTTGCCATGATGATAATTAGGTGACAGAATAAATGAATGTGCTTTCATGGAAGAATGGCAGATGCAAAAAATAATAAAAAAGGCAATACCTGAGCTTGAGTAATTTTATTATTGTGCATTCAGAGAGTTTTGAAATCTATGGAATTCCTGCTGGGAAACAAATTTTCCTCACTGAATGGATCATTAAAAAGTCCATTTACTATAACAAAATGCATGTTCTGAATGTGTATACATTTGAATTTGCAGATTTTTTTCCCTTCAAGTATAGATGCTTGAATTTCATTGATATAATTTAAAAAGAGTGAAACAAATTTCTTAATACTAAGTAGTTTTATTTTTTTGTAAATGTTGCTATGTTCAAATAGCATTTGGCAAAAATCATTGCTTATAGCATTCTGCGTAAGGAAAATAAAATGTAGTTGTCTCTCAAATTGTAAGTTATACCTTATTGTTTACTTGAAAGTTTAGTGCTGTATTTTAAATAAAATATATTCAATGTCTTAGAGTAGCAGTCATCTCTGCATTTTAGAGCCAAAATCTCAAAACAAATCAGGCGTATGTGTGTAAAATATGTGCATATTTTTAACTGCTGCATAAAACACAAATATACATAACATTTTTACATAATCCCAGCCTCTTAACAAATGTTACAGTAAGATACCAATTGGTGAGGTTCAAAAAATTAAGATGTGGATGAAAAATAAAATTCTGCCTCTCAAAAATTGCCTGGAATGCCACTTACATTTTAATTCCAAGAAAACTCAAATATCAATAAGATAATCTTTTTGGATGTTTCACTCATAATGTAAGATATTCAGGTAGTTTTTAATTTGTTTAAATTTTAGGTTTGGGGGTACATGTGAAGGTTTGTTGCACAGGTAAACACGTGTCTTGGGGCTTTGTTGTACATTACATCACCCAGGTATTAAGCCCAGTAAAATCCCAACAAATTCACATATCATCTTATCCATGTGACAGTAAATATCCAAATAAACAATTAAAATTGAGTACTAAATTTTTATAACTTACTCTGTGCGATATTAAATGAGAAAATATTTAGTTACATCCAGGTAATTGACTCAGTTCCTTGTGTCTGGTATGTAACTGTTAAAATTGAAATACAGATAAAGTAGATTATTTAATTTTTGAATTGTGTAAATGTCTGTGTGTACCAAATGAGGAGAAAAGTCACAAAACCCAATTCCCAAATCCTAGGTATTGCATATGAGATGCAGGTTTTAGTTATGCAACAACAATAATGATTTCTCTGAACAGTACAATCTTTAAAAATAACTTTCGGAGTGCTGATTTTCATAATTACAAATAAGTGCAATTTAGCTAGTAATTAAAATGAAAATGTTAACAAAGGCTCTGCATTGATGCCTCATTTGCAAGTACAGGCAAATGTTCTGAGGCGATCTGTCTCCATGCTTAATTCTTACTTGAAAATTTCCCCGAAGATATTCCTTGCCTTACAAAGTGAAGTGAATTGTTTGAAAAAATATTAAAGAGTAATTTTCTATATCATTCTTTAAAAAACTATAATTATTCACAATATCTTAGGGTATAAGTAACAGCATAATAAACCTATTCTGGCAACATTACCCCCTCATCCTTACCAATTCATGTACTCAGATCCACTTTATATGTCTATTCCAGAAAATTTCAAGATGTAGTAATCACTAACAGTAATGTTATCCTTTTCAGACGGTAAAAATTTTAACTTTTTTGAATAATTGGAACAAATGACTTCTTTTAGCCAAGTACACATTTTAATGACCATACATTTTCTTGTTAGCAGACCTGTATATTAGGCATATTTACTACTATACTTTGATTTACCTTGAGATCAAGCTTTGTTCCATTGTCTAAATTTAATAGGTTCAAACATTTTCTTTACAAAAGAAAATGTATTACTATTTTATGAAGAATGTAACCTATGATTTTTCTAATGTTTCTAGTGAATTTTCTTCTGGCTTAAATAATATCTATTAAAATAAAGCAAGTTAAATTAACTTTGCAATCTGATTTCTAGTTCTTTTCTCTAGAGCCATTACAAATGACTTTTACTACAGTTCTATATCATTTATAGTATATCCTGATACATTAAATTTATAGAAAATGTACTCAAATTGATATCTTTTAAAAAATTTTCACTAAAGGGTGTATTCATACAAAATAGAATATGAATTCCACAATATGACTTGTTTTATATTAAAAAATTATTATTTTTAAAAATGTGTTTTGCATTATTTACATCTGGTGAAATTAAAATATGAAAGAAATACGTATCCATGGTTCTTTGGAAAGTGTAGTAAATTTGAGGTCTATGTATGCTTTATTTTAATGTGAACACAGAAAACCGTAGAGGTGATTATTTTTTCCCTTTGGAGATAAAGCAGTTGGGTAATGGATAGCAAGCCACCTGTCTTCTGCTCGGAGAATGTACTCTTGTTGCTCTGGGTTCAGAGAGAATCCCTCCTGGTACCCATTGCCATGTCCTATATTGTAAGTTAATAAAGTTACAGTCTAATGGTCTTTTTGAGTAAAGTACACTTCTGAGTCTCTTTTTGCCCAAAGGGTCTGCACTATTAGTAGAGTCATTCCCAGTGCTCCTTTGATATTTTGCTTTTCTGTCCTTTCTTGTGAATGAATTAGTAAGAACAGTGATATTAACTATTCACTTGCAGTGTTGGTTCCATTGCATTAAGTGGCCAAACATAATTAATTCCTAAAATCTAGTCATTTCCTCTGTCACGTTTATTAAGTCTGCAAAAGCAAAACAAAAACCCCATTTTATTAATACAGAAGTATTTTTTATTTGTTTTGGAGGCTTACTCAGTTTCATCTTTTTCTTTAGCATGCTTTTCTTGTGTAATAAACATTTATTCTCACAGCAACATATTCATTTCAATTATGCTATCAGTTAAATAACTTATTGAATTTGTGTGATCATTTTCCTCCCTCATTTATCTAAATTTGTTAGCGCCTCACGGTTTATGAAGGGTCATAAATAGTTTACTGGATTTATCTTTTCCAATTTTAATCTAATTCTTATTTACCCATGACTGCTGAAGTTATCCAACTATTGTTACTGAGATGATGTTGGGAAATGACAAAGAAAGTATAATTTGATGTACAATTTTGTACAATCTGTATTTTCTTATGCTCCTTCTGTTTTTGTTGTTTTGTTTGGCATTTTTCGAGACAGAGTCTCACTCTGTCACCCAGGCTGGAGTGCAGTGGTGTGATCTTGACTCACTGAAACCTCCGCCTCCCACGTTCAGGTGATCCTACTGCCTCAGCCTCCCGAGTAGCTGGGATTACAGACATGTGCCACCACCCCTGGCTAATTTTTGTATTTGCAGTACAGATGGGGTTTCACCATGTTGGCTAGGCTGGTCTTGAACTCCTGACCTCAAGTGATCTGCCTGCCTTGACCTCCCAAAGTGCTGGGATTACAGGCGTGAGCCACTGCATGTGGCCTCTTATGTTCCTTTTTAAAAGGCATTGAAAAAATGTGAACATTTGATAGTATCCTGTTGATTTTATGAATGTATCTTACTCTTAACATTTTTTTTCTTTAAGATATATCTGTAAATGTTAAGTAGTATTCATATTTTATTAACTGGCTATTTTAAAATTGAACTTTCTTCCCATTTGGTATATAACTAGCATTTTTCCACTTTGTTTTCAGAACCTGTTTCATATCCATGCACTCTGTTCCTCTAGGGTATTAGGTATCTTCATGTTAGAATGTAGGAATTTGCTAGGGAATATTTATTTATTAATTGTGTCCTATATGTTCAACATTGGAAAGTCACTTGGTGATCATCCATGAAAAGTCCTCTTGTTTTCTTTCCAGCTATTACACATTTTATCTATCTAGTCCCCACTAATACAGATCCATTATATCTTTTCCATATAATTTTCCTTGTTTGCCCCAAGTTATCTTCTCCATTGTAAGATCTCATCTGGATTAATTTTGAAGATTGGTAGAAAGTCCTTTCTGATACGTTTTCCATCTACTCTCATCCTGCTAGGCTCTCAGATGCTTACAGTTCCATTATTATTATTGTGTAAGTTAAACACTATTTTGAGTTATTGCTCTCAGTGATCACATAATGAATTATTATCTAAATTTTCTTGCCTTAAAATTTTAAGGGCCACATTATGGAACTGCTGGCCCATATTAAAAATGTGAACTCTGTCTAAAGAACCTTTTACTGGCCAGGCGTGGTGGCTCACACCTGTAATCCCAGCACTTTGGGAGGCCAAAGCAGGAGGATCACTTAAGGCCAGGAGTTTGAGACCAGGCTGGCTAACATGGTGAAACCCCGTCTCTACTACTTGGGAGGCTGAGGTGGGAGAATCACTTGAACCCAGATGGTGGAGGCTACAATAATTATGCCACTGCTCTCCAGCCTGAGTGACAGAGCGAGACTCTGTCTCAAAACAAACAAACAAACAAGAACCTTTTATCACTCTTCAACCAGTGTGCATTACTCAGACTTGGAAATCTTTTTTGTCCTTTCAGGGATAACCCCTACCTCTAGAATTATTTACTTTCTAAATTTGAGTGTGAAAATCTAACGAATAAGATTTGCCTTATTCTCTTTGATCTTTGTGCCACCAAAACTTGTGAATGTTTCATTTATTACTAATTCTCTATATTTGCAAATTGCACATTAAAAAAGGTGAAATCACATTTTTCAAAGGAAATTGTTTAATTTTTATCAATGAACACTTCTTAAAATGAAAAAAAGATGAACTTCCCTTACTTTCATTTCTAAATGTAGTTACATATTTACAGTAAGAGTTTAGGTATACATTTACAATGAGATGATTAACAGAAAGCATTAAATATCCTGAATTGTCAGATGGGAGAGCTTTATCCACAAAAACTCCTTGATCTCTTTTGCCTGTGAGCTTTCTCAGCTTTTGTATCTCATATAATCCACATTTGTTCTAATTTTATGTTGTCTGGAATCCTTTCATGTGTGTTAGATTTGCCTCTTGAGGTAAATGCTAAAGTTTTTTACGATAAAGCTTATGTCACATATTTGTATATTACCTCTATTTCTATATTTTCAAAAAAGTTAATTTGTTAATCAAAAGATTGAACTTGTTAGTTACTAAACAGATTGTCTCTAATTGTTAGACAAAGAATATTTATGTGAGCAATTGACTTTTAGCAATAGCACCATAAAGATAAAGGCATATTAATTTAAACCTTAATTTTTATGGGTAAGGAAAATGATCCATAGAAATTAAATGAACATTGAAAGATGATATGACAAAATTGTTCTTTTAACCTTTTTGAAATGTTCACTTTTTCTAAAATGTGCACTTTTGTACACATTATTCATCTTTAGCATCTTTAGTACTGGATCAGTAGAAATAGTATTTTTTAAATTTTACATGAGTGGCTATTAAAGCATACACTAGGGGTCTTTAAATTATAAAACCTAAACAAGGCCGGGCGCGGTGGCTCACGCCTGTAATCCCAGCACTTTGGGAGGCCGAGGCGGGTGGATCATGAGGTCAGGAGATCGAGACCATCCTGGCTAACAAGGTGAAACCCCGTCTCTACTAAAAATACAAAAAATTAGCCGGGCGCGGTGGCGGGCGCCTGTAGTCCCAGCTACTCGGGAGGCTGAGGCAGGAGAATGGCGTGAACCCGGGAAGCGGAGCTTGCAGTGAGCCGAGATTGCGCCACTGCAGTCCGCAGTCCGGCCTGGGCGACAGAGCGAGACTCCGTCTCAAAAAAAAAAAAAAAAAAAAAACCTAAACAAATGATTAATCTCTCCTAACACTAAAATATTTTAAAATTGATTACTACAGTGCTGGTAATGATGTATACCTGGCAGCTGACCGTCAAATCTTATGAAGGATTAAAACATAAAGTTTGCATTAAAGGTAAGATTTCTATGTATCTTATAACTGTTTCATCTCAGAAAACAATATAACAACTTCCTTTTCTAACAACCAGTATTTCTTTTTTCACAAACATAAATCTGTGAGCTATTAGCAAACACTGAATTGACATTCCATTGAAAAGATACACACTGAAATTTACAGTGTAAAATACATTTTATGTCCTCTTTATGGAAAACACAAACACATACCTACACATGCACACATACACACACTCACACTCACATGGAACTCTATCAACATAGCATAACTAACTGCAAAGTATGTATCTAACTAAAAACATCGTTATGGGACAATGATTCTCTCCTTGACCAAGCTCTTTTCAGGCTCCTCTGAACTCTTCTCAATTAGGCCCTGACTTTTGGGCTTCTGTGTTTATCTCTGCATTGTCCAGCTTTAGCAAGAATCGTGCTGAGCCAATTTATAAAAGCACCCCTCCATCCCCAGTTCTTGGTCTGACTACTCTCTGAATTTTATCACCTGGCCTGCCTTCAGCAAAACTCCTTAGGTCAGCTGAACAAATAATTACCATACCTCCTAGGAATTGTCCATCCAGCAGCCCCTGACTCTGCTCCTTTGCTATAAATCCTTTTTTCTTATTGTATCTGGAATTAAGCCCAGTGTCTCTCACCTGCTACAATCCTCCATTGTAGTAGCCCATTTTGAATTAAGTCTTCCTTATCATCTTTAACAAGTATCTTCAGTAATTTTTCTTTAAGATAAAAATATATTCCAGCAATTCAGTTTTTACACATTTCCTCTTAGATGTTTATCATTCTGCTTTCTTATTAGCAATTAAATCATAAAATATAGTTATATTCACATTTAATATTTGCACACTTACAACATGTAGTCTTTGAATCAATAGCCCTAACACTTAAAATGTGCTTCAGAATGGCCTTTTCTCCTTAAATATGTTTTTCTTAGCCCACTGGATAAAAATGCAAGTTATTGTATTGAATAATATAAACCAGTACACATGTTATAAGCACCATATTATATGTCTCTGCACAAGACAGAAGAATGCATTTTCCCCCTCAAATAGACATTTAAGTTCTGAGAACAAAACAATACATAGGAAGTATTAGAGAGAGGAGGTTGGAGCCCCCACTGAACAACATGAAGCCCCTCACCTGTTTGTCCCCTGTTTGTCCTCTGTCACATCACCTTTTCAGTGAATTCAATACCAAGCCTTAATGCTGCAGTTAGACACTAAGCAATGATCTTTTGTTCATTAACTGTATACTCCTTGATGTTCAGCTCTCATTTACACAATGTCAATATGCTTCTTGCAGTTCTTTTTGCTCTTTCAAACAAACTATGACCTTTAATTGAAAGGAGAAAATTAGTTATGATACTGTGGCAGGAGATACCTTCTGGGACTTGAATTTGCCAGAAAAGATAGTAGCTAAGAGTTTGGTGCCGAGAAATCTGGGAGTAGAGAAAAAATAAAGTGGAAATAGAAGAAAAGTGACATGTGAAACATATTTATAATAAACAGATTAATATGAAATCTACATAAAGAGAATAGACTGACGCCTGAATATAGCATTCATTGTCTTCTGTCTCAAATTTTTATTTTCAAGGACTGACAGTAGGCTGCTTGTGTGTAATGATAACTGGCTTTTTTCCTTCCTTTTCTTTCTGAAATCATGCTGTTGGCGGTTAATCAGTCATAATAATAATGTTACAGTGTCCTCAGCACTTGTCCTCCTAAAAGCTTAAAGAACACAAAATGTCCTGGTTCACTCATTGGTTTTATTTTTCCCAAACTCCATATCCTTCCATTGCGCAGCCTCTGGGCCCAATTAAATGATTTTTAAAAATTAGGTTAGTAAAAAGAAAAAAATGGCTTGTTTTTTGTAGATGCAAAGACTAAATGGTCCCCCTACATTGAGGAGCTGACACAGACAATGATAACAGAAAGATGAAAAAGCAATAGAATCCTTGCATGTGCCCCCACCCGCTCCCCTTCCCTCTTATTCTTTGCAGGGACAAAAGAAGGCAGCATTCCTTTTTCCATCATCTGCTGTCACAATACTGACTGGCTTGCCTTGCAAAATTACCTCTAGAATGACACAGAATTTGTACCAAGTGCAGGCAGATGACAAAACTGAAGATCAAATAATATGCAATTGAGAAATGATTTTTAGGTGCTTTTCAAAGCATTAAAGGCTTCTAGGTATTGGCCCCGAATAGTGGTGTTTATTTCATGAATGCATGAAATGGATCTGGCAATTTTTCAATAATATTGACAAACATTACCTCCTCTTTGAAGCCTTCCTCAACTTGCCCAGCCAGAAAAAGTGGTCTAAGGACTGCTCTTATCAGAAGAAAGCTTTAGGCCAATATCTGATCATCTAAAGGACCTTGAAGGATTTAAAGTTACTGAATATTTGAAATAAAGGCCATCTGAAAATTCTGAAATATATGATCACTATCTATTTTATTCCATTTACCTATTGCGACGTGACAAACCAGCCCAAACTTAGTGACAAAATGTCAATCATTTTATTATGCTTAGACTTTCTGTGGATCAGAAATAAAGGCACATTGCAGGCGTGGTTTTCTCTGCTGAATGTCAGGGCCTACCCTGGAAAGCCTTGACTGGCTGGAGGTGACTCACACTTGTGAGTCATCTGCAGGTTTCTCCATCTGCGAGTTGGGTTCTTGGGCTGGGGTGACTGGCAGGCTCAGCGGGGACTGTCATCAGAGCACTTACTTGTCCTCTTCCCAGGAGGCTTGGCATTCTCACAGTACAGCTGCTGGCTCCCAGGGCCTGTGTTCTGAGAGGGAACATCCAGATAGTAGAGATTCCAGAAAGCCGGATAGAAACCTTATGCCTCAGGATCTTGCTTTGGAAGTCACATAGCATCACTTCTTCTGTTATCTACAGGTCAAAACAGTCACAAGCCTGCTCAAATTCGGAAAGAGGGGACGGAAATGGAACCTCTTCATGGGAGGAAGGTAAAAGAATTTGGTACCGTCTTTAAGACTACCACATTACACCGATGGCATCTTCTCCACACTTTTAGCACAGCCTCTCTGCAGCTCGATGATCTGCAGTTTGTTTTCTCTTCTCCCCAAGTGACTATGAGCTCATGCGGGGCAAAAATTATTTATAACCTTAAAAAATTATATCCTAAGAAACTGTTTATTAAAATGAGACACTATAAATATTGAATGAAGTTTACACACACACACACCTAGAGAAAATTACAATGCTAATAATCAAAGACAATCTAAAGTCTATGGTTTAATCTCTTACTTAAATACATTCATTTGCATTTGAGTAACTCGACAGTGATGCAGGGCAGGCGACCCCCGGAAACTGGGGTTTAGCCCACGAGGGTTATTGGCTTCACCCAGGAAAGAATTCAAGGGGGAGCCAGTGGTGTTAGACAGCAACTTTTATTGAAGCAGCAGCGTACAGCAGCGGCAGAGGTATTTCTCCTTGTGGAACAGGGCCACCCCATAGACAGTGAACTCAGAGTAGTGGCTGAGAGCCACTTCTGTAGTCATATTTATACCCACTTTTAACTACATGCAAATTAAGGCAGGATGATGCAGAAATTTCTAGGAAAAGGATGGTAACTTCCAGGTCGTTGGGTCACTGCCATGGAAAGGGGTGGTAACTTCCGGGTGTTGCCATGGCAATGGTAAACTGATGTAGCACACTGGTGGGCATATCTTACGTAATGTTGCTTTTGCCCCAGATGCCCTGGACCTTTTAACTAGTCCTCAATCTGGTCCAGTTTCCGAGTCCCTGCTCCAGAGTCGAGTACCACCTCCTACCTCAATGGGCAAGAGTCTAGAAAATTTAATCCTTAAACCTGGTAACTTACATAATTATTTTTGTTTGGATGCATTCTAATTGTTTCAAGGTTTTCTAGAGATGGACAATTGAGAAGGTGGCAGTCTTGCCTATTTCTAGCAAAATTTCATTAAATAAATGCTGGCAGACAACAACAAAAAAGCCCTAAAAAGAGTGTTTGTTATTTTGCCCTCCAGGTGCAGATTGAGATGTGACTTTTATCAATTAAGAAAATTGATCATAAGAAAAAGGAGATTGTGACTTAGAAGCTTTACCTCTAGATTTGTCGTTTATATTCAAAAGTACATTGACAGTCCTCTGTTCCTTGAACAAGACAACATGCCTCTTTGCAGAGCTCTTGCATTAGCTTTTCTTTTGTCGAGAATGCTTTTTCCATAGTATATACGTGCCTCATTCTGTCACTTTTTTTTTTTTTTTTTTTTGAGATAGAGTGTCGCTCTGTTGCCCAGGTAGAGTGCAGTGGTGCGATCTTGGCTCACTGCAACCTCTGCCTCCTGGGTTCAAGCGATTCTCCTGCCTCAGCCTCCCCAGTAGCTGGGACTACAGGCAGGTGCCACCATGCCCGGCTAATTTTTTTTAGTTTTTTTTTTTTTTAGTAGATACGGGGTTTCACCGGGTTAGCCAGGATGGTCTCAATCTCCTGACCTCGTGATCCACCTGCCTCAGCCTCACCTCCCAAAGTGCTGGGATTACAGGCGTGAGCCGCCGCGCCTGGCCTCTGTCACTTTTTAAAAACAACAGCTTAAATGTCAATGCATTGTCCTTTTCTAACTATACTTTATACAGTCGTTACTCCTATCAGTCTATCTAGTTTTGTCAGAGTATTTACCTAACAGAAAACTACTTATTTGTTTATTTATTTAAGTCAACCTCCCTTACTGGAATGTAAATTGCATAAGCATAGGGCCTTTCAGCTTTATCTTCTACTACCATTCTAGTTCGTAGTACAGTGACTGTTGCATAATAAACAATATACAATTGTTATATAAAAGAATGAGTACAAAGCATATAAAGACAACCTCCATTGTACAAGGGCATGGAGAAAATAAACAGTGATACATTTAATGAATTTATGTATTGAACAATTTTAAACATCACATCTAAAGAGCTTAACAAGTATTTGTTTTTATAGTTTTTGCTGAAGCACCAAAATAGAGGCAAAGTTTTGTAGAGGCCAAGTGCTACCTTATTCTCAAATGGAGTTTTAGATCATCCATGAATTACTTGCAAAAGGGACGTCCTGAAACTCTGCACCACTAGACCATCGTACACCTTTAATGAATTCTTAGATGCATTTTATATATGATGTATGTACATAAAAATGAATGAATTCATTAGAAGACATTTTAAAAATGGGAATTTCCGTGGACAAAGAGTTTTAGGAAAGTTGAGTATTTCTTTTGAAGCTACGTGAGGAGAGCTTTTGGAAAAGCACTAAGGAATCTTGATGCGTATGCTTCGTGCTTCTGTAGACACACAGTTGGCACCTGACTCAGATATAAAAAAGTCTCAAGGTTTTATTATCGCTGGCAGAGCAAGAGGAGAGATGGCAAGAGTGAGACACTGCAACCCACCCACTGATGTTGGGGCGAAGATGCCCTAGGCCAGACCTATAACACATAAATAGAAAGGAGCTGGACTTGAGGGACTTGATTTTGAACAGGACACTGTCAAAAGCCCCCACCTGGGAAACTGTACTAATAGCCCCCACCTGGGAAACTGTACTAATAGAAGAGTCAGCGTGGGGTGGTGTGTTAGTTTGTTTTGATGCTGCTGATGAAGACATACCCAAGACTAGGCGATTTACAAGAGAAAGAAGAGGTTGAATTGCACTTACATTTCCGCACGGCTGGGGAAGCCTCACAATCATGGCGGAAGGTGAGGAGGAGCAAGTCACATCTTAACGTGGATGGCGGCAGGCAAAGACACAAAGAATGAGAGCCAAGTGAAACAGATTTCCCCTTATCAAACCAGCAGATCTCACGAGACTTATTCACTACCACGAGGACAGCATGGGAGAACCCACCCCCACAATCCAACCATCTCCCACCACGTCCCTCCCAGAACACGCGGGAATTATGGGAGTACAATTCAAGATGATATTTGGGTGGGGACATAGAGCCAAACAATATCAGGTGGACTGCCAGTAAAAAGGGGCGGGCGTGTGTTAATGCTTTGGAGAAGGCATTGTGTCTCTGATAGGAACTACAGGTGAGAGAGAGATCCCAGCGACAGAAGGTCGCCAAGGAATCTGTGGGAGAGGAAATAAGAATTTGCCTGTCTGTTCCCAGTTGTTTGAGACTGGGGAGAAGACGATGAGAAAAGTTTTAAATTGGATGAGAGGTTGATACTCAGATATTAGGCAGAAAGGAACTTTTATACCCCTGAAAAATGAGAGTTCTTCTTAATAACTAACTAGAAAAAAATGTCAGATCGGCCTAATATTTCATCTGGGGATAAATAAGGACAGTTCAAAATTAGAAAGAGCAGTAGTGAGGAAAAAAAAATGGTCACTCTCTGCTTTTAACCTGACAACTCTTATTCAGTCAATTTAAATGTTATACAGGTTTTAGATAAAATACTAACAAGTAAAACACCTATGATAGAGTTCTGAGTAAAATGTACAGCATTCTGTACTTCATAAAGAATATAAACTCAAGTTTATTATATATATTACATGTTCTCTCTATATTCTTTCTATATAATCTATTATATGTGTTTTCTCTAATAGTAATTAAAAAAACCCCACACATACAGGTATCTATAGAAAAAATTGGATGCTGACACACTTACCTAATGTTAAGACAATTTTTTCCCCAGGGATTGATTTAAGTTTTCTTCTTTATATTTATTTCCTCTGGCCCTGGAGGCAGTGTATACTTTACTCATTCTTTGATGCAAATGCTTTTTTTTTTTTTTTTTTTTCAGACGGAGTCTCACTCTTGTCGCCCAGGCTGGAGTGCAGTGGTGCTATCTCAGCTCACTGCAACCTCCTCCTCCTGGGTTCAAGCGATTCTCCTGCCTCAGCCTTCCAAGTAGCTAGGATTACAGGTGCCCGCCACCACGCCCTGCTAATTTTGTATTTTTCGGTGAGACAGGTTTCGCCATGTTGGCCAGGCTCATCTTGAACTCCTGACCTCAGATGATCTGCCTGCCTCAGCCTCCCAAAGTGCTAGGATTACAGGTGTGAGCCACTGCACCGGGCCGCAGGTACTTTTTTGAATCCTTTGAAGGTGTCTGTTGGAAAATGTGATTACACTTCCCAGGAAGCAGGTGATAATCTCTCCCTAAGCCCCTTGACAATGGATGGTCCAGCCTCCTGTTGGGGTTGCTTGGTCCTTTGGCATGATTTAAAATTTCTTAGGCAAATTTTTATTTTCAGGTAACCACTCGCTGGTTGATGAGAACCACCTGCATGCTGTTGCCCCTGCTGATGAGGGAATTCTAGCTGGTTCCAGGGCTGCTTGTGCTTTCTCTGCACAGTACTTTCTTGTTATTACCATGGCCTCTTGCCTTTATTTCATAGGCCTTTGTCAGACCCTGGGTAACAGTTTTCCTAAATATCCAGGGCTCCAGGAGGCCCTTTTTCTAGGCTTAAAACTCTCCTAACTTCTTCCCAGTCGGGAAATTGAGACTTAGAGCAGACCAACAACTTTCTCCTAAAATAAATCACCTCCTCTATCTGCAGCCTAGGTCAGCTTCTCTAACTCTTTTACCAGCTGGAGGCCAGTGATCTGCTAAGGTCATATGTGTGCACGTGTTGCTGGGTGAGTCTAGCTTTCTATAGGCTATGGGAGTGGTTGACATACATTTCCTAGGACTTCGTCATACACATAATGGAAATAATTCCATGTGAGCATACCATTTTTAGCTTACTAAATCCAAAAGTATATTAAAAGGTACTTTATGATAAATAGAAGAATAGAAGAATATTTTCACTTTGTAAAAGTTTTCAATGTTCTAATTCACTCATTAACAGTAAAAATCACATAAATATCTTGATAGATGCTGAATAAGAATTTTATAAAGCTCATTATTTATTTTAAAAATTGAAACAAACAACTTATAAAGTTGAATTTCTACCATATTATGTATTTTTTAAATTCTCATAAAATTGAATGGAAACTTCCTTAATGTGTTAAAAGCTTATACCAAAATATAATGTAAATATAAATAATTGATGCATATACATCAAATATCACATTTAAAGATTAGATACATTATCTTAAATTGGGAGCAAAACAAATGTCCAATTTTAATTATTGGATTTCAATAAATCACTTGAGATTAGGGCTAATTCTTTGGAATTCATGTAAAAGAAATATGGATTTTGAAAATTTTGAGAAAAAAATAAAACATTATAACTCTATGATTACAGAGATATGATCTGCATGAAATCCTAGTAGAATTAACAAAGAATGAGTGTTAATAAGAGAACTGAACAAGTTTGCTAAACATGAGGTCAACTTTCTCAATTCTTCAGCATTCATTTAAGTAAGTAATGCCAACCAAAACAAAAAATAATGTAATATAAAACAATAGCAACAAAATTTTAAAAGTATTTAGAAATTAACCTTGGAAAGAAATCTATAAACCTTTATAATAGAAATTTTAAAATTGTAATAAAGGAAATTAAGGAAGACCTAAATAAATGTGGAAATCTATTATGTCTTTATTTAAAAATATAAAAGTTTTTATTCCAAAATAAATGTATAAGTTCAATGTAATTTCAATAAAGATTCAGTAGTACCTTTGAGGAACTGAACGTATATACGTATATACAAAATACACAGATACAAAAATATCTGTGAAAAAGTCAGCTGACAGAAGAGAAACAGGATATCTTCTTAGTGATATATAAATGTATTACAAAGCCTAAGTAATAATAATATAGGAAATAAAGAGTGAAAATATTAATGTAACAAAATAGAGTTCAAGAGCAGACCCCTTGATCTGGGAACTAGATAAAGATGAAAGTGGTATCATGTTCAGTGGCAAAAGGTTGAATGGTTCATAAATTGTTTTGGGAAAACAGACTTACAAAGTATAAAAATAAAATTGGCCTTCTATTTCATAGCATATACAAAGGAGGACTGCTGATTGATTAATGATTTAAATGCAAATAGTAAAACCATAAAAAATAATGGGGCTATGGAGACTTCATTACAGAACCTTAAAAGCACAATGTATATGGATTTAACTGCAATGGATTTATCAACATAAAAATTCAGGATATTTTTCCAGCAATGAATATTACAAAAAATATTAACAGATGGACGACAGATTGGGAGAAGATATTTGCAAAGGGTTTAATATTAAAACTATACAAAGAATGTCTTCCAAGTAACCAAAAAGATGAAAAAATTAGTAAGGAAATTGGCAAAGGATATAAATGGCACAAAATGACTGAAAATTATGTGTATAGATGTGCAACCACATTAGTAATCAGATAAATGCAAAATAAAATAAAATACTACTTCACAGTTATTGGAGTCCCCAAATGGAAAAGAAGCTGTGTTGATAAGAATATGGAGAATTGATGCTTGTCATCCATAGCTTATGGGAACATAGAGTGGTGCAGCCTTTCTGGAGGAAATTACATGGTGGATTTACAAATGCTTATATCGTACTACTCAACAATGTGATCTTTGTTATTTTATTCTGGAAAAATCTTGCCCCCATTCCAAGCAGGGACATGTTTTGTGGAAATAGGTAATTGGAGGCAACATAGCTATTATTATTAGGGGAATGAATAAAAGCAAAATGTGTTGATTACACACTATGGTTGTAGTAGTCTGTTTTCATGCTACTGATAAAAACATACCTGAGACTGGGAAATTTACAAAACAAAGAGGTTTAATTGGGCTTACAGTTCCACATGGCTGGAGAGGCCTAACAATCATGGCGTAAAGCAAGGAGGAGTAAGTCACATCTTACGTGGATAGTGGCAGGCAAAGACAGAATGTACCAGCAGGGGAAATGCCAGATGCTTATAAAACCATCAGATCTTGTGAGAACTCATTCATTATCATGAGAACAGTAAGGGGGAATAGCCCCCATGATTCAATTATCTCTGCCTGGCCCCACCCTTGACACCTGGAGATTATTACAATTCAAGGTGAGATTTGGGTGGGCACACAGAGTCAAACCACGTCAATGGTATTCATAATCAACATGTCTGATCTTAAAAACTTCATGTTGACTAAATAAATAGAAAAGAGAATATTGATAGCATAGTAATAATTACAAGTACCTTCACAAAACATTATCCTTGTTTTAGAAAAAATTCTCATACTGAAAAAAAAACCAAAAACATGAAATCAAGCATTTATTCCATTGATAGATGAATGGGGGTAGGACTCAGGGAGGAAGGTGAGAAATATAAGATAAAATATATAATAAAATAAAATAAAACAAAATGGGACCTTTAAGACTGATGGTGAACATGTATCATGATTTATGTGAAATGTTTAATTCAGTTATTTGGACCTGTGGTAAAAAATCAAATACCAAGGGGTAAAAATTAAATGAAATTTTATTTTAATGCACAGGAAAATTGATCATGCAGACAGGTCCTATTCTACTATCAATCTCTTTTTAGGAAATCCCTTTACAAACAGTAGACTGTTGAGCATTGTTTCTTCACATTTTCTGTATGTGAAGATTTAAAATATTAGGCATTTTTGAATATGGAATTGATAATGTATGGTGAAGGCAATTTGTGTGTTTTTACAATGCTATCCAATACACAATGAGTATGTAAAACATTTCTGTCAACTTCAAGTGTGCCATTTTGTTCTATTACTTGCCAATATTTTCACTGCATGAAACTAATTTGTTTCTGAGGAGTTGGTGACTTTCTGTAACATATTTTATGGACAATCCAAAACAATCCATTAAGCACTCCCTCCCCACACTCCCTGTTTTTCTGTTGACATTCAGATTCAACACATTTATAAAATTAAGGACTGTTTTGCCAATCTCAGGTACCAGGTGTACTACACTTTGAGGGTTATTTATTTTCTTCAAAGTCAGACTGGATTTTGGCCCATACATCATTTGAACTTCTCTCCTTGCATTATTTGTCTATAGGAGAAATATTGATTGGAAAAGCAGTGTAGAATAAAGTTAAAGTTAGGTATCCTATATAATTTTTCCTAAATAATTAAAAATGTTTTTTTAAAAAGTGATGTTAAAATTGTTAAGTAAAATCCAATATGACTGATTCCTGTATTGACTTCCCAAGGATTAAAATCTCATTAGATAAGCATGTAATATGTCTTACATGATAAAGTATCCATAAGAGTAGCTAATAGTTTTCTTAGCATGTAACATTCAAAACTGAGCAATTAATAATATGGAGTGAGCAGTAGCTAACAGTATTTAAATTTAATGAAACCTTCACAAATTCATGTTCTTCCATTTCACAGAAGGAGAAAAAGCTGATATTTAACAGTATTCAGTTTTTTGGGGGAATACTTTTTAGGAGTAATAATATTTTCTAAGTGCTTATTCAAGATAAGTTTTACATTATGGGAAAATGCAAGTTATTAATTCTCATTAGATTTATTTAGTGTTCTGTCACTCTTACATTTTTGGAGATTTTCCTAATAAGATATGTATATTTTGGCATCCAACCTCTCAATATCTTGCATGGTATTTAATATTGATATAGATATTCCTTTTTGTTATCCTGGAGTTTGAAAATGCCAGCTTGTGGTATGTCCTTTGTATATTATGAATTAAAATATTTGCCATTCTTTAAAATACCATGTTATCCATGATTCATCTTTTATTAACATTAAATCCACAGACTGCCATAAGCATAGTCTTATCACAGTTTCTTCTCACCTAAGTATTTAACAATATAAATCAATGTGTTAGACGTTCTTTCATGTGCTACTAGGGAAAAATAACTGGCTTTTAAATGATTTTTAGTTGTAATTATAACAATAGCTACAGTTCTTCTCCTGATGGCTTTTTTTCCCAGGTGGCCTATTTTTATCCTGACATTTTTGTCCATCCTATGAATTTCATCATAGGGAAGGAACAGCAGTTTGTCTTAGAGCAGCTCAATTTCAATCTCCAGGTGACAAGCTGATATTTCTTTCCTTTGAAGAAGCTTTTAATATGATGGGTTAAATGTCAAGGAAGAAAAAAACCATCATATATTGAACCTTGATAACCTCATTTCTCTTAACATATTGACATTTGATTTTTAAAAAATGTTCTATTTTTTAACAGATGTCAAGATTTTTAAATAATGCATTTATTTAGGTATCTTGCACCTTGTTACAAGTCATTTAGGGTAAACACATTATTTTGGTGAATACAAAAGAAATAAAGGTATTTACTCATCTTCAGCTGATAGTGTAAAAAGAAAAACTGAATTATTACACTAAAAATTCTGTGATAGATTGTATTCATTTTAGTTTAAAAATGGTATCTACTATGAATAACATGAAGGAGTCAAAAGACTGGAGTTAAAGAAGAAATAACTTCTATTTATTAAATGGTAAAAAGAAAGTAAGTTACAAACAGGAGAGTTTAAAATGGTTTCTTACACTGGCTTCTGAAATAGATTTTACATTACTTTTTTTTAGAGACACAACTATTTAAATATTGAGAAAATAGAACATTATATGTTTACCGTTTACCTAAGGCCATTAATTATACAACAAATATTAAATGTAGTAATGTGTCTAGAATTGGTGGGTTCTTGGTCTCACCAACTTCAGGAATGAAGCCAAGGACCCTCACAGTGAGTGTTACAGTTCTTAAAGGCAGCGTGTCCGGAGATTGTTCCTTCTGATGTTCGGATGTGTTTGGAGTTTCTTCTTTCTGGTGGGTTCGTGGTCTTGCTGGCTCAGGAGTGAAACTGCAGACCTTCGCGGTGAGTGTTACAGCTCTTTAGGTGGCACGTCTGCAGTTGTTTGTTCCTCCCAGTGGCTTCATGGTCTCACTGGCTTCAGAAGGGAAGCTGCAGCCCTTTGCAGGGAGTGTTACAGCCCATAATGGCAGTATAGACCCAAAAAGTAAGCAGTAGCAAGATTTATTGCAAAGAGCAAAAGAAGGAACCTTCCACACTGTAAAACGGGACGCCACCAGATTGCTACAGGGGGCTCGGGCAGCCTGCTTTTATTCTCTTATCTGGCCCCACCCACATCCTGCTAATTGGTCCATTTTACAGAGAGTCGATTGGTCTATTTTACAGAGAGCTGATTGGTCTGTTTTGACAGGGTGCTGATTGGTGCATTTACAATCCCTGAGCTAGACACAAAAGTTCTCCACTTCCCCACTAGATTAGCTAGATACAGAGTGCTGACTGGTGTATTTACAAACCCTGAGCTAGACACAGAGTGCTGATTTGTGCATTTACAAATCTTGAGCTAGATACAGAGTGCTGATTGGTGTATTCACAATCCCTTAGCTAGACATAAAGATTCTCCAAGTCCCCACCAGATTAGCTAGATACAGAGGGCGGATTGGTGCATACACAAACCCTGAGCTAGACACAGGGTGCTGATTGGTGTGTTTACAAACCTTGAGCTAGATACAGAGTGCTGATTGGTGTATTTACAATCCCTTAGCTAGACATAAAGGTTTTCTAAGCCCCCACTAGACTCAGGAGCCCAACTGGCTTCACCCACTGGGTCCCGCACCAGGGCCACAGGTGGAGCTGCTTGCCAGTCCCGCACCTTGTGCCGGCACTCCTCAGTCCTTGGGCGGTTGATGGGACTGGGCGCCACGGCGGAACAGGGGGCGGCACTCCTCAGGGAGGCTCTGGCGGCACAGGAGCCCACGGTGGGGGGGTGGGGGGTGCTCAGGCATGGCGGGCTGCAGGTCCGGAGCCCTGCCCTCCGGGGAGGCAGCTAAGGCCAGGAGAGAAATCGAGCGCAGCGCTGGTGGGCGGGCATTGCTGGGGGACCCAGTGCACCCTCCGCAGCTGCTTGCTGGCCGGGGTGCTAAGCCCCTCACTGCCTGGGCCTGCTGACCACTCTGAGTGCAGGGCCTCGGAGCCCACACCCACCTGGAACTGGCGCTGGCCCGCAAACGTCACGGGCAACCCTGGCGTCACGGCCCGCACCTCTCCTTCCACGCCTCCTGGCAAGCTGAGGGAGCTGGCTCCAGCCTCAGCTAGCCCAGAAAGGGGCTCCCGCGGTGCAGCGGTGGGCTGAAGGGCTTCTCAAGCGTGGCCAGAGTGGGCGCCAAGGCCGAGGAGGTGCTGAGAGCAGGGGAGGGCTGTGAGGGCTGCCAGCACGCTGTCACCTTTCAGTAAGCCCCTTACCAAGCTTGAAAAGTAATTTCTTTTCAGTTTTACAGCATAAAAACAAAATCAGGTGCCGCAGGAGATGTGATTCATGACTCTTACATAGCTTTAAAATGAGGAGGAGATATGGGAGGTTTTTAGCCTCTTAAATAAATGCTGCAAGTATAGCTTACTCCATTTATTCTTTCTAACAATCGCTATACACACAAACACAAGTATGAACACATATAAGATGTGTAGTCTATACTTTTAGGATAGTAGCCACTAGCCACATGTAACTACTTAGGTTTAAATTTAAATTCATTAAATTTAATAAAATAAAAAGTTCGTTTTCTCATTTTCCCATTTTAAGTGCTCAAGAATCACCTGTGGCTGCTGGCTTCCCGATTGAACGGTATAGGTCTAAAACATTTCCATCATCGCAGAAAGTTCTATTGGACAGTGCTGCTAATTGATTTCTCAGTGTGGAAGGAGGTGTCTTTAAACACCTTTGATTCTTTCATAACATTACATTCAATATTTTAATATCTAGTCATACATATTTTCTGCTGTTATGGAGCTACAGTATGCATCCATGAACTTTTCACAAATTTCTACTTAAAAAAATCAATACCACTATGTACTATCAAGTTCTTAAAAATTTAAGAACTTAAAAATTAATGTTTAAGAAAATTTAAAATTTAAGTTTAAGAACTTAAATAACAGGACAGCTTAACCACTCATCACATCATAGAGTAAAGAAGATACACTTTCTTAGGAGAAATAAAAAAGATTAAGTATTCATGATTGGTTACTGCTGTGGTTTGAATGTCTCCACCAAAACACATGTTAAATTTAATTGCCAATGTAACAGTATTGGGAGGTGGGGCTTTTAACAGGTGATTAGCTTATGAGGGCTCCACCTTCATGAAAAGGTTAATGCCCCGATGGAAGCAGTGGGTCAGTTATTACAGGAGTGGGCTCCTAATAAAAGTGCAAGGTGGACTTATCTCTCTATCTTGTGGAAGGGTGCCTTCCACCCTTCTGCCATGGGGTGCCATTCACCAGATGCCAGGGCCATGCTCTTGGATGTCCTAGCATCCAGAACCATGTGCCAAATAAATTTCTTTTCTTCATAAATTATCCACTCTGCAGTATTCTGTTACAACAGCAAAACACAGACTAAGACAGTTATTTACTTTGCAATTAACCTTTAAAAAATTAGTCATTCTTTCATTTGTTTGAAGGCAAGATTTTGTTGTTTGAATTTGTGGCCTCTACTGAAACTTCTCTTCGAATAATTTTTCTTCAGACTGTGTTATTTTGTAATTGCATAAGGAGTCTGACATTCTAAAGAATGCTTTGAGGGAATTATCTTTTTCTAATCTGAAAAATTATTGGTAATAAGGGCCATGGTAATTTCAATTTCAGTTTCAACAGAATATTTATTATATTAAAACACAAGGGGCACAATTTACAAGGCTAGTATGATATATTAGGTGTAGTTTAAAAATGATAAAGTGCTTTAACTAAAAGTTATTTTATATCAACTTAATTCTCTATCAAAGTAAGTAACTTTATCTCTATCAGAGAAAAGTTAAACTGAAGTTCAGAAAGGTTATCTAAATTAATGTAAGTTGTGATTGCAAAGTAAGGATTTAAGCTTATGTCCTCCAAACTTGAAGTCCTGTTTTTCAATTCTATAGCTGTGGTGTGCTGGTAAACCAGCTCGTAAAATTAAAAAAAAAAAAAAAATTAGTGCTTTGCCACATCTGCTGACTTTTGTGATGTAAGTACTCCCACTGTGGCTAAATTTAAGCTACGAATGATTTAAAAAGCGGCTACAAAATTGTCAAATATTTCATTATTGCCTGTCCTGAGTCAGTCTGAGTGACTGCAGCACCCCAGTGCCACTCTGCTTTTCTAATATACAGAAAAATTGTGAGTGAAGGGGAGTAGGTGGAAGAACATTGTAGAATTATGGAGAGTCACCCTTTTCTGCTCCTGAATTTTATTACATAGTATTTTCAACGAGGGAGATCTATCTGAACATTCATCCAACTATGATTATTGAAGGTAATAAAAATACATATCTATAATTATTTTCTATTGGAACTTTGTTGCATGGTACAACAGATTCTAAAAGAAAAAATCTAGTGTACTATCATTTTCAATGAAAATTCAATTTGATTCTCTTTTGTGCTCTCTCAACAAGCTGATGCCAGGCTGGCGTCCAACCACAGGTAAAGAATAATGCTGAATGATCAAGTAAAACATAGGAACAACCACATGCATATCTTGATATTACATGTCTCCAATGATGAGACTTTGTCCTCAGAACAGAGGAGATAACTTTCGACTCAACTGACCATGCTATCTAATAACTATCATAAAGAACAGCATACCATTATACAATGTTAAAACTATTGGTTTTGTTTTTACAGATGTTCTCCAAATTATAATTGCAAATAATCATTATTAAAAATTGCACTTAACAGGCCAATTTGTTCAATTACATGCATGCATATTTTGGTGTTAACTGAATTCTCTAGGTGCAATGTTGAGGCAATGTTACCCTAAATCTAATACAGCATTCCACAGAAGAGATGATCTTTGATTGAAGTGAGAGCCTGGTAAAACCTCAAAAACATTCTCAACTAAAATGATCTCTATCATGCTCAAATGTCCCTGCACATAAAGCCACCCACGAAGCATATTAAAAAAGGCGGTTCTGTAGGCTCCACTGCAACGGACTCTGAAGGAGTACGTTTAAAGAATGGTTGAAGAACATGTACTTTCCACAATCACACCATATGGATTTGATGAAAGTTTAAGCTTCTACTGAAATAGAATTAAAATAGAAGAAAATTAGGTATCCAAACTTCACTAACTTTAGGCCTCTAAACACATAGTTTTCTAGTTCTTAAAGACTTTATATCGCCTTAAGTACATTTCCTTAGATCCTCTTTTCCTGCTTTTAAATTTTGTTTGCATTCCAGTTCACCTTTTATTATGCACATTATACATCGCTTTTCAGTAAAACCTGTCTTGACCCACCCCCGAGTAAATTTACCTCTCCTCTTTCATTGCATATGTAAAATCTGCATTTATTCTAGCATCTATTGCACTCCAGTGTCCTTTCGTTTGCTTCGTTTTGATCCGTAAGGGCCTGCAGCCTTCTTGAGATCAGGGATCCTGTTCATTTTGTGTTCCCTATCAGTGACTTGTCAAATATGTCGAACAGATGTCTGAACAAATCAGCTTACCTGCTACCAAAATTGCCTCACAGAGTTAGGCTTTATTGTTGGGTTCTTAGGCCATTAAACAAAAAAAATCCTGGTACACATTTTAAAGGCATCCCCTATTTAAAAAAAGTGACCAACATATTTCTGCGCGTTCTTTATGTAAGAACTCAGTTAATAAACTTCTTTTAGAAAAGCTTTGTCCCTCTTAAGGAATTCATATTATTATGAATTCACAACTCTGCCTATCCAGGTTTGAACCGTGTTTCCATCAGTTACCCTCTGAGTGACCTCAGGCGATTTGTTTAGGATATCTGTGCTTCAGTTTTCTTATCTTTTAAATGGGGCTAAGCTGGGCACATTGTCTAGTGCCTCTGTAATCCCAGCTACTCAGGAGGCTGAGGTGGGAGAATCCCTTGAGCCCAGGAGCTGAAGACCAGCTTGGGCAACACAGGGAGAATTGGTCTCTAAAAAATAAAATTAAAAAAGAAAACGGGGCTATAATCATAAGCACTTCTTGAGCTTTGACTAAATTAATATATGAAAATAACTTATAATAGTAAGAAAACATTGTAAATGTTGACTATTATTTCTTTTTAAAAATTTTGAGGCTTATATTTCTCACATTATTTTTCTTATTCAGGTTTTGAAAACATTTGAAGGTAATATTAATACCATTCACAGTAACTGACCACATCAGTATGTTTGCTTTCTTCTGCTTCTTCCTATTTTAATATGATGTTTCTGCACTGCCTGGTTTATGGTATACCTGTGAGATGCCCACTGTATGCCTTGATCTTTTATTTCAAGTTGTCTTGAATAACTTGCAGAACATCTAGAGAGCAAATTATTAATAAATACTAAATAGCCTTGGATATTTTACCTTTTAATGTATGTGCATATGATCTTTACATATATATATATATATATATATATATATAAATTTTTTCCTGTCTATATTCTCACTCATCAGATGTCACTTTTTGCATTTGTCAATATATTCTACCTAACCTCTCCACCCTAATTTGTTGCTGTGCTTTGGGAAAACCAAATAATCACATAGCCATCAGCTGTGTTTATCTCAGAAAGGACTTTTCGAAGTCTTTAATCTTAGTGAGTAGCACAAATGACATTTTGCTTGCATTGTTGGATAACTTTGGTAGCTATCACCTGATTTAAATAGATGGGTTTGACAGATAAATAATATTGGATCATAAATGAGACATTAAGGCTAACTTTATTCATTTGTAGCAGCTGTTTCCTTTCCCAAAGCAAAGTCCAAGAAAGTATAAATAACAGGATTTGAAGATGATAAGCAGCAATAAGCAGTCACTTTGGAAATGTCCTCAACAGGACATAAATCAATAAGTTAATAAAAATATCATGTTTCATGGATAACAGGAGCAGGAAACATACATTAAAAAAACTTTCAATACATCAAAAAAGATGGGATATAACTGAATTCCTAGAGATGAAGAGAAAAACCAACCTCTGATTTCAGTTTCCTGAAGTTTTCGTTGGCCGACTTTTAATCATTTACTCCAGGCACATTGATATTAACAGTATCATTGTTGAGTTCCCTCCCCCTCCAGTCCTAGACTAGCTTTAGAAGGGGACCGTCCCAGCACACCTTCTCCTCAGAACCGAGTGGAAGCTTTAGTTGATGTGCAAATGTGCCACATTGTTTAACAAGAAATGTTGGATTTATTAAAAAAAAAATGAGTGAAACTGAAGCCTCTGGGCAAAAGGAACTGGGAAGGAAACTGAAAAAGAAAAAAAGGATGGTTGTGATTAACAACAAAACAATTTCACTTAAAATAATGAGGAAAGACATCCATTGTTTAGTTAGAAATAGAAGCCCAGATTGGCTGAGCTAAGGTGGCACCAGGAAAGACAGAATTGGAGCTTATTTTTTCAATTTTCTATTTCTGTATCTAAGAAGTTACTTTCCTCGTAAGTTTGAGTATGGACACAACTGTAATACAGTGTATATTGGCATGGTTCCTATACTTCCAGGTTGCTCAAATCCAGGGTCAGTTATGTTCGTCATACAAGCATAAGAAGGTGAAATTAAAACATTTTCCTGGGAAACTGATATGTGAGGAAATGTTAGAAATAGGATTAGAGTTAAACATTTCACCCATATTTACCCCACCTATCCTCCTCAACAGTCCCCAACATATTTACAAAGTCTGTTTTTGCTTCAAAGAAGGAGGAATTTAGCAAATTATTATTTTGATGAATATATATTTATTCCTTCTCATCACCCCATAATTGGTTAAGTCCTGGGCACTGATCCCTTTATTTGTTGCTGCAGAATCCTTCCAGATCCTTCCTTGGGTCTACTAGTCTGCAATTCCTAATAAAGATGTTATTCATTTATTTTTGTAAATATGTTTGTATTTGCTCAGACTTCTGGGATCTTATGATTCCTCAACGAGTCTTTAAATATAGGAGGTAATGGCAGTGAGATTGAATCAGTAGTTTCTGAGTGCGCTGGGGTAAACTTCATCAAGTCTAGATTACCTGTAAGCATGGAGTTTGACTAAGTAGTCTCTCACCTGTTAAGCTGCTGTTTGCAATTGCTTTGCTGTCAGTGTTCAAATTTATGTGAAGCCTGCAATCACACTTAATTCATTTTGGGGAGAGGAAAGAAAATACAATTTAAGATCTAACATTCTAGATTTCCTCTTTCATATATTTATTTAAAAATATTTGTTAATTTCCTTTAAAGGGAATGTTGTATGCCTATGCACAGCTATTTTTATACAACAGAAAGTGAGAAAGAATTTTGGGTAAGATTAAGAGTGACACCATTGGAGCCAAATGTCATGGGTTCAGAATCTTAGCTTTGCCACTTTGTTTGTGTAATCATGTTTGCTCATTGTTTTTCTGTTTCCCCATTTCTAAAATGTGGTCCTAGTGGTATGTACCTCACATCTACTTTATAGGGTAATTGCAATAATTAAATGAATTAATGTATAGAGCAGCTGGTTAGTGCTATGTACTATTGTTTAATAAATAGTGCTATGTAACTATTTAATTCTTATTTAAATGTCATACGATGTGTGTATATATGTATGTAAAATATTATATTCTCTATATACATACATATATACATACCTACGTACAGACATGGCATTTTTTTTTCTTGTGTGTTGCTCCTTATAGTATATACTGAAATATGTATTATAGATGTTCAAAAGATAAACTAAAATATTTTAAAAGAATGAGTATGACTCTCACAAAAATATAAAAAGAATACATGCTGAATATTTTATTTGACTTACTGATTCATGAGAGAACCAATAAGACATTAAGACTGATTCAAAGAAGGATTCAAAATACATACACATACATACATATAGGCCATCAGGGATGATTATTAATAAATTGTCTTACTGATATACACATGTACGTAACTAATTATACATATGCTTATATATGTAACAATCAGCTCTTTATCTGCCTATCATTTTGTCTATAATTTTATTTCCTTAGCATTTTGCTAATTATTGTGTACATTATATGTGGTCTCTGGATGCTTATAAACCTTATTTTTAATTTGTCCTCACTTTCCTTTGTGTAATATAAATTTGAGTTTTAGTTTCAGAGAACTTATCGCTTGGCCAGGATGATTTCCTGCAGTGTATTTCATTCATTGTCATGATTCTGCTTATGCATCTAATAATGCTTCTATTTACAAATTTACCTATTCTCCTTTTTTTCTCCAATCCTTGAAATCTTTTCTGTTGTTTCACCATGCTAACATTTGCATTTTCCAAGGACATTTGCTTTTCTTTTTGCAATTTTTCATCATCTTTATGTATAAAACCCTAGTTTTTACTCCCCTATTTTTAGAATATGTTAAAATGTTAAATTGTCTTGTTCTTTTTGCTTTGTGTCTTTGCACAGTGTACACCCTAAGCATTTGTTAAACCCTTCTATCACATACCCAATGTCCATTTACATTTAGCTCTAGGAAAATTTTTCTCACTTTACCAAGTGTCTTCTCGAACTTTCATGCAAAATCTACATCACTGACACAGAAGACTTTTTTGCTTCGTACTCTACTTCTAGTGATATTTGAAAGATATCTCACCAAGAGTTTTATTACTCATTATCATTGCTTTAATTATGTATTCCTATAATTCTTTTGTGAATGTGATTAAGTATCCTCTTTTCTCATTATTGTTCCTGGTACAACTTCTAAAATCTGCATCAGCTGATTCCTTTCTCCATCATTACAATTTAAAATCACCTCTTGACTGTGTTCATCATTCACTGAAATTATTTCAAAGTCCCTTCCTTGGATTAATGACTCCTTCTTGCCTTGTTCTGCGCTCTCCTTTCTTTGAGAGATAAATAGGTAAGTAGCCCATTCCATAATCATCAACTCGTGAGATTAGAAGATAATACTAGAAGTTATTTAGAGTTGATCCCCTTGATTCCAGATGGAAGGGAGGATACTGAAACTTTCCGAGTCTGATGGTTATCTCTTCAGAAGGAGATTTGGGAACATCTTCTGTGAATAAATTTATTTCTATGCTGTGATGCAGAGTTACTAAAAGTGAAGGTTCAATTAACAGCTACAAATTCAAGTAAGTTTAAATCACATTACTGCCAATTATCCTTTGCTGGTACGTGCCAAAGGGGAATATTAACCAGAAAATTAGCACATTGAATGTTTCATTCATATACAAATCAAATTCGAGCAAGATGTCTCTTCCAAGGAGAAATAGCAAGACATGTATCCTTCGCTATCTTTGTAGGACAAGAGATTTGGTAAGGTACTAGTTTTTAGAAAAAACAAAACAAAACAACTATGAACCTTTTAAATAATTTTGTATTTGTTTTGTGACATTATTTAATTGTTGTAAAGGCAGAATATTTCCAGAGTTGACATTTATAAGTTTTCTACCTACTTCGTTATCTATCTTGTAACACATAATAACTTTATTTATTTGTGACTTATTACATCAACAGGAGGACAATTTCCTTTTTAATTTTTTCTTTCTTTTTTGGGGGGAGTAGTCTTACACTGAAATTGAGTGGTAGATAAAAACAATTCAGGGAGAAGCATCAAAAGTTTGCAGTGTATTAATCAATAGTAAGAAACATTCTTACAGCTTTTTCTTACCTTTGACTTTTATCTACTCTTTTTTTCTCTTGCTGAAATAGCTAATGTCCCCTATTCATCTATCAATGTTTTAAAACTCTATTGAACTATCACCTTTTCCGGGAAGTGTTCTCTCAGTTTGTTTTGACAAATCTTTCTGCACTGTCACCCAGTGTGTGGGTTTCTCATTGCACTGTGGTTAGAATGGCTTGTCTATGGATCAAACTGCGGTACTCAGCTATGAAGTCCTTTGTTGGTGGGATGATTCTTGATTATCCCTGCATCTTTGAGGACTAACACTGCATCAGACATTTGGTGAATAGAAATTTATTTATATTTGATAAGTAGAATTCTGACCCACAGTTTTCTGTTATTTTGGTCAAAATAACATTATCACATTAAACAAAAGCAATATTGCATAAGTGATACAGAGGTTTAACAAACTCATAGGGCATATGCAATGGAGAAATCAAAACAAAAGAACAATCAAAACAAAAGCAACAACAAAGAGACAAAATAAAACAAAAACAGGAAGAGAGAGGCAAGAATAATTAAAATAAGTGAATTTGCTAAACCCTACATGAACTGCTACAGATTTGGTAGGTGTTTGTGCCAAAGACATGAATCAGCTATCTTTAGTTTTGTAAAATTGATGTAGGAAGGACATTATGGGGAGGAGACATCAAGAATTCTCACAATTCACAACTCTCCTCAATGGCTACTAAACCTTTCAAATAACAGGTAGTGTGGTGGCAATTGTGGTGATAGTGGTGGTCTTAGGGGTGAAATTTGATTGCCTGATGATAATTGAAAGACAGTCCACCTCCCTTTTTGAAGCATCAATTTCTAAGAGATGATTCATGAAAGACCTTCGTAGAGAGTGAGGGATTGAAATCTGATTGTCTGCTGAAGCTTGGAGCAAGGGGTGGAGGGGGAGACTGAGTTCAGGAACAGACTTACAGAATCAAGACCATATTCAGATTCAGGCCTAGGGTATAGATACACTGCTTGAACAGATTCTACTGTTTGCTGAAAGGGTGCAGCAGTCTAGCTGTCCTGGACCCTTATTTTGACAACCACAGGAGGCAGGGCTGAGACATGACTGGTAATTCTCTTGGCAATTTCAAGTGCCTTGCCACAGTCACCCCTCACAATGGCAGGTTATGTGTTTTTGCTAATACTTTTTTCTGTTTTTCCCTTGAATTTCTTCAGATTTCTTAAATGCATTTAATCTGATCCTGGTACTTTGTCTTCTATCTGTTTTACCCATTCAAACTCTTCTTCCCTGTGACATTTCATAAGAGGTGAATTTTAGCAATAGAATGAGTATAAAATGACCCTTGGAAACTGGAACCACAATAATAAAATAACTATCTGAGGTTCACTAAGAATAAATATTCCTGGGAAAGAAAAACAAACTGCAATAGGAAAATAAGCAAACAACAAAAAACTCCAAATGAGAAATGAATGTGAATAAATTACTACCTATGGAAGTGAAAATAAGATGAAATTCAAAAGCTGAATTTGACCCTAGTGTTTGCTCCAACTCTAAAAACAAGCATGAAATTACAATCAATAGAATAGGGACCAGCATTCCTAAGGCGGGTATTAGAATCCAACATGAGAAGAATGCAGAGGATGTAAGAGGCTTAATAAGAATATCATCATGGTGTTTGAAGGATTCCATCAATTTGGAATAGTTTACCTGTGAACAGATGATTGAGAAAAGGCTTCTAGGAACTTAAAATCTATTCTGGAAAATAAAACAGTTATAGAATAGTGCCAGACCATGGGCAATGATTTCTAAATTGTGAGGTTTAGACTAATGATTGTGTGTCATTTTGGAGAACAAGTCCTATGAGTTGGACAAAGTATAGATATTTACTTAGAAGAGGTTGAATTTGGGCCGGGCGCGGTTGCTCATGCCTGTAATCCCAGCACATTGCGACGCCGAGGCAGATGGATCACGAGGTCAGGAGTTCAAGACCAGCCTGGCCAAGATGGTGAAATCCCGACTCTACTAAAAATACAAAAATTAGCCGGTTGTGGTGGTGGGTGCCTATAATCCCAGCTACTCGGGAGGCTGAGGCAGAGAATTGCTTGAACCCGGGAGGCGGAGGTTGCAGTGAGCCGAGATTGAGCCACTGCACTCCAGCCTGGGTGACAGAGCGAGACTCCGTCTCAAAAAAAAAAAAAAAAGAAGAGGTGGAATTTAATCTGACTTTTTAAGGGTTTTACGATTTAGATGAGCCTGGATACTGGGGCATATTGGGATATTTCACATGAGAAATAGGAAAAGCAAATTTACATATATTTAATTTGGCATAATGGATGGCCATGATGTAGGGTGTTTTCCATGAAAACTTTTTTTGGTATTGTTTAAATGCCATCATAGGTAAAGGCAAGAATAAAAAAATTCGTTTATGTCTCACTTGCTTCACTCTTATTTTTATCAGGATTTTGGTGACCCCGGGTGAAGAACTATATTTCACATGCTATTTTATATTTGTTTGAAAATAATTATTAATAAAATACATAGCCATAAAAATATTCAAAATTCATGTATAGATTATTAGCTTTTTTTAAGTGAAGTAAGGGTGGTGTTTTAAACAATTATTAATATCTTGACTTATTGTAGATTCTTTTTTTTAATTAAGAAACTCACCAGACACTTTAATACTATGCCCTAACTAGGTCCCTTATGTCTCTGAATTGCTTGTACTGTGAGAGGAATCACTTAATACAAGCTTATTAGACAACCGAGTAGCTTGGAAATCCCCCGCTAGACCTTTCAATAAGGTTTAATCAACCAGGTAAGACCCTGATGAGGCTGGCAATTAGACTTACTGTATTTTTTAAATGGAGATGCTGAGTTTCAAAATATTAAAATGCTGTTTAAACACAGTGATGACAAAATTGGAGGTGCTATTGCAGCCACAAATCCAAATCCCTGCCCCCAACCCCCACCGCCACCCTTCAACCCTGTGATTCATTACAGCACTTTGTTGAATTAACAAGTATTAATTTACCTCTGAATTGCTACTAGGAATTTAGCCTGATTCAGTATTGCCATTTGAATGGAGAAAATAGTTGCAGTACTAATAGGTATTGCACTGGAAATAATTAAACTGAGTTTTTTTAACTCTCCATATCTCTGAACTGAATGAGCATTTCTACTTTAGTTTTCTCTTAAAAAAATACACACATATACTTATATATGTGTATATACAAATGTACAAATAGAAATATATGTATATACGTGATAATATATGGGCATAGTAAAAAAATTCAAAATGTGTAAGAGGTTATATTATTAAATATAGTTTATCTCTTCATTCACCAGGTTTTTAAGTTGCTAATGTAAGGACAAATAAAAATTGAAGTTAGAAGCTTAATTCCCCTCTTAAAAGCAAGAGAATGTCTCCCTTACCTTTTCTTAGAGCGTTTACTTTAGGAAACTTGTAATTATGTCATTTCTTGGTCTCTGAAATGTATGGAAAAATTTTTTAAAGCTAAATAAGCTTCTGACCAGCTTTACAATGCAGAAATGTCTTTCTCAAGGACCAGGAATCACCTCTTTTAAATTTAATTATTAAGCAAAAAAGCACCCCACCTCCCAGTTTCTGTGGGAGGGTAGGAGCCTAACTCCACTGAACATCTCACTCCAAGTTGCAAAACTACCTCTTGTCATAAAGACGAGTTTACTTCTCAATTGGATAAATCCAATTAAGTCACACAAATGATCATCCCAAATATCGAGTGAATTTAGGATGAATTACATGTGACAAATGGTGCTGTCAAGTCCTCTAACTTGAGGACTTGGCTATATAAACGGGTGAGGTTTCCTTCTGTTTTTGCAATCCCTTAGCAGATTTTGTGGAATGCACATCACATTCTGGTTTAATGCTCATTCGACGATAAAATTGTCTTCTTTCTCTTCTACCTATATAGCAAGTTTTTCTGGGTTGGTAGGAGATTTTGTTTTTAATACTATTTCCCCCAACACAAAACAGACACCACTCTGGTTCTTAACAGAGAAAAGGGATGAATTTTAGGTATCTAAGATACCTAAAGGATTCTCCAAGATGATTGGAGAGTCTGAATTGGAAACTAACATAATATGACCATTAAATCTGGACAGGCAAGCTTTGTAGCTTGAAATACAAAGTGAGAAATCGCCTAAATGTAGGGATAATTTTCAAACACATTGGACAGCCAAAAATATCTAGTATCCACTACATCCTTCCAGCCCTGTCCCTCGTCTTTATTATTCTCAAATGTCACTATTATTAGTTATGTAATACATTCATGCACCATATAACATTGACATACCACGTATATGAGATGGTCCAATAAGATTATAATGGAGTTGAGAAATCCCTATTGCCTAGTGATGTCCTAGCTATCCTAATATCTTAGCACAATGCAGTCATCACTCATGTATTTGTGGTGATGCTTGTGTAAACAAGCCATTTGCATAAAAAGTATAGCACACACATTATGTACAGTACATAATACTTGATAATGATACTGGTTTATGTATTTACTATACTATACTTTTTATTGTTATTTTAAAGTGCACTCTCCTGAGTATTAAACAACTGAACTGTAAAATAGTCTCGGGCAGATCCTTCAGGAGTGCTATAGTTTTGATGTTTGTTCTCTCCCAATCTCACCTTGAAAATTTATTCCCAACGTTGGAGGTGGGGCCTAATGGGAAACGTTTGAATTCGGGTCATGGGGACGGGTCACGGGAGTGAGTGAGTTCGCAGCCTATTAGTTCCCATGAGAGTTGGTTGTTAAAAAGAGACTGACAGCCAGGCACGGTGGCTCATGCCTGTAATCCCAGCACTTTGGGAGGCCGAGGGGGGCGGATCATGAGGTCAAGAGATCGAGACCATTCTAGCCAACATGGTGAACCCCGTCTCTACTAAAAGTACAAAAATTAGCTGGGTGTGGTTGCGCTCACCTGTAGTCCCAGCTACTCGGGAGGCTGAGGCAGGAGAATGGCTTGAACCCAGGAGGCGGAGGTTGCAGTGAGCCGAGATCGCGCCACTGCACTCTAGCCTGGCAACAGAGCGAGACTCCATCTCAAAAACAAACAAACAAAAAAAACAAACAAAAAAAAGAGACTGAGGCCTCCATACCTCCTCTCGCTTCCTCTCTCACCATATGATCTCTGCACACACCAGCTCCCTTTCGCCTTCCACTATGAGTGGAAGCAGGCTGATGCTGACGCCATGCCTCTTGCACAGCCTGCAGAACCACGAGCCAAATAAACCTCTTTTTTATAAATGACCCAGCCTCAGGTTTTTCTTTATAGCAACACAAAACAAAGACAAGGAGGTATTCCTTAAGAAGGCGTTAGTATCCTAGGAGATGACAGCTCCATGCTTCTTGTTGCCCCTGAAGACCTTCCAGTGGGACAAGATGTGGAGGTAAAGACAGTGATATTGATGATCCTGACCCTGTGTAGGCATAGGCTAATTTGTGTGTTTGTGTCTTTGTTTTTAACAAAGACATTTAAAAAGTGAAAAATTAAAACAAAAAATTTAAAAATAGAAAAAGCTTATAGAATAAGAATATAAAGAATAAAGAAAGAAAATATTTTGTATAGTGGTACAATGTGTTTGTTTTAAGCTTTGTTATTACAGGAGTCAAAAAGGTAAAACATTAAAAAGTTTATAAAGTAAAAAAGTTACAGTAAGATAAGTTTACTTTTTTATTAAAGAAATAAATTTTTGTTTTATAAATTAACTATAGCCTAAGTGTACAGTGTTTATAAATTCTACAGTAGTGTACAGTAATGTCCTAGGTTTTCACAGTCACTCACCACTTTCACTGACTCACCCAGAGCAACTTTCAGTCCCACAAGCTTCATTCATGGCAAGTGCCCTATACAGCTATACTATTTTTGTCTTTTATACTATATTTTTATTGTACCTTTTCTATGGTTAGTCAGGTTTAGGCTATGCAAATACTTACCATTTTGTTCCAGTTGCTGATAGTATTCATTATAGTAACAGGCTGTACAGGTTTGTAGCCTAGGAGCAATAGGCTATACCACACAGCCTAGGTGTGTAGTAGGCTGTACCAACTCAGTCCGTGTGAGTACAGCCTATGATAGTCACACTATGAGGAAAATGGCTAATGATGCCGTACTCAGAATGTATCCCCATCATTAAACAGTGTTTGACTGTACATCTAGATAAACTACGCTGTCCGGGTGCAGTGGCTCACGCCTGTAATCCCAGCACTTTGGGAGGCCAGGGTGGGTGGATCACGAGGACAGGAGATGGAGACCATCCTGGCTAACATGGTGAAACCCCATCTCTACTAAAAATACAAAAAATTAGCCGGGCGTGGTGGTGGACGCCTGTAGTCCTAGCTACTTGGGAGGCTGAGGCAAGAGAATGGCATGAACCTGAGAGGCGGAGCTTGCAGTGAGCTGAGATTGTGCCACTGCACTCCAGCCTCGGTGACAGAGCGAGACTCCATCAAAAAAAAAAAAAAAAAAAAAGATAAGCTACGCACATGCAGGCAGACAATATGAAAAATACACATTCTGTCTTGAATATTGTTTTCTTACATTTTTTTATTGAAGAATGATAAACATATATAAAAGTAGACAAAATATAAATGTACAATCCAAAGAACTATCAAAGCTAACACCAACATAATCACATCCCAGGTCAAGAAATAGAACATGGCCACATCCCCAAACTACTGCCCTGGCGCCTCTTGCAATAAGTCACTTCTCTCTCCTCGTTCCTGAGTTTTAATACCATAGATCATTTTTTTGTGTGTGCCTATTTCTGAAGTTTATATAACTGGAATTATATTCTTTTGTGTCTGGCTATTTTGGTTCAAAATTCTGTTGGTGAGATTATGTTTGTGAGTATAGCTGTCTGTAGTGCATTTTATTGCTCTATGGTATTTCATTAACGTCAGTGTCCCCCTGGTAATTTGCTCACTTCAATGTGGATGATTTCTGTTTTCAGTTTGAGGCTATAATACATTAAGCTGCTATGAATATTTTGAAAGTGTCTTTAGGTGCATACGTCCATGCAGTGCTGTTCAGTAGATGCTAGGAGTGGAATAGCTGGGTTATACATCAACTTTAGTAAGTACTGTTTTTGCAAAGTGATTGTACCAATTTGCATACCCATGAGCCCTGGATGAGAGTTCCTATTATTACTTAACATGCTCAACCAAAACGTAGTTGTAAGTCTTTCATAATTTTAGCCCTTATAATGCATGGTTAATAGTGTCTCATTGAGATTTTATTTCAAATTTGCCAGATTAATAATGAGGGTGAGTACCTTCCACATTAGTAGTTATTTGTATCCCTTTCTGTGAAAGGATATTCTTTTTGCCCATTTTATGATTGAGTTATGTGTCATTTCTTATTGATTTGAAGGGATTATTTATTCTAGATACAAATAATTTGCTGTTTATATGTGTTGCAAGTGTCTTTTCTTGTTACATGGTTTCATTTATATTCTCAGTGATGTCTTCTGATAAGTAGAATTTTAAAATGTTACTGTATTTGAATTATTAATCTTTTATGGGTATATCTATGTATTTATACACACACTCATTTAGGATTTAAGATTTGTAAACTTCTTTTCTTTCTGCCTTTGTTTTAGAAACAGGGTCTTGCTCTGTTGCCCTGGCTGGAGTGCAATGGTATGATCATAGCTCACAGTAGCCTTGAACTCCTGGGCCCAAGCCATCCTCCTACCTCAGCAACCAGAGTAGCTGGGATTACAGGCGAATGCCACCACACCTGGGTAATTTCTTTTTCTTTTTCTTCTTGTTTTTATTAGAGATAGGATCATGCTATGTTGCCCAAGCTGGTCTTGAACTTCTGGCCTCCAGCAGTCCTCCTGCCTGAGCCTCCCAAGTAGCTGGGATTACAGGCATGAGCCACCAGTCCTGGCAGATTTGTTAATTTCTTTGAATTATTATATATTTTTAAGTTTACTTCCATGTATTTGACTTTTTGTGTGCTTATAACTGGTATCTTTTTAAAATTTCATTTTGTAATTGTTGTTGCTGGTGTATAGAAATAAAAACAATTTTCATATATTGACCTTGTCACCAGCAAATTTTCTATATTTACTTATTAGTTGTAATGTGTTATCTGTAGATTCTGTTAGATTATTTGCATTCATTAGCATTGATTATGTAATGGTATACATTGGAGCTCATTTCATCTTAGTAAACACAAAGTTGGATAATTCTTTTTAATGGCTAGTGAGTATTTATATACTACAGGTCAGTGGCATGGTTAGTATGGAGACTGTAGGGTCAGACTTCTGGGTTTGACTTATGGTTCCACCAGTTATTATCTGAGTGACCCTATTAATGTCACCCACGTCCCTATGCTTCACTTTCCTTCAAGGAAGACTCATGCATATGTGTTGCTCTTACCAACACTGTTTCAGTGAATGCTCTTGAGTATGTTCCTTGTTTATATGTTGTGTATAAATGGGTGTGAAGTTCTATATTCAGATATTTCTCTGAAATGGTTGTACTAATTTACACTCGTATCAGCTGTTTGTAAGAGTTCATATTGCCTCACATTTTTGTCAGCACTTGGTAATGTCAACCTATGAAGGGTTTTGAATCAAAAAGATTTTGAAAATCTTGTCAAACTTAAACATTGGCAAATTAAAAAAATAATAAAACAATGTTTCACTTTTACGAGACTGACGCATTGCTGGCTGTGCTAAGAGGTCTACATAGCTCATTAATTTTATAATTAGCACTTTTATGGTTACTAATGAGTTTTGGAAACTTTCCATATCCTTGATAGACATTTTGCTTTCTGTGAATTGGCTATTCATTTTTTGCCTTTTTTTTTTTTTTTTTTTTTTTGAGACAGAGTCTCACTGTGTCACCCAGGCTGGAGTGCTATGGCACGATCTCGGCTCACTGCAACCTCTGCCTCCTGGGTTCAGGCAATTCTCCTGCTTCGGCCTCCCAAGTAGCTAAGGCTACAGGGGCCTGCCACCACGCCTGGCTAATTTATTTTGTATTTTTAGTAGAGATGGGGTTTCACTATGTTGGCCAGGTTGGTCTCGATCTCCTGACCTGGTGATCCGCCTGCCTCGGCCTCCCAAAGTGCTGGGATTACAGGCATGAGCCACTGTGCCTGGCCATTTTTTCTTATCAATTCAAAGGAATTCCTTCAACGTATTGATTACTTATTCTTTTTTGGTTACATAGATCGTAAATGTCTTTTTCAGTTTGTCATTTCTTCTTCTTCTTTTTTTTTGATGGGGTCTCACTCTGTCACCCAGGCTGGAGTGCAGTGGCGTTATCTTGGCTCACTGCAGCCTCCACCTTTCAGGCTTAGGTGCTGATCCTCCCACCTCAGCCTCCTGAGTAGCTGGGACCACCAAAAATACAATTTTTTTTGTATTTTTTGTAGAGACGGGGTTTCACCATGTTGCCCAGGCTGGTCTTGAACCCCTGGACTCAAATGATCCACCCATCTCAGCCACCCAAAGTGCCGGGATTACAGGTATGAGCCACTGCATCTGGCCCAGCTTATCATTTCTTTCCTACTTTGTGTATGCTGAACTTTGTTGTACAGAAATTGCTTAATATTGTGTATTATGTTTCGTTCATTTTCCTCTTGTATAAAAAATCCCTTCTCATCTTAAAATCAAAAGATAATCTTGCATACTCTATTCTCAAAACTTTTACAGAAATGCTTTTCACATATGTATCTTTAATGTACCTGGAGTTTGCTTTTGTGTATGGTTTGAAGTACGGACTTAATTTCATTCTGTTTATTTTCCATATGAATAACCAATTGTCCCAGAACAATGTATTGAAAAAGTCTTCATTTTCCCACTGATTTGCAAGCACTCTATCTTAGATCAGGTTTCCACAAATGCATGGCTACACTTCGGAGCACTTTCCGTTCCTTCTTATTTATCCTTGCACAAATTCCACATTATTACTAGTAGGATTTTGTAATACAGTTCTTAGGTATCAACCCCCCTCTCTCTCCACTATTATTCTTCTTTAGGAATATCTTGGCTCTTTTTGGACCTTGAAGTTTTCATTACTATAATTGTATTAGTCAGGGTTCTCTAGAGGGACAGAACTAACAGGCTAGATGTATATATGAGGGGGAGTTTATTAAGGAGTATTGACTCACACGATCACAAGGTGAAGTCCCACAATAGGCCGTCTGCAAGCTGAGGAGGAAGGAAGCCAGTCCGAGTCCCCAAACCTCAAAAGTAGAGAAGCCAACAGTGCAGCCTTCAGTCTGTGGCCAAAGGCCTGAGAGCCCCTGGCAAATCACTGGTGTAGGTCCAAGAGTGCAAAAGCTGAAGAACTTGGAGTCTGATGTTCAAGGGCCAGGAGCATTCAGCGCTGGAGAAAGATGAAGTCTGGAAAACTCAGCAAGTCTGCTCTTTCAACGTCTGCCTGCTTTATTCTAGCCACGCTGGCAGCTGATTAGATGACGCCCTCCAAGATTGAGGGTGGGTCTGTCCCTCACAGCCCACTGAATCAAATGTCAATCTCCTTTGGCAACACCCTCACAGACACACCCAGGAGCAATACTTTGCATCCTTCAATCCAATCAAGTTGACACTCAGTATTAACCATCACAATTACATTTTAGAATTTTAATAGGATTGTGCTAGTGGGTTGTCTCTGATTAGCTGTCTCTCAGAACAATTGTCCTTCCCCACCTGGGACCCCGTCCTCCTTGCTGCTTTAAAATGCAACCCTGGGGCGAGTCTAAGGGAATAGAGGGGCTTCACCCCATGGTGGGAATGGGAAAGAACGTCTGCTGGGGACATGTACTGCAATTTGTCTCAGGCAATCTGGCCAAGGGAAAAGGGATCCACTCACATCCACTGACAGACTCCAAGATGCACTTTCCAAAGGGGCATCCCCCCTATTAGAAAGGATCTCTCGGTGTTAGAACCTTACACTGAATGAACAGTGGGTGAGCAACCCCAGGTCAGTTCAGGTATGAATTATGTTGAGTGACCAATCCAGGTACGAGGATAAAAGGTTGCGGGAAGACTCACTGTCCTGGTGCAGTTTGAGATCACCTGACTTAAGACATCCAGAGCATGGTGGCTGGCTGTCTTCATAGGAGAATTTAGAGTGAGAAAGATGGGGTCTGAGTTCCCCAGAACATGTGTGGATTTGTCCTGTTTGAGCTTCTGCCTCCAGATGCATCACATGTAGGGACTGGGGACTTTTGACCAGAATAAGGAGGAGAGAACCTTCCTCCTTTCCGGGGAAGGCAGCCAAACCTGTTCATCCCCTGGCCATCAGGCTACACCAGGGAGTGGCCCTGGCCCATTGCCTTCAGTTGCCAGAGGGATACTAGAGATTGTCCACTGGACAACTGAAAGGAAAACTCTAAACTCTCACCCAATCAGGTGGTGGCAGTCAGCTGTCTTTCCACTAGGACATTCTGGCCCGCTGGGGAGTAGCCCCTGTCCGGGACCATCAGTTGTCTCCAGACTTGGACGCTGTCCGCTGAGAGGTTGCAGTTGGAAAAGAGGAAATGGGAAGAGTACGGGAGAGAGTACGTGGCTGGCTGGGGCCGGCGTTGCAGGGGGTAAAAGAATTTACTGACACAGTTGTGGGTAAAGAAAGGTAGATTTATTAGAGAAAGTACAAAGATACATCCAAGGGTGCAACAGGCAGCACAGCAGCGAAGGGGCTGTCTGCTAAAAGCGGCAGGGGCTGGAGGGTGGTGCTGAGGAGCTGTGTGTAGAACGAGGTTGTGCTGCTGGGCCTATGTGTGGAGCAAGGTATTTGGGAACAGGATTGTTGTACGAGTGGGTGGTTGTGATTAGCTGTCTCTTAGAGCAATTGTTCTTTCCAACCTCGGGCACGTCCTCCTTGGTTACTTATTTTATCAGGACTCCACGATTACCACAAATGGTCCCTCAAGCTACTTTGTAGTGATCTCCTCAACACTCTGCCCTGGGAACCACCCCATTTCAATCACCATGATTTAGTTTTGTCTGTTCTAGGACTTCACGTAATGGAGTATGGTATGGTTTCGTTTGCATCTGGCTTCTTTTTTAACTTTTAAGTTCAGGGGTACATGTGCAGGTTTGTTACATAGGTAAATGTGTGTCATGGGATTTGTTATTCAGATTATTTTATCCTATTAAGACTAGTATCCACTAGTTATTTTTCCTGATTGTCTCCCTCTTCCCACTTTCCACCCTTTTCTCTCTCTCTCTCTCTCTCTCTCTCTCTCTTTTTTGACACAGAGTCTTGCTCTGTTGCCCAAGCTGGGGTGCAGTGGCTCAATCTTCGCTCACTGCAACCTCCACCTTCCGGTGGAGGTTGAGGCACAAGCGATTCTTGTGCCTCAGCCTCCTGAGTACCTGGGATTACAGACACATGCCACCATGCCTGGCTAATTTTTGTATTTTTAGTAGAGAGGGGGTTTCACCACGTTGGCCAGGCTGGTCTTGAACTCCTGATCTCAGGTGGCCCACCCACCTCGGCCTCCCAAAGTGTTGGGATTACAGGCGTGAGCCACTGCCCCTGGCCTCCACCCTCCCCTTTAGCTCAGCATACTAGTTTTGTTCATTCATGTTCTATGCATCAGTAGTTTGTTACTTTTATTCCCAAGTAGCATTCTACTGTATGCGCATACGCAACTTTTATCCATTCTTCAGTTTATGGTCACTTGGGATGTTTTTAGTTCTGGGCTGTTACGAGTAAAACTGCTATGAACATTTGTATACATGTCTTTTTTTTTTTTTTTTTTTTTTGAAACAGAGTTTCGCTCCTGTCACCCAGGTTAGAGTGCAATGGCACAATCTCGGCTCACTGCAACCTCTGCCTCCCGGGTTCAAGCGATTCTCTTGCCTCAGCCTCCAGAGTAGCTGGGATTACAGGCATGCACCACCACGCCTGGCTAATTTTTTGTATTTTTAGTAGAGATGGGGTTTCTCCATGTTGGTCAAGCTGGTCTCGAACTCCCAACCTCAGGTGATCCGCCTGCCTCGACCTCCCAAAGTGCTGGGATTACCGGTGTGAGCCACCACGCCCCGTCCTACATGTCTTTTTTTTGTATACAAATGTTTTCACTTCTCTTGGGTAACACCAAGAAATGGAATAGCAAGATCTTATCCAAGTGTATGTTTAAATTTACAAGAAATTGCCAAAGTGTTTCTCCAACAGTTATAGCCTTTAACATACCCACACACAAAATATAAGAATTCCAGTTTCCTCACATCTTTTTATTTTTAGCCATTCAAGTGGGTGTGTAGTGGTACTCAAATATGGTTTTAATTGCATTCATTGAATAAAGAAAGATGTGTGTGTTTTCATGTGCTGATTTGTTATTCATATAGCTTCTTTGGTGAAGTGTTTGTATAAATCCTTTGCCCGTTTTTAATTGGATTGCTTGTCTTCCTATTATTGCGTTGTAAGAATTCTTATATGCTTGGTTCAAGACCTTGCTTAAATACATAAATATCTTTTCCAATATGCGTCTTGTTTTTCACTTACTAAAGGGCATATTTTGAAAAGTAGAAGTTTAAAAGTTAATGAAGTGAAATTTATTACTATTTTCCTTTTCTGGTTGGTGCTCTTTGTATTTTTTAGAAGACATGATTGCCTGACCCAAAGTTGCAATGAGTTTTTCACTTTTTAAAAGACATTTTATAGCTTTGGCTTTTATATTTGTCTCTGATTCATTTAAAATTAATTCTTAGGTGTGGTGAGATTCAATTAAGGTTTAACTAAAAAATATTCTTCAGTTGTTCCAGCAGCAGTCGCTGAAAAAGCTACCCTTTTCCTATTAAATTCTCTTAGCAGCATTGTTGAGAGTCAATGATGCTTTATGTGAGGGTCCCTCACATAAACGATGCTTTATTTGAATGCCCTGTCCTGCTCCATTGACCTATATTGTCTATCCTTATGCTAGTACTGTATTATCTTGATAGTGGTAATTTGTTTTTTTCTCTTTTTTTTCTTGGTTGTCCTGGCTAAGGCTTATCAGGTTTGCTGATCTTTCTAAATAGTAAACCTTTAATTGTTTCATTGATTTTTTTCTATTGTTTGCCCATTTTCTATTTCATTGATTTCTGCTCTTACTGCTTCCTTCCTCTACCTATTTTAGAATTAATTTGTTCTTTCATTTCTAGATATTTGTGTGTGTGTGTCTTTTGACTTTGGTCTTTCTTGTTTTCTAAAATAAAGCACTTAAGACTGTAAATTTCCCTTTAAGTCCTGATTTAGCTGCATTTTACAGGTTTGGCAGTGTGTTTTTATATTTCAAAATATTTTCTAATGTTCCTTCTTATGATTTGTTCTTTGGCCCATAATTATTTAAAGGTATGCTGCTTAACTTCCAAATGTTTTCTATATATTTTTGAAAAGAAATTGTCTAATTGTTTGCTTTAGCTTAACTTCCAAATGTTTCTATATATTTTTGAAAAGAAATTGTCTAATTGTTTGCTTTATATATATTTGTGTATATATAATTATCTCATCAGTTATTTATGTTCAAATATTTCATAATTTTTAAAAGAATTATAGAAAGAAATATCATGAAATATCCTTTCAACTACGATGTTGAATTTTCTGTTCACCTTGTAATTCTTTCATATTTTTCTCATGTATTTTGAGGTTATAGTATCTACCTGCTGATTGAGAAAAAAAAGTTATCATTGCATAATAACTATATTTCTTCCTCTTAATTATTGTGTACTACAATGTATTAGGTCTGATTAATATCTCCATACCAGATTTCATTTAGTTAATATTTACCTGGCATATATTGTTTCACATTACTAGTCTAAAAAAACGCACTCAATCTCTGCTTTTAAATTTAGTCCAATTTATGTATTTATATTCATTGTAAATGCTAGTATGTTTGCATTTATTTTTAATATTTAATTTTGATTTGCATCCACCCAACTGTTTTCTCTGTTTCTTTTTTTTTTCATTTTCTTCCCTATTTAGTATTGGAATACACAATACCAAAGAAAGCTTACTTCTTTAGAAATTGTATTTTCTGTTTTTCTGTTAGAGGTTAACCATAAAATTGTTGCATGTCTATTTGCCTTAAAAATTTCTAACATTAATGTATATGTCTACCCTCCCTATATTAAAAGAGTTTTAACTGCATTACCTCTGAAAACTTCTTTCTTGTCTCACAGGTAATTGATATAATATAATTGAATTTGTCTTTTTCTATGTTTACAAAAAACCCATTATTAATAATTTTTGTTTATACTGCTGCTGCTGTTATATAGTTAATACTTGTTAAAGTCTTATCTACCACTTCAGTAACTTCTTTGCTCACCATTCCTTTCTGTATTTCAGACGTTCTTTATAAGGTTCAAATTCCTTATACCTGAAATATATGCTTTATTACAAAGAATTCTTTTTTTTTCTTTTTTTTGAGACTGGGTCTTTCTCTGTCACCCAAGCTGGAGTGCAGTGGCAACATCTTGGCTCACTGCAGCCTCCACCTGGGCTCAAGTAATTCTTCCACCTCAGCCTCCCGAATAGTTGGGACCACAGGCGTGCACCACCATGCCTGGCTAATTTTTGTATTTTTTGTAGAGAAGGGGTTTTGTCATGTTGCCCAGGCTGATCTCGAACTCCTAAGCTCAGACGATCTGCCCGCCTCAGCCTCCCAAAGTGCTAGGATTACAAGCGTGAGCCACCACACTGGGCTGGAATTCTTTTATGGATAAGCACCAGTCTTTTATTTTTATTTTTTCTCTCTTAGTTTGAAAATACAGCCCTTTTGCTTAGCTGGGTATAGATATCGAACTGAACTTTTCTTTCTCAGTACATTCATTGTCTTTATATTTTGTTTTAGCTCTTTAGTAGTCTGCCCTTAATCTAAAAATCAGTCCTTTGAAAGTAGTTTGCCTTACCTATTAAGGTCCTCTGTTTTACTGTTTTTCTTCTTCTGGTTAATGTTTACCTAATTATCTGTGGATCTAAAAAATTTTACTTTTTATGGGATATTTTGTACTACTGAATCTAAGAATTATATATTTTTTCTATGTAAGGAAAATTCTCCAAGATAATACTTTTAAATATAAGTTTTTCCTCATTCTTTTTCAGTTTAAAAACTTTATATTAGCCATACATTCTATTTCCTATTTTAACTTACATATTGTACTCTCATATATTCCATGTCTGTTTATATTTTCTGCAAATTGTAAGTGATTTTTCTCTGATTAATATTCAAATTTACTGATTTTCTTTACAGCTTTATTTAATTGACTAGTTCACTCAGTTTTTGACTGCAATTACTAAATATCTTTTAATATTCAAATTTCTACTTTATTTACATGTATCTTTATTTTTATAGTCTACTAATCTGGGATTTTTATGTGTTTGATTAATTCTTTTATATTTTACTCATTTTGGAGTCACTGTATTATCTCTATATAATCAGATAGTCTATATCTGATAGTTCTACTGTCTGTACTTGAATATTTCTTTCTACTAGTTTTGGATCAGCTGGTTGAATTCTAGTTTTCCATATTCACACTCATGTTGTGTTGAAGTCTGAAGAGGGAGTTTAAGAGAGAGCTTTTTTTTTTGTTTTGGTTTGGTTTTGTTGTGTTTCAGTCTGTGCTTTTTGGTTGCTACAGGTATCTCAGCACCTCAGGCTGCATTTGCTGTTGATGTCTTGAGGTAGGAATTCCCAGATCATACTTGAAATTTAAGCTGCAGGCCCATTGTGCTTGTAAGTTTCCAGGAGATTTTTTTGGACCAAAGCCCAGGCTAAAATAGGCAAACAATGTTTGTGGGCATCCTCTATCAGTGGGAATATTTTTTTCTCTTTCACTCTTTTATTGTGTTTTCATCTAAATGATATGTGTGGTTGGCCAGGTGCAGTGGCTCAAGCCTTTAATCCCAGCACTTTGAGAAGCTGAGGCAAGAGGATTGCAAGAGAAGCTGAGGCCAGGAGGTCTAGGCTTCAATGAGCTGTGATTGCACCACTGCACTCCAGCCTGGGCAACAGAGTGAGGCCCCATTTTTCTCCAAAAAGAAGAATAGTATATGTGGAATTCTTCACAACAATTCCCCAAGGCTTTTTTGCCTGTCCCCACGTGTGGTTTTCTTGGTTATTGAGATGAGCAGAATCCCTCAGCCAGTTGCAGCTTCAATTCATGGGCATAACCATGTTTGTCCCTCATGATTTTCTTTATACTTTTCTGTTCAGTTATTTATTGATAGATATCCCACACATAAACACATACACTCATCACTATTTGTATACATTTCTAAAGGTTTTATTCTGGGAGACTTTTCAAGCGCTCACTCAAGGCTTCTTTCTACTGACAGAGGAAGAGAAATGAAGAGTGAAGCTTCTCTGCTTGTTTGTGGGATTCTAGTGTTCCTCCTGATACAGAACAGGGGCTCCTGGCTAAACCCCACCCTCAAGCCTGGAACTTTGGCGCTAGGTGAAAACAGCTGACCCCATTTTTCCTCCCAAATGATTACCTTTTTGGCCTGCCCCGTCCTATATCCTGTGCCCTTAAAAACCAGACCAGTTGGCAGAAACAAACAAGAAAAAGAGCAATAGAAGCGGCTAATGTAAGAGTTTGGGGATGCAAGCTGCTGAACGGTGGGGATACACACTGCTGAGCATCGGAGGCTATGGATACACTGGGTTATCTTCAGATGGTGCGGCTTCAGGGAAAGATCACCTTCTGCACCATCTCCTTTCCAATTCCCCATCCTTCTGAGACCCACTTTTAACACCCAGTGAAATCCTCCACATATACTAGCCTTCAAATAGTTTGTGTGACCTGATTCTTTCCAGACACCAAACAAGAACTCGGGTGTCAAAAAGTGTAGGTGCAACTGGCTGTCACCCTGACCCTTCACTGAGCTGTTAACACTTATTTGTCCATGGACTGGAGGCTGAGTGAAACGAGCCATTCCAGTTCCTGCCCACGAAGGGGGTCAAGGTCAAGGGAACAATCCCGTCTCCCTCCCAGAATGGATGGATGGGATTTTACCATTTTGTTTGGAGCTGCCATCTCCTAGGCTAGCTGTTTCTTGCAAGGGAATCAAGCTTGTAATCCTTTTGTGATTCTCCCTCAGGAAGACCCAGTGTGAATAGTGTTACATTTATAATCCATAAAGAGAGAAGTAACAGCTCTGTGGATCAAAAAGCCTGGGTTCTCTGGGCAATTTGTGAATGTCCTGGTCAAATAAAGTCACTTCAGTAACTTGTGAGAAGGACCAATAGAACAGATAAGACAGCACACCCAGCACCTCATCTAACATTTGAGTAAGAGAAAAGGGCTGAACCACAAAATAATTATTTTGCTATACACTTCTTCCTTAGATGTGCGTCTGGTGTCTTGGAGAGACTTCTGTTATATTACACAGTATGGTTACTCTGATTCACACGCCCTGAATCAGGTTCTTTTCGTTATTTTTCTCTTTTTTTTTTTTTTGAGATGGAGTCTTGCTCTGTCGCCCAGGCTGGATGCAGTGGCACGATCTCGGCTCACTGCAAGCTCCGCCTCCCAGGTTCACGCCATTCTCCTGCCTCAGCCTCCCGAGTAGCTGAGACTACAGGCGCCCGCCACCACGCCCGGCTAATTTTTTGTATTTTTAGTAGAGACGGGGTTTCACCGTGTTAGCCAGGATGGTAGTTGTTTTTCTCTTTAAGGTTCCTAGAGTGGTGGTTCTTACAAACCACACTCCCTTTGCACTAAGTCAAAATGTGTATTAGTTGCTGCGTTTAGAAGTTATTAGATATCTTCCTGCATTCACAGAATCATTTTTAAGTTACAATATTCAGTTAACAATATTATTTTTCCATTTGAAAAGTCTAATAATATTATTCAATGGGGCCCTTCCTGTTATAAGAAAATAGCTGTCTTATGTGTAGACTTCAGTAACAAGATGTTCCCACATATAAGGACGATGTGTAAATGTGTGGCTTAGCTTATGTAAGAGGGGAGCCATCAACGTTTGGTATTCTAGGTTATGTCAATCTAAAGATACTTGGGTGATGGAGAAATAGGAAAAAAAAAAGCTCAATTTATTTTTCCTCTTTATATCAATAGCAGCAGGTGCCCTTTTCAATCAACCTAGAAGGCTTTGATTTCATATGGAAATATCCATAAGTGAAGGTGTAAAATGAGTTAGGTACTGGAGTATGAACATTTTGTCAAGAAGACAAACTGTGTTAATGCTCATCTCTACATTTATTCATTTTAGATAGATTCATTTTATGTGTCAGGCACATAGCCATTCTATTAGGCACAAAATGTACAAACATGAGTAATCTGGCTCTTTCCTCAAGGAACTCATGGTTTGATAAGAGAATACACACACACACTGTCTATTATCTATCTATCCATCTATTTATTACCTATGTATTTATCTATCACTCTCTCACACACACAATAATCAGGAAAAAATTTACAGGTGATTGAGCTTAATGGAGTTTGTCAGTCAGGCAAGGAAGGAAAAAGCATTCCAGGAAGAGGGAACAATATTAATATAGTGGGAGATGTAGCCAGTGAAAATAAAAGTAATATTCAGAGACACTGAGGTAATTTGAAATTTCTGAAGTGTAGAGTGCATAAGGAAGAGTAGTGGAAATTCAAACTAGGGCAAGTAGAGGATTAACCCATAAAGGGCCTTGGATGATATGCTATAGAACTGTTGACTTTAATCTTCCAAATAACCGAGCTTCTCAATAATATGAATGAGAGAGACCATATAACACCACTTGAATTCATCTCACTTGTCCTTCACTCTATCTCAGACATGTACTTTCAAGAGTGGTACTGGACCTGCTCAATAATTAGCACCCCTATAAAAGTCAAACTTTCATGTATTCTTACCTCACTTCCTATAAAGACAGCTTACTCTTAGTCCAGAAATCTTCCATTGCCACTCTAATCCTTTACTCCACTGGTGTTATTTAATTGGCCCTTACCTGATTTGATTATGTCCTCATTGCCCTCCTTACTCAGAATGAAGCTCATAATCAATCACTCTTATAATAGCTTTGCATATATTTTCAACCTTGTTTTCAACTTTCTTGCTTGCACTAGGTTGGAAAACCTACAATCTGGTTAAATTCAGTTTTCTACCTAATTCTATGACTGGTATCACCTTCAAGTTGTGATGGTGAACCTCAAGTGGACTGCTTGGAATCACACTGTATATATCCACAGGCTATTCTCCAAAGGAGATCATTTCCAAATTTATTTTATTTTGTTTGTTTTTAAACTTTTAGATTCAGAGGTACATGTGATGGTTTGTTACATAGGTGAACTCATGCCATGGGGGTTTGTTGTACAGATTATTTCATCACTCAGGTATTACATCCAATACAAACAGTTAATTTTCTGCTTTTCTCCCTCCTCCCACCCTCCACCCTCAGGTAGATCGCAGTGTCTGTTGTTCCCTTCTTTGTGTTCATGAGTTCTCATCATTGAGTTCCCACTTACAAGCGAGAACATGTGGTATTTGGTGTTCTATTCTTGTGTTAGTTTGCTAAGGATAATAGCCTCTAGTGCCATCCATGTTCCCAAAAAAGAAATAATTTACTTCTTTCTTAAAATAATTTTAATGTTTATTAAAACAAGCTGTTTTATGTTTTTGTGTGGGTATAATGGATCTACTTCTTTTTTATGGCTGCATAGGATTCCATGGCATATATGTACCACATTTTCTGTATCCAATCTGTCATTGACAGACATTAGGGTTGATTCCATGTCTTTGCTATTGTGACTGGTGCTGCAGTGAACATTTGCATGCAAGTGTCTTTATGGTAGAATGATTTATATTCCTCTGGGTATATACCTAGTAACGGGATTGCTGGGTGGAATGGCAGTTCTACTTTTAGCTCTTTGAGGAATCACCATACCACTTTCCTCACCAGCATCTATTATTTCTTGACTTTTTATTTTATGATTTTTTTAAGGCAGTGTCTCACTCTGTTGTCGAGTCTGGAGTGCAGTGGCATGATCTTGGCTCACTGCACCCTCCGCCTTCTGGGTTCAAGCAATTCTCATGCCTCAGCCTACTGAGTAGCTGGGATTACAGGCATTCACCACCATGTCCAGCTAATTTTTTATATTTTTAGTAGAGACGGGGTTTCGCAATGTTGGCTGGGCTGGTTTGGAACTCCTGGCCTCAAGTGATCTACCCGCCTCTGCCTCCCAAAGTGCTGGGATTACAGGCGTAAGTCACTGCACCTGGACTATTTTTTGACATTTTAGTAGTAGCCATTCTGACTGGTGTGAGATGGCATCTCATTGTGATTTGATTTGTATTTCTCTAATGATCAGTGATGTGGGGCTTTAATTCATATGCTTGTTGGCCACATGTATGTCTTCTTTTGAGAAGTGTCTGTTCATAAGTAGACCCTTTCAGACCTTGGCTGATCATTTTCATACCCCAATGCCTCCTCCTCCTTCCCCACTCTCAGCTTGGTTTTTTCCTCACTGAAAAATTGAAGCAATCAAGAGATGTCTTCCACAGACTCTCACTGCTCACTCTCTGTCTTCCATACATGCAAACTCTGCTTTTCTGCATGTTACTGTGGATGGACTTTCTGTGATACCGTCTAAAACCAATCAACGTCTCTACTTTGCTTGTCCATACCATGCCATTTCTTTGTTCCTTGTAGTAGTTAACTTCCTATGTCTAAGTCTTCTTCTCCCATTATTTTAGAAATAATACTTTTATCAATTTTTTCCCCTCACTTCTCCATCAAAATTGCTCCTAAAGCTCACTAATGACTTCATGTTGGTGCCACCCTTGTTGGTAGGAGATATAATCATCTTATCTGACTTGGTAGCAGCACTGGCAAAATGAATATTCATTTTCCCTTAATACACTAGATTTTCACATGGACTAAAACAAACAGATGTCCTTTCTTTCCCTCCCACTTCGCTGAACTTCTTGGGTTCCTTTGCAGGTAAAATAGAGAATGAATTATTTTTCTTATATGAAAGACATAAACTGCATATTTGTGTGTCATGAGAATAAGCCATTCCGGAGTTAAAAGTAATGATACAAGAAAGTGGGAAGATTAATTTTCTATGTCAACTGGACTGAATTAAGGTATATCCAGGTAGCTGGTAAGAGGTTGCTTCTGGGTATGTCTGTCATTGAGGGTGCTGTAAGAAGAGATTACCTTTGGAATATTAAGAAGACTGAGTATAGAAGATCTGACCTCATCATTGTGGGCAGGCATTATCCCACTTCTTATGGGCCCAAATACAACAAAAATGTGGAAGAAAGGCAAAATTTCTCTCTCTCCTTTAGCTGAGATATTTATCTAATTTTTCCCTTAGACTTTGGAGCTCCTGGTTTTTGGGCCTTCAGACTTTGGAACTTACACAAGTCCTTCCCACTCCCGGCATGGGTTCCCTGATTTTCAGACCTTTATACTCAGACTGAATCACACCACCAACTTTTCTGGGTTTCCAGCTTGCAAACAGCATATCATGAAACCTCTTGGCCCTCATAATCATGTGAGCCAATTCCCATAATAAACTTCCTCATATATTTATACATATCTTAATGGTTCTGTTTCTCTGGAGAACCCTGACTAATACAGAAAGCAAAGAAATAATAATTTTCCGCAATGTCTATGAGCATACCAAGAGGGGATGAGATTCAGGACAAATTGAGGAATTGGTTTTGGATAAGACCATGGCAAATTCATCTAAGTTAACAGGTGGAAGAGTAGGTTAGGCAGGTGCAGATTGGAGTAAGTAGTAGATGTGGTGGTGAGACTGTTAAATGTCACCTTACGGTGGCTCCAGTTTTCTATGTGAGTGTGAGTAAATTCATTAACTAAAGGTGTGGGTGGGAGGCATGAAGGAAGAGGTTTGGGATATGAGCAGGTATGTGAAATAATGAATCAGTATTTCTGTCAACTTTAGAGAGACCTGCTGAAATCCCCAAATTCACTGTGATTCTCCAGGAAGTTACCAGGGCCTGAGCTAATGACATGGCCAACAGCAAGCCTGCAAGATGAAAGCAGTTTATTAATACTCATACCATTGAGGATTCCAGGAAGGAAAGCAGACTCACCAGCTGGAGGTGGGTGGTCCAGAACAACAGGGGAAGTGGCAGGAAACAAAAGGGAAAGAATGTATGCATTAATTAGGGAGGGACATTTATTTGTTTATTTGTTTGTTACTTTTCATTATTTTGAGACTAAGATCGAGATTATTTTTCTAGTTGTGTAATCGCAACCTTAATAAAAATAAAAGATTGATGCCTTTGATATTTTTCTTCCAAATAAATAGATACAAAAAAACACCAAAACCAAATACTTGTAACCTTAGTCTGGGTTCAGCATTCTCCCAGCTCTTCATGGGAGTTTCTATACCCTCCCAAATAAAACTTCGCCAAAGAAAACCTCACAACATCTAGCAACAGTATCTTTATGCCTTCATTTCCTACTATAATGTAAATTCCTGCTAGTACATTTCCTACTAGTCACCATACGATTGGATTTTGGTCCCAATCAGTACTTGCAGATATCACCAAAAAGGGAATCTGCTTTTCTTTTTGTATCACAGCCTCTGATGAGGGCCATTTATCAACCTAACCCATATGAGTTATGGGTGTTGGTTAAGGAGAAAACGAACTGGGGAGAGGCAAGTGGTAAACGTTGCTGGGGCATCCCTGGAGCTGACAAGCAGTTGTCACTTAGACATTACAAACTGGTGAGTCCTTCTCATTTGAGTCACCTGGGGTTGTGGAAGAACAAACCTACATTTATGTCTGTACCCAGTAGAATTTAAGCTCCTTGAGGATGAGCTTCTTTGCCTATCTTTTTGAAGGACCAGAATCCAGTATAATGCTTGGTACTATTTGGCGTTCAATAAATATTTGTTGGAAAATCAATTGCACATATAAAACATTATTCTCATAGAGTTTGTAGGGATTGCAGAATTGGTATGCCAAACAAACAAACTGGTATCAAAGTAACTGAAATGCTTACATTTTTCAAACACTGTAATATTAACCAAGACTCTTGTTTTTGAGGACCCTTGTTTTTGAATATAAACTCATGTCAAAGTGTTTTATAGAAAAGTGTTTTACTCTTTGTCATTTTCTTGCCATAACTGAGAAATCCAAGAGGTGAATGAATGTCAGTTATGGCTGGATCTAAGGCCTCATGGTGCCACTACAGCTTGATGCCCTCTCCCTTTCTGGCTCTGCTTACCCTGCCTGGATTGACTCTCAGAAGAGCCATCTCTATGTGGTGGTGTGAGTGAGGGCTGCTTCAAGTCCCATGTTGCCATCTTCCTTTCTACCTTTGATCCCAAATCTGAGCCACTTCTTGGAATTTGGGTAAAGAGATTAAATTAAAGAGGAAAATGCATCATCTGCATTAGTGGATTGAGAGAGGGCAATTCTGTGAGCATCTAGAGATGAATTCTTTCTGTTCTCTCAAGGATTTAAAGGATTCAAATTCCTCCAGTGCACATGCTCTTTCCTTTTACAGGGATGACTTCCATATTGTGTGTGGAACGCTTACTTAGTGTTCAAAACGCTGTCCAGCTTTCACTTTCTCTGTGAAATTGTCTGCATCAGTCTGGGTTTACTGAGAAAAAGTTCACTACAAGTATTAGAGAAATAGAAGATTTTATCTAGGAATCTACATATAGGATTTAATGTAGGAATGAGAATTTACCTGAATGTGGTAGGATCTGGAAGACTGAGAGATTAGAGTCTGGGAGATTGGAGAAATACTCAATATGATGTCAGCCTGGAGGAAGCTGCAGATCCTGTAGCCCACCCAGCAGGAGTTTGTGGAAGGCTCTGGAAACCTGCTGCATCAGACAGTATAAAATGCCAAGCTTCATGGTTTCTGCTTTCCCTCTTCCCAGTCTTCTAGGAGTTCGTTTCAGTGACAAAATCTAACCTGGCACTTTTCAAGACAAGTGGTTTCTGAGAAATGTAGTTTCCAGCTTACAAAGAACTGATAGTGATGTCACCAAACTGACAGCTGTCAGTCCCAAAGCACTGCCATGGTGGTGAGCTGCCTCCAACCCCTCAGCCAATCCCTACAACCATGGCTGAGGCTGGGCTTCCTCTGCTGTAGCCCCGTGGTTACGTGGGGGCTTCCTTCCACTTCCTTCTGTGTACTCCATAAACCGTTCTGTTATTTCATCTTTTATATTCTATTATAATTATTTATTTACATAAATGTCTTCCTCTCAGAGTTGTGACTATAGAAACTACTTTCTTACTCATGTTCATGTCTTCAGAATCTGCCGTGTAGTAGACCCATAAACACTTTCTGTTGAGCTAAAATACTGTAATAAAAATATTTCAAAAATCAGAAAGAAAGGAGCAGATGTCTATAGATAACAGTTAAACAAAGGCATGTGGATGCCCTTGCCAGATGCTGCGAGGTTTTCTTTGGCGAAGTTTTATTTGGGATGTTATGAAGACCCCCATGAAGAGCTGGGAGAATGCTGAACCCAGACTAAGGTTACAAGTATTTGGTTTTGTTGTTGTTGTTGTTTTGTATCTATTTATTTTGAAGAAAAATATCAAAGGCATCAATCTTTTATTTTTATTAAGGTTGCAATTACACAACTAGGAAAATCTCAATCTTAGTCTCAAAATAATGTAAACTAACAAACAAATAAACAACAATAACACTGTGTTCTTACCTGAAAGAATATTGCTTTCTTAGTACTGAGATCGTTAAACTTAATTCCCGAGAAAAACAAAGGTGGCTGACTTGTCTTTAGGTATTTGTTCAGCATTATGTGTTTTACTCAAACCAGTTGGGTCATCCACAGGATATCCTACATGCCCTTAAAACTTCACTTATTTAAGGATAGGACAGATTAACAGTTTGACCTATCTTTAATTCTGTTTTGCAAAAGCTATTTAAAATACATCCGATAACACATGTATTTTAATGCCAAAAATCCTGTGCCACTTTCCTTTGAATGAGTCTCTTTGTCTTGGAGTATTTATCCTTTTTGATACTGCATTGTTTTAGAATTCAGAGTGTCGAGTTTAATTCTGAATTCTGTCAGTAACTTGGCAAACTTTGTCCAAGTCACTTTTCTACCTAGTGCATGAGTATAAAAATAGGCATCTAATCTCATTCTATCAGAAAACCTACAGTAATGTTTTCAAAGCACTTTGTATTCCTAAGGCAAAACTCTCTATATAAACCCAGTTTCCTTCTTTCTAAAAGTGAATTGAAAGTTAAAAAAAAAGCTCAAGTATCTGATGAAAATTCTTTTCCCTGCATAAATAATTAAAATGGCATTTTGCATGAGATACTCTGGGGTCCACTGAATAAGCCATTAACTCGTTGTTTAATGTTTGCTCCCACAGGTGCCTTAAGAGCAATACTGGCAGCATGCTGAAGTATTTTTCCTACTTATTTTTAGCTATTGCTTTCCTTTTAATTTTTCATATATCATGTGTAAAATAACAGGTCATTAGTAAAAACAGAAAAAAAACTAGAGGAATATTTTCCCCATTCTTTTGAGAAATTTGGAGTTAATTGCTCATATTTTGTATTTCACTATGAACAGAAATCTTGCCCCCTGTATGGCATAGACTACAAGGATTTAAATCATATCATATGATAATACTCTTGCTTTAAAACCATTCTGGAAGCATATGCATTTGCAGGAGGCTGGCCACTACAAAATTAAGACAAAGAAGAGGAAATTTTTAGGTCTCTTACCTCAGCTAGGGAAAAAAAAAACAACTTAGAACATAATCCAAGTAAATGCTATTTGCCTACTTTAAATCCCTACCACGTGCTTGGTATAATGCACAAAATATTTTGGGTGAAGGGAGGTTGAAGAAGGAAGAGTAACATTTCAAAAATGTGAAGTTAAAAAGAAATTAAAGATCGTCCTTCTAGTTCACTTTCAATATTGTTCACGGTTCACTTCTTTTTTGATCTAATTTGAAATTTCAATCTATCGTTTCCTTCACATTTATACAATATAATGGTCCCTTGTCTTAATACTTTCTTTCATATACCCTTAGGATTCTAAGATGCATCACCCCAGCCATTCTTTTCTCTGTATGCTAAACCTCCTGCTCCACTTCATCTATCTGGCAAAATCCCAAATCTTGCAGACATCCAAGTAGAACTGCCTGATTTATTCTCACCCCAAAGTAGGCCACTATATAAGAAGACTCCACTTTAGAGACTATGAATGCCCCCCACCCCACACCCAGTGCTTTCGTAAAAGGTCTATGTTTCTTGTCAGGGCTTATAGGACTAGGGGCGTTCTATTTGCAAAACTTGGCTGCTTGGCAGTTTCCTAAAACATTCTAAAGATACAGTAGATCTTAGAAATAAGTTCTAGCATTCTATAGCTCTGTAGGATTCCTACAGTTAACAATAATATATTACTATAGTTGACAATAATATCTGCTATATAGATAATATATAATAGTAATATATTAATAATACTATAGTTAACAATATACTATAGTTAACAATAATATAGTTTCAAATAGCTAGAAGGAGAATATTGAATGTTTCCAACACAAATAAATGATAAATCTTTGAGATGATGTATATGCTAATTACCCTAATTTGATCACTATCCATTATATATATGGAAACATCACCATGTATCCCATAAACAGGTATAATTATTATGTGTCAATTAAAAAATAAAATAAGTAGACAAAGAAGCATTAGAATGCAAACAATAAAAATAAAATGATATACTCCAATATACCCAGGTCTATTTTCCCCTGGATATTTAGCCATTCTGCCCACAGGCCCATTGCTCTTCTCTTCTACATGATGAAAAGCCATTCTGCTCCATTCACCATCTGTCTTCAACTTGCTGACCAAAACCCATCTCAGTGCTCAGCAACCAAAATGCCATTCAGCCTACAAACCCAGCCTCTTTAGAATCCATTCAGAAGCGATCCTTTGTTACACGATCATGTCCTTGGTTATTAGGCGGTGGATGGGGTTAACTTTGCCCTTGAAGTAGCTTATCAACATATTTCTTTCAAAAAGTTCTCTTCCCCAGAATAATTCTGGTGAATATATATATATATATATATATATTTTCACTGTCTGATTCCACTGTTCTCTCTTCCATTCTGACAAGTGTTGTGTGTGGCAAGTTATGTGATCGAACTGATTACGTTCAATTCAAATTCATATTATTCAAGACTAATTGGATCCTCACTGCTGCTCCACAAATCTCTTTACTTCTCTTTAGCTTTTGAATTCTGAACAGTAGCTGTCCTAAACTATTTTATTCCCATCAAGACCTGACTTCCCTCTCATTACATGACTTTCTCTTCTATTTTAATAAAATTACCAAGACTCTTTAATGTAAGCTCCCTGTGCTATGCCTTAGAATGTCCTCGTATTTTCTGCCCTTTTCTGTTTCAGAGGAAAAATCATCAATTCTTACTTTGAAGATTATTGTTAGTGTGGTAACAGTGTAGCAGTCCATCTGTTTGATGAATCTCAAGATTCCTACAATTTTACTCTGAATTGTGAAGAGAGTAAATTATCAGAGTTGATCTTAGGTTTCCTGTTTTCTTTGTTGCATTCTCATCTCTCTATTCCGTCTTCCTAATTTGCTTCCTGCACTTCCTGGGTTTAATGCCTTCATATTTCTTTTTTTTTCCTTCTGTGCTCCCAACTTCCACTTTCAGGCTCACAACCTCAAAATGCTGAAATCCTACTTACCCTAGAGTTCCATCCCTTTAGCTAGCTCTCTAGCTCATCACATTCTTTGCAGATTTGTCTATCTCTTTATATTTTTACCTCCTTATCTGGAGGAATTTTTTCTGCCTCTACCACATACCACTGAGTGTTAAGGTTATCACTAGGGATAAAAATATGTGAATGAACTATATTTCCCATTTACAAGGAGTCCTATTTGGAATAAATCATTTTTTAACGAGAAAATGGAAATGAGGAAACTAATGATTAATGAGGCATGCTGGTCTCAGGTGCTTCATTGAGCTGATCTTCCATTCTCATTTGATCAGTAGGTCACATTCTGATTACCTGAAATTTCCCCTGATAATTTCTTAACTGGAAGAGTAAGGCTACTTTCTTGTGAATTGGTAATGCCAATAATATTTATTCAGGATAAATATTGAAAATGTATTATTTTTATAAGTTAAGCTAACATATTTTCAAAGTTTTGGTTTTGTACAGTTTTGTTGGTCACCATCTGTATGCACAATATGCATTAGACTAGCTCTATCACAAACTAGTAACATTCAGTATAGAAAAATTCTACTTCTTCCTTTTGCATCCCAGACAACCACCTGGACCCAAGAATCTTCATGCCTCTGACCTGGCTCCTATAGTACTTTACCTGGGTCTGAATGGGCTTTAGTTTTATTTGTTTGTAGTTTTGTTTTAAACTGCAGAGTAGACAGTTCTCTTAACTTCTACTTATTAGCATATAACCCTAATAAGGTTATATGCTTGTATTCTGACAAAATTTTCCATGTGGCTATATTATTATGTAAGTTTTTACAGTTATCATAACATGCTAAGTGGGTAATATCCAAGATATAACATGTTAATATCGTTAATGAATCAATTTAGACATGTTGGCAGACACATAAGAATAATATTGTTGGACATGTCAGTTTTTCAACATCTCTAAAAGCATATCACTGATTAAACCATAGTTTCTTAGCCTAGTAGATCTTTAGATCACAAAGTTACTCACAGATGACCTTCAGAGGACCAGGTGTTCGTGAAACCATTCAAAGAGTTTGCAACAATTTCTTTATGCATGTTTACATATATATATATATATATATATATATATATATATATATACACACACACACATATATATGTATGTATGGTTTAGAAAGAGGGTCTATAACTTTACTTATATTTTTCAGTGGGATATCAGACCTTTCAAAATGTTAAAAACCTTTGACTTTTACTAACTTCAAAACACTTTTGAATGGAGTAAACAAATGTGATTCACAATCTTTTGATTTATTTGTTTATTTCTTAAAAGATTTTTTATGTGAAATTTACAACTTCAGTTTTTCAAGAATATATTTTTAAAATATATTTGAATTCTAAAATTATATTCACTTACTTCTAAGGTAGAATACAAAATTGAACTAATACAAAATTGAACTAAGCATCTGACATATCCACCCCAGGAATTTGAATATAGATTGCTTCATAATATCGCCTAAGGTATTGTATCTAATGGTAAAATGGCAGAATAGAAGATATTGTTAATTTTAACAAAATTAACTTTGTGCTTTGTGAGTGTTTTATATTTCTTTATATATTTGCCCCAGGATATTTCTAGATGAAACAAATTACCTCATCTGCAGTCAAGAAGGATGGACTCTGAGCATCACCTGGCAGTCCTATTGGTTGAGATTAAATAGCTCAGCAGTGTTTCTGAAAAACATTAGATGCTCCCTTGGGCACATTTTGAATTTCTACTTTTTGATTTTTAAAATATATGTAAACATAAGCATGTTGATTATAAAAATACCTCTGAACTCATCTTAATGTTACTGCATATAAATTATTTTTAAATCAGGTGTTCAAAACATTTACTGGCCAGAGACAGTGCTTGTGCTTAAAATCATGTTTGTGCATACAAATTAAAAGTATCCAGAAGAAGCAATAATAAGAGTACACTTCTCATTTAACACCAAAGTCTCTTCTGCCTTGCTCGATTAATTGTCACTGAATGCAATTTTATCATAGTTAAAATGAATTCAGGTCTATTTCCAGGTAGTAATAATTTTGGGGGGGTTATAGAAATTAATGTTCCTCAAAAACTAATTAATAATTTCTAAAGAATCATTTGCATAAAGGATGTTCGAGTCTTGTGGCCATCATGTGTTGTATGTAACTAATTCACAGGTCCATTTTCATTACTGCATGTAGCTATGAGGTGACAGGCGTGACCACTCCAAATGGCCAAGCAAAAGGCCAACTGATTGAGCAATCATTTAGCAGCAGTTCATCCAATGATCACATTGTGTTTTTCAGTAAGGTCTGTCAACAAAATAAAGAAAAGAAGGGCAGGAGGAAGGGAAGTCCACCAAAATAGTGGTGATGTTGTTTGAACTTAGGCTTTTCTCTACCATAAACTTATTGTTCTTGAGCCTGGTTCATTTCTGCATTTTAACAGTGTACTATGCATTAAGATGAAGTCTTGATCTCACCATAAACCTGTATGGAAACAGGTTCATTATATAACACATATTTTTATATTAGCAGAAATAACTTTCCAACTTTTCATTTGTTTTGATGTCAATGTATTATAAGAAACTCTTGCCTAGAAGTAGAGCTATTGTGTTGCTCTGCTGAAAATTACTGTGTATAACAGTTTTAATATATTAAATTTGTTTGACTTATTGGTAGAGCCCACCAAATAAGGACCATGCAAGAGAGCATAATTCTTAGCAGACAGAAGATCCATTCACTATTTCTACTATAATTACAGTGAAAACATTATTGATAAATCAAACCAAAATAATTATTCTTTGAAAAGGAAAGGATATTTGTAGCTTTCTAATGCCACGAAAGATGCTGAGTGTAAAATGTTCACTTGCTCACTCTCAAATGTGCTGGGACAATCCAGAAATATCAAATGCAACTTTCCACATCATTTCCTCCACCAAACTTCATTTCCACCATCAACAGTGGTGAAATTATAGGCCTTCAAACACAACATATGGAACAAAAATCATTTTATCAGAATGAGGATGTAACATCAACTCCCCACCCCAAGCTCAAGCAAAAGAAAACAAAATAAGGAGTTTTTATAGCTTTGAAGACAATCCACAGGAGGTAAATTTCCCCCCATAGCAAGACCCTACTGGAAAGTGTGTGCTAAGAAAGCATTTCAATTACCAGCTAGCTGAACATGATTCACAATTTTCAAATAAACTTTTTTCCAGTTCTCTGAATATGTGGAAAATTACATGAAGAAATAGATATAGAAAATAAGAATGCTAAAGTCAGCAGTTGAAAATAGAGAAAGTAATGTTGAATAGCTTGCTCAAATAAACTTATTGAAACCTCACTAATACATTATCTTGGTGGACTCCATTTTTGAAGATAATACAACCGACTGATGTCATTGTGAGCTGCAGGCCTCCAGGTACCTGGAAGGACCTGGATGGAATCAGGAGTCTTTTTTACTGTACATGTGAAGAATCTTCTGGCTTGGGGAAATGGTTGTTTTGGCTTATTCTCTGCCCTTGAAAATGCCCAAGGCTTTTGTGAAATGTGAATGACCTCATTTCTGATTGCTGTGTGCCAGGTCGGTCTGTCTGCTGTTGTTATTTCCCCAAAGTGGACAGTTAACTCCATGTTGTTTCAAATTGTGTTTTTGTATTCTTAAAGCTTTTCTTCAGACTGCTGTGCTTATAGCCATTGTAGGGCATTCTCACAGCAAAACACTTCCACAATCTTACTAAATATAATAGGAAAAATATAAAAATCACTTCGTTTGCTACATGACACAAAGTGTGAGCATTTGCTTAAAAATGTCCCTAAAGAATGTTGCTGAATATTTGCATCAAGAAAAATCTCTTTAATTGCAAAATAGCAAAACAATGGTTTAAACATTAAAATAACACCCTAGGTTAGCAGCAGTCAGAATAATCCCCCAAAGAGACTTAACATTCTCACTAAGATAGACAAAAATGCTGCTATGACAAAATGATCATGTCTACATTATAAAAGAAAACAGAGACAATTCTTAGTTTACAGGCTTGAATTCTGGAAATATATATAATCCAGTTTATAAGAAGCAATATAAACCAGTATACAGAGTTTTAGTTCGGCACTTATAGAGGGCTGAGGTGTAATTTAGTGGGTTTTCTTATTCTTCATAAAAATAAACTGCGCATTTTATATATGTAGGAGCTTTTTGAAGTCATCAGAAATCATTTGGCTTCTCATTTTTAAAAAGGTTTTAGATTCGATTATCTCCAAGATATTTTATCATGTTTTATTACAATGACTTTAATTTCATTGCAGAATAAGTGGGAAATTAATTAATATGTGCAAATAATATAATATTTTAAGTAATGAAGTATATCCATAGTTTGATGCTTTTTTTGATAACTGTGTTTAAAATTTTATATGCCCAGCATCATTAAGAAGAGTTCAGGAAGGGTTTTAAAATGTATTATGTTTTGTGTAGTCACATAATAAAATTCAAATTATGTTGCTTCCCCCCCATTCCCACTCAGTTACTAAAATCATTTATATATATTTTTAATTTTTAAAAATTTGTATGCCTTGGATACAGAGAGAGTATTTGGTGTGATCTTTTAGGGAATGCCAGAGAAGCAACATTAATTTAGAAAAGACATAAAACAATATGGTGGGAAAAGTAGAATCAGGAAATTCTTGACTTTTTGTTTTGGATGCAAACACATTTCACAACAGAAACTATATATTAAGATAGGTGCACTGTGCATAATATAGAATTTTCTTTTGTAATGTAAGATATTGCTTTATACATATAGTTCATAAGACTTGTTTCATGGTGTATTATATTATATATGGTAACTTCAGAGGATCCGTACTTGTGGAACTTTGACATGAGGAAGGTGCATGAAGAGCTTAAATACACCTGTTTGTATTTTCTCATTGTCTTTCCAAATGCCCCAATTTTATGATGTAATTTTAGAGAACTTAAAGGTAAATGGTGCAAAATTAGAAAAATAAATTGTATTGAGCTATACTTAAAATAACTATGATATTTACTTATTTTTAACGCATCTAAACTAATAGGAATTAGTCATACAAGAGTGTGGCAAATAGCTTCCGCTTGTCTATTAGCTTATAGGTACTAAACAATTATCCTCAGGGAACTTCACTATAACATGAGGCAGACTTCATTTGGCAAATATATGTAGTATTTGATCTTTGATTTTGCCTACCCTCATCTGCAATATGTGCTAACACAGAGTTAGGAAATGGATGAAGAAACAGTTTATTAAGTGAAAAATCAGTTCTGGCTTCTAGATGTATTGATTTGTATTCCTGGTAATGAGGCCAGGGAAAGCAATGCTGGAACAATATGTTCCGTAGATGTTGGTGACAAAGATTATTTTCATGACCAAACTCTTGATCGTTCTCCTATGTCCATCTGTGAACCCTGCTAAATCAGTTTAGCAAGAAAACCTCACCCTCGATATCTGATCATCCTCAATATCTAAGCGGGATCCTCATCCTCTGCCATCCCCCAGGTAAGGTCTGATCACCCTGGCCTGTCTTCAGCAAGAATTCTGTTAGGTCTGTTTAGACAGAATCCTCCTTACTTCTTAGTCATTTCCTATCCACTGGCCCCCATCCTGCTCCTTGGCTATAAATTTCCGCTTTCCCATGCTGTATTGGGCATTAAACCCAATCTCTCTCCCTTACTGCAAAATCTCGCTACGGTTGTCCTTAATATCTATCATGATGGCCTTGAAGAAAGACTTCCTTATCATGCTTTAACAACTATCATTGAATAACTTTTTCTGTTTGTTTGTTTTAATTTTATTATTATTATACTTTAAGTTTTAGGGTACATGTACACAATGTGCAGGTTTGTTACATATGTATACATGTGCCATGTTGGTGAGCTGCACCCATTAACTCGTCATTTAGCATTAGGTATATCTCCTAATGCTGTCCCTCCCCCCTCCCCCCACCCCACAACAGTCCCCGAAGTGTGATGTTGCCCTTCCTGTGTCCATGTGTTCTCATTGTTCAATTCCCATCTATGAGTGAGAACATGCAGTGTTTGGTTTTTTTGTCCTTGCAATAGTTTGCTGAGAATGATGGTTTCCAGTTTCATCCATGTCCCTACAAAGGACATGAACTCTTCATTTTTTATGACTGCATAGTATTCCATGGTGTATATGTGCCACATTGTCTTAATCCAGTCTATCATTGTTGGACATTTGGGTTGCTTCCAAGTCTTTGCTATTGTGAATAGTGCTGCAATAAACAGACGTGTGCATGTGTCTTTATAGCAGCATGTTTTATAATCCTTTGGGTATATACCCAGTAATGGGATGGCTGGATCAAATGGTATTTCTAGTTCTAGATCCCTGAGGAATCGCCACACTGACTTCCACAATGGTTGTTAAACACTGAGTAGGGAAGCCAGTCTCAGAAAAAGGACAATGTACTCATACACTGTTGGGAAGTCATTCTCATCAACGGTCAAATCATTTGCTGATGTGAGCCACAAGTTACCTTTTCTGTTGTACATAGGAAGAGACTACTATTAGTTAGATATTGACTATTTCCCAAGGTCTAGAAGATTGAATAATAACTTACAAAATTGTTCTAATATAGTTTTTAAACTAGTACTGTTCTCTAACCACAATCTTAAATTGCTCAGTAATTTCCAATTTTCACTTACATGACAGCAGTGTGGATGAAGCTTTTATAATTACTGAGCTACTACAAATAATCATGTTTTTTGTCACAGAAATAAGATGATTGAAATTCAGCATTCAGCTACTAGTTGGAAAATACCACTTGGCTTTTATAATTTAAAATATTCATAAGTACAATGTATAATTTTATTTTAGATATTAATCATAAACTGATTCATGAGGACACTTATAAACCTTGAATGGGCAGTATTTATGGCATTGTAGTTATGAGCCCAATCACTGTATATTAGAGATGTGAGCTCAAGTCCATTATTTGAATTCTCTATGTCTTAGTTACTTCATATAAAAAGTGAGAATAATGGTGTCTGTTTTCTAGAGTTGTTGTGAATATTAATTGTAAATCTCTTAAAATGGTACCTGACATTCTATAAGCAGCATATAATTACAAGCTAATATCACAGAGAAGCTATATATTTAATCAAATGTGTAGCATTATTTCCAAATATTGGAGAAATGGTAATTTTCATTATGAATGATTTTATATACTCTCCATCAAGTTACTGAATTACTAGAACAAAGTTATGACTCTTCCTTTAGATAATTATTTTTTCCCCTCCTCTGGCTATAGTTTACTTAAATTACTTAGAACTCCTTTTAGTAACAGGCTGACTTCTAACGTTGGTAAGAAACTATCATAACATGTTATTCAGAAAATATCAAAACTAGATATTTGTTTTTAATGGAACTTGTTCAATGTGTCAATTATCTGGAATATTGTTATCTAATATATGTGTTATGGGTGAACACAAATAAGATTGCCTCTTCCAGGTTTATCAATTTATATTTGGGATATGGAGACTGGAAGATGCAAATTAGGATAATACACCAAGCAGATGGTAAGTAAAGAAACCAGTCTACAGAGAAAGAACAAGGAAACAGACAGACAGAAAAATAGATACATACATAGCACCGTTATGAGAGGGAGAAAACTGTCCAAGTGTTATTTTTCTTCCTTTAAAGCCCTATTGTATTGTACATAATATAATCATATGTATGTATACATATATACACATATCTTAATTCATATATGTAGTAGGCTGAGAGCCCATTTCTGATGATGACGAACATATTGGCTCTCTTGAACAGCAACTTCTTATTGGTCAAGCAGACAACAGTGGAGAGAAGCTGACACTCTTCATTTCTTAGGGAAGAAACAATACATGCCAAGACATAATGGTATAAGAGCAAATTGTGTTTGCGGGAGTAAATTCGTTTCTAAGTATAAGATGCCAGGGTATGTCTGGTGCAGTGGTCAGAGATGATGCTGAAATGGAGGGCAGAAGCCGGATCATGAATGACCATGCTTTCCCCACTGAGGAGTTTGAATTATATTCTGTAGGTGATTTGCGTCGCTAAAGGATTTGTACTGGGGGGATGACATAATCAGATATTTGTTCTAGAGGTTGACATTTGAAATATTCATATATGATAGTCCAGATATCATGTTCAAGCAAAACTCATGATTCTCTTCTGTTCCATTACACACAGAAGTGATGAAAATACACCTTGACAATGAAACTTAAAAATAGTCATCAAGGCCGGGCGCGGTGGCTCACGCCCGTAATCCCAGCACTCTGGGAGGCCGAGGTGGGTGGATCACAAGGTCAGGAGACCATCCTGGCTAACACGGTGAAACACCGTCTCTACTAAAAATGCAAAAAGAAATTAGCCAGGCTTGGTGGTGGGCGCCTGTAGTCCCAGCTACTCAGGAGGCTGAGGCAGGAGAATGGCGTGAACCTGGGAGGTGGAGCTTGCAGTGAGTCAAGATGGCACCACTGCACTCTAGCCTGGGCGACAGAGCGAGACTCCGTCTCAAAAAAAAATAAAAAAATAAAAACTAAAAAATAGTCATCAACCCATGCAAGAATTAACTGAAAAATGGGTGGGGCTGGAATAACATGACCCTTGGCTATGCCTACCTTGAGGGAAATAAGATAGACACCAGATTTTTACTTATCTACTGTCTAGCTGGGGTTAAAGTGAATGCATAAACTAAAAAACATGCAGGCACTCACAAAATCTCTTGTGAAATGGGAAATGAACAGAGTAACATATTAATCATATTAATATACTACCTCCTATGTATGGTGTTTTTTTTTTTTCCCTGATAGAGAATTGTGATTAAAAGAGTTTGGGGACCACTGATTTTATTTTGCACTTATTCCTGTTTTAAAGTCTTAGAATTAGACAAAGGTCAATAGTACAATATAGTCACTGTAGAATGATCCTGAGGTAATTATTGGATACAGGATTAAAGATAGTAGTGCAACAATTTACTTCTGGCTTTAGATTTGAGAAAAAACTTTTCCAGTTATTACATGGAGTTGAGAATTAGGAGTGGGCAATTAGAAAAAAATTAACATTATTTTGCTGGCAAAAGTCAGATCTAAAAAAAAAATCCTAATTCAAAAATCAGTAAAGAGATACCAAACAAATGTTAAATATGAATAAAGATAACTGTAATAAAGTAAAAATAAAATCTCAAGGGAAAAAGGGATTGCTGTTTTCTAGGCAAAATTTAAGAAGAGACCCTTACCTAGAGATAGATTAGTGGTGTCTTCAATCTCAAGAAAAAGAAAAAAATCCTATTGGCTCTCAAGCAGAAAAGTAACAATAAGAAAACTCTGGTTACTTTAAAAAATTTATAATAATAGTCTTCTATAACATAAAATTCCAGAAGACAATGGAACAATAACCAATGATAACATATTGAGAGAAAACAGTTTTTAATCAAAATGTTGACAGTGAAGCAAGTTGATGTTTATTGTAAATGCAACAACAGAAAAAATAACTTTCTCAGAAATCTAATGGCTTCCAGGATGCTGGGGTAGCGGCAGTAGAGTGACTGATTCCAAGACTTACTCCTACTGAGAAACTGGCTTAGAGATAAATACAACTGAATAATTCAAAAACACGTACTTCAGTTTGAAAGAACTACTCATGAGCACTGAAATAGTAACATGAAATGACAAATCCAATCCTCTTCTGTTCTCATTTGACTGCATAAAACAAAAGGGGAATATTTATGATTCCTTAAAATACAATAATGATTGTTTAGTTTGATATTTCAAGATTGAATTCATGAAAAATAGAAGTGGGTGAGATGAAGAAAAATAAAAGATATTTTTCCCTCCAGCAAGAAGGAAAAGAAGGTCAATATTTTGGTGTGTTTGTTTAACTTTCGTATTAGGAGAAGTAAATTCATGTAGGTTTTGAAAAAACTTACAGACAAATAACACTGGAATTTTTTAAAGTTTGACTTTCAAGTCATTGCAGATAATGGATGTAATAATAGCTTAGTACACATAATTATAGACTGAAAATAAATGAAACAATTAGGAAGCCTGATAAAAAACATAAAACAAGAAAACAGAAATATAACCAAGGTCATCAGTTATTGCTCTAAATGTTAATTGATAAAGTCCCCTATTGTAACAAAATGCTCTGAGATTGTATTATAAACAAAAACTAAAGGAAATTCAATTATATATTGCCCATAATGGAAAAACTTAAAGCATAGTTACACTTAAAGTGTTGAAAGAATGGGCAAAAGCTTATTAGACAAAGAAAAGGAAAGATACACCTCAATTTTATTAGTGATGGACAAAATAGAATTTGAAAGAATAAAAAGTAATATATTGATATTATATTTATATTGAGAAAAGGTACATTCCACAGTAAGGCTGTAATATTAATGAGTCTCATTAAAATGTGAACCTTGGGAATAGAGATTATCATCAGGGCCAAACACAGTGACAAGCGCATGGAACAGATGCTTATTAAATAAAATGGACCAAGGATAGTAATTTTTTGTTGCTAAAAGTTAATAATAATCACTCACTCTTTGGCTCTGTATGGAAGGGATCATGAAGCTCTTTTATGGGCCTTAGTTCCTTCAGATACAATTCATAATGAAGACAATCCCATCATAAAACTGTGACAAATAATAGAGCAGCAAAATGTTTATGACAAAAACCATCAAAAATCTAAAATAAATAGATAACACACAATTACTGGAAGAGCTATTAGTACATCACTAATTAAAATACTATGAAATATATAAAATATGACAAATAAAGGATTTGAGCAATGAAATTAATAAAGCATAATTAATATATACCATATTTTGTGCACTACAAATAGAATACACTTTTAAAAATGTGTATAAATTTAAAGGGTACAAGTAGAGTTTTGTTGCATGGATATATTGCACCATGGGGAAATCTAAGCTTTCAGTGTAACCATTACCTGAATAATGTGTGTTGTGCCTATTAAGTAATTTCTCATCCTTTACCCACCCCCCTTTCCCCCTCCTACCTTTCTCAGTCTCCAATGTCTATTATTCCACACTCTATGTCCATGTGTGTACATTAGTTATCTCCCATTTATAAGTAAGAATATGTGGTATTTGAATTTCTATTTCTGAGTTGTTTCACTTAAGATAACAGCCTCCAGCTCCATTCATGTGGCTGCAATATACATTATTTCATTCTTTTTTATAGCTGCATAGTAATTCATGATGTATATATTCCACATTGTCTTCATCCAATCATCCTTTCATGAACACTTAGATTGATTCCACATCTTTGTTACTGTGACTAGTTCTGCAATAAACATCTGAGTACAGGTAATCTTTTTGATATAATAAACTATTTTCCTTTGGGTAGATATCCAGTAGTAAGATAGTTGTACTGAATGGTAGTTCTATTTTTAGTTCTTTGACAAATCTCCATATTGTTTTCCATAGAGGTTGTACTAATTTACATTTCCACCAATAGTATATAAGTGCACCCTTTTCTATACATCCTTGCCAACATCTGTTATGTTGAGACTTTTTAATAATGGCCATGTGGAGATTGACGTAAGATTATATTTCACTGTGGGTTTGCGTGTCTCTGATGATTAGTGATAAGTATTTTTTCATAAGCTTGTTGGCAATTTGTATGTATTCTTTTGAAAAATGTCTTCATATCTTTTGCTCACTTTTTAATAGTGTTACGTTTTTGTTGTTGTTGAATTGCTTGAGTTCCTTGTAAATTCTGAATATAAGTCCCCTGACAGATGCATAGTTTGCAAATATTTTCTTCCATTCTGCAAGTTGTTAGAGTATGTATTTTAAATAAATTTGAATAAAAGAATGAGTAGATGAATATATTGTGTGTAGAGTGGGTTCCATTATTGAGATAGTAAGTGTGAGGTTATGATCAGTTTTAGAACACCTGTTGAGACCTACTGCTCAAAAAAATTCCTTTCAAAATATTACTGTTCATTGAGAATGCACTTGGTCGCTCAAAAGCTCTGATAGAGATGTATGAGGGGATTAATGTTGTTTTCATGCCTGCTAACACAGCATCCATTCTGTAGCCCATGAATCAAGGAGTAACTTTGACTTTCAAGTCTTTTTACTTAAGAAGTGCATTCTATAAGTCTGTAGCTTTCACAGTGATTCCTCTGATAAATCTGCAAAAAGTTAGTTGAAAAACCTTCTGGAAAGGATTGACTGTTCTAGATGTCATTAAAAACACTCATGATTCATGAGAGGAGGCCAAAATATGAACATTAATAAGAGTTTGTAAGAAGTTGATTCCAATCCTCAGGGATGACTTTGAGTGTTTCAAGACTTCAGTGGAATTAGTCACAGCAGATGTGGTGGAAAAATAGCAAGAGAATTAGAGGTAGAAATGGAGCCTGAAGATGTGACTGAATTGCTGAAATCTCAAAATAATACTTACATAAATGAGGAGCTGCTTTTTATGGATGAGCAAAGAAAGTGGTTTCTTGAGATGAAATTCACCCCTGGTGAAGATGCAGTGGGCTTTTTTTTTTTTAATGACAACAAAGAATTTAGAATATTTCATAAAGTTGATAAAGCCATGACTGGGATTGAAAAGACTGACTCCAATTTGGAAAGAACTTCTACTGTGGGTAAAATGCTATCAAACGGCATCACATGCTACTGAAAAATCTTTCATTAAATAAAGGGTCAACTGATGCAGCAAAGTTTATTTTTGTCTTATTTTAAGAAATTGCCACAGTCACCCCAATCTTCAGTAATCACCACTCTGATCAGTCAGTAGCTACCAACATTGAGGCAAGACCTCCCACCAGCAAAAACATTACGACTTGCTGAAGGCTCAGATGATCATTAGCATTTTTTACCAATAAACCATCTTAAAATTAAGGCACGTACATTGTTTTTTAGACATAATGCTATGGCATAATTAACAGACCACAGTATTCTATAAATTTAACTCCTATATATTAACTGAGTACCCCATTTTTTTCTAAGAGAAATGTGTTTTTCATTATATTCTTCTTCTTTTCTCTTTTCTCCTTTTCCCCTGTTCCCTACTTCCTATTTCGCTCTTTAGAAATACAGTTATAACCTTTACCTTCTCTTCACAAGACACTTACTACAGGACAAGCTTATCTAACTATGTACTTACTTAGAAGCTCCAGAGCAAGAGCTCTTTCCCACCAGGAGATTGCCTCAAGAGACAACAGTCAATTTACAACTGATGTGGTTTGGCTGTGTCCCCACACAAAGCTCACCTTGAATTGTAATAATCCCCATGTGTCAAGGGCAGGACCAGGTGGAGGTAACTGAATCTTGGGGGCAGTTTCCCCCATACTGTTCTTGTAGTGAATAAGTCTCATGAGATCCGATGGTTTTATAAATGGGAGTTCCCCTGCACACACTCTCTTGCCTGCCACCATGTAAGATGTGCCTTTGTTCTTCCTTCACCTTCCATTATGATGGTGAGGCCTCCCCAGCCATGTGGAACTGTGAGTCCATTAAACCTCTTTCCTTCATAAATTACCCAGTCTTGGGTACGTCTTTATTAGCAGCACGAGGATGGACTAATACAAAAACCTAACATATGCCCACCAGAGAAAACTCTGTCCCACCTGGAAAATATCTCATACAATGTCCACTTTATAGCCTAGTTCTTCCCCTAATGGTGCCAACTCGACCACCCAGGAGAGAAGGCACTGAAGTGAGTCACATAGATCCCCACCTGCTCACTGCCTCCCCTGCATGCTGTTCACCAACTCCTGCTTTTAAAGCCCCTGCGTTCTGTCCCAAAGGAGAAGTAGCACCCTCAAAGGCAGGAGCCTGTCCCTCTTCCTTTAAGCTAAACTTTGAGATAAAAAGTCGCTTTTGGTCAGATGCCTGTAATCCCAGCACTTTGGGAGGTCTAGGTAGGTGGATCACTGGAGGTCAGAAGCTCAAGACCAGCTTGGCCAGCATGGTGAAGCCCTGTCCCTCCTAAAAAATACAAAAATTAGCCGGGCATGGTGGGGTATGCCTGTAGTCCCAGCTACTTGGGAGGCTGAAGCATGAGAATTACTTGAACCTGGGAGGCAAAGGTTACAGTGAGCTGAGTTTACGCCACTGGACTCCAGCCTGGGCGACAGAGTGAGACTCTGTCAAAAAAAAAAAAAAAAAAACCAAACCATAAAACCAGTCACTTTCTTTATATCAGACCTCACTCTTGCTAATTGGACTGCAAGCAGCCAGTCACTGAACCTGAGATTTAGTTACATATATACACTGGGAAACCAAAATTTTGTGTGACTCACTTTATTATGATATTTGCTTTATTGTGGCAATCCAGAACAGAAACTGCAATATTGCTAATATATGCTTATATCTTATTCTGTTCATAATTCCGTTATAGTGTATCTAAAGTATATCTTTTCCCACTTTACCTCAAGAATTAAGTGAATTCATTTTTGTTTCTATTTCTAAGTGTCCATCTGAAATTAGCACAACTTGGAGTTCATTTCATTCAGGGACAAAAACAAAACAGTTTGTAGGGAGAAAGGCAAAGGGCTTGTCTCCTGACTACCATCCTTGTTACTGGAGATTGCAGAGAATTATCACCATAACTGGAGCTGGAAAAATGGTCTCATCCATTGGGAAATGTCTAGAAGAATCTGTTTGACATCAAATTTTTTCAATATTTTATCCCAGAATTTGTGCCTTCTCCTTTTAGTTCCAACTCTTTCCCCCTTCCTCCAGAGTATTCATTTGTCAAATCCCAATGCTTTTTATAACTGAAGTTATAAAGGACTCTGGTTAGACAATATTATTATAAGATACTGGAAAAATAGTGTAATACCTGAGGTATTTTCTGTCCTTAGTGTGTTTTTTGTGTGTTGGTTGGGGAAGGATAGGTATATAACACTAAAGTCTGAGTATTCTGGCCTTACAATGTAATCATAATCGAGTCATTCTCAATAGGTATCTTCTTTTTTTATTCCAGATAACTACTTCCACTCACAATGAGATGAATTGTCTTTTTACAGAATTTAGGGATTCCAAGTTGCCTGGTTTTAATATAATACATATTCACAAAATTTACACAGCTCATGCATACCATAACTTATACAGAGAACAGTTTAGCAGTCTGCTTAAAATGTTAAAAAAAAATCATAAAAAGCCATTGTTCTGTTACACATAATCTGTACTGAAGTCATAAGCATCATCCTCTTCAATGATTTTATCCAAGATAAAAGACCTTGTAGACTCAGTGGCCCTGTCTCAGAACAATTAAATAAGAGTTTCTGGGAGCCAGTCACAGTCATTGCTATATTTTAGCCCCTTCTTAGATGATTTTCCGTATAATTAGTTTTAAGAACTACACCTTACATTACAGACTTTAGAAATTTCATATTCTTATTCTTTGTTTCCAGGTCAACTGTAAATTGAGTAGTTTTGTGAGTACTTCTTTCAGATGCCTATAATTTGAAAATAATTCTATAAACTATGACGCTGGGGTTTTGCTAAAAATAAGCATTTGCATATCACTTTTATGATCTAACATGGTATATCCAAGCCTGTTCAGAGTTTAACATTAATTTCTAATGGTTCTCTTTTATAGAATTTAACTTGTGAATTTATTAAAATATACTAAACTTGCTCACCCTCAGGGTATGTGAGAATGAGCTTCTGCATTCCTGGGAGCAAATTGCAGATCAGCATTTTTAGTGCTGCCTAAGACCCTTTGTGTGTGTGTTTTTTAAAATTACCAACATAGATCAAGTTTATGTTAATTGTATGAAAAAGCAACAGAAATAATCAGTAACATTTACACAACTTTAAGTAGTTAACCTAGTTCTGAGGCAGCAGAATTATTAAATAGTCAGCACCTTAAAGTAGGCAAAACATGTAATGAAGCATTTCTTTCTACTAGCGTGTTTTTCTTTCTGCAGGCATGGTTGAGTATTGAGGTGTACATGTTGGGGTTGTAGTGATGTGGTTTAAATCAAATTTATCTCAACTTAAACTAAATATGTTTCTTTACATATGTTAAGCAGTCTTCTGTGAGTGACTTCTTTCTTCAGAGGTTCTGTGCAGCTCTTAAAAGGAGTAGAAAGATCACTAAAGTGACAGCATAGAACAGGCACAAAAATTGCCTTGTATACAATTGCACACACACACAAAAAGAACAAAATAGCTGTATTTTAAAAACTTTATAAGAAATCAACATTTATTAAGAGTATACTTCTATACTTTATTGACTGAACAATAGCTCATCTTTTTCTTGAGAAGAAAGCTCCTGAATATTGTGGAAAATAAAACAAATCTTAGAAACAAGTTACTATATACTGCCTCAGGGGCTGAGTAGCATTTTCTGTCTAAATGACACATTACTGTGCATTATCACATTGTTCTTCCAAATAAATCTGTGGTTTCGTCAATGAAAGGTGAGTAATAGGTTCATTTTTTTTCTTAAGATTTTAGAAGGAACATAGATCTAACTAAATACTACCAGCATTATTAATGAAGATCTATGATTAATTAAAAGCCTATGGAGCTTTAAAATTACCACTGGCTACTCGAGAATTAGAGCGGCCCCTCCTGTTCTTACTCTACTCTTTCTCCCTCTCACCCACCTCCTGATGACCTTGTCACTACACTGGACCTTTCATCATTGATCTGCTATTACCAGACTCTTACTCTAGCACGTTTTGTTTTTTTCTGTCCCATCACCATTCCAGAGGTTTTTCTCTTAAACACAGATATACATGTCCTTAGAACATTATAGACCCCAGTGAAAGCTTATTTTACAATTGTGGTAAAAAGCAGATAACATATAATTTACAGTCTTAAGCATTTTTAGGTGCATAGTTCAGCTGTGTTAAATACATTCACGTTGCTGTGAAATAGATCTCTGGAACTTTTTCACTTTGTGAAACAACTCCCCCTTTTCCCCTGGTCACAACCAATTTCCTTTCTGTTTTTAAGCATTTAACTACATTAGATAGCTCACGTGAATCACACGGTATTTGTCTTTTTGTGACTGGTTTATTTCACTTAGTAAGAACTTTGTTTTTTGTCCTGCGTGATGGGAAGCTATTAGATGATTGATATGGTTTGGCTGTGTCCCCATCCAAATCTCATTTTGAATTGTAGTTCCCACAATCCTCACATGTCGTGGGAGGGACCTAGTGGTGGGAGGTAATTGAATCATGGGAGTTGGTTTTTCCTGTTCTGTTCTCGTGATAGTGAATAAGTCTCATAAGATCCTGATGGTTTTATAAAGGGCAGTTCCCCTGAACACACTCTTGCCTGCTGCCATGTAAGACGTGACTTTGCTCCTCATTCACCTTCTGCCATGATTGTGAGGACTTCCCAGCCATGTGGAATTGTGAGTCCATGGAATCTTTTTTTCTTTATAAATTATCCAGTCGCTCGGTATGTCTTTATTAGCAGCGTGAGAACAGACTAATCCAATGATCTTGAGCAGGGGAGTGACAGAATCTGATTTACGTTTTTAAAAGGTCACCCTGATATTGTGAAGTGTGGGTGATTTTGTGAAGAGATGATGGCAGCTTGGATCTGAGTGGTAGTGGCGAGTCAATGAGAAGTGACTGTATTTCAGTTATATTTTCAATGTAGATTAAAGCTATTAAGGTTTTGCCATTACTTTCAATAGCAAAAACTGCAATTACTTTTGCACCAACCTAATAAAAGTCACTGATGAGTTGGATAGGGAGGTTGGATTCATAAGCCTGTGTTCTGTGTAGCTGGGAGAGTGGTGGTGCTGCTTCCTAGGATGCATATGCTCCTTAGAAAGGGAGTGGAAGAGACTGAGGTGTTTTCCTTTGCACATTAAAGAGTAAAAATTGCTGAGACCAGCTCGGTCATGGAAACCGAGGAATTAAAGACATACACACAGAAATATAGAGTGTGGAGTGGGAAATCAGGGGTCTCACAGCCTTCAGAGCTGAGAGCCCTGAACAGAGATTTACCCACATATTTATTGACAGCAAGCCAGTGATAAGCATTGTTTCTATAGATTATAGAGTAACTGAAAGTATTCCTTACGGGAAACAAAGGGATGGGCCGAAATAAAGGGTTGGGTCTGGCTAGTTATCTGCAGCAGGAACATGTCCTTAAGGCACAGATCGCTCATGCTATTGTTTGTGGTTCAGGAACTCCTTTAAGCGGTTTTCCACCCTGGGTGGGCCAGGTATTCCTTGCCATCATTCCAGTAAACCCACAACCTTCCAGCGTGGGTGTCATGGCCATCACAAACATGTCACAGTGCTACAGAGATTTTGTTTATGGCTAGTTTATGGCCAGACATGGGGGCCAATTCCCAACAAGAAAAATTGTTCAGGTAGTTGGATTTAGGAGACTTCACAGGGTAGAAATTGGGGTCAGAGATGTAAATTTGGGAATCATCAAAATATAGAAAACATTTAAAACCTGGATCCTGGAGAGAGTCTAGTTAGAGAATAAAAGTAGTCTGAGGGCCGACCCCCGGCCCCCGGCATTTGGAGGTCTAATCTGCACTGAACGCTCCGTTTGCCAGCATGCTGCTCCAAAGTCGTGCTTTATCCCTTCCCAGGGACCCTGAGAGGAAATTTTAAGCATAACTCCACTTACAAAATATCAAGAAATTATTCAAAATTAATTATATTATCTGGTACATGATTTCCTACTCACATTCTTAAGTGATATTCAGAACACCCTTCTGAATGGTGATATACTCTCTGTAAGATAACTTTTTTTTTTGAAATAAACATCTGTGTATTTACTGATTCAAGGAGCAATTCCTCTCCTTGCTTAGACTGATGTGTGCTTATTTGCAATGTTGAGATTTTATAGTGTAAGGATAAATTCAAATTAAAAATAAGAGACTTAATTCTTTCTGTTGAAAATAAGGAAAAAGACTTCTTCCCACTCTCTTTTCTCAGATAATTTAATTTAGACCACTTGTTTATTCTTTCTCTGTCTTTAAAAATATATTTCAATCTTAAAAAGCTAAAGAATCTCTGGAAGCTTCAGGACCCAGGAATGTTTTGCTTGAGGATCTGAGAACCATCTCTTGAAAATGTAATCATCCTCAAGGAAAAAAGTGTAACTGGACCTAAGTCCAGCAGTCCACTACCCAAAAGCCAGTCTTGAGAGACAAGGTTTGGTGGAAGGAAAAATCGGATTGAATCAAGTGCCAGAGGGCTTGTGAAGATGCTGAACTCAAGTCATAAAGACCATCTCAAATTTTAAAGTTTATCATAAGGTTTTAAAAGGGAAACTTGATATGGGAGACATGCAGGACTGGTGCAGAGTGTAAGGTCCGAGTGTCTTTTTCTGCTGGCTATCTTGGGTACTCGCCCATCTGAAGATCTGGTTGGCATTATCTTGACTTTAGCCCAATGATGGTGGATTGATAGTTCACAATTCCTCCTAAAGAGAATTCTACCATTAGGGCTCCATGCCTTGTTTCAAAAGATTAGTCTTTTGAGTTTCTTAAGGAAGAAAATAATTAAGTGAGTGTGCATTGCTGGGGCGGGGGGGTAGGGGAGTGTCTAGAGAGGTAAGGAATGAAGGGGTGAGGGAAGGAAAGGAAGAAAAAGAGAGTAAGTGATTTAAAAATGCATTTTTAAAACTGAGGTCCCCAATTACAAAAGTACACCGACCTCCCAATTTCTGTGGGAGGGTAGGAACCTGACATTGGTAGGCATCTCACTCCAAGTTGCAAAACTACTGCTTTTCATAAAGATATGAGAAGTTTGTTTTTCCTTTGGATAAAGCCAAAGGAAACACAGATGGCCAGCCCAATGACCAAGAATCCAGGATGAACTATGTGTTGTCACATATGTCACAGTGGTGCTGTGAAGTCCTTTGATTTGAGGACTAGTTATTGTTTATCTTGGGAACATATATGTAATGGGTTGTATCTGCTTGGCTATATAAAATGAGATTTCTTTCTGTTTTTGCAATCTCTTAGCAATTATTGTGATGCACATCATGTCCTGGTTTAATGCTATTCAATAATGAAATTATTTTTTCTTTTCTATCTTATTGGAGCAATTTTCTGGGTTGGCAGAAGAGTTCGTTTTTAAGTATATTTCTTTAACAATAGTTTTAAAAGTGTGAAGTTGGAACCAAATATTGTTTTAACAGATGAAACGGAGGTCCAGGGAATGTTACTGACCTATCAAGGCTGACAAAGCTGATCAGAGCCATGTTTAGAAGCAGTAGCTTCTACTTTCAACATAGTGCGCTTTCTGTACTCCATGACTCTTGTCCACATTCAAAAGCTTAATTGTTTTTGAGTGTTCCCAATATGCATAGCTAATAAATCCGGGGTAATAGTTTTTTCCATGCTTCACTGGAAGCGAATCAGCATGATTTGACTTCTAAGGTTATTGACATTTTCTAAGTGATGGCTGCTCACTGTAATGTGTACGAACCTATTTAACAGAATTAATGAAAATCTAATCATTTCTGCATTTTGAAGATGCTGAGTTAAGAGAAAGAGAGAAAAACAAAGAGGGGAGCAAAAGCACTGCAAAGATGAATTGATTTATGAATATCACCCTAGCTATTCCAATAGGATATGACATGAAACATAATTATAAGATGAAAACATACATGTGTATTAATCTTAATGAGAGAAATTCAGAGAACTGATGCATAACTACAGGATTGAGAGCTAACAAAAATAGAGAGTAATAAATGTTTTACTCCAGTAGTTTTGACTACTCAGGGGAAATAGATTTGGAATAAAAATGAGATGTGCAAACCAATCTAACTTGTACCAATATATACTGTAAATTAAAAAAAATTAAACAGCCAATTTCTAAACTAGCATAGATGAGAATAAAGAAATGTGAAGGTCTGTTGAATCAATCTTTCAAAAGACTGTGATGCATAAAAAATTGTGCTTAAAAATTTACTTCCATGAAACAGATTCTTAAAAAATATCAAAGGAAAGCTTCTAACCTGCAATCAGGGTACTTAAATTTAGATTAGAAGAGGCAGTTGATGCTCTTTCAATCCATTTTGCTATTATTATGCACGCTAAAGCATTAGAAGGAAAAGAGTTAATAGCTGAGGAGAAGGGGGGCAGGTTTGAACTGAATGATTACCCTCATTTTAATGTGTGAACTTGACCAAAGAGTAAAATATTTGGATTTTTGAGGAAAAAGGGCATGCAGGAACAGGAGAGATAATAACCTCACAAATGATTTCACCAAAGTGTTCTATATAATTTACTATTGCAATATTTGTTTTTCAAAAGTAGTATCATGTATCAAAAGAATGATGCTTATTTCTTATCAGTCTGATCTTTGTTAGATAAAGCAAAAACAGTGATGTGCAGAAACTCTTCAGTTTTAATTTGCATTTGAATGTAAGCAAATTGATTAGTATTACATTCACCTATTTTGCTACTTATAAAGTGGTTTTGTCTTGTGTAGATCTGTATGTCTGTAATTTAAATGTTATTTTAAACTCCTAAGTTTCATTTGTAATTCAAATTTGCATTAATTTACTGAACGTATTGTTATGGGTGGGTCTTTGTTCTTAGAGCTCCCAAGATGGTGGTAGTCCGCTCCCAAGATGGTGGTGGGCTGCTCCCAAGTTGGTGGCAAGCCTTTTGTTCTCTGACCTGAGGTTCTTGGCCTCACAGATTCCAAGGAATGGAACCTTGGGCCATGCGGTGACTGTTATAGCTCTATTAGAAACTAAGGGTCACAGAGGAGAACTGTGGAACCCAGCGACTAGTGTTCAGCTCGAATAGGACGAACCCGGGTGCTTAGCCATGCAGGAACAATGGCAAGCCTCTAGCCCAAATGGGAGGGGCAATGGGTGCCTCACTGGATCAGAAACACAGCAGACACCCTGCTGGGTCTGGAGGGGTGGAAGTCAATGGCGGGTCTGTGATGGCTGCAAACAGCAGTGGTGGACAGTGAGGGAAGGCTCAGCTCCAGCAGGAACACAGACCAGAGAAGCATGCAGTTACAAGATTTAAAAGAGTGAAAACAGAGCTCCCACACAAGGGGAGGGGACCCAAAGGGGTTGCCCACTTCCGGCTCGAATGCCTGGGGTTTATATCCCAATCATTGTCCCTCCCCCGTGCTCTCAGATGATAGATGATTTGACTATTTCTTTACCTCCTGCTTTTAGCCTAATTGGTATTTTAGTGAGCCCTCTTTACTACCTGATTGGTCAGGTGTGAGCTGAGTTACAAGTCCCGTGTTTAAAGGAGGGTGCGGTCACCTTCCCTAGCTAGGCTTAGGAATTCTTAGTCGGCTAGTCCTGTCTCTCAGTATCCCAATAAATTGGTGACATATAGAGGTGTGAAGTTTAAAAGAGTAAATCATATTTTGTTTAGACTTGTTATTTTGAACATTTATTACTTAACAGAGTTGGAGGAAGAAATGAACTATGAAAATACTTTAAATATTTGAATGTACTAATGCCTTTAAAATTATTTTATAAATCACAGAACATCCATTTTGATAATAGATACTCTAACACAAAATACCAATTTTATTGTAATATTGGTAGTGGCAAAATACTTGCTTTGCCATTTAAATAAAATTTAAAGTAAGCCTGCATCCCAGAGTCACATTTTAATAATTGTAAACTAGCAGAAAATAAGAAAACATGATTGAAGCAATTGCATAAGACATATTGAGAGAATGCACATTCAGCTATGGTGTACATGCTTATTACAGGAATAGAGGCCGATTTTAGAAAATGGAGAACAAATTAAGTAAAAAAACAAAAAAACAAAAAAAACTTTATACTCACCAAGTATAGCCATCATAGCATATTTGCATTATATATATTTCCTGTCACTATTTTTTCTATGCCCAAATTGTGATTAAACTCTAAGTACAATTAAAATGGTTATTTTCAGGCCAGCCGTGGTGGCTCATGCCTGTAATCCCAGCACTTTGGGAGGCCAAGGCAGCTGGATTGCTTCATCTCAGGAGTTAAAGAGACCAGCCTAGGCAACATGGCAAAACCCTGTCTCTGCTAAAAATGCAAAAATCAGCTGGGCATGGTGGCAAGTGCCTGTAATCCCAGCTACTTGGGAGGCTGAGGAAGGAGAATCACTTGAATCCGGAGGCAGAGGTTGCAGTGAGAGGAGATCGTGCCACTGCACAGAGGGAACGACAGAGGGAGACAGAGCCGGGGCGACAGAGGGAGACTCTGTCTCAAAAAGAGAAAAGAGTGATTTTCTAGCTTGATATTATATTGTAAAAATTGTCTCATGTCATTAAAATCCTTCAAACATCTGTTTATACTGCCTAAAATAGTCTTTTGTATAGATGTGCCATAATTATTTTTTGATTATTGAAATTTTGACTTATTTACATTATCTTCTATACACAAGATTATGATGAAGATTTTTTAACATATTTTTATGTTTAAATGTGTGATGATATACTTAGGAATAAGAATAATTAAGTTAAATTATATAGGGATTTGTAAGTATTTTGATACAAACTGTTGAATGCTTTCCAGATGTTCAAACGAATTTATATTCTGTACCAACTTTTCAACACAAAATCATATTTAAAAGTTATTTTCCATATGTTAAAGCATCAGTTTCTTCATTTGCTGCAACAACTACAGAAATACAGTATTAAATATATTCATTAAACAATTTTTTTGTTTAATTGCTTATTCATTATTAGATTTCCCTATTTTTCACATTTATTTTAAGAGAGTGTATGTGTGTGTGTGCTTATGTGTCTGTATATGAGAGAGAGAATACAATATTAAACTTGGCATTGAAAAATAACCTTCCAATTAAAAAAAAATGTTAATTTATGTTCTTTTTGACATTAAGAAGGTTTAGTTATTTTTCATTCAGATCTATCAACATTTTCTTTAATAATTGCTTTCGTTTTTTAAATAATTAACAAATTGCTTCCAATTTAGCAATAAATATTTCTTTATTTTTTAAATAATTTATTTAAATATTCACTTTTTTGTCTATTTGAAACTGATTTTGGTTTATGGCATTAACACTACTGATTACTATGTTCCTTCTCCATTGGTTCATGATAGTTCTTTCAGCATGAAATCAATGTTTATAACCATTAGAGTCTATTTTATGGAAGTTTACTATATTCCATGAATTTGCCTGTTAAATATGATATTGTAAGAGGTTGTTATTATACTGATTGATTATACTGTGTTGTTTTATATAGCCCAATTTTAATTATTTTATAGCTTATAATTTATTTTAATATCCAGAAAGTCATGTCACTTCTCATTACTCTTTCTTTTCCAAAAATCTTAGCTATTATTGCCTCTTTATTTTTCCAGATGAAGTTTATAGTTTTTTAAAAAAGATGAGAAATAAATAATTTGTTATTGTGTTGGAAATATAAACTATTTAAAAAAGAACCACAGTAGTTGATCTCCTCATCCAGACTCATGGTAAATCTCTCCATTTATCAAAGACTTACTTAGACTTACTTATTATCTCTGAGGAAAAGTTTCAGGGTTTTATTTATATATGCACATAGCTTGAAGATTATACCTAGACATTTTATGTTTTTCTCTTTCTGTTTTTTTTCTGAACTTAGATGAATTTATGTATTTGCGTATAAGAAATGACAAAATGTTATTTAAAAATGATTAGCAACTTTCAAAAATGGCATTTTTCATATTGGCAAGCTCCAGGTGAAACTGGTATAGTCATGTGTTACGTGGGTGCTGAGGTGGGTCGTAGTAACTGCTAACACTTATTTAGTGCTTACACTTTGCTAGACTTCATCTTAGCAGTTTCTTTTTTTTTTGAGATGGAACCTCGCTCTGTTGCCTAGGCTGGAGTGCAGTGGCTCACTGCAACATCCACCTCCCAGGTTCAAGCAATTCTCTGCTTCAGCCTCCCGAGTAGCTGGGATTACAGTCGCCCGCCACCATGCCAGGCTAATTTTTTTGTATTTTTAGTAGAGATGAGGTTTCACCATCTTGGCCAAGCTGGTCTTGAACTCCTGACCTTGTGATCAACCCGCCTTAGGGTCCCAAAGTGCTGGGATCATAGGCGTGAGCCACCGAGCCCGGCTAATCTTAGCATTTTCTAAGTGTAGTGTCATTTAGACTAAGCAATAGCAATATAAGGCAGGCACTGCTATCACAGAAAGTTCAAATTCAAGTAAAATAACCCAAGTTTAATTAAGTGGTACTGCTGCCAGAACTCAAAACTAGGCAGTCTAACTCCACAGTCTGTGCCAGTAATCATTAACTTTTTGTTTTTTTATTATAATAGTTTTATTGAAATAGAGTTTATACACCACAAAATTTACTTACCTCAAGTGTACAATTCAATTGTTTAGTATATTCACAGAGATGTGCAATTGTTAATCAATGGTAGGACATTTTATCACCCACCAAAAATGACCTGTACCTATTAGCAGTCATTCTGCATTTTCTCTTTAGCCATTTCCAGCCCCTGGCAACCACTAAACTACTTTCTGTGTCTATGGATTTGCCTATTCTGGATGTTTCACAAATAGAATAATAAAATATATGACTTTTTGTGACTGGCTAATTTCACTTAGTATGATGTTCTACAGGTTCACCCATATTGTAACATGTATTAGTACTGAATACTCTTTTATAGACAAATAATATTCCTTTGTATGATTAAATCACATTGTTTATCTGTTCATCAGTTGATGGACATTTGGGGTTTTTCTATTTTTGACTGTTACAAATAATGCTGCTATAAACATTATTATTATTACTATTATTATTATTTCAGATGGAGTCTCACTGTCACGCAGATTGGAGTGCAGTGGCACGATCCTGGCTCACTGCAACCTCTGCCTCTTGGGTTCAAGCAACTCTCCTGCCCCAGCCTCCTCAGTAGCTAGGACTACAGGCCTGTGCCACAATGCCCAGCTAATTTCTGTATTTTTAGTAGACATGGGGTTTCACCGTATTGGCCAGGCTGGTCTTGAACTCCTGACTTCAGGTAATCCGTCTGCCTCGGCCTCCCAAAGTGTTGGGATTACAGGAGTGAGCCATTGCGCCTGGCCTATAAACATTCTTGTTCAAATTTTTTGTGGCTGTATGTTTTTCCTTTGGTATATACCTTGGAGTGAAATTGCTGAATCATATGGAAACTCTATGTTTAACATTATGAGAGATTGCTGAACGGTTTTCCAAAGCACTGCACTATGACACATTTCCATCAGCAGTTTCTGAGGGTACTGTCATATTCTGTTTGTGCTGCTATAACAGAATACCTGAGACTGTTCTAATTTATGAAGAACAGAAATGTGTTTTCTCACAGTTCTGGAGGCTGGGAAGTTCACGATCAAGGTGCCGACGGGGTTAGTGTCTGGCGAGGGTAGCTCCCAGCTTCCAAGATGGCACCTTGTTGCTGCATACTATTAGGGGGAGGGACGTTGTGTCCTCACATGGCAGAAGGCAGAAGAGCAAGTAAGCAAGCAGGACTGTGCAAAGCCTCCTTCGTAACAGCCTTATTTCCATTCATGAGGGAGCTCTCCTGGCCTAATCACCTCTCTGAGGCTCTACCTCTTAATACTATCACACTGGCCCTTAGTTGCAACACCTGAATTTTGGAGAGGACACCTTCAAACCATAGAAGGTTCTAATTTCTTCACATCCTCCCCACCAAAAACTGTTATT